>NW_011332701.1:1079711-1764110 GCF_000001405.40 Homo sapiens | reverse complement strand
TAGGATGACATGGTAAGAAGGCCCTCATCAGATGTCAGCCCCTCAGTCTTGGACTTCCCAGCTTCCAGAGCCATAAGCCAATACGTTTCTTTATAAGTTATTCAGTTTCAGGTATTCTGTTATAGCAACACAAAACAAAGACAGGCCCCTTGTCTCCTTCCCTGAACCTAGACCTATAGGAATTTCATGAGCATGACTTGCCTGATTTTGGCACAGATGAGAGATGGGTTGGAAAGATCAGACCTGGCTTGAGGAAGCCCTTGCCATGCCTGGGTGCCAGCAGAACCAGGGGGCAGAGAGAGCAAGGATGGTGTATCCATCTGTGAAGGCAGCCGTAACAAAGTACCCCAAACTGGGTGGTTTAACAACAGAAATTTGTCACTTCACAGTTGTGGAAGCTAGAAGTCCAAGATCAAGGTGTCAGGAGGGCCACGCTTTCTCTGAAATTTGTTGGGGAGAATCCTTCCTTCCTCTTCTAGTTTCTGTGTTTGCCAGCCATCCTTGGCATTGCTTGGCTTGAAGATACACACTTGGTTTGTAGAAACATCTGTGTTTTCTCTCTTCTTCTTCTTCTTCTTCTTCTTCTTCTTCTTCTTCTTCTCTTTTGAGATGGGGTCTCACTCTGTCACCTAGGCTGGAGTGCAATGGTGTGATCGATGCTTGAATTCCTGGGTTTCAAATGATCCTCCCACCTCAGCCTCCTGAGTAGCTGGGACTACAGGTGTGCACCACCATGCCTGGCTGTATTTTTTTATTTTTTGCAGAGATGGGGTCTCCCTCTCAAAGTGCTGGGATTGCAGGTGTGAACCACCGCACCCAGCCTTCTCTTTTTATGAGGATACCAGTCATTTTGGATTAGGGCTCACTGTAGTGACCTCATTTTAACCTGATTCTATCTGCAAAGATCCTATTTCAAAATAAAGACACATTCACAGTTACTGGAGATTTGGATTTCAACGTACCTTTTAGGAGACATAATTCAACCCATAACAGGTAGCAGGTAGGATGGGGGTCACTGCCCTACATATGGGGTCTGCTCATCCATGAAATAAGTCACTCCTTTTGGGGAAGAAGCAAGTGAGGAGTCGAGAAGCCCGAGCTGTGTGTTCTGATACTGCCCCTTCCAGGGCATGAAGACGGGAAATAAGTTTTCCCTTAACAATAATCTTCTAAAATTGAGTGAGTTCTTTAAAAGAAAATGCAAAACTAATTAGGCATTGATCTCAAGAAAATTAATTATTTAGAAGGAATTGATTTGCCACAGCATCTCCCAGAAGAGACAAGTTTTCTCAAATCTTTTGGTACATTACAGTGTTTTTTTAAATATTTCAGGAAAAAAAGGATGTTTTTAGATAGAAAGAAATGAGAAATTGTATTTAATAATGTTTGACAGAAGATTGGCAAAAGAACAACTGACAGCAATGTTTGAAGGTTTAATTAATGTGTAAGATGAATGCAGAAAGTATTAATAGCTACTAGTTTACACAGCAGTTTGTTAAACTTCTGAAGAGAATCACATTATAGATCCCCTGGGGCATTATTTGCATATTAACAGGAAGTTATGTTAGAACATTTATAAAGCACAGGCTTCTTATCAGTGTGTTTATGAATATTTGGCTCCCTTAAAAACCTTTTGTGTTGTGTCTTTAAACATACCATTATATCAATCATGTAAAATTTCCCTTCCTTCCCTCCTTCTCCCCTTCAAGTGTATTTTTTTTTCTTTTTCTTTTTTTTTTTTTTTTTTTTTTGAGACGGAGTCTTGCTCTGTCGCCCAGGCTGGAGTACAGTGGCGCCATCTCTGCTCACTGCAACCTCTGCTTCCTGGGTTCAAGCAATTCTCCTGCCTCAGCCTCCTGAGTAGCTGGGACTACAGGTGCCTGCCACCACGCCTGGCTAATTTTTTGTATTTTTAGTAGAGACGGGGTTTCTCCATGTTGGTCAGGCTGGTCTCGAACTCCTGACCTCAGGTGATCTGCCCACCTCGGCCTCGCAAAGTGCTAGGATTACAGGCGTGAGCCACCGCGCCTGGCCTTGAACTCATACTTGTTGCTGCTGTTGTTTTCAGAACCTGTGACGTGAACTCTTACTTACAAATGCGCCAGGATGTGGATTGGATAAGGCAGAGCTCCTCTGAAGAGGCAGGCATGAGGGTCAGAGTGGCCGATATCTACTTCCTGACCCTAAGGTGGTCGCTGAACCTGGCCATGGAACCCCAGGCACCTCAGAAGGGACACAAGAGAACACTCAGGGAACCAGATGGCTCTGAGACCCCCTGAGGCCTTCTTCCCATTCCAACACCATATCTCTTCAAACCTCAGTGGCCCAGCTGCAAGGGCATTCAAAGGACAATAAGATCTTCTGATCATTTTTTGTGTTGGATAGGGCAGCATGATAATGTGACCCATTACTGTGGGTAATGACATAGAGAAAGAAATTCACTGGGAGTGAGCTGTGTGAGGATGCTGAAGACCTCTGAATGGTGAGAGTGCATTTCAAAGTTCACAAGTTGCTTTTACACGCATCACCTCCCTCACAACAATCCCGTGTATAATCCCCACCTTCCGGATGAGGAAACGGATGCAGGAATATTGAGCAGCCTGTCCCAGGTTACAGAGCTGGAAGGAGTTGCCAGTGGAGGCCAGGTGTCTTGATTCCAAGCCTACTGTTTTTCCTACTGTCTGTATCACAGCTGCCTGCCTTGACTAATCTGACGCAGACAAAGTCTGGAAGGAATAGAGTTGACATCCGAATAGCTGTAAATCCGCAGCGGGGCAGGCAGTCTATGTTAGCATCTAAAAGGCTGCAGAGGTAGCGGAGGGAAAGCTGAATGCGGTGTTCATGGCCACAGTTTCCTTTCATTCTATAAAGAGTGTGCTTGTCAAGCACCATCTGGAAGATGATATGCAGCCCCTTCTCCGTGACGAATGAAGACACGCAGAGGCAGATTCCAGAACAGCATCTACATCTTTGTTCATTGATGTCAGACACAAAATTGAGTTGTTTAAAAACTTGCTCTCAAATACAGAACAAAAGTCATGGTGCAGGAAGGTCATATGGAACTTGGACGAGCCAAGAAGGCGAGGTTTTAATCTGAAATTGTAAACAAACATGCTCTGGTAGAGATTTTAAAAACCTTTTTATGGAAAGACAAAACAGACACAGAAATCCACCCAAATCAAGTGTGGAGCTGGATAAGTTATTGTGAGGTGAGTGGGCTTGTAATCACCCTCTCTGGTCAAGAAATTAAACTTTGCCAGCTGCCCCAGAATCTCCTCCACGTGCCTGGCCCCAATGACAATCCTCTTCCTTCTCTTTCAAAGTAGTCACTCTCTGATTTATAGTAATCACTTCCTTTCATTTCTGTATGGTTTTATCACTCAAGTAGCTATCCCTAGACACTGTAGTTTAGCCTTTTTTTTCTTTTTTCTTTTTTTTTTTTTCTGAGACAAGGTCTCGCTCTGTCACCCAGGCTGGAGTGCAGCGGCACAATCATGGGTCATGGCAGCCGCAACTTCCCAGGGCTCAAGTGATCCTCTCACTTCATCCTCCTGAGTAGCTGGGACTACAGGTGCGTCCCACCATGCCAGGCTAATTTTTTTGTATTTTTTGTAGAGACAGGGTTTCATTATGTTGCCCAGAACTCTAAGCTCAAGTGATCTGCCTGCCTCAGCCTCCCAAAGTGCTAGGATTACAGACATGAGTCACAGCCCCGGCCTATAGTTTAGTCTTGTCCATTAAAAATTTGTACTATGTCATCAAGTCTCTTTTAATGTACAGGTTTCCTCTTTCTCCTTCCTTCCTTCCTTCTGTCTTTCTGTCTTTTCTTTCCTTCCTTCCTTCCTCCCTCCCTCCCTCCCTTCTCCTTCTCTCTCTCTCTCTCTCTCTCTCTTTCTCTTCCTTCCTTCCTTCCTCCCTCCCTCCCTCTCTCTCTCTCTCTCTTGATCTCTCTTTCTTTTCTTTTTGATACAGAGTCTTGCTCTGCTGCCCAGGCTGGAATACAGTGGCACAATATCTGCTCACTACAACCCCGGCCTCCCAGGTTCAAGCGATTCTCCTGCCTCAGCCTCCTGGGTAGCTGGGATTACAGGCGCCCGCCACCCTCTATCCCTTTCTTTTCCCTGCAATTTACAGGCTGAAGTGCCTAGGACATTTGGAGTCTGGAGTTTGCCAAGTGTACCCTCTTGGTGCAGTTCAACATGATTACTCTGTCTTCTGAGTTTCCTGAAAATTGGTACCTGGAACTGGACTGAATTGGAGTCTGGCTTGATCCCCATTGCAGGATATAAATGGCTTGTTCTTTCATCAGGAGGCCTTCATGTCTTGTTTCAATTCATGTCTTTTTTCAATGTTAGCCGCTGTCGATGCTCAGTGCCTGTATCTTTTAACTAATTGTGATTTGCAAAATGATGACATTTTAATTCAATATCTTTTTCAATTATTGTTTGCAGTATTATTACAAAAAGACACTTCCAGCCGGGCGTGGTGGCTCACACCTGTAATTCCAGCACTTTAGGAAGCTGAGGCAGGCAGATCACTTGAGATTAAGAATTTGAGACCAGCCTGGCCAACATGGTGAAACCCCGTTTCTACTAAAAATACAAAAATTAACCAGGCATGGTGGTGCATGCCTGTAGTCCCAGCTACTCGGGAGACTGAGGCCAGCAGATTGCTTGAACCAGGCGGCAGAGGTTGCAGTGAGCTGAGATCATACCACTGCTCTCCAGCCTGGGTGACAGAGCGAGACTGTCTCTCAAAAAATAAAAAAAGACACTTCCTCTCATCTACTAACTGGTTTCCCAATGATACACTTCATATAGGAAGGCAAGATAATTGTTTTCTAATTTGCCAGGTTTTAAGATAATGAGTTGTTTTCCTATCATCCTCTGAGGGCAACCAGTGAGTTTTAAAACATATGATTATAAACTTCTGAATTTAAACATATTTGGTAGGTTTGAATGCCTTACAATGAGTATTCTTATTGGCACTCAGAAAAAAATTGTTTTAATCTTTAGCAAATAAGAACATCTAAAGTGGGCTCCTGAACCGTTTTGTCATCGCTCTAGTATAACAGTCTTTCACAGCTCTTTTGCAGTCCTGTATGATCCCAAACTTCAGCTCAGCCATTTCTCTTCTTGAGAAATGGTGTAATATTTCAGGACCATAGTTGGGGCCCTTGGGATGTTCATTGCTACTGGGTTGGTCATTGTTTCTAGATTTTTTCAGTGGACAGAGCTACGAAACACACACACACACACACATACACACACACACACACACACACACACACACACACACGGTTAGCTACACAGATAGACAGCCTATCTCATGAACTCATATTCCCATTTCTAGTTCAAATTCAGGACTACAGAGTTCTGTATGTAACCTAGCCTGGGTATGTCTCCAACTCCTTTCCTCTACCTCGAGAATTTGGTTTTCAAGAACACAAGGGATGATAGAATATCCCATAATACCTCATTTGCTTAATCTTGTATTATGCTAAGTATCTCCCCATGCTAATACTAATACTACCAGAATCAATTGATTACTGCAAGTAGTTCCCAGTTTTACATATGTTTTCCCCATTCAACTCGTTTTTAAAAATAGCCAAATTACATCTATATTGTCAGAGCATATAATCAGAGCATACTATACTTTCTTTCTTTTTTCTTTTCTTCTTTTTTTTTTTTTTGAGACAGTATCTTGCTCTGTTGCCCAGGCTGGAGTGCAGTGGTGCAATCTTGGCTCATTGCAACCTCCCCGTCCCGGGTTCAAGTGATTCTCGTGTCTCAGCCTCCTGAGTAGCTGGGTGTGCACCACCACGCCCAGCTAATTCTCCTGACCTAAAGGGATCCGCCCACCTTGGCCTCCCAAAGTGCTGGGATTACAGGTGTCAGCCTCTGTGGCCAGCCTATACTTTCTTTTTAACCCTCCATTGGTCTTTTAGAAAAATAACACCTTTACGAAATATAATTCACATACCATAAAATTCACTCTTTTAAAGTGTACGCAATTCATTGTTTTTTAGTATAGTCACAGAGTTCTGCAACCATCACCACTATCCAATTTTAGAACTTTTTTGTCACCTGAAAAAGAAACCTCTACCCATTAGTAGAGATTCCCATTCCTCCTCCTTCCAGCCCTGACAGCCATTAATCTATTTTCCTTCTCTCTGTGGATTTGCCTCTTCTGGGCATTTCATACCAATAGAATCGTGGCCTTTTGTGACTGGCTTTTTTCACTTAGCATAATATTTTCAAAATTCATCTGTGTTATAGCATGTATCAATAGTTAATTACTTTCTGTGGCTGAAAATACTGTCTAGTTGGGATATACCACATTTTGTCTGTTCATTCATCTGTTGAGGGATATATAGGTTGTTACCATTTTTGGCTATTATGAATCATAGTGCTGTCAATATTTGTATATTAGTTTTTGTGCGAAAATACATTTTCAGTTCTCTTGGGTATATACCTATGACTGGAATTGCTGAGTCATATGGTAAATCAAAGTTTAACATGTTGAGAAATTGCCAGACTGTTTTCCAAAGTGGTTGTGCCATTTTTTTTTTTTTTTTTGAGACAGAGTCTCACTCTGTTGCCCAGGCTGGAGTGCAATGGCGGGATCTTGGCTCACTGCAAGTTCCGCCTTCTGGGTTCACGCCATTCTCCTGCCTCAGCCTCCCAAGTAGCTGGGATTACAGGCGCCCGCCACCGCGCCCGGCTAATTTTTTGTATTTTTAGTAGAGACGGGGTTTCCCCGTGTTAGCCAGGATGGTCTCGATCTCCTGACCTCGTGATCTGCCGGCCTCGGCCTCCCAAAGTTCTGGAATTACAGGCGTGAGCCACCGCGCCCGGCCTGTGGTTGTGCCGTTTTATGTTCCACTGGCTGTATAAAGGCTCCACTTTCTCCATATCCTCACCCACACTTTCTCTCGTCCATAGTTTTGATTATGATCATCTTTTCATGTGTGTGTGAAGAGGTGTCTCACCATGGTTTTGATTTGCATTTCCCTAATGACTGATGATGTTGGGCATCTCTGCATGTGCTTATTGGCTATTTCTTTTTTTCGAGGGTTTCACGCAATTCAATATGATTTGAAAATGATCAGAGATAAATTTCAGTGAATCAATAATTTTGAAAATGGATGTGCTTCTCTGAAAAATTAGGAATGATGTTGAAACTCCTGTTTAAGTGTATATAGGGGTATAAAAGTATATAAGGATTTCCCAGTTAGCTTCAATCCTTGTTGTCTTATAAAGCACTCATTTTCATGTATTTTTCTGAGGTACATATTAGCTCTCTGATGTAATTAGGTGTATATAAGAGGAATGCAACATAATTTGTATTCA
Source organism: Homo sapiens (assembly GCF_000001405.40). Taxonomy (NCBI): domain Eukaryota; kingdom Metazoa; phylum Chordata; class Mammalia; order Primates; family Hominidae; genus Homo; species Homo sapiens. The sequence goes on along the minus strand of NW_011332701.1, from coordinate 1,756,758 downwards.
TCTTTAACTTTACAATGAATGGAGAAACAACTAAATCATTCTATCCATCATCTATCTATCTATCTATCTATCTATCCATCGATCTTTGAGTTTACTGTTTATATTTTTCCAGCTTTATTGAAGTATAATTGACAAAATTGTATATATTTAAGATATGAAATGTGATGACTTGATATACATATACATTATGAAATTGTTTCCATGATTAAGTAAATTAATACATCCATCATCTCACATAATTACCATTCTTTGTGTATGTGAACACTGAAGATCTGTCTTAGCAAATTTCAAATACAAAATACAGTGTTATTAACAATAATCAGCATGCTGTACATTAGATTCTCAGAGCTTACTCATCTTATAAGTGAAAGTTTTTGCCCTTTGACCAACATCTCCCCATTTCCCCCACCCCAAAGTCCCTGGCAGCCACTATTCTACTCTGTTTCTGTGAGTTTAACTTTTTTAGATTCCACATGTAAGTGAGATCATACACTGTTTGTCCTTCTCTGCCTGGTTTATTTCATTTAGCATAATGTCTTCTGTGTTCATATATGTTGTTGCAAATGACAGGACTTCCTTCTTTTTTATGGCTGAATAATATTCCATTTCATACACACACACACACACACACATGCACACACACATACATTTAAAAAATTCCTTCATCCATCAATGGATGGTTAGGTTGATTCCATAACTTGACTATTGTGAATAATGCTGCAATGAAGATGAAGTGCAGATATCTCTTCAAGATATAGATTTTGTTTTCTTCAGCGGCCATTTCTTTCCTTTGTTGGAGAAACATCACTTCAGATCTTTTGCCCACTTTTTAATTGGGTTGTTTATTTCCTTACTGTTGAGCTGCAACAGTTTACAAATACGTTTACTGTATTTGTAGGATAAATATATACATTTATTTTCTGATATTAGACCCTTAAGCGATACATGATTTGCAAACATTTTTTCCCTATCTGTGCATTGTCTTTTCATTTTCTTGATAGTGTCTTTTGAAAAAAGTTTTAATTTTGATGAAGTCCAATTTATCTATTTTTTTCTTTGGTTGCTTGTGATTTAGGTTTCATAGCTAAGAAACCACTTCCAATCCAGGGTCAAGTACATGTACACCTATATTTTCTTCAAAGAGTTTCACAGTTTTAGTTCTTACATTAGGCCTTTCATGGATTTTGAGTTAATTGTTGTATATGGTGTGAGGAAAGGGCCCTCATTTACTTTCAGTTCTAAAAGGAGCAATATATCAGTGCTCACCATCTATACTTATGTCAATGTCTGTCTAGTTATTTTGGTTGTTTGAAGCACATTAACACAATTCTTCAGAAAGGGATTATGGGGAACAAGATTCCTTGAATTTTTGCACATTGATGATAGTTTATCTGCATCCTTACTTTTTAAAAAAATTATTATTATTAGTTTTTAAGTTCCAGGGTACATGTGTAGGATGTGCAGGTTTGTTACATAGGTAAATGTGTGCCATGGTGGTTTGCTGCACCTATCAACCCATCACCTAGGTATTAAGCCCAGCATGTATTAGCTCTTTTCTCTAATGCTCTCCCCCTCATTGCTCTCCCCTGACATGCCCCAGTAAGTGTTGTTCCCTCCCTGTGTCCATGTGTTCTCATTGTTCAGCTCCCACTCGTAAGTAAGAACATGCATGTTTGGTTTTCTGTTCTTGCATTAGTTTGCTGAGGATAATGGCTTCCAGCTTCATCCATGTCGCTGCAAAGAACATGATCTTGTTCCTTTTTATGGCTGCATAGTATTCCCTGGTGTATATGTACCACATTTTCTTTATTCAGTCTATCTGTGTCCTTTCTACTTGAAATTTAGTTTTACTGGATATAAAATCTTTGAGTAATATTTTCTTTACTTGATTTTCCTTAAAATGCTTTCATGTCATTTTTCTGGCATAATGAATTATTGTCCAATATTTTATTTCCCTTTTAAGTCACCTGGTCTTTTTGCCGTGATCCCCCAAAATATCTTCTTTTTCTTTAGAGCTCAGAAATTTTATTCCAATATATTTTGGTCATGATCATTCTGGTTTGATATTGTCTGGTACAGAGTATCCTCCTTTAATGTGCAATTTCAAATCTTTTTAAAAATTCAGGGCTGGGCACGGTGGCTCATGCCTGTAATCCCAGCACTTTGGGAGGCCAATGGGGCGTGTCATGAGGTCAGGAGTTCGAGACCAGCCTGACCAACATGGAGAAACCCCATCTCTACTAAAAATACAAAAATCAGCCAGGCGTGGTGGCGCCTGCCTGTAATCCCAGCTACTCAGGAGGCTGAGGCAGGAGAATCGCTTGAACCTGGGAGGCAGAGGTTGCAGTGAGCCAAGATTGTGCCACTGCACTCCAGGCTGAGCAACACAGTGAGACTTCATCTCAAAAAAAAATAATAAAATAAAATAAAATAAAATAAATTCAGGATTATTTTCTTGAGAGACAGTTCTTAATATTTGTTTTGTTCCCTTGCTTTGGTTTCCCTTTTCAGAAACTCCTTTCAGCCATATGTTGGATCTTCTTTAACACTCTTCAAATATGCCACTATCTAAAATCTTTTCTATCTTTTTAATTTCTTTATGATCTTAAAAATTTTCCTCCTTTTTGCTTTTTATTGCTCCTCAGGTTTTTATTTATTGTGTTTATTCACTCTTGTACTGCTTTTTGTTTAGTCTTTATTTCTGAAATTCTTTTTTCCTTTCATTTCTGTTTTACATGTAAGTCCGTCCATGATTCATTTTGAATACATTGTTGTATAAAGTGTGAGGTTTAAATAGAAGTTGTTATTTATTTGTTTTTGCTTACAGATGTCCATTTGCTCCAATACCATTTGTTGAAACAGTTATTTTCTTCCTGTATTGAATTGCTTTTGCACCTTTGTCAGAAATCAATTAGCCAGCCTGGCCAAGATGGTGAAACCCATCTCTACTAAAAATACAAAAAAATTAGCCGGGCATGGTGGTGCACGCCTATAATCCCAGCTACTTGGGAGGCTGAAGCATGAGAATCTCTTGAACCTGGGAGGCAGAGGTTGCAGTGAGCTGAGACCATGCCACTGCACTCCAGCTTGGGCAACAGAGCAAGCCTCTATCTAAAAAAAAAAAAAAAAACCAGCATATTTTGGGGATCTATTTCTGGGTTCTCTATTCAGTTACATTGAACTGTGTGTCTATCCTTCTGCCAACACCACAATATATTGATTACTCTATCTCTGTAGTAAGCCTTAATATCAAGTAATTACTCCCACTTAATTCTTTTCCCGGATTATTTTAGCTATTCTAGAGCCTGTGCCTTTTTGCATACATTTAAAAATAAATGTACATATGTCTTTTAAAAAAAAAACCAACTTGCTGGGATTTTGATAGGAATTGCAGTAAACCTATCAGGAAATTTGGGGAGAATTTACATCTTTACTATGTTGACTCTTGCAATTCATGAATACACTATGCCTCTCCATTTGTTTAGGAGTTTTTAAAAAATTTCATCATTGTGGTGATTAATTTTGTGTCAACTTTGCTGGGCCACAGTACCCAGATATTTGGCCAAATATTATTTTGGGTATTTCTGTGAAGGTGTTTATGGATGAGATGGAAATTTAACCCAGTGGAATTTAAGTGAAGTAGATTCCCCTCCATAATGTGGGTGGCCCTCACTCATCTAATCAGTTGATCTATTTTGTGGTTATATCTTTCTGGTATGCTCTCACTGTCTATAGGGATGTTATTGTATTTCTTATTGCCTTTTTTCAATATCCTTCTTAAGAATCAATGATACTTAATCCCTACAAGAAAAGAGTAGAAAAAGGATTTCTACATCCTTTCCATGTTAGGAGATGATTATAATCAAATCTGAAACCTCCTAGAAAGTTGTTTTTGTTTAGATCCCACACTTACATCACTAAATCATTTCTGAAATTTCATTACTTGGTCTGTTTATTCTAAAGATATTGAAATAATGATATAATTAGAAGACTAAAACTAATAGTCATTACAATAATGACTATTGAATTATAGGTAGTAATTAGCCCATAAGAAATATGAGGTCTGGTGCGAGGTCTTACTGATCTTTACATGGCTTAGGGTAATGTCTTGTATATTATTTCACTCAATAGATATTTATAGAATAGATGGCTTAAAAGGGGGAGCATTTTAAATACTTTCTTAATTTTAAGACATCAATATACAAATATTTACTATAGCTTTTATTCTAATAAGGTGTTATTCTGTACACTGTGGGAAATTCAAATAAATACCCATTGTGAAGTCTCTTCTCAGTTATTATACCATATTTGAGGAAACAGCCTAACCTCTTTGCCTTATGCTGACTTAGAAGATGGGTGCCAGGTACCAAGCCACCTTTGCTGAATATCTGTATTCTGCTCTTAGTCTACCAATGGTGTTAGATCTCACCTTTCCTCCTATTTTGGTTCAGTCTTGCATTTGAGGTTCTAATATAACTTCATCTTCTGGATGCAGACCCTGTAGGCCTAACTTTCCCTTTGGTCTTTTCCAGCATAATCTGTTCTGCCGCTATAGGCCAGGGAAAGCTAGACCTAACGGGAATATGTTCAAATAGAAGTACTGACACAATAATAGAAAAATAACTGGCACTTAGTGTTTGCTATATGCCAGGTACTGCTCTAAGAACTCTAGATAAATGAAATCATTTAATCCTCACAAGAAATTTATAAGATAGGTATTATTATTACCTTCATTAGGAAGTGGAGTTGGGGTTTTTACTAAGGCAGTGTGACACTAACATGGGTGCCCTAACCATTCTGCTGCCCTGACTTTTAGATGTGAGAGAAGACCTAAGAGAGGGATAGAATTTGCAAAGGTGATGAAGAAAGTCATTCTCAGCAGGAGTGACCCATTACTGTCCAGAAGCTTAGAAACCAAAGGCCAGGCTAGGCGTGGTGACTCATGCCTTTAATCCCCGCACTTTGGGAGGCTGAGATGGGCCGACTGCCTGAGCTCAGGAGTTTAGAGACCAGCCTTGGCAACATGGAAAAACCCTGTCTCTCCTAAAAATAGAAAAAATTGGCTGGGCGCGGTGGCTCACACCTGTAATCCCAGCACTTTGGGAGGCCGAGACAGGTGGATCTTGAGGTCAGGAGATTGAGACCATCCTGGCTAACACGGTGAAACTCTGTCTGTACTAAAAATACAAAAAATTAGCCAGGTGTGGTGGCGGACATCTGTAGGCCCAGCTACTCGGGAGGCTGAGGCAGGAGAATGGCGTGAACCCGGAACGTGGACCTTGCAGTGAGCCGAGATCGCGCCACTGCACTCCAGCCTGGGCGACAGAGTGAGACTCCGTCTCAAAAAAAAAAAAAAAAAAAAATTAGCTGGGTGTGGTGGCAGGTGCGTGTAGTCCCAGCTACTCTGGAGGCTGAGGCAGGAGAATCACTTGAATCCAGGAGGTGGAGATGGCAGTGAGCTGAGATCGCGCCACTGCACTCCAGCCTGAGGGACAGAGCGAGACTCCATCTCAAAAAAAAAAAAAAAAGAAAGAAACCAAAGGCCAGTATTTTGCTGGAGCAGAGGATTAGAGAAACATGTTGGAGAGAGTGAAGAGAGAAATGGATTTTGCTGAATGGTCCAGGTTACCACTGAACATATAGCTTGCTTGCATGAAAAAAGCCAACATATGCCATAAGAATTACGTCTCAGCAATTTGCTGCTGCTGCTCTTGCTGTTGCTATAAAAATGTGGGCCAATCACATAATCGACACCAAAAATGAGTGCATCCTAATGCTTATTTCTCTAAGCAACTTTCCATTTATCCACAAGCAAAGTGTTTTACTTTTGCTTCTTAATAAAATAAAAGTGAAGGAGTTCTGATTGAAGGTGACCCATACTTTAGAGCCAAATGATAAATTTTACTCCATTATTTTCTGTTCAGTTGATGGATGAGAATTATCAAATCTCATGAGGCTTGACTCATAATTTTCATAGTTTTTCCCTAAAGGCAAAACACCTCTTTCATGTATAAGTTTGTTTGAGTCTGAGCATATGAATAACTGCTTATTCTAATGAAACCATTAGAATGCATAGGTTTCTAATAACCTGATTTAATAGTGCTAGTTGAGTTAACTGGAACTCACTTCTTAGCCTTATTACCCTCCTTCAATAATTAAGTCATTTACTTCTCAGGGGTTTTTCACAAAATTCTAGTCAATACTATCCCAGAAGTGTTAAAAACTTCAATTTTAACATAGTTTAAGATACAGAATTAGCTTGAATAAATAGTAATTGAATACCACTATCTGCTAGGACTGTGCTAAGTGCATTAGGATACTGCAAACGTGAATGATTCCTGTCCGTAAGGAACTTACTGCTAACGGAATAAGGCCAGCATTCATAAAGTGCGTAATGTTTGAAAAAATACTTTTCTGTATTCATGATCTAACTTAAATCTCATCACAAAACCTATGAAGTAATAAGTATTTCAAGGCCTGTCAAATTAGATTTCTTCTCTCCCTGCACTTAGTTGACCTTTAATTATTTTGGTAGCAATGAGACAGACATTTTAAACCTAACGAACAAAGACAAGTCAAAATTCTATATGTGCCTGATTCTCCATCAGTGTCCAGGGAGTCCAGCTTGCTTCCAGCCCTCCAATGATAATCACCTGAACAAACATGCTCCAGGACACTGGTGCACACATATCTTTTCCAGTCACTGCTTTCACTTCCTTTGGGTATATACCTAGGAGTGGAACTACTGGGTCATGTGGAAATACTACGTTTATTTTTGAGGAACAGCCAGACTGTTTTCCACGTTGGCTGCAGCATTTTACGTTCATTCCAGCAACCTACAAGTGTTTCAATTTCTCCACATCCTCTCCAACACTTGTTATTTTCATTTTTTTTATTATAGCCATCCTCGTGGATTTGAGAATTTCATTGTTTTTTTCTTATTGTGGTAAAATATACATAATATAAAATTTACCATTTTAACAAATTTAAGTGTGCAATTCTGTGGCATTAAGCACATTCCCATAGTTGTGCAAGTAGCACCACCAACCATCTCCAGGAACTCTTCATCTTCTGCAATTGAAACTGTACCCACCAAACACTAACTCCCCATTCCCACCACCCCTCTGCCCCTAGCAACTACCACCCTGCTTTCTGTCATTATGAATTTGACTACTCTAGGTACTTCATAAGGTGGATCTGAACAATATTTATCCTTTTGTGACTGCCTTATTTCACTTAGCCTAATGTTCATGGTTTGTTCATGTTGTAGCATGTGTCAGAATTTCCTTCCTTATAAAGGCTGAATAAGATTCCAATGTATGTACAGACCACATTTTGTTTATCCATTCATCCAAGGATGGACACTTGGTTTGCTTCCACCTTTGGAATAATGATGCTATGAACATGGGTATTATGCCTGTAATCCCAGCACTTCAGGAGGCCAAGACAGGTGGATTGCTTGAGCTCAGGAGTTTGAGACCAACTGGGGCAACACGGCAAAACCCCATCTCTACAAAAAATACAAAAATTAGTCAGGCACGGTGGTGCGCACCTGTAGTCCAAGCTACCTGAGAGGCTGAGGTGAGAGGATTGCCTGAGTCTGGGAGGTCCAGGCTGCAATGAGCCGTCTTTGTGCCACTGCACTCCAGCCTGGGTGACAGAGTAACACCCTATCACACGTGTTCCCTTTCTCTCTCTCACACACACACACACACACACACACACACACACACACACACACACACCTCTTTGAGTCCCTGCTTTCAATTCATTTGGGTATTTATCCAGAAGTAGAATTTGTTTGATTTTTTTGAGGGGTCACCATGCCATTTTCCACAGTGGCTGCACCATTTTACATTCCCACCAGAAATGCACAAGGGTTCTAATTTCTCCATATCTTGACCAACACTTGCTCCTTTCTTTCTTTCTTTTTTTTTTTAAATAATATAGCTGGCCAGGTCTGGTGGCTCACACCTGTAATCCCAGCACTTTGGGAGGCTGAGGTGGGCAGATCATGAGGTCAGGAGATCGAGACCATCCTGGCTAACACGGTGAAACCCCATCTCCATTAAAAATACAAAAAAATTAGCGGGTGCGGTGGCGGGCGCCTGTAGTCCCAGCTACTCGGGAGGCTGAGGCAGGAGAATGGTGTGAACCTGGGAGGCGGAGCTTGCAGTGAGCCGAGATCACGCCACTGCACTCCAGCCTGGGTGACAGAGCGAGACTCCGTCTCAAAAACAAAAACAAAAACAAGTTAATAATATAGCTATCCTGATGGGTGTGAAGTGGCATCACATTATGGTTTTAATTTGCATTTCCCCAATGATGAGTGATGAGCATCTTTTCAGGTGTTCACAGGACACTCGTTTATCTTCTTAGGAGAAATGTCTATTCAAGTCATTTTCCCACTTTTAAATTGGGTTGTCATTTTGTTTTGAGTAGTTCTATCCATAATCTGAATACATGGCATATATCTCTGGTCAAGATAAATGCTTTGCATATATTTCTTTCCATGTTATAGTTTGTCTTTTCACTTTCTTGACAATGTGCTTTGATGTACAAAAGTGTTTAACTTTGATGAAGTATAATTTGTTTATTTTTTCTTTCATTGCTCATACTTCTCTTGTCATATCTAAGAATCTACAGCCAGAGCCAAGGTCACGGTTTATGCCTATGTTTTCTTCTAAGACTTCCATAGTTTTTGCTCTTTTATTTAGGTCCATTTTGAGTTAACTTTTGATTATGATATGAGCTTGGAGTCCAACTTCTTTCTTTTGTAAGTACAAGTCCAGTTGTCCCAGCACCATCTGTTGAAGAGACTATTCTTTCTCCCATTGAATGAACTTGGCACCCTTGTTAAAGATCAGTTGTCCTTAGATGTATGGATTTATTTATGGACCCTCAATTATATTCCAATGGTCTAGATGTCTACTCTTATGCCAGTACCATGCTGTTTAGATTACTATACCTTTGTGGTAAGTTTTGAAATCTAGAAGTATGAGTCTTTCAACTTTGTTCTTTTTCAAGACCCTTTGGCTATCTGGGGACCCTTGGAATTCCATATGATTTTGAAGATTGGCTTTTCCATTTCTGCAAAAAGGGCTGTTGGAGTTTTGATAGGGATTGCTTTGAATCTGTAGAGAATTTGGGGTGTTGTCATCTTAATATTGTCTTTCTATGCATGAACATAGCAAGTCTTTTCATTTATTTAGGTATTTAATTTATTTGAGCAATGTTTTCAGTGTACAAGCCTTCACTTCCTTGGTTAAATTTATTCCCAGGTATTTCATTCTTTTAGATATTATTATAATTGTCTTATTGTTTTCCTTTTCAGATTATTCATTATTGGTGTATAGAAACACAACTAACTTCTATGTGTTGATCTTGTACCTGGTAACTTTGCTGAATTTGTTTATTAGTTCTAGTAGCTTTCTTGTGAATTCTTTGAGATTTTCTATATATCAAATCATGTCACCTGCAAATAGAGATAGTTTTGCTTCTTCCTTTACAATTTGGATGTCCTTTATTTCCTTTTCTTGTCTAATTGTTCTGGCTGAACTTCCAATAAAATATTGAACAGTGGTGGTGAATGTGGACATTCACCACATGTCAAATTCCTGATCTTGGGAAGAAGCTTTCAGTCTCTCACCATTGATTATGATGTTAGTGGTGGGTCTTTCATAAATGTCCTTTATCGTGTTGAGGAAGTTAAGGGAAAGTGAGTTTTAAAAATGCTATTCATAGAAATAATTGGAGGCCTAGAATGATAATATCTTTCTTTAGAGAGAATTTTCTATTGTTTTGCCAGCTCCTAGGGGCTTGTGCAATGCAGAATTGGGGTTTCTGGGCACCTGCAAAAAGAGGGAAGTTTGACTTATTTCCTGCTCCAGGGATGCAGCCATTTGGGGTTCTGTCACAAGGCAGGGGACTGGTTTACTGGGTCCCCACCTTTGGAGACTCCTGAACTCAAATTCATCTTTCTGATTCTGTGTGCAGCTGCCAGAGCTAGAAAGGCAGCCCACGTGCTGCACACACCTCTCCGCATTCCTTCTCCTATTGCATCTAGGCCTGGTGTTCCCTCATTATCTCCATAATCTTTGATACTTTTAAGGAGATACTTAAAAAAAGTCCCCCTGGTTTCTAAGTTGTCTTTAGTAGGAGAAGTAGCTGGTCTGACATTCCTAGAAGTAGAGTTTCTCCCCTATTACTCTTCCAGAGGCAGAAATTGTGAGATCCAAGCACAACTCTCTACTGCGTAAGAGAGGCTACCAAGGGTCTAGATTCTTTCTCATCCATTATGTATGGACAGGTACAGGTCAAAAAGAGCAGGAATCTGAAACAAGCATGTGGTGACTGAGGCATTTGTAAGTGTTCCTTGTCTCCCCATGGTGCAAGCAGCCCTGAAACCTGTCTTTCAGCAAGAAGCTCAGCCACCTTGTCATGCTTTGCTTAAGAACAATGGTCTTGGCCGGGTGTGGTGGCTCACATCTGTAATTCCCAGTACTTCGGGAGGCCAAGGTGGGTGGATCACAAAGTCAAGCGATCTAGACCATCCTGGCCAACATGGTGAAACCTTGTCTCTACTAAAAATACAAAAATGAGCTGGGCATGGGGGCGTGCGCCTGTAGTCCCAGCTACTCAGGAGGCTGAGGCACGAGAATCGCTTGAACTCAGGAGGTGGAGGTTGCAGTGAGCTGAGATCATGCCACTGCACTCCAGCCTGATGACAGACTGAGACTCTGTCTTTAAAAAAACAAAAACAAAGAAACAAAACCCAAAAGAACAATGGTTTTGTCTATTAGTCCCATCTGATCCAGGGAGAATAAAAGCCATAACTTGGTTCCAGGGGTCTCCAAGAATCTTCTGTAACACTAGGACATGTATGATTATAATGCTTTTACAAGAGACAAACACTGAAGATCAAAGAGAGTCAATGAGTTGTCGTGATCAGTGCCAGGGAGGCTAAGCTCAGGCCAGCACCCTCTCTCCCTACCTTTCTCCTTCCCTTCTTTCTGTTCTTTTCCTCCCTTCCCTTTCATTCTTCTTTCCTTTCTTTCTTTATGATTCACTCCCATGAAATCAACTCACTTTAACTACTTTTATCTCCCTATTTATATCTCCAAATTGCAAGTGTTCATCAAGGTAACTTTGGCTGTTGCATTTAATACAACAGGATTAAAAAATTCTGTAAAACATAGTATGAAATAGAAATTTTTGGAGGCCATTGATTTGGACAGAGCTCCCACCAACAGACCAAATTAAAATGGAGTCAGTCATGCTAAAGTCCTAATCCACCAAGCTGAAACTCGGTTGTTTAGCTGACTTTATGAGAAATCAGGAGAAGGAGAGGAAGAGGGGTGGGGGAAAGACAGACACAGAGAGAAAGAGAGAGAGAGAGAGGGAGAGAGAGAGAGGGGGAGAGAGAGAGAAGAGAGAGAGAGAAAGAAGAGAGAGAATAGACAAATATCCAGAAAGGCCAGTTTGAGCAGACATGATAAGGAAGTTCCGTTTTAACCATTATGGGGAAAGTAACTTTGAAACAACTAATCTGCTTTTTGTTCCTCATTTCTACTTTCTTCAATCTTTTTCTGTCTATACATACTCACTGCCCACATGGCAGAGTGGAGTTCTCTGAACCTCTTATGATTCTGAGGGCTGCCTTATTCATGAATTGTTCATTGTTTAAGTAAACTCTGTTAAATTTATTTGTCTAAAGTTTTCATTTTATCAACAAAACTGCTTTTTCATTGATAGAAATGTGAAGTAAGTTTAATTTCTAGATCAGTCTCTCCCTTTGGATGCAAACGAAATTTTACAGCGAAAGTAGATCCCTCTCCTAACCCACCTTCACCAAAATCTCCTGCTGTATTGCTTGGAGCTCTCTTTCCGTACCTTTCTTAAATAAATAAATAAAACAAATCAATTCACATATATTTTGGAAGCATCTCTCATTCATAAATGGGAGATCACTGGAGGTCACCAACTGGCTCCCCCTTCTGTTTAATTCGTCACTGACACCTCCGAAACATCTCCCAAACACACCCAATTCTCGACATCTCCACTAACCCCACTTTAATCCAAAACACTATCACCTCTTGCCAGCTGACAGTAACAGCCTCTGAACACTCTTTCACTTGGGCACCCCTCAACCCATTTTTGGTATTGTGGTCAGAAAACTCTTTTCAAATCTCCTTATCATCTGATTCCTTTTTTTTGGTGGGGGTGGGGTTGGGGGGGCACTGTGTAGTCTCCATAACACTGAACCCAGTGTGCCGCCAGTCTTCCCACTAGACCGAAAGTTCTCTGAGTACAGGGGGCTTGCAACTCATTCTTCGATCTTCAGTGCCTGGCACATAGTGGGTGTATACTATTTTTTGAATAGTATACAATGTCAATAAACTGTAATTCACTAATTTGTTAGGCTATTGTGTGTTTCTCTCTGAATCCCTTAAAGGCAGGGATTTTTGTCTGTTTTGTTCACTGATGTACCCTAAGAACGTAAAAAAAAAAAAAGCCTTATGATTAGAGAGCTCTTTATGAACTTTTGTTGGAGGAATGAATGAACGGATGAATGAATGAATGAATGAATGGGGGAGATGATCAAATGCGAACATAACTTCCTGCCAGTCCAGGGTCATGCCTTGTATTGTTTCAAGCTCTTAAAAAGTGCTGCACTGCGAACTTCTAGGCAGAAAATGTCTCCAGGAAATTGGAATTTGTACTGGAGTGCTTTAAACAATGCCGGCCAGAGGCTTAGTCCTGTTAAAGATAAGAACTGGGGGAGAAGGCAGCGTTTGGCCACGGGCCAGCATTTTGAGATCAGTCACTCTATCTGTGGAATTCCCTACCCCCTGTTCATCCCTTGGCCATCTCGTTAAATTGGAAAATAAATCCCATCCCTGCTAAAGTGTTGGCTGATAAAGGCTTGAGCTATAGCCCCTTCAAGGGGAATTTGCATTTTAATAGAGGATCGTCAAGCCCCAAAGGAATCAATATCTCTAACGGTGAAATTTCAAGCACCAGCAACCGAGATATTTTGGGACTACACTCTCTAGCGTTTCTCATCCAACAGTAAGGTCTGCTAGAAAGACACGGAAGAATGGTCTCAGGAAATGACCGGCCGTTTCCCTTTATTACTCTGAACTTTGCCTTTTCACGTCTGGTCCCTTCAGACTCCCTAACGCTGGTGATCTCTTAATCTGTCAATGCAGCCCTTTTCAACACAAGCAGAGTCTTAAAGTTGGCTCATCAACAGGGCCACAAAGGAATTATGGCAATCAAAACTTGCAGGATTTCCCGGTATTCCAAGGGAGCCAGTACTTAGATATTTTAAACTCTATGTTGGCAAGAGGGAGTGGAGATGGTTTAATCGGTTATTAATGATATTGCGCATTTAAATTCGTTTTGTGCAATTTTTTTTTAAAGCCCAAACTTTTAACTTGTATCAAAAGCATGCAAACCAAAGGTGGGTAAGGGACATCGTGTGTGTCCTGGCAATGTTCTCGGAATGTCCTCCAGAGCTGAGTTCTCTCAGCGGATGGCTTGGGAGATTCTCGAACTGCAGAAAAGCAGCATCTTGGATCTTGGATTTTTGCATTCAAGAGGCTCCTGTTCGCCACACCTGCGGCCCAGCGCTCGGAATTTCCCTCCTGTCTGCTCCCAGCCCGTCTCCCCGTCCTCAGCGCCCCGCGCGCCCATCCCGAGCCGTCCCCAGGCTCTGAAGGCTCGGCTGGCCCGCTGCCGCTATCGGGCCCCTCCGCGCAGCCGACCCAGGGCTCCGCCGCGGAGGCTGATGCCGTTGCCCTTGATGCGCTGCCGCCCCCGCTCTCCTTCCGCAGACCTGCAGCCGCCAGGGCGCGAGGCGTGAGCGCGGAGGCTGGGACGCCAGGACCGCACCTGCGCCTTCCCCGCCCCTCTCCCGGCTCCCGGGTCCCGGCTCCCGCTCCCGCCCCAGCTGGGGCCCAGCGCACGGCGGCGGGGCTCGCGCCCGGGGACGGCAGCGGCTCGCGCCCGGTACGGCAGCAGCGGCGGCGGCTCGCGCCCGCGCTCGGGCCGGGGAGCGCGCGGGGCGGGCGGGGGAGGGCGCAGCGCGGCGCGGCCGGCGGGCGGGCGGCGCGGCGGCGGCGGCATGGGCGCGGGCACCGGCGGGGGCTGCGGGCGCCCGGCTCCCCGCCCGGCCCGGCCCGCTCCCGGCGCGCGGCCGCCGCAGCCCTGGCAGCCGGCTGGGAGGCCGTCCCTGCACCCGGCGCAACTTGCCTCGGACCCTCTGTGAGGAGAGGCGGCGGCGGCGCGCGCCGGGCCGGGCGGGAGCGGGCGAGGCGTGCGGGCGCCCGGCGCGATGCCTCCGGCCGGCGGCCCCCGAGCGCCGCGTCCCGCCGCGCTGCCCCGCAGCCTGTCCCGCCTGCGCGAGTGCCCGGGCCGCTCCCGCATCGTGCTGGCGCTCGGGGCCACGCAGATGGCGCTCGGATGCCTCATCGTGGCAGTCAGCTTCGCCGCGCTGGCGCTCACCACCTCGGCCCGCGTCCGCCACTCCTGCCCCTTCTGGGCAGGCTTCTCGGTGAGTGTCCGCGACCAGGCGGGGACGGGCTCCGGGGACTGCGCGGGCCGGGGGCGCTAGGCGCTGCGGCCGCCGGGACGCCACCGCGGGCGGCAAGTTCCGGCGGCCAACGCCGGGGCCGAGTAGCTGCAGCGCGGGGCGCAGTTCGAAACTCCGAGCAGAATAACTCCAGGGCCCGGCTCGCCGCTCTCGGAGCATCGCGTTCCCGCTCCTATTGCGCTGATTCCCGGAGTTACTTTTCTTGGAGGAAACAGCAGCCAGGCGCCCGCCGTCCTCCGAGCCCGCAGCGGCCGGAGGGAGCGCCGGGGACCGCGCGCGCCGGGGACACGACCTCGCCATCCGAGCGGCCGCGGCCGAGGCGAGGAGGTGGGAGCCGAACCCGGAGCGGAGCAGCATGTGGGCGCGCCTCTCACCCTCGCGGCGGCCCTGACCGGGGGCGGTGGGGGTGGGGGGTGGGGTGGGGGGGCGGGGGAGGGGCGCCTCCCGTCGGGTTTTGGGTCAGCCCGGATATCGGGGATCGGCCGGGCGGCCCCTGTGGTCGCTCGCTGACTTGGCTTCGGGGACTTCTGGTTTCCCGCGTCCGCCCAGAACGGCGTGGTTTGTGGGCGACGGGACTGGGCAGGCGACCCGCATCCGGCGTCCTGGGGCAGGGGGCAGGCAAGGGGGGGCGGCGTGCTTTCTGAGCTCCAGACCTTAAGGATGACCGATTTTCAGACTCTTAACCACCAAATCAGAGAAGCCAGTGGTGAACAAATCTCCATAGAAGAAAGACGTCTCGATTAAAGTGACTGTCCCCAAGAGTTAATTTTTGGCGTTTTGTAGCATTTTGATGAAAGTCGGTTTTTTTCCTATATTAACAAAGAATGGACGTTATGGGAATGGGAGAGATATATATGCAGAGCAGATATTTATGAAGAGAGGCACTTGTTCTGAGAACTCTTGACATCTGTAACTGCATTTGGTGGATCGTGCTGAAATACATCGCATAGGCTTGTAAACTCAGTATGTTTTACTTCCATCTACAGAAATCCAAACCAATCCTTTAATGTTTGCTATTTGTTCTTGAGTTTTAAAATTTGAAAAATTCGTCCAGCTTTGCTTATTTGTTTATTTCATAATGGTCTTTGTTTTTTAAGTTCATTGCATGGCTTTTACCATAAGATCTGAGCAAAATTGCCTCTGGAACACCTCGATCGATACAGGTGTGGTTGTTCATCCTAATGGGAGTATTAATTTTCAAAGCGTATTTTAGATCAAGGGTGAGCCTTGGAGAGCTGAATAGGAACAACAGACTGTGTGGTCATAGCTGGGAGTATTCAAAGAAAAGAGAGGAGGTTGGAGGCAAGCACACGGGAGCCATGATTTAAATGCCCCTCTCTATATAGTTTTCACACATCTATTGCTCAGTTTTTACCATTATTTAATATGCATTGTTTTCATGTCTGTCTAGCGGGCACTGAGGTTTAAGTCTGCTGGAACCAGCCTACAGGTGGCAGACTGGTGAATTAGCTCCACTTCCTGGCTCCTCCCTGAGCCCGCCCTTCCTGGTTTAGCCTTGGGTTCCCAAGGGTGTGGAGAGAGAACTGCCTTTTAATAATAAACCTAAAGGGGAAAACATTAATTGGACACAGTAGAAAAGCTTATTTATGTGAAAAATGCACATCATCCCCTACATTTTAGTTTAAAGAGTTAAATAAATGTGTAAAAACAGTTAATTCAGTTTGCTTTTGCAGTGTTATTCTCTTCAACAGCTCTAACCTATTCTTTTTTTTTTTGCCTTAAGAGGCAGGATCTCGCTCTTTTGCCCAGGCTGGAGTGCAGTGACACTATCATAGCTCACGGCAGCCTGGAACTGCTGGGCTGAAGCGATCCTCCTGCCTCTGCCTTGCAAGTAGCTAGGACTACAGGTGTGTACCACCATGCCTGGCTAATACTAAAAACATTTTTTTTTTAAAAGATGGGGTCTCGTTATGTTGCCCAGGCTGGATTCAAACTCAAACTCCTTATCTCAAGGGATGCTCCTGCCTCAGCCTCCCAAAGCACTGAGATTACAAGCTTGAGCCACTGTGCCCGACCTATAACCTGTTAGTTCTAGCTTCCTATGATTCTGAGCAATTCCACACAGTTCTCCTATGTATGGACATTACTCTAGGGTCTGGGGATCAACAATGAACACAGCACACTCTGCTTACATTTTGGAGATTATAAGATGACTTCTGTCCTGAGTCCTCCATCTCCCACCCTCCTGTCTGTTTTTTCATGGGCTTATTTTCTGTCTTCAAACTTACTTTGCTGCAAGCACCTTGAAAGTTCTTTCAGTACGGTACAGTGTATACCATTTTTCATCTGTTGTCTACAACACTTTGCAGAAATGATGATTGGTTCCTGCTGTGTTGAGACAGGTTTGCATGTTAACATGGTTGTGAGTGGGGAACACTGACCCATTGCCATATATATGCCTGCCCTCTGAGATTGGTGCAACTGCCTTGCCAAGGTTGTTCGTCATTTAAGAATGGCAGCTGGGATGGCTGGGCTGGCTTCATAAAGAAATCCATACTGTGGGGCTTAGGGCTGCCCTCTGGTTTCTCTAAATCTTCTAAAATGAGACCTATGTGCTCTTTAGCAACATATGGCTTTCTAGGCCCTCTCTGTGGTTTGCACATGGTGAAAACCCATTGTAGAAACAACTCTCCTGGATTTAAGAAACAAAATTATTAGCTAAGACAGACAGCCCATGCTTAGTGAGCACTTACTTATTGTGTGTGTAATAGCCTGTTACTCTGGTGGCCTCTGCCTGCTGGTGCTCAGGGTTTTGTGTGGTTCCCTCTCCCTGAGTTTGGACTGGGCCTCTGATTTGCCTTAGCCATTGGAACACAGCAGAACTGAGCCTGACTCTGTTCCAAGCCAAAGCCTCAAGAAATCTTGGTGCTTCTGCTGAGTAAACTAAGGGGAAGAGGGATGAGTGACTTACTCAAGGTCACTCAGCTATGAAGTAGCTTTGAACTTAGTTGCTCTGACTTTTTAGAGGCCAAACTCCTGCTAACGATTAGGCAGAAGGGGATGAAATAAAGCATGCTGGTAAAGGGGTCCACTTTAGCAAGGAGGCTCTCTCTTTCTTAGGAAAAGCATAAAACATGCCTGGAAAGGTGAAGATACAAGAGAAATTTAAGGAGCCATTCCACTGGACCAAGTTGAAGAAGTTTAAGGTTGAAAGGGGAGGACTCGGCAAGGTTGGAGACAGGGGTGGGTGTCAGGCCTGGCCGGAGGTCTGTGATGAATACAGAGCTGTGCAGTTTCCATTGTTTGAGGACCCCCTGCAGGTGGTTTTCCTGTGCCGGGCTGTGCCAGCCAGTGAGTCAGCAGGTGGATCAGTTCCCTTGTGGATAGATGTCCTGCCCATTTTGAGAGGTAATGAGCTGTGTTCATAGTTTAGAAGACTAAGAGAGCTGGATGGAGGTCTTGAATAGTTATCCTTTAATAGAGTAGTTTGTTATTTTTCTTGGAGATTTTATTAATGCCCAGAACTCAGGGACAAACAGCTACATTGTGAGTTATCCACATTACCAGTTACATATGTTGGTAAAGACGTAGCCATTGGAAGCTGACTCTGTGTGTGTGTGTGTGTGTGTGTGTGTGTGTGTATTTTTCCTTTAAAAAGCAACTCCACTGGATTTTTTTCATACTCTGAAATTAATATATAAAAAGTAAAAATAACTGAAAATAAAAAAGTGACTGGGCATGGTGGCTCATGCCTGTAATCCCAACACTTTGGGAGACTGAGGCGGGCGGACCACTGGAAGTCAGGAGTTGGAGACCAGCCTGGCCCACATGGCGAAACCCTGTCTCTACTAAAAATACAAAAAATAGTCAGGTGTGATGGTGGGCGCCTGTAATCCCAGGTACTTGGGAGGCTGAGGCAGGAGAATTGCTTGAGCCCAGGAGGCGGAGGTTGCAGTGAGCCAAGATCACTCCACTGCACTCCAGCCTGGGGGACAAGAGTGAAACTCCATCTCAAAAAAAATAGGTTGGGTGCGGTGGGTCACGCCTGTAATCCCATCACTTTGGGAGGCCGAGGCAGGTGGATCACGAGGTCAGGAGATCGAGACCATCCTGGCCAACATGGTGAAATCCTGTCTCTACTAAAAAAAACAATACAAAAAACTAGCTGGGCGTGGTGGCAGGTGCCTGTAGTTCCAGCTGCTCTGGAGGCTGAGGCAGGAGAATGGCGTGAACCCAGGAGGCGGAGCTTGCAGTGAGTGAGATCGCGCCACTGCACTCCAGCCTGGGCGATGGAGTAACACTCTGTCTCAGAAAACAAACAAACAAACAAACAAAAAATATATATACACACACATACACACAAACAATGTATAGCTTTCGCCTACCCCAATTCTCTACCCATAGACCACCAACATTACCAGTGTTGTTTAATGCAATCCTTCCATGCTTCCCTTTACAATCATAAAATGTATTAGAATTTGTATATATATGTATGGAAAATGTTTCTTTTCTTTCTTTTTTTTTTTGAGACAGAGCCTTGCTCTATCGCCCAGGCTGGAGTGCAGTGGCGTGATCTCGGCTCACTGCAAACTCCGCCTCCCGGGTTCATGCCATTCTCCTGCCTCAGCCTCCCGAGTAGCTGGGACTACAGGCGCCCGCCACCACACCCTGCTAATTTTGTATTTTTAGTAGAGATGGGGTTTCCCCGTGTTAGCCAGGATGGTCTCTATCTCCTGACCTCGTGATCCGCCTGCCTCAGCCTCCCAAAGTGCTGAGATTACAGGCGTGAGCCACCGCACCCGGCCGGAAAATGTTTCTTTTCTTTTTAAAAACAATTTACAAAAATGACATTATACCACCCATATTACTCTGTAACTTCTTTTAAAAATTTAATGTATAACGAATATTCCCAGCCATAACTCATTATTATTATTTTTTAACACATTATCTTTAATGGCTGTGGAGTAGTCCAAAGTATGAATTATTACAAGTTATTCAGTTATTCTCCTGCTGGGAATAATCTCTACCAGTTCTATGTGTCTACAAACAGTGCTGCTTATCCAGCCTGAGATGCCACTGCTTTTTTTTTTTTTGAGGATAGATTCCCCAAAGTGGAATTGCTAGCTGATGAGTATTCAAATTGGGAGTTTTGTTAGCTATTTCTGGATTAATTTTCACAAAAGAATGTAGGCACATCCACCCACAGAAGCCTACAGTGTGTGCCCCTTTTTCTGTCCTCTTGCAGCGTGGGATATTAGCAAGGCTGAGCATTTTTATTAATTTCATAGAAGCAGAAAGATATTTCATTGGATCTGAATTTCCATGGATACTTTATTATGTGTTGCAAATATTTTCTCATTTTGCTTAATTTTTGATGTCTTGCCAGATAGAAAACTTTAAAACTTTTAATATAGTGCATCAATTTTGGGAGTACTGACAGTTTTATCATATTAAATCTTCCAATTCAGAAACAGAGTATGTCTCTTCATTTCTTTGTTCCTTGTTTTATGCCCTTCAGAACATGTTTTATGGGGATGTATTCATGGTGGCAAAGTAGTTTTTCAGTCTCCCCTGAACTCTTCCTGGAAGCTAAACCAATCAGCAAGACAGCCATAGATAAAGCTCAAAGAGGATATGTCAACAAAAGTGTTGGGGACTCTCTCCCCACTCCTTTATTCCCAGGACTGGGTGGGTTTGGCCAAACCACCAGCATCAGAAGGACCTGGAGAAGAGCCGCAGTGGCCTCAGGGGAGTGATGGGAAATGAAAGAAACTATTGACAGGTGGTGGAACCCAAAAACTACCATGAGCTGCTCACCCTTTAAAGTAGGATGGAAGTCTGGTGGGCAGACCTGAGAGCAACTGGCAAAACTGGAAAGGGGCTCCCAGGCTTCTGGCAACAGGTGAGAGCAACTAACTGTGTGTGGACCTGGGAGAATCAGCGTCGATGTGGTGGCAGAGGCCTTGGAGAATCTTAGAAACGTACAGTAAGTCCTCCCTTCTAAGCACCTCACCTTGAGCAGAAATTACTGGAAACATACACCAAGTTAAGCAGAAGACAGATGGCGAGAGAAAATAGGTTCAGATGTTGGAGATATGGAAGGGGACCCCCAAGGAAAAAGATCTCAAAAACTGCTTTAACAGTGAAAGATAACATCAAAAGCTGAGAGCATATAGCCTTGGAAAAGAAGGACTTCAAAGTTCTAGAGCTGGAGCAAAGGACTAGAGGCAAGAGATCTTTCTGAGCTTTACAAAGGTTCTGGACTTGATGCTGGGAAACAATTGGGTACCTGGAGAATTCCTATTTTGAGTCTTTCACAGATCAGTAGAGCCAAATGGGAAAGGTATCCTAGTCCATCCCTTTATTAGGAACTTTCCTGATCTATTGGGAACTTCCTCCTAATAGATCAGGAAAATCCACCTCATTTAATCATGGACAACAAAAAAGGAATATGATCCAGCCTCATGCAACATTTATTCAGTGAAAACATGATGAAAATGAACATAATGGTACTACTGAAAATGAGAGCACACCAGAAAAATTATAAATTAATATTTCAATATAAGCTAAAAGAAAATAAAGTTTCCTAAGAGTAGTATGAATCAGAAACTTTATTTTACTTATTTATTTATTTATTTATTTATTTATTTATATTTTTGAGGCAGAGTCTCGCTGTGTTGCTCAGGCTGGAGTGCAATGAAGCAATCTTGGCTCACTACATCCTCAGCCTCCCGGGTTCAAGCGATTCTCCTGCCTCAGCCTCAGCCTCCTGAGTAGCTGGGATTACAGGTGCTTTCCACCACACCCAGCTAATTTTTGTATTTTTAGTAGAGACGTGGTTTTGCCATGTTAGCAGGCCGATCTTCAACTGCTGACCTCAGGTGGTCCACCAGCCTCGGCCTCCCAAAGTGCTGGGATTATAGGCACGAGCCACTGCTCCCATCCTGAATCAGAAATTGTAAAAACTACAAAAGATATGGCTAGATGACAGGAAATTATGAAAGGAGAACAGAGAGATGTCAGAAAAGAATTTGGAAAAATGAGTTTCAAAAATGAAGACTTAATTAGAAGGAACATGGGAGCAAATAGATATTCTTAGGAAGCACAGAAATAAAAATAGAGGGTGAAAAGGAGAAAAATAATAAAAAAAAGAAGGTGATATAGTGAATTAAAGGAATGTAGGACACAGGCAAAGGAGGTTCAATATATGTATAATTAGTGTCCAGGGACAGAAAAACAAAGCAATAGAATAGCATAAATATTTAGAACTATAATGCAAGAAAACCTGCCTAAAATAAGATTTGAAAGGTTACATTGTGTAACTGGGAAAAATCAATGTAGAATAGTCAGCATTGACATGTTTCCCTGTAAAATAATGGATTTTAAAGATAAGGAGAGAAACTTGACAGGGCGTGGTGGCTCACACCTGTAATCTCAGCACTTTGGGAGGCTGACGCAGGTGGATCACATGAGCCAGGAGTTGAAGACCAGCCTGGACAACGTGGCAAAACCCCGTTTCTACTGAAAATACAAAAAATTAGCTGGGCATGGTGGCACACAGCTGTAGTTCCACCTACTTGGGAGGCTGAGGTGGGAGGATCACCTGAGTCTGGGAGGTTGAGGCCACAGTGAGCTTCGATTGCACCACTGCACTCCAGTCTGGGTGACAGCGAGAAATCCTATCTCAAAAACAAAAACAAATACAAAACAAAAACACCAAAAAAAACCAACAACAACACACACACATAGACAGAACCCTCCCTTGGGCATCGGGTAAAAAGTCCTAGTCATTTGAAGATATAGTACACTGGAATGCTCATAGCCAAATTCTATGCTAATAAACAATGAAACTCTGTCTTAATATTGTTTTCTGGAAATTTTTTGAAATAATTTCTAACTTATAGAAAAGTTACAGAACAGAACCAAGAATTCCTGTGTCTCTTCTCTTAAATTCCCGAATTGTAAACATGTTATTGCATTTACCCCATGGCTTGAGCTTGTGCACATTGTCTTTCTCAAGGTAAAAAAATTCTCAATTATCATTAGTCTTTTTCTCAGTGTTTTGGGAGAAAGCTGTGGACGTGATGTTGCTTCACCCCTAAAAAACTCAGTGTATATTCTCACCACTCATGGATGCTCTTTATGTACTCATCATAAACCTCTCCAAATTAGGAAAACAACATTGGAAGAACATTGTTATCCAATCTGTAGACCCCATTCCAATTTCATCACCTGACCAAGTAGTGTTTCTTTTTCCTCTCTGGCCCAGGGTCCTACCCAGGAACATGAGCATTCCTTGTGTGTCTTCACTCTCCTCAGCCTTCCTCTCTGTTTCACGTTTTCCACAGTTTTGAAGGGCACAGGCCTTGCATTCTGTAGGATGACCCTGAACCTGGATCCATCTGATTATCCTCATGGGCAGACTTGGCTCATGCATTCTTGGCAGGACAATCCCAAAGTTGATGCCATGCTTTTCTCAGTGCATCGCATCAGGAGGCGTTGATGTCAGCCCTTCTCACCATTGGCGATATTCACCTTGATCACCTAACATTATTGCTGTCCTCCAGGTGTTATCATTTTAAATTCACCATTTCCCCTTTAATTATAATTTGTGTAAGGAAGTCTCAGATTATGCCAATATCCTGTTTCTGGTCAAACCTCTCTCTTTCAACTTCACATCCGTTGATGATTGCCACCCGAACCAGCCTCCTCTACGATGATTGCCAAGTCATAATTTTATATTTCCGTTCCTTGTACATTTATTTATTTATTTATTTTATTATTATTATTATTATTATAATTTTGAGATGGAGTCTCGCTCTGTTGCCCAGGCTGGAGCGCAGTGGCGTAATCTCGGCTCACTGCAAGCTCTGCCTGCTGGGTTCACGCCATTCTCCTGCCTCAGCCTCCCGAGTAGCTGGGACTATAGGCACCCGCCACCATGCCTGGCTAATTCTTTTGTATTTTTAGTAGAGATGGGGTTTCACCGTGTTAGCCAAGATGGTCTCGATCTCCTGACCTCGTGATCGGCCTGCCTCAGCCTCCCAAAGTGCGGGGATTACAGGCGTGAGCCACCACACCCGGCCCATTCCTTCTACATTTATTAATTGTTATTCTACTGTAGGAAGAGCTTTTCCATTCTCTCCTATGTATGTATGTATATATGTATGGATTTATGAATTCATTTTAGAACATGGGGGTGCAGATATTTCTTCATTCATACTGGTTTCATTTCCTTTGGATATATACCCAAAGGTGGAATTGCTACATGGGATAGTTCTATTTTTAAGTTTTAAAGGAGCTTTCATACTGTTTTCCGTAATGGCTGTACTAACTTACCTTCCCACCAGCAGAGAAATTGTTCCCCTTTCTCCGTATCTTTGCCAACACTTGCTGTCTTTTGTCATTGTGAGAATAGCCATTGTAACAGGTGTGAGATGATATCTCATTGTGGTTTAGACTTGCATTTCCCTGATGATTAGTGATGTTGAGCATTTTTTCATACACCTGTTTGCCATTCGTGTGTCTTCTTTTAAAAAATGTGTATTCATGAACTCCAACCACTCTCTCCTGTGTGTCTCCGTTCTTCTAGTGGTTACGCTTTCCTCTTTAACAATCTATTTAAATCTGTGTTTTCTGTTAGTATACCAGACTAAATGACAGCTGTGATCACAATCCCCCTTGCTCAAGCCAAATGGTTTCTTTATGCTTTCACCCTCCCCCCCCTTGTCATCTTCTACTCTGTAACCCCACAGGAAGAATCCCTGGCCTGGTTCATTTAAAAATAATTCTTCAAAAGAAAACGGACCTTGAACATTATACCGGGGTCTACATAATTTGAGTGTGTGAAAGAGATTTTTTTTTCCTTTGTATTTCACCTTTTTATTTGGGGGAATTTCAAACTGGAATTTTGAAAAGGTCAAAAGTACTGTATCCGATAGTTTTATTGAAGAGTAAAGAAATTATAAAACCTAGGATGGTTTCTTCAAACTCTGTTGTTTCCACGTTTGATAGTGAGTTTAAACCACGTGTTTTTTTTTTTTTTTTTGTCATCACAGAGCTCTTCTCAGGATGACAGTCATGGAAGGAAGGATGTTGACAGACAGCAAAGGCTAGAACATGGCTTCCTCTGAGTCCCTAGGACCTCACCCTCCTTGGTTCCCCATAGGCAGGTGCTGCTGGGGAATCGCCTGATGAGGGGACAGGGTCCTCTCAGGGCCTTTGAGAAGCCTACTCTGCCTTTGTGGCAGAGGTGGGATATGCAGTGGCTTCTCTGAGCTTTTCTGGAGCTCTGGCTAGATGCCTGCCTGTGTGTTGGCCAGGTGCAGGGCAGGTGCGGTTCCCAGGCCCACTGTCCCCCGGCGTCCCCGAGCTTCAGGCCTACCTGAATTCTATTCCTGCATTTAGGCATTTTAAATTTTTTTCCCCAGTTTTTTTTTTTTTTTTGAGACAGAGTTTCACTCTGTCACCCCAGCTGGAGTGCAGTGATGTGGTCTCTGCTCACTGCAACCTCCGCCTCCCGGGTTCAAGCGATTCTCCTGTCTCAGCCTCCCAAGTAGCTAGGTGCCGTTATGCTCGGTTAATTTTTGTATCTTTGTAGAGATGGGGTTTCACCATGTTGGCCAGGCTAGTCTCAAACTCCTGACCTTGTGATCCGCCCACCTCGGCCTCCCAAAGCACTGGGATTACAGGTGTGAGCCACTGTGCCCGGCCTTTCCTCAGTTTTATTGAGGTATGATGATTGACAAATAAAAAATTTGTCATCCTTAAGGTATACAGTATGGTGTTTTGATGTAAGTATACCTGTGTAATGATTCCCACAATCAAGCTAATTAACGTGTCCATCACCTGACGTAGTTACCTCTATGTGTGTGTGTGAACATTTACAATCTACTCCCTTAACAGACTTCAAGTATACAAGACAATACTATTAACTGTACTTGACAGGCTGTACTTTAGAAACCCAGTACGGATTCATCTTTTAACTGAAAATGTGCACACTTTGACCAATGTGTCCCCATTTTTGATACCATGTTTTGGAATTATAGTTTCAATTTATAAGCTTGGACTGCTCTTATCTCCACTTCCAACTGCTGATAAAAGTGTCATGATTTACCTGAAGGACATGGTACAGTGAGATGGAGGGTGATGTAGGCAGCCCACAGGAATGGAGGATGTTAAAACACTGGCATTTGTGGGGGAGGAAGGGGTGTTGGTGAGTCTAGTATTTAGGGCATAATAAATGTAAACAAACTACTTCTTTTGCATCCCAGCTACTAAAGCCTATGACATAATTATTACATAAACATTCAAGTTATTTGTTCTAAAATAAATCCTTAAAGTTTAAGCTCACTCTTTTGCAGAGAAAACAGAGAACATGTGGGACTTCATGAAAAAGCAAATTTTTATTTGAAAAGTAAACCTCGAAGTTAACTAATTATAAGAGATGTGCTGGCTTCTCATCTGTAATGAGAAATTATAGATAATGGCTTTGATAGTGAATAGGGATAGTGATTTTGAAAGACATTTTTGGAACCCTCAGCAGAATTTGAAAGGATTATGATAATGATACCTACTTAACATGTTAATAAGCAACTTAGCCACAATGAGCATATCCTCATCAGTCTCTTGATTTTTTTTAAAAAAACACATTTTTTTTCAATTATACCCGAGTTCTTTTCTACCATTTGCAAAGGGATACTATGTTTTTTGAAACTGATTTCTGACCCAGTGTCAGAAAAAAGCAGAGGAACATAGCATCTGCTTTGCACCTGCCAATTCATTAAATCCAGCATTGGTGACACCCAGGTCCCCTCTCTGGGCCTGCCCCTGTCTTTGGTGCCTTGAGAGGGTATGAGACACCCCAGAGCGGACTCTTCCAGAAGAGGAAGTAACACCTAAGAAATGTGAGCAGGTTAACAGGGCTGTGAGTCTGTCATAACATGGTCAATAGCTGCTCCTTAAGATTGGCTTTCTCTTTGGAAAAAAGAGAATGTGTTTAAAAAGTATACATATAATTGTATATACATTTCATGATACTTTATTGCTTTATTGCCATATCATCAATAACAACAACAATAAAAAAGAAAGCAAAAACCTTTGGAACCCCCTGAGCAAGGCACCTGCCCAGTGACTTCAAAAGTTCTACCTATGGTTGCTCCCAGTGGCCCAGATGCATGCCTCTTGGTGAGTGGGGTGACATCTGAGAGAGTTTAAGGAGGTAGAGAAGCACTGTGTCTGTGTGGAGAAAGAGCCCTGCTGTGACATGCTCCCCTGGTACTGAAAGCACATTATATATATATTATATATAATATATAGTATAATATATAATTTATATAAAAATATATATAATATATATTATATATAATATATGTGATGATGTGTGGATGTGGGCAGAGCATGTCAGCTGGCGGCCTCTCCTTTGGATGCTTGGGCTGGGCATAGGTGAGCTGCCTCCCCTGCCATATCTTGGGCTAATATGAAGAGTGTCTGCTCTGGGGCATGACTTCTCAGTTTGAAAGCAGAAGAGGCCGATGGCTCATTTCTTTGGGGAGTGCAGCATTCTTTTTCTTCTGCCTGAGAATGCATACTAGTGCTGTATGTGTGTGTCTGTGTGTGTGTGTGTGTGTGTATATATATATATATATAGTAATGTATATTATATATAATGTACGTTATATATTATATAATGTAGTTTTCATATATTCTGTTATCTTTTTCATATATAACTAATTTTTCTTTTCATATATTACTGATTGTTTTCACATATTACTGTTAGCATCATCATCACCATCATAAAACATACATATACATATTAAAATATGTATGTATGTATCTGTGCATAAAACCATGTATATGTGTGTGCTTTATGATGGTGATGATGATGATGATGATGATGATGACAGCAATATATGTTCATGGAAATAAACATTCAGACAGTATGGAAAGGTACAGAATGAAAGGCAAAACCTACTCCTCAGCTCCTGCCCTCCCTATTCCTCAGAGTTAAATATTTCAACCCTCTGTTGTTACTTCTTTGGTGGCAAGCACACCATTGTCTTCATAACCGACATCACTGAAGAAGCATCTAATGCTAATCTGGTTCATCTTCTTTTGCTGGTAACCTAACCTGCTTTTCTGGAAGCTGCTAGGGTCTACTCTTTGTTCTTGGTTTTCTGATATTTTGCAGAACTTAGTGATGGGTCTTAGCTACTCAATGTGTCCTTTCTTTAATGCTGAAAATTTTGTACCTTGAGTATTTCCTCAATTGTTGTTTCTCTTTTATGGAACTCCTGTTAGTTAGGTGTCTGACTTTTTTGTTGTTGTTGCTGTTTTTTGAGACAGAGTCTCACTCTGTCACCAGGCTGGAGTGCGGTGGCACAATCTCTCTCGGCTCACTGAAACCTCTGCCTCCTGGGTTCAAGCGATTCCCCTGCCTCAGCCTCCTGAGTAGCTGGGACTACAGGTGCCCACCACCATGCCTGGCTAATTTTTTGTATTTTAGTAGAGATGGAGTTTCACCATGTTGGCCAGGATGGTCTTGATCTCCTGACCTCAGGCCTCCCAAAGTGCTGGGATTACAGGTGTGAGCCACTGTGCCTGGCCAGGTGTCTGACTTTCTGTGTTCATCTTCCAGGTGTCTTAACTTCTCTGTCACAGTTTCCACTGCTGTGCTTTTTGCTTTATAATCCAGGAGATTTCTTTAATTCCATCTTCTGGACCACCTATTGAATTTTAATTTTTATTTATTTACTTTCAGTTGTATAGATTTATGGGGTAGAAGTATAATTTTGTTGCATGCACAGATCGTATAGTGGTGAAGTCAGGGCTTTTAGGGTATCTGTCACCCAACTACTGAACATTGTACCCATTAAGTACATCAGTGACACAGGGTTGGACAATTGGAAGGACTCTGAGACTCCCCAGGGTATACTTGGGTAAGGCTTTCTTTTTTTTAAGAGTTGGGGTCTCGCTGTGTCACCCAGGCTGGAGTGCAGTGGTATGATCACATTTCACTATAGCTTCAGACTCCTAGGCTCAAGCGATCTTCCCGAGTAGCTGGGACTACAGGCACTCAGGAGCATGCCCAGCTAATTTTTAATTTTTTTGTAGAGATGGGTTTTTTTCTGTGTTGACCAGGCTGGTCTCAAACTCCTGGCCTCAAGCAACCCTCCCACCTCAGCCTCCCAAAGTGTTGGGATTACAGGCGTGAGCCACTTTGCCTGACCCTAAGGCTTTCAGAAAGGGAAATGGTGCAGGGCAGGAGTAGGAAGGTCACACAGGGCAGTACTAGAGAGGTCCAGCCCACCCATGTGCTGCTCCCAGAGGCCTTTCTCTGTCACACAGGATGCACTTTGTCTTCAGATTGTGAATCATTAAGATACTGGAGAGACGCTTGGCCTTGGGAGCAACAGGCTTATCGGAGGAGGAGTCTTTCCTACCCTTTTGGTCAGGTATCTAGAACCAGGATGCATGACGAGTTCAGTAACAAAATCAGAGAACCAGGTGCAGACCATTATGCTGAACATTTTGTATAAACAATCTGACCGTGCAGTTTGCTCCCTGGTCAGTCTTGGACCCAAGCATGGGTTGACATTAGTTGCTAGTTGTTACATTTCATCCTGGTTTGGCTGAAGATCTGAGTGGCAGTTCTAAGCCTTCTGGAAACCTAGCACAGGGTTGCAACAGAACAGGTGAGATTAACTTGTTATTTTATACATTTTTTATTCTCATTTATATTTCCTGCTACTTTTTCTTAGTATTTGTCTTATCTTTTGGTTGCATATTTTTTTCATTTCTACCTGAGGGTACTAATTGGAATTAAGTAAGATAAGTTTTCTAGTTTGCTCCAGAGTCAGTTTTTCTGTGTATTGCTCTAAATCTTTGTCTTTGCTAGTTTTGGTTTTCCTTAACAGTCTGGTGGCCCTTGGTTGTCCTTTGATGTTTATAGGGTTGATTAAAGGTGCTTGGCATGTTTTCTTCTATGTCCCTGACCTCCCCATCAAATGAGGGTGTGGCCTAGCTCTGTCTGGATGTGGGCAGAGCATGTCAGCTGGCGGCCTCACCTTTGGATGCTTGGGCTGGGCATAGATGAGCTGCCCCTCCTGCCATTTCTTAGCTAATATGAAGAGTGTCTGCTCTGGGGGGCATGACTTCCCAGTTTGAAAGCAGAAGAGGCCGATGGCTCATTTCTTTGGGGAGTGCAGCGTTCTTTTTTCCTCTGCCTGAGAATGATACTAGTGCTGTAAGTGCTGGCGTGAGACATAGGGGTCTGGAGGCCCAGGGTTCATCTGTATTTCTGCAGGTAGCCTTTTGTCACCTGGTTTTTTATCCCATTTTTTGCTTTAGCTGTTGGAACTTGTAGACTCTGGGAGTTCCTAGGTGCAGCTCATCTTATCACTCTAAAGCCTCTCTCCTTCATGTGCTGAGTTGAGACTCTTCTCTCTGTTTCCTCTGCCAGTAACTGATCTTAACTTTTATTCATAACTCTCAATGGCCGTCTTTCTCTCCTCTTCCACCCAAATGAACTCCATCAGCAGGAGAACTCCAAGGGAGCAGCTCACAGTCTCAGAGACTGATTAGCAGGGCTCATCTCCAGCTAGCTCTTTCTTGAGTTCTGACCCAGTTTTCCAAGTTTCATGCTGTATCTCTCTTTCCATAGACTGGTGGAAACTTTTTGGACCTCACTCTAGTTCTTGCAAGAATAATAGCTCTGAAAATTTAAATTGACCCATTTTTTTTTCTTTCTTGTAAATCATATTACCCTGCAGCTCTCCCACCCATTAAATCAAGGGTGTTCTTTTCTTTGGGGGAAGAGCAAGTACTATGTAGAACAAAAAGCTCATTACTCAGCTTTGAGTCCTGGCACTGACTTTCTTCAGTCTCAAGAGGGACTACAGTCATGAAAACTAGGCTTTGTGGCAAGAGAAAAAGAATCATATTCCAGAAGCTTTCTTTTATATACTGAGAGCAAAGCTGGGAGGCCTGAAAATGGTTTTATTGGTGGTAGGATGGAGGAGATGATGGGAGAGAAGTTCCCCTCCACCGGGGAGTGGAAAGGAAGGGGAAGGAGAAAGCCATGTGAGTCTGGGAGGAAGGACTCTGAGCAGGTGGAGAGATTTAGAAGTGAAGAAGCTTCTTGGGTCCCTAAGAAGGGACATAGCACCGTAGCACCCTGTACTACTCCACATGATTGAATGAATGAGGACTGGACATTGGCCATCTGTCCCTTGCCTTCCATGTCTTCCACCATGATGGAGGAGCCATAAGATAGCACTGGGGGAGGAAAATGTGTAGACCAGAGATGGACCAACGTTTCTATACAGAAGAGTCAGTGTTTAGGCTTTGTGGTCACATGGTCTTCTGTGGCAACTACTCAACCCTGCCATCATTGTGTGGAGGCAACCATAGACCATTTATAAATGAATGGGTATAACTGTGTTCCAGTATAACTTTGTTTGCAAAAGCAGCAGGCCAGATTTGGCCTAGGGATCATAGTTTGTTGACCTCTGGTCTACAAGATTGGGTCTGAAATTTCCCATGGACAGTGTGTGGAATAAAGACATTTGCTAATTTCCATGTTGCTGTGGGACATGTTGAACATAGCAGAGAGGGAAGAGCCAGGTGCTGCCACAGGGCCCTCAATGGTGGGCAAACAGACCTCCCTAGATGAGGCTGTGGGGCAGACATCCATAGCTGGAACCTGTGGAGACTGTAGCCCAGTCTCAGAGCATCCTCAGGGCCGCCCAAAACAGAGGTGTGGCGGAGCAGCAAGGTGAAGTGGCCATGCTCCCTGGGAATGATGACTGTGCAGTGAGTGCCCCTGCAAGGGACACCCTGGCAGTGGACACAGCAAGGGCAGGGCTGACACTGAGAGATGGGGCCAGCGGAGCTTCACTGCAGCTGGTCAGCAGGAGGACATTCCTGGGCCCAGGCTCCTCTCTCTCTGCCCCACTGGACACTTCTGTCACTCACACAGGTCTCTGCATTTGAAGCTGTTACCTCTCTCCTCTTGACATACCCTATTGCTGACTTTACATCTGCACTTGGACAAGTCATAGACACTTAAAATTCAGGATATCCCCAACCAAGTTGCTCATTTCCCCTCCAAATAAGTGTCTTCTGCTCTGTTTTCAAGGAGTGGAACCACCATTCACCCAGTTCCTCCAACCAGACACCAGTGGTCCTTCCTAACGTAGCCTCTTGTCATCCTACTGATTCTTCTTCAAAAATACAGACTTCTGCCTGCTGTGTCTCTCTTACCCAGATTATTCTGGTAGCCCCGTAAGTGGCTTCTCCACTTCTGCTCTTGTCCTCTCAATTTCCCCTTCACACAGCATCCGGAGAATCTTTATGATGCAAATGTGAAATGTCATATTCAGTTCCAGTTTTGTGGACCAGGTATTGGGACTAACCCAACGTCTAAGAGCTAGCAAAGCTGGGTAGGTTGAATATGGGTTAGGTCAATGTGGTAGATGGAATTGTGGTCCCCCAGAGAAGTCCACATCCTAATCCCTAGAAGCTGTGAATCTGTGTCTCACATGGCAAAAAGGGACTTTGCGGATGTGATTCGGTTAAGGATCTTGAGAGAGGGAGACTATCCTGGATTATGTAGGCAGGCCCTGTGTAATCACAGGGGTCCTCCTGAGAGGGAGACAGAAGATCTGAGTCAGTAGTAGGAGGTGGGATGATGAACGCAGTGACTGGAATGATGTGAGGAAGAGAGTTATGAGCCAATGAAGGCAGGTGGCCTCTGGAAGCCCGGAAAGGCAGGGAAGCAGATTCTCTCCTGGAGCCCCCAGGAGGATCGAGGCTTGTGACCCCTTGAATTTAGCCCAGTGAGACTGATTTGCACCTCTGACCTCCAGAATGTAGGATGATAGCTGTGTGTTGCTATAAGTCACCAGGTTTGTGGCAATTTGTTACAGCAGCAATAGGAAACTAATGCTGCTGAGGCATTCTGGGGACACAGGAGGGGAGAGTTGTTTACCTGCTGGTGGTCCAAAGATGATTAGTCAGAAATCCAGGGGGGCTCAGTCACCTTGCACACAGGCCTGTGTGAGGTGAGGGGAACAGGCGTGGCTTCCACACTGTTTAGATCCAAGGGCCCCCTCTGGTGAGTGCTGGTGGGTGGGTACAGTCATCTGTATGTGAAACTGTAACTGGATCGATCACAAGAACTAATGAGTGCTTACTTTTTTTGCCAGACGCGATTCTAACAGTGTTTCATATCAACTTATTTAAGCCTAGCAGTAAACCCTGGGGAATGGGTACTACGTCTTGTCCTCATTTTGTACAGCTGACCCTTGAACAGTACACGGTTAGGGGCACTGACTCCCTCTGCAGTTGAAAATCCACGTGTAACTTTTGACTCCTCCAAAACGTAACTACTAATAGCCTCATATTGACTGGAAATGTAAATAGATGATTAATACATCTTTTGTATATGCGTTATATGCTGTATTCTTACCATAAAGTAAGCTGGAGGAAAGAAAATATCATTAAGAAAATCATAGGGAAGAGAAAATGTATTTACTATTCATTAAGTGGAGGTGGATCATCATAAAGATCTTCATCTTTGTCGTCTTCCCACTGAGTGGGCTGAGGAGGAGGAGGAAGAGGAGGACTTAGTTTTGCTGTGTCAGGGTGGCAGAGAAGGAAGAGGTGGAGGAGGTGGGGGAAGAGTTGGAGGAGGTGGAAGAGGGAGGAGGAGGTGGAGGACCAGGTGGAGGAGGTGGAGGAGGGGTGGAAGACAAGGTGGAGGAGGTGGAGGAGGGTGGAGGAGGTGGAGGAGGAGGTGGAGGACAAGGGGGGAGGAGGAGATGGTGGAAGTGGAGGCCGAGGTGGAGGAGGTGGAGGAGGAGGTAAAGGAGGTCTGGAAGAGGAGATGAAGGAGGAGGTGGAAGAGGAGGTGGAGGAGGAGATAGATGAGGTGGAGGAGGAGGTGGCAGAGGTGGAGGAGGAAGTAAAGGAGGTGGAGGAGGAGGTGGAGGAGGAGGTGGAAAAGGAGGTGGTGGAGGAGTTAGATGAGATGGAGGAGGAGGTGGTGGAGGTGGAGGAGGAGGTAAAGGAGGTGGAAGAGGAGGTGGAGGAGGAGGTGGTGGAGGAGGTAGATGAGGTGGAGGAGGAGGTGGTGGACGAGGTAGAGGAGGTGGAGAAGGAGGTGGAGGACGAGGTGGAAGAGGTGGAAGGGGAGGTGGAGGGGGAGGTGGACAAGGTGGAGGAGGTGGAGGAGGAGGTGGTAGACGAGGTGGAGAAGGTGGAGGATGAGGTGGAGGATGAGATGGAGGAGGAGATGGAGGATGAGGTAGAGGTGGAGGAGGTGAAGGAAGTGGAGGAGGAGGTGGAGGATGAGGTGGAGCAGGTGGAGGAGGAGGTGGAGGAGGTGGAGGATGAGGTGGAGGTGGAGGAAGTGAAGGAAGTGGAGGAGGAGGTGGAGGAGGAGGTGGAGGATGAGGTGGAGCAGGTGGAGGAGGAGGTGGAGGAGGTGGAGGATGAGGTGGAGGAAGTGGAGGAGGTGGAGGAGGTGGAGAAAGTGGAGGAGGTGGAGGAGGAGGTAAAGGAGGAAGAGGTGGAGGAGGTGAAGGAAGAGGTGGAAGTGGAGGAGGAGGAGGTGGAGGAGGAGATGGAGGAAGTGGAGGAGGAGGTAGATGAGGTGGAGCAGGTGGAGGAGGAGGTGGAGGAGGTAGAGGAGGTGGAGGAAGTGGAGGAGGTGGAGAAAGTGGAGGAGGTGGAGGAGGAGGTAAAGGAAGAAGAGGTGGAGGAGGTGAAGGAGGAGGAGTTGGAAGAGGAGGTGGAGGAGGACGTGGAGGAGGTGGAGGAGGAGATGGAGGAAGAGGAGGTGGAGGAGGTGGAGGAGGAGGTAGAGGACGAGGAGGTGGAGGATGAGATGGAGGAGGTGGAGGACGAGGTGGAAGAGGAGGTGGAGGAGGACGTGGAGGAGGTGGAAGAGGAGGTGGAGGAGATAGAGGAGGAGGTGGAGGAAGGAGGAGATGGAAGAGGTGGAAGAAGTGGAGGAGGTGGAGGAGGAGGTAGAGGACGAGGAGGTGGAGGATGAGATGGAGGAGGTGGAGGACGAGGTGGAGGAAATGGAGGAGGTGGAGGAGGAGGTGGAGGAAGTGAAGGAGGAGGTAGAGGAGGAGGAGGTGGAGAAGGTGGAGGAGGAGGTGGAGGAGGAGGTGGAGCAGGAGGTGGAGGAGGTGGAGGAGTAGGTAGAAGAGGTGGTGGTGGAGGATGAGGAGGTGGAGGAGGTTGAAGAGGTGGAAGAGGTGGAGGAGGTAGAGGAGGAGGTGCAGGAAGTGGAGGAGGAGGTGGGAGGGGAGTCAGGAGAGGCTGGCACACTTGGTGTAGCTTTGACTGAAAAAAATCCATGTATAAATGCACCTATACAATTCAAACCTGGGTTTTTCAAGGTCAGCCGTAGATTGGAGATTGCCTGGGAAGCCCCACCTGGGCGAAGGGTTTGAGGGGAGGTTGGGGAGGGATGTGTGCAGAAGATGGGTGACCGGCCGGGCTGGTCTGGGAGGTCGTGAAGAGGGCGGGCATGTACTGAGCCTGGGTGCTGCGGGCCAGCTTCGGGCCTGTGCCATGGTCTGCAGAGATTAAGCATGTTTGGAAGTCCATGTAGCATCACTCATCCTACCTGGTGGGCTAGGATGCTGGAGTGGGAGAGGGAGACCCCAGGCGTGGGAAACAGCAGAGCCATTCTCCCGTGGGGTGGCTTCAGAGGCCTGCTAGGCAGCGTGGGCAGTGATCACATGATGACAGGCTGCTCCTCTCTGAGTGCCCTCACACCTCTTTCTCTCCTTTTTCCCTTGTTTCCAGGAGCAAGAAACCCCACCCCCAGATCTCTGGGGAGGGGAGTATTTTATGAGGGGCAGGTATCCGCTGGCACAGGTGGGTGTTGAAGAAAAGTTTGTAGAATGATTGAAGAATGACTGCCTAATTCCTTAACCTCTCTGAGCCTCATTTGATCATTTGTGAAAAGGGGGATTGACTTATTGCTGTTTCCAAACCATATTGCACTGTGGTTTAGGAGAGCTAGAGAAAATTGTCACTTTACCCATTGCAGTTATCCAGGTATCTGATAGTGTGATGCTCCAAGATAGGCATGAGCGGTTGGCACAGGTTTCTGGGAATAATGTTGGGGGACAATTCCTGAGAGTTCCCAGTGAGGGGAAACAGAGGAACTTGGTAAGGGCAGGCTGAGCTCGAAGGGGAGAACGGGCACCTCCCTAAAGATCCAGGTGGTGAAACAAGGTCCCACTAGGTATTTTTACAACACAGTTTCTGTAAACAAGTTGTCATTTATTCCTTTTTGGCCCCAGATGAGTGCTACACAGTGCCTGCTAGGGCAAACATGAAGTGGGTGTGGGTATGAAGCAGTCCCACCACTTCTCCCCTCCCGTGTCTCCGATGGGGACCCACATCATCCAGATAACTAGCTTCTTGGTTCCAGCAGCGGTCTCTTGAATGGGCTCTCAGAATTATGTAGATGCAGCAGGTGGCACTTTTGGGGAGGGTGGAGAGAGGGGCCTGTGATCAGAATTGTTTGCATCTCAACCCCTGCTCTGCTCCCTGGGATCCTCAACTGTGGAGCTCGTCCCTGGGAATGAGGTGGAGCAGCTGGCATCTGCGCTTTGGGCTGTCAGAGAGAAGACACTAAAACCCCGTCGCTGCTCCCTGAGGGAGAGTCAAAGTTCGGGTCACCTAAGGTGGTATTGATCTAAGTCTCTTCACCTGAAAGAGCCCTTGAAAGCACAGTGGGAACTCATCAGGCAGGGAGGGGAGCCTGGGCCAGAGACCCAGCATTAACACAAGGGCCTGAGACAGGGCTGGGGCCAGCCAGGTTTGCTGGTGAGGGGCTGTTCTAGATATCTGACACATGACCGGCAGTGTTTGAGAAAGACTAATCTTTTACATCTGTGTTCTTTCTAAGTCAGGCAGTCCCCTTGCAGAGGAACTAGTGGATTATTTGCTCATAGACAAACTTATCAGCTTCGAAGAAGGAATACCTTGAGCATTATGCACTCCCAGGTGTTTCAGGGCGGAATATCCACCCCTTTGGCCATGGGATGGAGCGCTCTGGGGCCTGAGGTGGCTGCCCCATCCTGCACCCAGTCACATTGTGCCCCAGTCACACTGGCGGTGGGTGATGAGAGCCGGAGTTGGAGTAGAACAATCATGGGGACCACAGGTGGGGAACTGAATCCACATGTGGGGCGGTGGGGGGGGGGCACCTGCATGGGGCTGAAGCCAGGGGAGAGAGAACTTCAGAGGACAGAGCCTTGCATGGAAGAAGAGACACTGATGGAGACAGCGAGATTTGAGAAGGCAGGAGAGACAGAAATGTGCGGGAGTCAGCCGGGTGTGTACCCTGAGAGATCTTGCAAGAAAGGCTCAGAGTCAGTATCTGTTTTTATTATTCTTGGCAAAACTGGTTGTTGACATTTTTTGGGCATGAAAATACTGAGTTAACTAATGAGTAAGGAAACATTTAAAAATGTTCTCTGTTCTTTGGGAATTTCACAAGAAATTTTCCTCCCTCCCTCCCTTCCTTCCTTGTGAAGAATGACTGCCTAATTCTTTAATCTCTCTGAGCCTCATTTGATCATTTGTGAAAAGGGGGATTGACTCTTATTGCTGTTTCCAAACCGTACTGCACTGTGGCTTAGGAGAGCTAGAGAAAGTTGTCACTTGACCCATTGCAGTTATCCAGGAGATAACTGTCGGAGAGATCCTTCCAACAGGGTCTCTCTCTACAGCCCAGGCTGGAGTGCAGTGGCAGGATCACGGCTCACTGCAGCCTCAACCTCATGGGCTCAAACGATCCTCCCACCTCAGTCTCCCAAGTAGCTGGGGCTACTGGCATGCCACCACTCCCGGCTAATTTTTTAATTTTAATTTTTGTAGAGAGGAGGTCTCGTTATGTTGCCCAGACTGGTCTCAAACTCCTGGGCTCAAGCGACCCACCTGCCTTGGCCTTTCAAAGTGTTGGGATTACAAGCGTGAGCACCGTGCCTGGCCAGGAATTCCCCTTCTTCGGGAAGAAGCTGTCCTACCCATGCGGGAGATTCAGAGGTGGGTGCGGGGGAGCTTTGACAGGGGTGTGGGCACAGGTGGTGGTGAAGAACGAATGGTTCCATTTGTGCACAGGAGTGTGTCTGACTCTGACCCCCAGGTCATGGGGGACCCAGAGCACAGTGGGCTCTGTAAAAAGGAAAGAGGTAGGAAAGAAGGATGCAACTCTCAGAGGGGAGTTAGGGAGGGCTTGGTGCCTTTCTTCCTGGTGCCCATCTTTTCTAGTTCTGAGCTGATCTAGCATATGCCTGCCTGGCGCAGGTGGGGGATCTGGGAATATGCAAATAGCCAGCTCACTGGGGTGGGTCACCCTGAGCAGCGTGGAAGGGCTGCATTTACAGAGAGTGCTGCTCGTCATGGTGGCTGCTGCAGTGGGACCATGCAGGCTTTCTTATAATTACAATAGAATGAAAATATTTTAACAGTTTAATACTTTGTTGTTATAGGGCTTTATTCTTTCAAATTATTTTATTTAAAAAAATACCATTCAGTTATTTTTGGAAATACAGAGTACCAAAAGAGAAAACCAACCTTGTCCGGTCTAGTAGCCCCAATTCTTTCTTTGGGGAGAAGCTGTCAAACACTGACTCATGGTCCAGGTAACCCTAGCGGGCATTGAAAGGACAAAAGTAAAAGTTGTACAGCATCTTGTTAGAAAATTCAGGTGCTACGGAGAGGTACCAAATGAAAAACCCAAATCTCTCTCCTCTCCCCAGAGGTGTTCCCCGAGGAAAGGGGGATTTCTTCCAGATCATAGATGAGTATCCTTCCCTCTTCCCCGGTTCCTTCTCTCTCTGTGAGTCAGAAGAGGAGATACTGTGCACACAGTTCCAGCCTTTCTTATTGTCACCTAACAGTGTCTCATGTAGCTGTTTGTCAGTGGATATAGCTCATGTAATTTTTAAAAAGTCTTATGGTGCTCTATTGAATGACTATAATGTAATTTATTTAATAAGCTCCCATTGAGCTGACATTTTTGTGTATCTCATTTTTGTCATAACATACTTGGAAGTATTGCTAACGTGTGTAAGAATGTTCATGGGGTAATTTCCTAGCCAAGAGGTTTCTAGGTCAAGAGGTCCATGCCTTTTAGATGGAAATAGATTTTTCAAATTGCCCCAAGGACAGGCTGAACCGTTTGCAAAACCCCACAGCAGTAGGTGAGAATACCCGGGCCCTTCCCTGGCTCAGCGCCACAGCCACCTCCTCCAAGAGGCCTCTCTGAGCACTCTATTTTAAGCAGCACTTTCTCTTATCCTGATTTTTATTTTCCTTCAGCACACTTAATACTATCTGAAATTTCTTTTTCACTAAAATCTAAATCCCATAAAGACAAAGATTTTGCACAACACAGTGTCTCTCTAATGCCTAGCTTGTGGTGGACCTGTAGATCTTCAATATTTGTTCAATGAATTTATGAATGGATTTTGATTCATTATGTTGTTAAATGTGATAGGGCCAATCCCCTTCGGCTCTCCTTCCCCCTTCCCT
The DNA here is from genome assembly GCF_000001405.40 of Homo sapiens. Classification (NCBI taxonomy): domain Eukaryota; kingdom Metazoa; phylum Chordata; class Mammalia; order Primates; family Hominidae; genus Homo; species Homo sapiens. The sequence continues at coordinate 1,717,631 of NW_011332701.1, read as the reverse complement.
CCCCTTTCTTTCCTTCCTTCCCTCCTTTCCTCCCTCTCTCCCTCCCTTCCTCCCTCCATCCTTTCCTTCCTTCCTTACCTTCCTCACTTCCTTCCTTCCTTTTTTTTTTTTTTGAGACGGAGTCTCGCTCTGTCGCCCAGGCTGGAGTGCAGTGGTGTGATCTCGGCTCACTGCAACCTTCTGCCTCCTGGGTTCAAGCAATTCTCTTGCCTCAGCCTCCTGAGTACCTGGGATTACAGGCAACGCGCCACCACACGCAGCTAACTTTTGTATTTTTAGTAGAGACGGGGTTTCAACATGTTGATCAGGCTGGTCTCAAACTCCTGACCTTGTGATCTGCCCGCCTCGGTCTCCCAAAGTGCTGGGATCACAGGCATGAGCCACCGTGCACGGCCCCCTTCCTTCCTTTTAAATGGAATTCCAGTTACTGTTGTAACATCACAAGTTATCCTCAAACTTAGCAGTTTAAAACAGGTGTTTTATTTTGTTTATAATCTTGTTGGTGAGGAATTTGGAACGGCTCTGCTGGGTGATTCTTGCTTGAGGTCTCATGTGATTGTGTTGGATATCAGCTGGGGTTGTAACTCATCTGAGGACTCGACAGGGTGGGACATCCCAGACGTCCCACTCACATGGCTGGCAGTTGTGGCCTGCTGGCAGCTGGGGCCTCAGCCACGTGTATACTTGTAGCTCCTCCAGCACTGTGGTCTCAGGGTAGTTGGACTTCCTACATGATGGCTGCTTCCCCCAGAGCTAGTATCCCAAGAACACTAGGTGGAAACTGCTTGCTTTTTCCAGCCTAGGCTCACAAGTCTCATGGGGCCATTTCCTCTGTACTCAGTTGGCTGAAGCAGTCACAGACCTGCCAGCATTTAAGGGGAGGGGACATAGGCCCTACCTCTTGATGGGAGGAAGACAAGGGTCACACTGCAGAAAAGCATGTGGAAAATACAAACAGCCACACCTGGTAATTCTCGTGTATTTTTTTTCAGATTACTATTAGTATCATTTTGCTGAGTTCCAAAGTAAGTTCCCAAATCCTCCTGGTATTTTAATTGGTTTGCAGTAAATTTATGAATTGATTTAGGGAGAATTAACAACTTTACAGGTTTTTTTGTTTTTGTTTTTGTTTTTGACAGAGTCTTGCTCTGTTGCCCAGGCTGGAGTACAGTGGTGCGATCTCAGCTCACTGCAACCTCTGCCTCCTGGGTTCAAGCAATTTTCATGCCTCAGCCTCCCAAGCAGCTGGGATTACAGGCATGTGCCACCATAAGTGGCTAATTTTTGTATTTTTAGTAGAGACGGGGTTTCGCCATGCTGGCTAGGCTGGTCTTGAACTCCTGGCCTCAAACGATCTGCCCGCCTTGGCCTCCCAAAGTGTTGGGATTACAGGCGTGAGCCACCACACCCGGCCAAGTTTACAGTATGAAACATTCCAATCCAAGCACATGGTGCTACTTTTAATTTCTCCTTTTTGCCTCATTGGAGAACTTTCCAGTTTTCTTCATGTAGGTTCTGCCCACATCTAGTTCAGATGTGCCGTTCTTTTCAGGAGTTACTGTGAGTGGGGTCTTTTCAGCTGTTTTCTCAATGGTTTTGCTTGTTTATAGGAAAAAGGTACTTTAAAATTCTGCAAACAGTCAACTTGCTAACTATTCTAATTCTTTCTAATAATTTAAAAATTGGATTCTCTTGTTTTGTAGACGTGTAACATATCATTTTCCAATAATAATAATAATTTCTCTCATCTGCATCTATTGTTATCATAGATGTTTTAAGTCCTAATTCTTTATAATCTAGTTTGTGGGGTTTTTTTCTGTTGCCAATTTTCCTCGTTTTTTGTTATTATTATTATTTTTAGAGATGGGGTCTTGTTATGTTGCCCAGGCTGGCCTTGAACTCCTGGGCTCAAGTGATCCTCCCACCTTGGCCTCCCGAATAGCTGGGACTACAGGTGTACACTCTGGTGCCCTGCTTTCCTTTTTGTTATTTGAGTGTGTGCGTGTACTGTTTCCCTTCTGGTGCTTTGGACGGTTTAGAGTCTACTTTTAGTTTTTCCAGTGGTTACTCATATAACTCTGTATATTTGTTATGTATAACCTTCTGTTTCTTGATTTAGCAACTCTTAAATTATATCTATTGTTCACTTGCTATGAAAAATGAAAAAATTATCACATTTCCCCTTCTGTCTCCCGAGTTTTTTTGTTTTGTTGTTGGCTACATTTTCACTTTAAATCTCAGGCCGCCTCTGTTTCTAGGTTTATGAATTTTAGGCCATATCTTGAGGACTGCTCATCAAGATGGGGAGAGGAAAGGAAGGCCCTTATGTGTCTTTCCATTTCCCACTCCATGCTGTCCAATTTAGGAGACTGTTCCTTTGACATTGTCACGTTTAAGCATTTACCATCTGTAACCACAGGGAAGGGTTTCTTGCTTTTCTTCCAGCAGGGAGTCACAGCATTTTTTCCATCTCTGGAAAAAATAGATGACATGAAGGTTTTGGGGAAAATGCTACTTATTCTCTGGAGGCTGCCTTCAGCTCTTTCCCTTCTGTTATTCTTTAAGATGGGAGCTGTTAGGGAAATGGTTCAGGGTTTTGTTTACTTGCTTCTCCCTTGCTTCTTGCTTCCAAAAAGCCACGAGGACCAGCTTTGCTTTGCTGTTGGATTTTGGTGAAGGAGTATTTTAATACTGGGGTTTGCTCTGCCACCTTCTTGATCTTTTTTTTTTTTTTTAAATAGGCATTTGATAATTCAGCATATATTGTTAAAAGTGAAGTAGTCCCATCATTGTCTTATTTTTTAATAGAAAAGAACCATTTAGTTTTTAAAAAGTCTTAAGACTCAGATAGATAGCTGAGAACTGGTATCTTATGATGCACAGTGAAGTTTTGAGCAGAGGCTCCCTTTATTTTGTATATAGCTCCAGGCATATGTATTGAGCACGTAATAATGAAGCACAGAGGTCAGGGTTCTTAGATGCAATCCCCACCCCAGAGTCCATTTTAGCCAGTTTCACAGAATTCTATATAGCCAGGATCAGTGCCCAAATCTCACCGATGGGCAGTGACAAGTGAAGACAGCTCTGTGACCATCGCTCAGCATGGAAGTGCCAGCTCCCTGCAGGTCAAACACTAGAAGCTTTGCCACTGCTGCCTACCCTGCTTGTGCCCACTACGTCACACTGCTCCCCTGATTGGCAAAGCCAAGCCATATGCCTGAGCTCTAGCTGCAGGGAGGATTGGATGAGCTTTTGCCTCTACATTTCAGGAGAAGGAACTCATATGGGAGATCTTCCAGTTGTAGGAAGGGTGTTCAAACCATGTTGTGTGGCCATAAATTTGACAGCTATTGATATTTACTACAGTAGTGTTCTCTGCTGGAGGCCGATTGCATCATTGGCCTGCTGTAGCCAAGGAAACATGGCAGGGTGGATAACGTGTCAGGCCAGAGGTGAGGAAATCTGATTGCACCCATGGATTCTCATATTTGCTGTGTGACTGTGGGCAGATCACTTGCTCTCTTTGACCTCAATCTCCTAATCTGTAAAGGAAGAGCTCAGGAAAGATGATGTGTGAGGTCCCTTCAGGTATATTTAGAGCACTTACTAAATGTTTGCTGCGTGAGTGAATGAATGAATCTGTTATTGATTGGGCTTCAAAGAAGATAAATGACACAAGGAAACATTGTGTTTAGGTGAGTTAACTTTTGGTTATGAATTTTATTTAAATTAGAGTGTCTTTGTATTCTAATGGTTTTAAGGTCCTGGAAATTCTTTAGATTTTAGCTTTTTAAAAACAGTTAATTTATGGCAAGAACAAGGAAGCAACAGTTGCCAAGAAAGTTTCAGTTTGGATAAACTATTAATGATTTTCCTAGCATGGAAAACATGAGGATTTTTACTCGCTTTGGTAACTGTCAGACTTCAGAACATCAAGATCAGATAACATTCAGATAAAATAATGGAGAAGATCCTTTCCTAAGTGAGTTAAATTATTTACAATTCTTGGCTTTGCAATAAATGGAATAAATGAGCATTTATTGAGTGAGTTCCTAGAGGACCTTTTCAGCTTCTCTGCCATCTTTGGTAGGACTTGCTCATTGGTGATCAACTCTGTTTTAATATGCACTTGCTTTCCCTTAGGTTTGTTTTTTTTTGTGTGAGTGTTAGGAAGTGAAGGATGATTATTTCTAATTTGTTCTCTTTCTCAGATGAGTGCTATCAAGGTTGTCCTATCTGTAAAGAACCTTGTGCCTTTTAGATGGAAGTCACTATACATATTTGACAGAGTCGGGGCCTAGATATGTCCCCACAGTAAGTCCAGATGAGTCTGATCATGTCTGGAGGGTTTGAAGGAGCTCAGCAGAGGGACAGTGTCTGGAGGGTAAGAAACAGCCACCAGAACTGTGGTCTCTGCTGTCCTTGTTGTGGGTGCCTCACAGAATCCATTTCTCCTTCATTCACCTCAGTTTCCCTTTTCCATTCTTAGGATTGACTCCACCCCAACTCACTCTGACTCTGAATCATTGAATCTCACTGTCTTGACACAGAGATTGTTTCAGGAGCCAATTTCAGTCAGCCTGAGAGAGGGAGTTCCAGGAGCCTGAATGGGAGTTTCTAGAAGCAATGCCCTTGCTTACTCTGGTATGAGGATTTAGGCTGGGACTGCTATAGACATTTAATCATGGTCATAGGAGAGCCTGAGGGGTTCTGTGAGGAGTCCAGGGATGAACTGGGCAGAGCAGAAGGTGAAGAAGAATTGGGACTAGGTGATATTGAGCTCCTGGCTCAAGTTTTGCCCCAACAACAGCACTAGTCTGTGAACTCTTGAATTATGGAAACTGCTAAAAGATGAATGAAGCCGGGCACAGTGGCTCATGCCTGTAATCCCAGCACTTTGGGAGGCCGAGGCGGGCGGATCACGAGGTCAGGAGATTGAGACCATCCTAGCTAACACGGTGAAACCCCGTCTCTACTAAAAATACAAAAAAATTAGCCAGGTGTGGTGGTGGGCGCCTGTAGTCCCAGCTACTCGGGAGGCTAAGGCAGGAGAATGGTGTGAACCTGGGAGGCAGAGCTTGCAGTGAGTGGATATCACACCACTGCACTCCAGCCTGGGCTACAGAGTGAGACTCCGTCTCAAAAAAAAAAAATGTATAACAAATCTAGTTTTGCAGATTTTAATCGCCTTTTATTTGTGATTCTAGAATCAGGCAGCCCTCAGAACCAGGGACAGGTTCAGAGAACTCCAGGGCTGCAACGTGGTCTAAAAGCATTTGTGGATAGCAGGGAAGTGAGGTACAGAAACAGAAGTGAGGTAGAGAGACAGCTGATGGTTAATGGCTCAGTGTTCGTCTTACATGAACAGGATTGGAACAGTTGTCCTGCTGCCTGCAGTTAACTGGAGCTCAGCTGCTATGATTGCCTGAGACTCAGCAATTTGTTCCCAAAGTATCCTCCTGAGTTAGGCTTTCCATTAGTTTGCATACTAAGTTAAGTTGCAGTTCATTACACAAGCACCTCCTCAGCCCAAATTTAGTTTAATTTAACAGAGCCAGTAGGTTCCCTGAATCGTTTGTGGGAATGTGTGATCAAATATTACAAGTGTATAGACCAGTATAGAGGATAATATAACAAATCCTCATTTATGCACCTCTTATGATGAAAAATATAACTCTTTTCTTATGTGCTTCATGGTACAGTTGTTTCCCTCTAAAGGATTGAAGCATAACAAATAGTGCTGGAAGTCTCTTATGATTTTGTGGTCCCATTATCCTTTCTTCTTTAATAGTTTTACTAGAATATGTCTTGTTATGGCTTCTCTGGATTGTTTTTCTTAGGTATGTGATGTACCTTTTCAGTATATTCAGTATTTTTCAGTATATTTCAGTATATTCAGCTTAATTCAATTTTTAAAAATTGTGGTAAAATACACGTAACATAAAGTTTACCATCTTAACTTTTTTTTTTTTTTTAGGCAGAATCTCGCTCTCTTGCCCAGGCTGGAGTGCAGTGGCATGATCTCAGCTCACTGCACCTCTGTCTCCCAAGTTTAAGCAATTCTCGTGTCTCAGCCTCTGAGTAGCTAGGATTACAGGCATGCACCACAATGCCTGGCTAATTTTTTGTAGTTTTTTAGTAGAGATGGTGTTTTGCCATATTGACCAGGCTGGTCTTGAATCCTGGACCCAAGATATCTGCCCACCTTGGCCTCCCAAAGCACTGGGACTACAGATGTGAGCCACCCGGCCCCATCTTATCCATTGTAAGTGTACAGTTCAATATTGTTAAGTATATTCACACTGTTGTGCAGCTAACCCCCAGAACTTTTTCATCTTGAGAAACTTTTACCCCCAACCCAGCCCCTGATAACTCCCCTTCTACTTTCTGTTTCTATGAATTTGGTTATTTTACATACCTCATAGAAGTGGAATCATACAGTATTTGTCCTTTTGTGACTGCCTTATTTCACTTAGCCTCATCAAGATTCATCCATGTTTAGCATGTATCAGAATCTCCTTCCTTGTAAAGGCTGAATTCCATTGTATGTCTATACCACATTTTATTTATTCATCTAACAGTGAATACTTGGGCTGCTTCCACCTCTTGGCTATTGTGAATAGTGCTGCTATGAACATGGGTGTACAGATATCTCTCTTGGACCCCGATTTCCATTTTTTCGATATATATCCAGAGGTGGAATTGCTGGATCTCATGGCAATCCTAATTTTAATTTTTTGAGGAACAGACAAATTGTTTTCCACAGTGGCTGCACCATTTTTTATTCCTACCAGGAGTCTATAAGGGTTTGAATTTTTCCACATCCTCTCCAACACTTGTTATTATGTTTTGTTATTGTTGTTGTTAATGATAGCCATCCTGATGAGGGTGAGGTGATACCTTGTTGTGGTTTTGATTTGCATTTCCCTAATGATGAATGATGTTGAACATCTTTTCATATGCTTGTTGACCATTTTATATTTTCTTTTGAGAAATGTCTATTCAAGTCTTTTACTCATTTTTAAAAATAGAATCAATGTGGGCCAGGTCTGGTGGCTCACGCCTGTAATCCCAGCACTTTTAGAGGCTGAGGCGGGTGGATCACAACGTCAGGAGTTTGAGACCAGCCTGGCCAATATGGTGAAACCCGGTCTCTACTAAAAATAAAAAAAAAAATTAGCCAGGTGTGGTGGCATGCACCTATAATCCCAGCTACTTGGGAGGCTGAGGCAGGAGAATTGCTTGAACCTGGGAGCGGAGGTGTAGTGAGCCGAAATTGCGCCACTGCACTCCAGCCTGGGTGACAGAGCGAGACTCCATCTCAAAAAAAAAAAAAAATTGAGTCAATATGTAGTTTTCAGTGGTTGTTCTGTTTCTTTCTTTGCAGAATTCCTTTTATACATATGTTGAGCCCTCTTTACCTGTCTTCTTTATCCCTTTCTCTTGAATGCTCCATATCTCTTTATTTTTTATTATTAAAATTTTCTATCTTTTCATCTTCTAATTGTATCCGTTTTTTTTTTTGTTGTTGTTTTTTTTTTTGAGATGGAGTCTCGCTCTGTCACCCAGGCTGGAGTGCAGTGGCGTGATCTTGGCTCACTGCAAGTTCGGCCTCCCGGGTTCATGCCATTCTTCTGCCTCAGCCTCCCGAGTAGCTGGGACTACAGGTGCCCACCACCACACCCAGCTAATTTGTTTGTATTTTTAGTAGAGACAGGGTTTCACCATGTTAGCCAGGATGGTCTCGATCTCCTGACCTCATGATCCGCCTGCCTCGGCCTCCCAAAGTGCTGGGATTACAGGCATGAGCCACCGTGCCTGGCCAATTTTATCTGTTTATATATAGGATAGATTTCTAGTTTCATAGCTCTAGCACACATTCTCGTTATTTTCACAAAGTGGCGATTGGTTTGGCCATGTACTTTTTGACATCTGGCTCCTCTTCTCTAGTCTGCCACTTGTATCATCCTTTTCCTTCTTTTTTTTTACCCCTATTACCTATCTTCTTCCCAAGTTGGTTTCTACTCCCAGTAGTTTTGTTTTGCAAATTGGACTCTGCATTTTTATACTGGCTCCAGCACTTTGCACTGATTATCTGTTGGCGATTTTGGAGTTCTTTTGTTCTCAGGGTCTGCAGATGTTTCATTGCTTTCCTTCCACTGTGTGGTACTTTTATCTTAAAAAAGATGCTTGCTTTAATATTACAGTGTCACAGGGTAGGGCTTTCCCTTGTGTATTAGAGCTGTCAATTTTGGTACCATTTCAGGCTTTCTATTTTGAGTGTCCAACATAAAGTGATCTCCCAATGTGTCATATCAGAAGTCTCCTAAGTTTCATTGTTGAGATAGAGGGCAATGAGATAGAGTTTCATTGTTGAGATAGAAGGTTCTGTGGCAAAGGCAGCAGTAGCTTCCTCAAGTTGTTGAACCTCTTTGTGAAATTTAAATGTCTAGTGGTGATATAGAATTATTACATATCCTTTAAGTCCTTCCCTTGGTTAATCACATGTTTTCTTCTCAGCTAAGCATAGTCAATGACATCAATCTTAAACATTAAACATTGCTTAGTGTTTATTTAGGATTAACATTTCAAGATGTTTTCCATTGCCTATCCATAGTACTAGAGGTTAGATTTATAGTGTCCACATTTGACTAACTTAAAAAAATGTATTCTAACTTCATCAGAAGAGTTTGCTTTGGTTTAATAATGAAAAGTGAGAGACAAGGGTGGCCTTCAGCAGCTATTGTACACTGTGGCAAAAATGACGTGGATCATCACAAACTAAATCACTGCAGCAAAAGACTAGTCATGTACCTACTCTTATAAAGCCTACCCTCCACTAAGCAGCATTGTTTTAGAAAAAAGAAATACTATAATAAACAAAGCTTTCATAAAATATCTACCCAGTGGCAGCTACATTTATCCCACACATCATACTGTTGTTTTACTCAAGATCACAAAACTGGACTCTTAAGCTTTCTTTTCATTCATAGGATAATGTTTTCTGTTATCTCTTTTGGCCATTGATAGCTTTGCCTGACAGCTTTAATACTGTTCATATTCCATGCTCATGTTCTTGACCTTTTGTGTCCTCTTAGCATTGACAGCATAATTTCAAAGCATTTTAAAAACTACCAGATGTCTGCATTTCTTCTTTGGTAAATATCGGATTTTCACTTTTTCCATAATTGCATTATGTATCTGTGGAAATTAAACAACTGTCATGGAAAGTCAGCTGGGACTTAGGACAGAAAAATGTTCAGTGATAGTCCTTACAGTGTGTGAGTCAGTCTCACCAGCTTGTCCTGACTTCGAACATTTTATGATCTGCCCAAAAGATTTGGCAGTTTTTACTTAATTGTGGAGCTTAGCCCGATGGAAGGCAACCTTCTGTCCACACAGTAGTGTGCAGTCTCAGTTGTATATCATCATGAAATCTTTTTGGAGGCATTTACGGGACAATTCAAATTCAACTACATGGCAGTACTCTGTGGTACTGCCATGCAGATACGTGTCACTAGGAACCCTTTATGCCTGGTTAAGTTTATGCATGCACAGGCAGACACAGCTGTTTCTCAGTTTGTTTCTTTGCTTGGCAGATAGCATATTTCTTTTGACATTGCTTCTGTGAGGCACCTGAACATCGGAACTGTTAGCATGTGAAGAATGTCAGTGTTAGACCTTAAGAAATTCAGAACCTAAATCAGTGCTGCACCACTTCTGCTCTGAGGCAGATGTAGCACCTTCCTGTAGTAAAAGATCTCTTTGTTGATTTGCCTGAGGGGTTACGAAGGCTTTCCTTACCCTCAGCCACCTTTGGAGCAGCTTTTTCCTGCTGACCAGTCCTGCCTAGCATTAGTTATTCAAATAACTACCGAATTTTTTATTTGAAAACCTTAAGAAAAAAATGTTAATTGTGGTAAAATACATGTATAAAATTTACCATGTTAACAATTTTAAAGTGTACAGTTCAGTAGTAGGTACATTCACATGGCTGTGCAGCCATCAACATCATACACCTCCAGAACTTCTCATCTTGCAAAAGTGAAGCTCTGTACCCCTTCAACATTTTCCTATTGTCTGCCCCCAGCTGCTGGCAACCACTGTTATACCTCCTGTCTCTATCAATCTGACTACTAACTGTGAATTATTCTGCTCCAAATATCAATTAATATTGAATGTGGAAATGTCCTTACTCTAATGCCTATTTTTCTGGCTTGGAGAATGTTCCTAACAGTAAAACTTCTTATGTCTTTCTTCTGCAGTGTTACTGTATTTTGTAAAATTATTAAATGCCTTAAAGGGCCATGTAGCAATTTTTTATATTTACATGTATGGAATACAATTATTCAGAGCAAAAATACTTTTAATAAAAGCTGTTTTATAAATACAAATTTATATAATATAAAAATAAAAGAAAATATAAAATACAGTTGTATTCAATAGAATGTGTTTAAACAGCTCTAGTAAAAGTTCAATTTCATTTACATAAAATCGGAGTGGAAATGTAAAGAACAAAGAAAGAGAATGGAAAATTTGACATCATTTTGGTAATAGACCAAGACCAATCTTTGTTGATCACCTTCTTTATGAAATTTAAAGTCAGATTGTGGGTTTGAAAAAGTTTTTTGGGGGATTTTTTTTTTTTTTGAGATAGAGTCTTGCTCTGTTGCCCAGGCTGGAGTGCAGTGGCGCAATCTTGGCTCACTGCAACCTCTGCCTCCCAGGTTCAAGCGATTCTCCTGCCTCAGCCTCCTGAATAGCTAGGACCACAGGTGCCCGCCACCACACCTGGCCAATCTTTGTATTTTTAGTAAAGACAGGGTTTTGCCATGTTGGCCAGGCTGGTCTCGACTCCTGACTTCAAATGATCCACCTACCTCAGCTCCCAAAATGCTGGGATTACAGGCGTGAGCCACTGCACCTGTCCAATTTTGCTGTCTTTTTTTAAGCCTGAGGTATGTAATTGGTTTCTGAAGCTAATTTAAAAATTCTCCCATCAAACATGACATTCTTTCTCTGCTAGGTATCTTTGGAGGAAAAATGGAAACTCTCCTCACTAAGTACCTGAGACCAAATTATGTTATGTGTTAGAATGGAGGTAGTCATCTATGTCTGCAGTGGTGAGTTTTGTGTGGTCCTGGGAGCAGGTGTCTGCTCCTTTGTTCACTGGCACCATAGGAGTCCTCTGTGTACGTGCAGCATTAATGGACACTATTATGATTCACCCAGCCTGCTCTTACCTCCTGTTGTAAATCACATGTGACTAACATGTCATGTAGACAGTCTCATTAAAAGCAAGAAGTTAACATGTAGAGAGTCTCATTAAAAGCAAGTCTGGGTATATACCCAAAGAATTAAAAGCAGGGACTTGAAGAGATACTTGTTTATCCATGTTCATAACAGCATCAACCAAAATAGTTAAGAGGTGGAAGCAACCCAGGAACCCATCCTTGGATGAATGGATCAATAAAATGGGGTCTCTCCATACCATGGAATACTATTCATTCTTAAAAAGGAAGGAAATTCTGACACATACTATGACATGGATAGACTTTGAAGATATTATGCTAAGTGAAATAAGCCAGTCCCCAAAGGACAAATACTGTGTGATTCCACTTATATGAGGTACCCAGAGTAGCCAGACTCATAGAAGCAGGAAGTAGGATGGTGGTTTCCAGGGACAGCAGGGGAGCAGTGTTCAGTGGGAGCAGTTTCAGTTTTGCATGATAAAAAGAGCTCTGTGCATGTTTGGTGGTGATGGTTGCACAACAATGTGAATGTACGTTGTGCCGTAGAACCGTAACTTAAAAATGGCTAAGGAGGGCCGGGCGCCGTGGCTCACGCCTGTAATCCCAGCACTTTGGGAGGCCGAGGTGGGCGGATCACGAGGTCAGGAGATCGAGACAGTCCTGGCTAACACAGTGAAACCCCGTCTCTACTAAAAAAAAAAATACAACAAATTAGCTGGGCATGGCTGCAGGCTCCTGTAGTCCCAGCTACTCGGGAAGCTGAGGCAGGAGAACGGCGTGAACCCGGGAAGTGGAGCTTGCAGTGAGCTGAGATCACGCCAATGCACTCCAGCCTGGGTGACAGAGTGAGACTCCGTAAAGCAGCCGGGTGTGCTGGCTCATGCCTGTAATCCCAGCACTTGGGGAGGCCAAGGCAGGTGGATCACCTGAGGTCGGGAGTTTGAGACAAGCCTGGCCAACATGGTGAAACCCCGTCCCTTCTTAAAAAATATAAAGATTAGCTGGGCATGGTGGCACACGCCTGTAATCCCAGCTACTCTGGAGGCTGAATGAGGCAGGAGAATTGCTTGAACCTGGGAGGCAGAGGTTGCAGTGAACCGAGATCGCACCACTGCCCTCCAGTCTGGCAAAAGAGCGAGACTCTCAAACCAAACCAAACCAAACCAATAAACCCTACCAATTCAAGCCAAAAAATAGAGTAAACCCTACCACTTCAAGCCAAAACAGGAGGACCAACTAATTCAGAAAAGCGTAAAAGATAGGCTTATTTGGAAGAAGAAAGACCTGTTACGCTTTTCTGTGTGTGTTGTAGTTCTGACTGTGTCAGCCCCAGCAGCTTAAAGCCCTTCCCTTTCTTCCCCACGACCTCGCTGTCCTGGCTCTGTGGCCACCAGCAGACCTGTCTTGTGCAGCTCCTGTGTGCTCTCTGTGCCCAGCCACAGTGGCCTCTTGCAGTCACCTGAACTCTGCCTGTTCCCTCCCATTTTAAGCATGGGTGCCTTTTCTTCCCTGTCTAGAAAACTTCTCATTCCTTTTTTCTAAGACAAGGGTGTGAGATTCTGCCCTTAAGCTGACTCCGAGGTCCCAGTAATGCCTTCTTATGCTTCACGTCTCACCCAGCAGTCCCTTTCAGAGAAGGCTCTCCCCGCCTCTCCTCTGGATGGCTGGCCCCTCTCCCAGCCCGCATTCCTGCCCTGTGTCCTCCCCGCTTGCTCTTGTCTTCTGTTACATGCTCCTCACTATCTGAAATTAAATTCTGTTTCTCATCTGTCTTCCCTCCTGGAACATGGGCTCCCTCAGGCTGAGGCTGAGGCCTTGGTAGCTGTGTCCATCCTGTTTCTAGGACCGTGCTTGGCCTACGGCAGGTGCTCAGTACCGATTTACGGAAGGAGCGAGTGAACAGATGAGATGAGTTGAAATTTCCGCAGTGTGCTCCGGGTCAGTTGTTGGGTCCTCCAAGGTGGGTCTGGTGAGTCTTTCTCAGCTTGCTGTGCCTTTTATTAACCATCCACATTATGTCCAAATGCCTGACATAGGGAGGGAGTGATGCTTTCTGGTCAGTGCAGACCCGGTGAATACCTGGAGGTTTGTGATCCCCAGGCCCCGAGCCATAGCGATGACAAAGAACTGCTCTGGCTCTGTCATTTTGAGAAGGCAGCTGGATTCTTCTAATGGGCGTTGTTATTTTAAAAAATATTTCCCTCATTTCCACAGATAGAGTCTATTTCTAGTTCACTAGCCACTAGGACATCATCTAGGATAAATACTCAAGGCTATAGGACTAACTTGTCTGCTTTTCATTTATTTTAAGATAGCTTTTTGATGCTTTTGTTTAGAGAAAGCTTTTTAAAATTCCAGTGGTATTAACTGTGTGATCCCTGGTTGGTGCAGATCACACTGTTTAGGGAAGATCCCATGTGCCGTTGGTAGTGTTACATCACTTTATCAGTGCTTGAGAATAGGATGATGGGACAGTTGTCAGTTACATGATCAATTATGCTGTCAAGCAATTATAGATGGCAGGCAAAGTGTTAGGTTTTCGTCTCCTGACATGGTATAGCACTCTTTCTATTTCTATTCAGATAGCCAGATCACCATAAAGTTAGCGGTATGTCTACCTGTCTCGGCGTGTTTATGTTGTGAACTTGCCAGTTTTCCTTCTCTCTTGTGTGATGCCTAAGAAGAGTTTCACTGAGCCCTGGTGGGCGAAAACAGAGTTGTCAGGTTTGTGTGTTGTTTTTGAATGCCTTCCACTGGCCTCTTTCTTTCTTTCTTTTTGATACATTATATTTGTACATATTTATGGGGTATAATCATACAGTTGGATAGAAAAAAATAAGTTCTAATGTTTGATAGCAGAGTAGAGTGGCTATAGTTAACAACAGTGTGTATAATACATTTCAACATAGCGAGAAGAGAGTTGAAACGTACCTAACACATAGAAATGGGAAACACTAGGGTGATGGATACCCTGGCTTGATTATTATACATTCAATACATTGGCCTGTCTTTGAGGTCTACTTTCTTTCATTTAAACTGGAAGACTGTGGATAAGGGTCCCAGAAAGGCTGGGGTGTCAGGAGTATGGGGTGCAGGGAGGCAATGGGCTGTGATATGACCCAAACTGAGTGATCCCCATACATCCTGGGTGCACGGGAGCCACTGGCCTGCCTGGGCCACATCTGCCTAGACTTTGTCTCTTGGGAGGCAGTGAGGCAAACAGAGTGAGAGAGCTGTTGGTGGCCACGTTTGCAGCTAGGTGGGCGTCCTGGGCAGCCCTGGCATGGTGTGAGGGCTCGCCAGGGCTTGGCTTGGAGTGTCATCCGTCATCTGTCATTTGTCACTCAGGGGATTTTGGCTGCTCTGGGCAGGATGTGGGGCACTGTTCTTGGCTCTGTAGCCTTCAGCCTTTCCTTTTGCCCTCCTAGCGATTCTGGGCCCTCTCCAACATTGTTTAGGTAAATGCCATTTTCCACCTTGCTCTGCCAACTTGATTCTGTTGCTTGGAAGTCAAAACCCAGAACAAGGCAGGATTGGAATAAGGAGTGGAGGCAGGTGGTAGACCCTCCAGGAAATAGGGGCAGGGCATGTGGGACTGGTAATTTGCCCAGTTTAAGGGCAGAGCTAGTGAAAGTACAGCCAGGGTTGAGTGGTGGACTCCTCACCGTCCATGGCAGGCAGTGGGGAATTGGATATTCAGGGGCTCCTGCTGATTAGCTTAAAGAAAAAGAATGCAGAGCCCAGATTCTGAAACTTTCAGCTCCTGGCATGTCGTGAACTTGCAGTGATTGCACTGAAACAAAAGGCGGGGGCAACAAGAAAGGAGCAGAGGGTTTCAGAGTGTGATCCTTCTGGTTGCTGAGCACACCAGCAGTTGTGTTCATGGCCTTGCCTGGTTCCCGAACACTGTCGTTGATTTAGGAAGCATGAGGTCTGACACTCTGGTGGATGCTGGTGGGGGTGGGGGGTGGGGAGAGGATTGGGAAGACTCAGGATCCCTCTCAACTGTGCTTGCCAACCCAGGCAGGCTGGGACCTCTGTCGGGTGCAGCGTTTCCACCCGGCCCCAGTATCTCACCTGGGAAGGCAGTCTCCCGATGTTTCTCCCTCACCACCCCTTGTCATATCCAGACTGAAGTCAGTCCCCAGCAGGGAAGGTGCAGCTGCCATTATAAAGTCCACAGGGAGAAAGCTTACATGCCACGTGCCACTTGAACTGAATTTTTGCTAATATACATGGATGCAAACTTGGCTAATATATATGCTGGTGGAATCTGAGGGTGTTAGACCAAGGAGGAACAAACACAATTTTAGATTACACAAAAATTATCAATGTAGGTGCACCTACTCCAGAAAGATTTTTTTTTTTTGAGATAGAGTCTCGCTTTGTCACCCAGGCTGGAGTGCAGTGGCATGATCTCGGCTCACTGCAAGTTCTGCCTCCCAGGTTCACACCATTCTCCTGCCTCAGCCTCCTGAGTAGCTGGGACTACAGGCGCCCGCCACCACGCCCCTACCTTTTTTTTTTTTTTTTTTTTTTGTATTTTTAGTAGAGACGGGGTTTCACCGTGTTAGCCAGGATGGTCTCGATCTCCTGATCTTGTGATCTGCCCGCCTCAGCCTCCCAAAGTGCTGGGATTACAAGCGTGAGCCACTGCGCCCGGCCCAAAAGATCTTAAACCCCACACTGATCTATAAACCTTTGATTATCTTTTCATGTTGTCCTCTCTTCATGCCCTCACTTCCTTCTTTACCTAACTTATAATAATTTCCGAGTTCAGCCATTATGATCAGTCATCGTTTGCCTCTTCAGCTCTCTGGCTCTTCTCTCCTTCCTTATACTCTGTTGGCAAAACTCCAGCCCTGCTGAATTGAACTCTCTGCTTCCTCCAGGCCTGTAGCTGCCCAGCTGAACATGACTGGGACAAAACACAAGGCCGTGCTAAGTGACCTAACCAACCACATGCATAGTCACCCACCTCTTCTTTCCTCCCTCTCCCTCATTCAAGCATGTGGCAGACCCTATCCCAGACACTGCTGTGGGATGTAGCAAGGTTGGCAAAAATCCCCACCCTCCTACAGCGTGCATTCTAGTGGACAATGAACATGCCACATAAATAAAACGTATTGTTAAATCCAGGAGAAGGGGTGTGAAGGGTCAGTGGAAAGGGGTTGGGAAGGCCCCTTTGTAGAAAGGATGGCTAGGGAAGCCCTCATTAATGAGGTGATTTTTCAGTAGCGACCTGCAGAAGTGTGGAGAAGGGCAGAGCAAGTGCAGAGGCCAAGGCAGGAACCGCCTTGGGTTGTTCACAGGACAGCAAGGAGGCCAGCGGAGTGCAGTGAGGAAGAGGGGGAGCAATGGGAAACAATGATGGGACAGGGATCCCCATCAGTAGGGGCCTCCTGAGTCACTGGGAGGACGGTGGCTTTTTCTCTGAATGAAACAGGAGCTACTGGAGGGTTTTGAGCAGAGGAGTGACCTGACCTAACTTATTCTAACCGGATCATCCTGGCAGCTCTGTAGAGTGCTTTGAAGGAGGGCCAGGGTCGCAAAGTGGAGATTCCAGTTAGGAGGCTAATGCAATGATCCAGAGAGAGATGGTGGGGCCCTGGGCCAGGCCAAGGGTTTGAGGAGAAATAGTTGGATTTGCATGTACTGTATATAGGGTGCGTGGCTGGTCCTCAGCTTTACAGTTTAATCTCTACATTAGACTAAAAGAAGAATCAGGAGGAAACCAAAGGGGAAGTGGACCTCTCCTGAGGTCCTGCACTTGTTCTAGAATTTGTGGTGTGTGCTTTTGGTTGTATATATAAGGATAACGGCATGCTGTGTGGAGCAGCAATTTGTGTTTGTGTCTGGCGGTGTGAGTTTGGGATGAAGGAAGGATGTTGGTGCTGGCTGGTTAAAGCGGTGCGTGGACTCTAGTGGGCATTGGCTCCTTTAGGACCCTTTCTCTGCTTGGTAGTCCCCTCCCTTGGGACCAGTTGATCGAGTTGCCTTCAATCGCAATTACTGACATCATCACTCAAAGTGGCTTAAGCAGAAGGAAAATTTATTAATTTACATAGTATACATATATTATGTTACGTATACATAAAAAGGTCCAGAAGAAAGAAGGTGTATTAGCTTGCTAGAGCTGCCCAGATTAGGTGGCTTAAAACAATAGAAATTTCTTCTCTCACAGTTCTGGAGGCTGGAAGTCCAACCTGAAGGCATCAACAGAGCTGTGCTCCCTCTGAGACTCCAGGTAGATAGATCCCTTCCTCCCCTTTCTCCTGGCTTCTGGTGGTGGCCAGCAGTCCTTGGGCATTCCTTGGTTTGCAGTCTCAGCAGTCCAGTCTCTGCCTCCGTCTTCACCTGGGGCTCTCCTGTGTGTCTTCACCACATCCTTCTATGGTATGTGTGTCCAAATTTCCCCTTTTTATAAGGACACCAGTCATCTTGGATTAGAGCCCACCCAATGACCTCATCTTAATTTGGTTAAATCTGCAAAGACCTTCTTTCCAAATAAACTCCGATTCTGAGATTTTGAGGTACTAGGGTTTAGAACTTTGACTTTTTTTTTTTTTTTTTTGAGACAGAGTCAGGCTCTGTTGCTCAGGCTGGAGTGCAGTGGCACTATCTCAGCTCACTGCAACCTCTGCCTCCCGGGTTCAAGCGATTCTTCTGCCTCAGCCTCCTGAGTAGGTGGGATTACAGGCGTATGTCACCATGCCTGGCTAATTCTTTGATGTATCTTTTATGGGGGACAGAATTCAACCATAACAGGTTTCCAGTTGGTTAATGTAGTGCCTCGGTGACATTATCAAGTACCCATGTGTTTTCCATCTTTCTGCTCTGCTGGTAAGAGTATCTTAATTTAACCTGAATCCAGCTAGAAGGCTGCTGTAGTTTTAGGCACCAGAATCAGAGGACACATGTACACAAAAGAAGAGGGGTTACTGATCCCTGTGTCTCTTCTTAGTGGCAAGGAAATCTTTCCTAGAAGCCCCCCACCAGACTTCCCCTCAGTGGTCAGACCTAAGTCATGTGATCATCCCTGAACCAATCACTGGCAAGGGGAATTAGCTAATACTGACCTTTTCTTAGAGTGGGAGGTAGATTCACTTGACCTTGAGTCACATGGGAAAAGGATCCTCTAACAAAGCTGGGGATCTGTCCGAGGGAAGAGGGAACGTGGCTGTTGGGCAGGCTCCTCTGCCGCCTGGGTCTGCCTCCCTGCCTTTGGGGAATGTTTTCCGACTAGCCCCTGTGTCTTGGATTTCCACTCTTCTTCCTGGGATTGTAGCCAGTGCTTCAAGCAGTGGTTCTCACACTGTCAGATTTTGTAGTTAAAATGAAAGTTCGAGAATATTTGGGGTTCTGGTGAGCCGAGATCACACCACTGCACTCCAGCCTGGCCGATAGAGTGAGACTCTGTCTCAAAAAAAAAAAAGAATATTTGGGGTTCAGACATAAAGTTGCTAACTTTTTGGGTAGTTTGTTTTTTGAGACAGGGTCTTGCTTTATCACCCAGGCTAGAGTGCAGTGACACAATCACAGCTCATTGCATCCCGCACTCCCAGGCTCGAGTGATCTTCCTGCTTCAGCTTCCCGACTAGCTGGGACTATAGGTGCTTATCACCATACCTGGCTAATTAAAAAAATTTTTTTTTCTTTGTAGAGACAGGGTCTCACCAGGCTAGTCTTGAACTCCTGGGCTCAAGACTCAAGCAGTCCCCCTGCCTTAGCCTCCCAAAGTTGTGGGATTACAGGCATGAGCCACCATGCCTGGCCTTACTGTTTAGTTTTTATTCACACTGAAACTATTGTCTTTTATCACACCATTTTATTATACAAAGAAAAAGATTTTATTAGGAGAATGTTATAAGGGACACTCTCAGGTTCAACTTTAGCTTTTTACTTTATTTTTATTATTATTTTTTTAGAGATGATGTCTTGCTCTGTTGCCCAGGCTGGAGTGCAAACGGCACAGTCATAGCCCACTGCAGCCTTGAACTCCTGGGCTCAAGCGATTGTGCTGCCTCAGCCTCCTGAGCAGCTAGGACTACAGGCTTGCCCCACCATGCCCGGCTAGTTTTTAAGTTCTTTTTTTTATAGAGACGAGGTCTCCCTGTGTTGCCCAGGCTGTCTCAAACTCCTGATCTCAAGTGATCTTCCTGCATCAGCCTCCCAAAATGCTGGGATTACAGGCGTGAGCCACCATGCCTGGCCCCAGCTTTATTTTTAAGGATTGTTCTTCACATGTAATAAATTATCTCTTGACTTTTGAAAAGTATACAGTATCAGTCATTCACTTATCAGTCCATCAGTCTACAGATACTTATTGGTGCCTTTTTTTGTGCTGGGAACTATTCTTATTTTTGTCTTGGCCAGTGAAAACTTTGTGCCTGGCCACATTGTGGTAACAAGGTCTCAGGAATTGGCACCACTGAGGTAGAATTCAGGGTCCATTCCATGATGCCTCGCCCTGGGCTTGCCACGTTTTTATAGGGTGCCTCTGTGGACCGAGAGTACCAGAGGCTTAGCTCATCTCCTACTTAACAATAAGTAAGCCCTCATGCCCTCAAAAGAATTTTTGGAATTTACTCTTATCTTGGCATTTCATTGCTGAAAGAGATTAAGTATTTTACAAACTTGGAGACTAATCTGGGTCATTTATAGACATTTAAGAAGTATACTTGTTTGCCCTGTTGCTAAAGCAACCCTTTTTTTCATGGTGAAATAAAACCTGTTAAATATTCTTCAGAACCAGGAGGGGTATAAATAAAGTAGCTAAGTACAAAACAGTATAATATCCTGGAAGCCCAGTTTTCCATTTTGGGTGTTGGAATTCATGAGCCACATTTATAAAGTCTAAATCCAATATCTCCACGGAACCCTTTTTAGTGTGTATTTCTCCATCCTCTCAGACACTCCAGCGAGAAAATAGATTCCCAGTAGTTAGGGTTGTAAAAGCTGGAGCCACAGTTTGGTTTGGTTGGCTCCCACGTTCCGGTGAGCTCCTGATTAGGAAGGAGAGCAAGGCTACATATCCTTCTTTTTTTTTTTTTTTTTTTTTTTTTTTTTTGGCCAAGGGGCACTTGCAGATGTGACCCACTGGTGTGGTGTTAGGTTGGACATATGACACTCTTTCTGTGGGTCACATATCGTTTCTATAGGCAGCAGCACATATTGCCACCTAATGCGTCTCCATACGTTCCTGAGCCGTGGGGAGTCCTGGGGCCCTGGCATTTCACAATGGAATAGATGTAAAGCAAACCCAAACTCTGTCCTGTTTCTCATTGTTTGGGCCTACTGGGGTCTGCTGTTGGCTCATTGCAGGCATGAGTGGTATTTCCCTTCTTCCTTTCCAAGAGAGTGTTGAATCTTGGTCTGCCAGAATGGGAGGTTCCCTTTCTACAGGGGAGAAATGCCTGACTTCTGTTTTTTACTGATGTCAGACTGGCTCGTCTAAGAAGGGGAAATTCCAAGGTGAGGATGGCCACAGATGTCTGCAGACAGAACACTTTCCAGGGTCAGG
Organism: Homo sapiens; assembly: GCF_000001405.40. NCBI lineage: Eukaryota > Metazoa > Chordata > Mammalia > Primates > Hominidae > Homo > Homo sapiens. The sequence continues at coordinate 1,696,856 of NW_011332701.1, read as the reverse complement.
GCCTCTACAATGGACCTTATGGGCAGGGAGCTCAATGGTGATCATCATGGACCGTTTGCCAAATTTTCTGGGTTGCATATACCACTTAAGACTCTTGTACTCCATGAAGAAATGCTATTTCTCACCAGGTGAACAGGTGGAAGCTTAGAAATATTTAACTTTGGGGAAAAATAGAGAGGTATTTCTTATCCCCGAGTCTAGTCCAGCTGCTGTGTCCCGGTCACTTTTCAAGCTATTGCATTCCATCCCCCTTCATCCCACCATTGCAAGTGCAGCATCTGCTTTGCAGAGAGCCTCTTTCTGGTCATAAGTCTACTCCAACCAAAATGCGTAATTTTTATGAAACAAGAAAAATATAGACAGGGTGACTGGACATTTTCTGGAGAGTTGAAGTTGTGTGTGCTGTGGCTTTTGGAGTGGATAGACATAGCGCACTGCAAGAGAATGGAGGCCTCGTCAGACCTGCTGGGCGGGTGCTTCCTGGCTGGGCAGCCTTTAGGGGAGTTGCCAGGCCTCAGTTTCCCCAACTGTAGAGTGCTGCTACGAAGCCTATCCTGTGGGAAATCCAGAGTCAGAGAAAATTGAATAAAGTAGCCTGTGTACAATCCCTGGATTGGAACACACACTGAGCACATGGCCATTTCCCCTTCCTCCTGTAGAGGCTCCAGCACATGGAGGGTCTGCTGTCTTTGGGTGGTAAATATGGAAGTGAGTTTCAGTTGGATAGTTGAGAGTCTTGGCTGTAATCTTTGTCTTGCTATTTAATGCTTTATATTTATTTTCTGTGAAATGCCATTGAAATTTGTATGTTTCATAAATATTTCAACCTGAGAATTGCCTTTAATTCTTGGGGAGATCTCAGGTTTTGTAGATTTTAAAATCTAGCAGAAATCAATTCTATTGGCAGTCTCTCCTTTTTGTGTTAAAATCAGATAAATCCACATTTGCTAGTATAGCATATACAGAAAGTTTTAAAAATTGGAACTTAGACTTAAGCATTGGTTTAGCTAATTTAACTTGGACAACCCATTTATCAAAGTGAGATTTTCATTTTTGGTTAGAAGATGATGCTGTTTGGCACATCAGTGACCAGGAGTCAGTCTGAGTTGCAGCTTCTCTTGGTAGGTGCTAGAACAGCTGGTGTTGTAATTACTCAAACAAGTGTGTGGGATGCACCAGTTTTGTGTCTGCCAGTAGGAAGGTATGATCATGTTTTATGCTTATGATTTTGAATAAATGCCTAAATCAAGTGCATTTTTAAATAGTGTATCTCGGCCATGAATGCTACAAATCAGAAAACACTGTCTCTTTGTATAACTACATTTTAATCAGATTTTAATGCAGAATATGTGTAAAATATATTTCAAAGTTTTAGTAAACACAGATCACTTCCTGAGCTGTTTGTTTACCAGTGATGTTTTCTGAATAAAATATTTTCTCTAGGTCACAGTTTAGCGAAATAAATTCAAAATTGCTCTGTGTAATATAGGGTAAAAATTAGAATCTGAGGTATACAAAATTTCAGTTCGATAGGAGGAGGAAGTTAAAGAGATCTCTTGTACAACATGGTGACTATAGTTAATAGCATTGTCTTCTTGAAAATTGCTGAGTAGATTTTAAGTGATCTTACTACAAAAAATAAGGATGCAAAGTAATGCATATGCTAATTAGCTCAGTTTAGCCTTTCAAGCTGGGTGCGGTGGCTCACGCCTGTAATCCTAGCCCTTTGGGAAGTAGGGGCAGGTGGATCACCTGAGGTCAGGGGTTTGAGACCAGCCTGGCCAACATAGTGAAACCCCATCTCTACTAAAAATACAAAAATTAGCCAGGCGTGGTGGTGGGTGCCTTTAGTCCCAGCTTCTCCCCAGGCTGAGGCAGGAGAATCGCTTGAACCTGGGAGGCAGAGGTTGCAGTGAGCCGAGATTGCGCCACTGCGCTGCAGTCTAGGTGACAGAGTGAGACCCTGCCTCAGAAACAATTTTGCTTTCCATAATGTTTACATATTTCAAACAACATGTTGAAGTACGTGCAGTTGTACAAATTGTACAATAAATATGTACAATTTTTATTTGTCAATTAAAAATGAATTAAAAAATTTAAAAATGGGTTTCCCACAGCCTTTTGCCTTCCGTCCCCATGGTTGGCCCTCCCCAGGGCTGCCCTTCATGTTCTGCCCAGTTTCAGACCTCAGACAGGAGTTGGCCTGTCTTCTAGGCCCTTGTCAGAGTGGGACCTGGCCCTCCCCCACACCAGTCCACTTTCAGTTACCAAAAGCTTCTAATGTGAAATCCTGAAAGATGTTAAATGATGATGGCTAGTTTGAAAGTCTGGCGTGTCTGCAAAGAGCCCTGGTAAAATGAATAGTAGGCATTCAGATTTGTGTTTCTTGAATGAATCAGTAGTGGGTAAAATTGCTGGCTTCCCGTCCCCTACCTCCCTGTCTTCTCAAGGCGAGACTGTCACGCATAAAGGATTTGCAAAGTCAGGAGAAATCAAGAGCCCTCGTAGGTAAGAAGAAAACTGGGGGGAAGGTAGAACACAGCCTACCTGAGGCTGAGAACAGTGCACAGGGGAGCCCACGACTCCATGTGTGGCCAGAGCCACTGAGGGGAAGAATGCAGGCAGGTGCCTCCCTCTTCTCTCCGTCATTGGTCCCAGACTTGGGTGCGGCACCGTTTTGGGATGGGTCTGCATTTGAACCTTGAAATGCTAACTGGATCGAGATCAAGGACAGGGCTCAAAGGAAAGGCTACAGGAGGTGTCTGGCCAGAGTCTGCTCTGGGCCTGTGGTTGGAACTCTGTCAGATCCACAGCCCTTTGTCATGATGTTTTTGCTATATCCCCAAATGGAAGTCATAGAAAGTGCACCGTATTCTCACTTACGATTCCAAAAAGCATTACAAAGCCCTAAATGTAATTTTCACTGAAAATAATGTATGTTTCTGTGCTTAGGCATGTTGACCACTGGGAGACACAGGGAACGACTGGGTGCTTGCACCTCCACCCATCACCACAGACATGACGGCAGCCGCACAGCAGGACAGGATGTTGCACTGGAGTGTCCTTGTCAATGGGGACATGATTTTCCAAAGTGGTGAACCGCTCTTGGTAGAGTTCCAGACACGTTGGAGTTCGCTTGATCGATCTGGTAGTTGCAGTGCCGGGCACCTTAGTGTATATAAAAACAATGAGAAAACTCCTGGAGGTTAAAAGTGGAAGCAAGTTTTAGGTTGTGATTATTATAAGTTGGTGTTTCACCTACATTAACACGTAAAGGTTAACACTCCTTGCATAGATGGATGGCTACCATCCCTGGCCACTTTTCCCCATAGGTCAGGAACTACACAGCCATTATGACAACCCAGCACCCGCACAGATTCCCAGAGAACCATTGCTCTGGGCGAGGCTCAGGGAGCACTAAGTTGTTCAGTCCAGTTCCCTAGGGTGAGAAGGCAGCTGCAGGTGGATACTAAAGCCTTGTTCGGAAGAGCTTTGCATTTTCTGGAGCGTCCCCTCCCCACCTAGGCGCCTTCCGTACATCCGAGCATGGGAGATGTGAGCGGGAAAGACCACCCCAACCAAGACTTATAAGCACGAGGGGCCCTGGGCTTCATCCATCAGAATGGAGCTTTAGGTGGGGCCTGAGGTCTGCAGAGGCCGTGTGGTGAAGAATCCATGCAAAAGGCTAGACAAGAAGATGTAGCTTCATTTTAGCTCTGTTTGTCTTTAGTCAGATGACTAAAGAAACACCGCTTAACTTCTCTGACCTTCGGTTTTCCTGAGATTCAGAATGGCCATAAACCTGTGATGTTTTAGAGTTTTTGCTATATCTAAAATGAGGTAGTTTGTAAGTGCTGTGTAAACCCTAAGGTAGAAATTTTATTAGCTCATTTGAGCTTGGTCAAGTCAATCAGCCACTCTAGGTGTCATTCTCTGTGAGACAAGGTTTTGGTGTGTGTTCATTGTGCCCTTTTATTCTGTATATTTGGGTGCTCTGGCATCTGGGGCCTTGCTGATGCTGGAGGGACTGTCCCTCCCAGGCTAGCTGATTCCTGCAGGTGGTAATGGCTCACCTGTGAGTGAGCCTTTCAGAATGCAAACCAGCCAGCCTAGAGCCCAGTTCCCCAGCACTTCTTCTGGCTCTCACCTTCTAGGCCACGGTCCACCAGCCCTAAACACCTCAGAGCCAGGTACCAGACAACTCATGACAGCCCCTCCAGCCCAGAGGCTGCTGGATTCTTCAAACTAGCCAGTCCTAACCATGCTTAACCTGCCTCACCAATGGCACCAATCATCCTCAAACTTCTTTTGACTTCATAGAGAAGATACTCAGAAACTGAGTGAGGCGTAGCCTTCCTGTGCCTTTACTGGATTAGCTACCACACACCCCTCCACACCCTCACACACCCCTCCACACCCTCACACACCCCTCCACGCCCCCACACCCCTCCACGCCCCCCCACACCCCTCCATGCCTCCCACGTCCCCCATGCCCCCACATGCCCCTCCACTCCCCCCCACTCCCCTCCACGCCTCCCACACCCCTCCACGCCCCCCCACATCCCTCCACGCCCCCCACACCCCTCCACGCCCCCACCCCTCCACACCCTCACACACCCCTCCACGCCCTCACAACCCCACCTTTATGTGGACCCTCTGCCACTTGCAGCTCTTGGGAGCTTATGTGCCCACAGCTCCTTGACCGGACATGCAAGAGGCTTTTGTTTTGCAGGTTGGAGAATCCCAGGGAAGACTCAAATAGGCTGGTTTCATGTCATGGTCCTATCTCTGGACTAGCCACAGTGGCTGGGGAGGGGCTAGAAAGAGTATAATTGGAAGTTTCAAGTACAATCACATGGGACAAAGGAGAATTTACAAGAAGAATAGAGTTTTACGCAGATAAAACAATACATATCACTTGAGTAACATAGTTTTACCCAGTTATTTTTAATGGTTGTATATACAAAATTTTATGAACATAATCTATATAACTGTTCTGCGATGGATGGAGTTTAGACAGTTCCATTTGAAACACAAAAAATGTGATTTTCAAGTGCAGAGATCTGAAATTAAGTGAATTACCTGTGAGTGGGCCTTTAAGTGAATTACGAAAGAGCGTTGGCATATAGATTTCATGGTGGAGCTAATCCTACTATCTAGAATTACAGTTCTTTGTAATGAGACCTTTGGACTTGATTTGCTATCAGAAGATGTGTTTGGTGAGGAAGTATCATTTGACTCATTTCAGGGGCTCTGTTTTTACATCTTTATTTTTGGGTTCCTTTATCATTGGAAACTGGCTTGTTATCTTTCAAGTGGGCACAAGGCCAGTGGACCAGATGGTCTGTACTGTAGGCTTGCTAGGCAGGAATGTGTCACTCTCACTTGGGTACTAGCGGCTGGATTTCTACTGGGAGTGGGGAGCCAAGAGGAGGAGCATCACTTCATTAGTTTGGAAGGACATGCAGCTTCTCTTCCAACTCATCCTATTTTTTTTTTTTTTTGGTCAGCCTTTAACATTGAGACTGTATCTTCTTATTTTGAAGGACTTTGAGGTTTTACAAATCTTGATGGGATTTTTATGGAATGCAATCTCAGATGCTGTCACATGATACTACGGACCACCCAATATCAAGGATCTGACCCCGTCAGATGACCCCTTGAATTTTGGTATAATGCCATCACAACCTGTCATTTGTTGTGCTTATTGTTTGCGTCTGTTCACCAGGAGGTCTGCTCCCCAGGGCAAGGATCATGGAGTTTGTCACCTTCACCTAGCACAGCACCTGGAAGGTAGGGGAGCTCAGTGAGTGTTTGCCAAATGGATGAATGCACGGTGTCTGCAGGGCGGATGTGTGCAGAGAGGCCTCAGTTATGGTGCACTGGTGTGTTGCTGGAGTGAAGCAAGGTCTCATCAGCCCTAGTTTGTCATAATCTTAGCAGCGAAACCAGCAAGCCCGTGAGAATGGAGACCCCTGTGAATCAGAGGGGTCCGCTGAAGCATCCTTACTGAGGGGGGCTTACTTTGAATTCATGGACCCTGGGGTGAATTTCCTGGGGTGAGACCTTGAGATTACATACAGATCCTTGTGTGTTGTGTGTGTGTTTATTTTTCTGGGGAGAGGAGTCCAGCTTCTATAAGCTTCTCCATGGCTCATGAAGAATGGTGGTGGCAAGATTACAGGGTCTGCAGTGGATGCCTTCTGTTGGCACATCTCTGATTTTGTGCCCTGGGGAGGAAGTGAGGCAGGTGATCTTGGGAATTACCTAGGAGTAAAGTAGTAAATTCTGTGTTTCATTTCACACGAGACTAAATTTCAGTGGGGAAGATGAGAAGGATTTTGTGAAATACCTGAGCCTACAACAGGGACACAAACTATTGATTGTTGGGATTATTTTTCTAGGAATGTTTTAGACAGATTTGTTTTCCTAAAGACTCATCAGCTGATCGTGGGGTGGCTGGGGGGCATCATGTGAAGCAGTGTTTCTCAAAGGTATTTTCCCATGGAACCCCCTTTTTAATGGGACATCTACTTAGATCTCACAGACTAATTAGAAAATGTCCTGAAACCCAGCAAAGGTTGGGCCGATGAAACAGAGCGAGCAGGTGCATACGGATGGCATTGGATGCAGGCAGGCAACAAATTGAAGAGTGTGGAGAAACGGGGGCATGGCCTGGCCATGAGGAATTTCCTCAGTATTTAGAAGCTCAGGAGAGCAGGCTGAGCTGCCACAGGAAACCAAGAAAGTGTGGCCAGATCTGGGGGAAAAGCAGGAGGGTGTGGTTTCAAGGATGTTGAAAGCAGAAAATATCAGCAGAAGGAAAGTGTGGCCAAATGGGTTGGTGACAACTGAGAAGCTGAGCAAATGGACAAACACGTGCCCCCCGGATTCCACAGCATGGAGATCGTTAGTGACCATTTGAGGACAGGTTTTGTGGAAAATCAGTGAGGAGGCCAGATGGGAGTGATGGAAGGGAGAGTGGGAGTGTGGAGGCAGACATGGTTCTCTGGGGGTGTTAGGTTGGCACGACTGGAAAGATGGGAAGGTATGGGGCAAACATGATCCTTTCCAGGCTGGGCACAGTGGCTCAGACCTGTAATCCCAGCACTTTGGGAGGCTGAGGCGGGAGGATTGCTATGGCCCAGGAGTTTGAGACCAGCCTGGGCAATATCGTTAAGACACCATCTTTAAAAAAAAAAAAATTTTTTTATAGTAGCCAGGTGTGGTGACATGTGCCTATAGTCTGTTACTCAGGAGGCTGAGGTGGGAGGATTGCTTGAACCCAGGAGTTTGAGGCTGCAGTGAGCTATGATCACGCTATTGCACCCTAGCCTGGGTGATGGAATGAAACCCTGTCTCTGAAAAAAAGAAAATACTCTGTACAGGGGGAGATTAAGAAGTAGCAGTCTGTGGGCTGTGGCTTGCCTCTAAGGTGGGAATTTATCAGTGGGGGTTGGAGGAAAGAGGGAATGATGTGGAGAGTCAGAGGCTGTCCAAGAGGGACACCATCTTTGAGAAGCGTGAGGGGAGCCTTGGTTTTTGGAAGATGGACACTTTCCCTGTAACAAGAGAGAGTTGTGATCCTATTTTTTCTTTTCTTTTTTAACCAGATGATTGAGTTGTTTGCAAGTGCCTTTCAGTTCACTCTACAGAAAAGCTTTTTGCCAGGTGTAGCACTATATCACGTACATGGAATTTTAATTTTACTTTTTGCATCCAAGCTTGCACAATCAATTCTTGTACTTCAGGGTATAGAATGTACCTTTCTCCTGCCATAGCATATTAAATCTACCCATTGGAAACATTTGCATTTAATAAATACAGAATTGATTAGCTCATTCTTGAAATAAATCAGTTAAACTTGTGCTTTTTGAAGTTGAAGAAATTACTTTCGTAGTTACTAAAGAATGTGCATGTCAGGAAAGGAGGGCCTTATTTCTGTGTTTTTACTTTCTGTTTGTGGTTAGGTTTTTATTTTTGTTTTCTGGGTATACAGTTCTGAGAATTGTAATACATGTATCCATTCCTGTTACCATCACCAAAATCAGGTTAGAGACCAGTTTCATTACCTTGTAAAATGGCTTCATCTTGTGATACCCCTCTCAAACCCATGCCAGCCACCAACTACTGACCAGTTCTCCATACTATAGTTTTGTCTTTTGCGGAATATTATGTGAATGGAATTATACCGCATATAACCTTTTGAGACTGGCCTTTTTCACTCAGCATAAAGCCTTTGAGATTCATCCATGTTGTTTCATGTGCCTAGTTTAGCCCCTTTAATTGCCTGGTAGTATCCCAGTGGGTGGCTACACCACAGTTTGTTACTCATTTACCTCTTGAAAGAATTTTGGTAGTGGTCTATTTTCTTAACATTTAGCAAAATGTTTTTGAGGTTCGTCTATTTTGTGAGCATCTAATAATACTTTATTTCATTTTATGGCTGAATAGTATTCCAGTAAACAGTTGTATATTCCATTGTTTATCCATGCATCGCATGATGGACATTGGTTGTTATGCGTGATGCTGCTGTGAACATTCCTGTACAAGTTTTGGAGTGAACACATGTTTTCAGTTCTTGGGTATGTACCTAGGAATAGAATTACTGGGTCATATGTAACTATGGATTTAACCATTTGAGGAACTGCCAAATTGTTTTCTAAAGTGTCTTCATTTTACATTCTTACTGAAAGACAGGACTAGCTGGATTTCCTAGGCCGACTAAGAATTCCTAAGCCTAGCTGGGAAAGGTGATCACACCTGCCTTTAAACACGGGGCTTGTAACTCAGCTCACACCCAACCAATCAGGTAGTAAAGAGGGCTCACTAAAATACAAACTAGGCTAAAGCAAGAGGTAAAGAAATAGTGAAATCATATATCGCCTGAGAGCACAGGGGGAGGGACAATGATCGGGATATAAACCCAGGCATTCGAGCCGGGAGTGGGCAACCCCCTTTGGGTCCCCTCCCTTGTATGGGAGCTCTATTTTCACTCTATTAAATCTTGCAACTGCACACTCTTCTGGTCCATGTTTGTTATGGCTTGAGCTGAGCTTTCGCTCGCTGTCCACCACTGCTGTTGGCTGCCATTGCAGACCTGCCACTGACTGACACCCCTCTAGATCTGGCAGGGTGTCTGCTGTGCTCCTGATCCAGCGAGGCGCCCATTGCTGCTTCCGACTGGGCTAAAGGCTCGCCATTGTTCCTGCACGGCTGAGTGCCCAGGTTCATCCTAATCGAGCTGAACACTAGTCGCTGGGTTCCATGGTTCTCTTCCGTGACCTACGGCTTCTAATAGAGCTATAAAACTCTGGAATCCATAAGGCCAAGAACCCCAGGTCAGAGAACAAAAGGCTTGCTGCCATCTTGGGAGTGGTCTGCCACATCTTGGGAGCTCTAAGAACAAAGACCTGCCCGTAACATTACCAACAATGTGTGGGGGTTCTACTTCACATCCTCACCAACACATGTATTTTCTAGTTTTTTTTATTACAGCCATCCTTGTGATTGTGATGTGCTTTCTTGCTGTGGTTTTGATGTGCTTTTCCCTCCTGACTAGAGATGTTGAGCATCTTTTCATGTGCTTATTGGTCCTTCAAATCTCTTTTTGGAGAAATGTCTATGCAAATCCTTGGCTCATTTTCCAATTGAGTTGTCTTTTTATTATTGAGTTGTAACAGTTATTTATGTATTTTGGATACTAGACCTGTACAGACATATGATTTACAATTTTTTTCTTCCAGTTTGTAGATTGTCTTTCTTTCTTGATGGTGTCCATTGAAGCACAAAATTTGTAATTTTGATGATATCCCATCTATTTTTTTGTTTGCTTGTTCTTCTGGTATCATAGCTAAGAAAACATTGCCTAATCCAACATCATGAAAATTTACATCTATATCTTTTTCTAAGAGTTTCATAGTTTTACCTCTTATATTTAGGTCTTTGATCAATTTTGACTTAAATTTTGTATATGATATGAGACAAGGGTTCAATTTTATTCTTTCACATGTGGCTATCTAGTTGTCCCAGCACCATTTGTTGAAAAGACTGTTCCTTTTGCATTATACTGACTTGACACTCTTGTTGAAAATCAATTGACTATAAATGTATGGGCTTATTACAGTAGCTTTGTAGTAAGTTTTGAAATCAGGAAATGTGAATCTTCCAACTTTGATTTCCCAAGATTGTTTTGGCTATTCTGGATCCAAGCATTTCCGTATGAATTACAGGATCAACTTGTCCATTTTTGCAAAAAAAAAAAAAAAAAAAAAAAAAAAAATCTAGCTGGGATTTTTATAAGGGTTGTGTTGAATTTGTAGAACATTTTGGAGAATATTGCCATCCAAACAATATTGTCTTCCAGCTCAGAAGCATGGGATGTCTTTTCTTTAAGCTTTCTTCAATTCATTTCAATGATCTTTTCTAGTTTTTAGTGTACAAGTTATATCTCTTTTGTTAAGTTTATTCCTAAGTATTGTATTTTTTATGCTGTTATAAATGGAATTGTTTTCTTCACTTTAGTTTTTGATTGTTTATTGCACATGTACAGGAATCTCAGATTTCTGTGTATTGATTTTTGTACCCTGAAACCTTGCTGAACTCATTTATTACCTCTAACAGTATTTTTGTGGATTCCTTAAGATTTTCTAAGGAAGTCATCTGCAAATGTTACTTTACTACTCAGCCAGGCAGGCAGTTGACAGCCCTACCTTCGTCTTCCCTTCCTGCTTGTGCAAAGCCTCAAGGTCAGTCGGAGATGAGAGCTTAGGGCCTTCCCAGGCCTTTCCTGAGCATGAACACAGTGCTTGGCATGTACACAGCCTGTGTGCATGTGGCCTTTTAATTTTCAGCACTTTATTGGAGTTTTTCAAAGGACCTACAGACGTTTCATTCCATGGCTTTTTCCTTTAAGCTTTTTGGTTAGCCTCTTTTTGCCTTTTTGTTAACCACCACCTCTAGCAGCTGTTGTGGTTAATGATCACCTTCAACTGTTTTCAGCAAATGCCCCGAGGCTAAAGACATGTCACACTGAGCAAGGTCTGAGTCAGGTCAAATAAAAACAGCCTTCTAGGTGGTTTCTTCTAGAGAAACATCAGACAGGTCATTTCATGTCAGTTCTCTGGGAATGAGAATTTGAAGGAGCTCCAGCCATGTTTTGCCAGGGTTCTCACATGCACTGTGATTGTGGGCTATTGGTTTGCAAGGCTCCTGCCGAGACGGGTAGGTGGGAAGGGAATAGCACCAAGCTAATGTGCCACAAAGCTCACCTGTTCTTACCGAGATTCAGACATTTTTCTTGAGGAAGCACTCATCAGATTGCTGCAATCTGTTTTTAATTTTTAGGGTTCTGAAAAAGTTGATTCTGACACTTTCTGCCAGTTTTCTCATTGATTTTATGGAAGAGAGAATTTTCATTGGTCTTCAACTCTGGCATTTTTGTTGACATCATTTTTATTAAAGTTTGAGGATTCTTTTTATGTTCTAGGTACAAGACCTGTATCAGCTATATGCTTTGTAAATATCTTCTCCTGGAATGTGTCTTGTATTTTCATTCCCTTTACAGTGTGTTTTGAAGATGCCACATTTAAAATTTTGTTGTCATATGTAATAAATCTTTGCCTAATCCAGAGTTATAAAGATTTGTTTCCATTCTTTCCTTTACAGATTTTATAGTTTCATGTTTTACATTTATGTCTGTGATTCATTTGAAACTAACTCCTTTATGTGGTATGAGATATGGATTGAGGTTTATTTCATCTTTTCCCCAGATGGATATCCAGTTTTTCCAGCACCATTTGTTGAAAAGACTATCCTTTCCTCGCAGAATTGCTTTTGCACCTCTATCAAAGATTTTTTTCTGTATATGTGTGGATCTATTTCTGCAGTAGAGATTATACTGTATTGGTCTACTTGTCTGTCTTGATGCCAACACCACACTGTCTTAATTAATGTGTTTTAAAAATGTGTGTGTGTGTGTGTTTAAGTGTATGTATATATTCTGATGAGGAACAATGTCTCTGGATCAGAGGAAATATTTTATATTCACAGTGCCAACTAGTGTCAATTCCCCAAGGGACAGTGTGGTCAGTGCCACTTACTCCCCTGTGCGTGCAGTGCTGTTCAGGAGAGGCCCCTGAATTGCTATAGGGTGTCTAATAACTTTGCCCTTTTTCTGCCCCAGAGACAAAGAGGGAGAGACTCTTACTCTGCAATCTAAACAAATCCTCTCTGGGGAGAGGAGGAAAGTTCCCTAGTTTTATTTTACTGAAAGGTAGCAAATGGTTGCAAGACAGATATGTCTCTAAATCTCTCCTGGGCGTTATACTACTTCTAGCTTTCAAGGCATTCAAATCCTCTATCCTTATTTTTACAGTGCTGCTTGTTTAGAAAAACCACATATGCAGAAGTTCATGGAGAATTGTCTGTTAACATACTTTGACTTAATTCTTGAAACCTCTTGAAAGGTTATGTTAATTCTCTTTGTTCCTCTTCTTCAAAGTTGTTGCGGCTATGCTATATCCTTTGAATTTCTGTGCGAATTTTAGAATTAGTTTGTCAGTTTTAGAACAAAGCCTGCTGGGATGTTGATTGGAATTACACTAACTCTGTACATCAGGATTTTTCCACCTCGGCACTGGGAGTGTTGACATTTTGGGCTGGATAATTCTTTGTTGTGGGGCTGTCTTCTGCATTGTGGGGTGGGTAGCAGCATCCCATCCTTTACTCATTAGATGGCAACAGTACCTTCTGCCACCAAGTAGGGACAACCAACAGTGCCTCCAGACATTACCAAATATCTCCCGGAGTGACAAAATCACCCGTGGTTGAAAAGCACTTCTACAGATCAACTTGGGGAGAGTTGATGTCATAATAATATTGAGTCCTCTGCCCTATGAATACATTATATCTTCCCAATTATTTGGTCTTTAATCTTTCTCTACAGTAGTTTGTAGTTTACAGTGTACAGGAGTTACTTATCTTTTGTCAGATTTCTTCCTATTTATTTTACAGACTTTGATGCTATTGTAAATGGTATTGTTTTTAAATTTAACTTTCTGATTACTTACTACTAGTGTATAGAAATACAGTTGCATCTTGTATATTGCTCTTGTATTCTGCAGCCCTGCTAACCTAAACTCACTTATTAGTTCTTGTAGGTTTTCATAAAATACTTCAATTTTGTTTTTTATTCCAATGCAGTTTTTTAGCTTTACATTGTATGTGGATTACTCTTTTATTCTTCTAATTTTTTTTTTTTATAGGAAACATGGGCAGTGTTTTGTAGAATTGATGGGTACAATTTAATATAGGGTCAGGTGACCAGACTCAGGATTCCATTGTTTCTTGGTGAAAAATATTGATAGTGAGTAATCTAGATAATTTTGGAAGCATGAAGGTAGAAAGTGAATTCATAGGTCACATATCACAGGTTGAATGGGTCTCTGACAGTCAGTTTGCTATTTGATCACCTAAATAAATAATTGTTTGCATTGGTCAGCTTTAGTTGAGACTTTTAAAAATGTATATCTGCCTGCTATATTTATGGAGAATATTATTTTTGTTCTTCAATAACACTTCAGATGAAGCTAGAACTATTCTTCAATTTGTAGGTTGTAGACTTTGCCATTTAGAAAAACATTAATTTTTATCCATGTCACATAATGCACATTTGGCCCTTCAAAGAGTGCAGGGGTTAGGGGACCCGTCATGCGCATCCATGTGAAGAGAGTCCACCAACAGGCTTTGTGTGAGCAACAAGGCTGTTTATTTTACTTGAATGCAAGTGGGCTGAGTGGGGCAGTTTTACAGGATTTGGGTAGGTAGTGGAAAATTACAGTTAAAGGTGGTTATCTCTTACAGGCAGGGGCGGGGGTCACAAGGTGCAGGGTGGGTAGATTTTGAGACTCATTGTCCAGGGGAGGAATGTCACTAGGTCGATTGATTAGTTGGGGTGGGGCAGGAACAAATCACAATGGTGGAATGTCATCAATTAAGGCAGGAACTGCCTATTTTCACTTCTTTGGTGGTTCTTCAGTTGCTTCAGGCCATCTGGATGTATACTGCAGGTCACAGGGCATATGATGGCTTAGCCTGGGCTCAGAGCCCTGATGGGACCCAACCTCCCTCACAGTCAGAAATCCATGTATAACTTTTGACTTCCCCCAAACTTAACTACTAATAGCCTACTGTTGACTGGAAGCCTTACTAATAAACACGGTCAATTAACACATTATGTAGGTTACATGCATTATATACTGTATTTTTGCAATAAAGTAAGCCAGAGAAAAGAAATGTTAATAGGAAAATCATAAGGAAGAGAAAATATATTTACTATTTATAAGTGGAGGTGGGTCATCATAAAGGTCTTCATCTTTGTTGTAGTCTTCATATTGAGTGGGCTGAGTAGAAAAGGAAGAGGAGGGCTTGGTCTTGCTATCTCGGGGTGGCAGAGGAGGAAGAGGCAGAGGAAGTAGGAGGGGCAGCAGGAGAGGCAGGCACACTCAGTGTAACTTTGATGGAAAAAAATCCACATATAAGTGGACTCGCCCAGTTCAAACCTGTGCTGTTCCAAGGTCAGCTGTATATTTATTGATAATCCTGAAGTTGTACTTGAGCTCCCAACTTTAGCTTAAAGGGGACTTTTTATCTACTCTGTGTGTGTATGTGTGTGTGTGTGTGTGAGAGAGAGAGAGAGAGAGAAAGAGGTGTATATTATTTTAGAATACCAAGAAATGTAGTGCTCCAAATAAATATGCAGGCTTGTTTTCCTGACTTGGTAAGAGGACTTGGTGCTTTTACTGAGAACAGCTTGGGGAGCATTTCAGGCAGTCTCTGAAGTACTCACTGGTGGAGAGGGATTTTCTTCCATAGAGCAAGGGTCTGCTTTTGTGTCGCAGTAGTGCACACCTTTCTTTGGAAAAGAGTTAGCAGTTCCTCTTGAAACGCCCTTGATCTCTGTTGTCCTTGTCATCTGTGACCTTCCTCTCTGTTCTTGCCATAAGAGGCTTTGTCAGGTGGTGGTCTTTTTCATTTTGACATTCTGGGAGAATTTCTGAAGCTTTCCCCTGTGTCACTAGTTTGGTTTTCCAGGGTGTAGGTTCTGATTTTTACTTCCTTCAGCGTGGGTTTCCCCCTGTGGTTATAGCTGTTGTCTCCATGGCATTCCTGTTGACCTCATCTGGCTCCATGCCTGTGGCCTTCCTCCTGCCCTTCCCGGCTGTCTACCCTGGATTCAGGGAGGTGCTGCCTGCCTGCAGTCCTCTGGGTTGCGGGTCCAGAAGGACTGTCCTGGGTCCTACAGATGTAGAGGTGTGTTCTCCCTCCTCATGTCCATGGCACGCCTCCTTTTCCTTGTGTTTCTATAGGAGGTGCATTTATTGGTATTTTCTTTTTTATTTGTTTTTTTAGAAATGTCATTAACTGAACATTTGTTGTGAAAATTTATGAATACCTGCTATAAAACATTCCAGCAATACAGAAAAGTAGAAAGAATAAAAATACTAAGTATCAGTTATGCAGGAGGAATGAGTTCTGAAGATCTAACGTACGGCATGGTTACTATAGTTGAGAATGCTGTGTTGTGGACTTGAAATATGCTAAGAGAGTAGTTTTTTTGTTTTGTTTTGTTTTGTTTTGTTTTGAGACTAGGTCTCACTCTTTCACCCAGGCTGGAGTGTAGCAATCATAGCTCGCTGTAGCCTCCAACTCCTGGGCTCAAGTTACCCATTTCCTCTGTCTCCCTGCTACAGGCATGTGCCACTATGCCTAATTAGATAGGGTCTTGCTGTGTTGCCCAGGCTGGTCTTAAACTCCTGGCTTCAACCCATCCTCCTGCCTCAGCCTCCCAAAATGTTAGAATTACAAACATGAACCACCGCACCCAGCAGTGCGGTTCTCGCCCCATGTACAAAACATCAGAGCTATGTGAGGTAATGGACATGTTAATTAGCTTGATTATGGTAATTATTTTGCAAGGTGAATACAAAAACATCACCTTGTAGACCTTAAATACATGGAATTTTTATTTGTCAAGTGTACCTCAGTAAAGCCAGGGAAAAACAGAAGAAGAAAAATGACATAAAATGTCACCTTTCACAAATAACCCCTCATAGACATTGGTGAGCGGGACTTCGACATCACGCTGTTCATGGATGTAAAGGGAGGATGTGTGTCCAAAGAGTTATATATTATACATTTTACTTTCAGGATAAATGGTAAGTTTGAAATTTACTTTAACAAGAAAAAGAATATGAATATGCTTCACAGTCAAGTAGAAAAGGCTATAGAATTTTTTAAGTGGTTAGAGTCCTTTTTTTTACAACGGGAAGTTCAAGTGTAGAAGCGCAGAGGACATTAGTGCAGGCATACCTAATTTCAAAGAACGGTATAATGTAGGGGTTAACATTTGGGACCCAGACAGCTGGGTTCAAATCCCATCTTGGCCACTTGACCTCAGGCTAATCACCAAACTTGCTGTGACTCAGTTTCCCTCTGTTACGTCTAAGATAGAAGTAATAGCAGTATCTTGTAGAATTATTCTAACAGTTGAGTTATTATAATTTATAATGTAAAGCACTTAGGGCAGTGTCTGGCACACTAATATTATCATTTCCCTCCCGTGGCTAGATTGTTGCAAATTGTTGCATGTGTGGGATGAGGTTGATAGCATTTGCTCTCCGCTGCTCCCCCGCTTCCTGTGGTATTTCCTCATAGTCTTATGTTTAAGTGCTCAGAGAACCCTGCCAACCTGCCTCTCCTCCTCCTGAGCTGCTGCCATGCTGCCTTTACTAAGGCCATTTCTAACTTCTTTATTTTGCCTGACTCACCTTTGGCCAGATTTTGTTGTCCAGTAGTTTTTTTTTTTTTTTTTTTGGCTCATAATTGTTTTATTTCCTTAAATTCTGGAAGACAATTGGCTTTCCATTTGAAGGAAAACCTACTAGGAATAAATTCCTCAATATGACATAGCCTAACTCACCCCAGAGAACCACCCTCCTCTGTGCTGCCCGCCCAGGGATAAACTCTTCCTGCCTGGAGATCCATATGTTGGTCTCTTTTGTTATTATGAAAAATGTTATACGCCCAGAAAAGAATAGAGAAAATATGACAACACACTTGTGTTCATAACATGGAGCTACAGCAAATAATACCACTTTACCATAATTGCTTCACATCTTCTAAAGTGAAATAAATTGCTGCATGGAAGTGAAGCTCTTTGTACCTGCACCCCCCCATCCCCTCCTTTGCTCTCATTTCCCAGCAGGTTTCCCCCAGCCTGCAGTTGGTGTGTGTTCTTCTTGTCCAAGTTTTTATGCTTTTTACTATATGTGTTTATAGTCAACAGGTAGTATTGTTGTGTACACTTCAAAGTTCATAGACATGATATTGTATTGTTACTAGTGTTTCTGCTCCTTAAGTCAACTTTGTGTTTTCTGTATTTACCATTGTTGGTATGTATAGATCCATGCATTTATTTTAATTGCTGTGGACATTCTATTCCATTGCATGAATGGAAACCTTAGCGTTTGCCATTTGTTGACATTCCAAGGCAGGGGTTCAGTTACCATCCATGTATCTGACTGTGTGTACCCTGTGTGACCGTTTCCCTGGGTCACTGAATCTCAAACTTGGCTGCATGTTAGAACCCCTGGAGACTTTTAAAAATACCAATGCCTGGGTCCCATCCCCTAAGTGCAATCTGATTTAATTGATCTGGGAGGCAGCTTGGGCATCAGCATTAAAAAAAAATCTCTCCAGGAAATCCTAATATGCAGCAACATTTAAGAACCTCTGCTTGAGGCTCTGCTGTTCATTGTAGGAGCCACTGATCACCCATGGCTATTCAAGTTTAAGGTAATTAAGATGACCTGTATTATAAATTCATTTCCTTAGTTGCACTAGCCATATTTCAAGGGCTTAATGGTCACAAGTGGCTACCATATTTGACGGCATAGGTATAGAACATTTCTACCACTGCAGAGAGTTTGGTTGGACAGTGATACTCTCGGGCACACACCTGGGGATATGGCCAGGGGATACATTCCCCATCAGTTGTACTAGCCACCTGGGCTGCTCATTAAAGTGGCTGTATTAGTTCCTGCTGCTGCTGTTACAAATGACCACACATTTAACAGCTTAAAGCAAAACACATTTATTTTCTTTTAGTTCAGTAGATTAGAACTCCAACACAGGACTCGCTGGATTACAGTCAAGGTCTTGTTCCTTTCTGCAGGCTCTTGGGGAGAATCCATTTCCTTGCTCATTCAGGTGCCAGCAGAATTCATTCCTTGTGGTTTGTGATGGTAACTTTATGTGACTGGGCTAACAGATGCCCAGATAGCTGGTGTTTCTGGAAGAGATGAGCATTTGAATCAGTAGACGGAGTAGAGAAGATCATCCTCACCAATGCAGGTGGTCATCATCCGATTTGTTGCCAGTCTTAACAGAGAGTCAGAGGAAGGGTGCGTTCTGTCTCTCTTCTCGAATTGGGACATCCATCATCCCCCCGACCTTTGGATATCAGCACTCCTGGTTCCTGGGTCCCTAGTGCATCTTGTTCATATTTGGGGTCTCATATCTACCTCCAGAAAGCAGTCCTCGGGTCAGGACTCAGGTCTGACCCACTCTGGCTGCTCTGCACTGTCTAGCTGGGGGTCCTGCTCCGCAGTCAGGATTTGTTCCATGGTTGAGTAGGTTGTGTCATGATTATTTGAGACTTTGGGAAGTCCCCACTTAATTTTGAATTCTTGAAATTCCTTTAACAGGTGTCAAAACTTTTCTTTCCAGAACTTTGAAGAAAGTGTTCGTGGTAGGTTTTCATGCAGACAGAGATTCCATCAAGGGGCCGTTCTTTCCTAGGCAGTAAGGACAGGGGGGCCCTTGGGAGCATGGGTGACATTGTCCTGTCTATCCTGCCGTGTTGAAGGACATGATGAGGGGCTGTCTTTTGGGGGAACTGACAAGTGCCTCTGAAAACAGAGCCAGCTGCTCACGTTCATGATTCATGTTTTCATTCTCCATTCCTCACTCTTTTATTGCACTCTGGTCCCAACAGCCCTGTGCTTTGAAGAAATCCATCTTTAGAAAATAGGTGATATTGAGTCCTCTGCAGTTTGTGGGAGTTGTTCTGAAAATGCAGGTGTGGGTTGCATAGCTACTGATGAAATAGTGCCAGGAAATAGACTAAAGTGGGAATTTCCCCCCTACAGAGAAGGTGGACAGAGGGCTGCAGAGGAAAGGAAAGGCATGGAACCACACTGACAGCTCTGTTTAAAACTAGGTCTTCACTGAAAGCAGGGAATCGAACAGATGTTTGCACACCTATGTTCATGGAAGCCTTGTTTACAATAGCCAAAAGGTGGGAGCTACCCAAGTGTCCATCAGTAGATGAGTGGATACATAAAATGTGGTCTGTATACACAGTGGAAGATTGCTCAGTCTTCAAAAGGAAGGAAATTCTGACACAGGCTACAACATGGATGAACTTTGAGGACATTATGCTAAGTGAAATAAGCCAGCCACAGAAAGACAAATGCTGAATGATTCCACTCATACGAGGCACCTAGAGACAGAAAGCAGAATGGTGGTTGCCGGGGGCTGGAGGGAGGGGGAAAGGAGAGTTGTTCATTGGATATAGAGTTTCAGTTTTGCAAGGTGAAGAAGTTCTAGAGATCTGTTGTCAAACAGGGTACATGTAGTTAACACTATAGTACTGTACACTTAAAAATGGCTAAGATGGTAAATCTTACATGTTTTTTACCACATAAAAACCGAAACAGAAGCAAAACACTTGCCCCAGCACTCCCTGCTCCCCCTATCTGGGCTCTGTTTTTCCCCCGGAGCACTCATCATTCTTTTGTGCCCAATTTAATTACTTAGGAGGTCTCTCCCCTCTAGAATGTAGACACTGCAAGGGTGAGATTGTTGTTTCTTTTGTTCACGGATGGTCAAGAACAGCGCCAGGTATTGATGAGGCACTTTATAAATGTGTTGAATACAAGAATGTGCTCCAGATCTGGCTGGGGCCATACTGCAGAGATGTGGACATGGACTCGGAGGTGCTCCTGGTGAGAGCCTCCTTAGCGTGTCCATGAAGCTGAGAGCTTGCATTTGGGTGGGAATGCTCCTTGTGGAATAGGGACAGAGAGTCATGGGTGAGACAAGGCTGCCTTTTGTTTTCAAAGTGGAGCACATGTTCATCATTGGCTGAATGAAGTTCTAACAGTCTTGCTAAAATGAGAATTGCCTGTTCACCCCACGCCTTTTTAAATGTGTGTCATGCACTCTCCCCTGTATCATGGCAGGTATGTGTATCAACACTGTGTCTTCCCTCCACGGAGAAGGTGGAGGGGACATGGTTTTGCAGAGGGAAAAATTCCTCATTTTGTTTGCTTCTTGCTAATGTTGACCAATGGTTTTCAAACTAGGTTCCGTGGAACCTTAGGGTTTTAAAATTCCTTTTCAAATAGAGTACATCCACTTTTAGTGGCTTCATATTTTGATGCAGCCTAATAATTAATTTGACAAAGTGTTGTGTTGTGTTTGGCTTTAGGGTGCTTTGGGCCGGGTGTACCGACTAGCTTTGTCACTTGGCCCCTTTACTGCTGGGTAGTTCAAAGCAGGCGGCCCTTGTGGTCCCTAAGATGCTTTATTTTGCCATTTTGAAAGCTCAGGGAGAGCATATGTAAAACAAGGCAGTGAGTGGAAAACAGCTTTTCTTTAAGGCTCAGTACTTAAGGCTAAGACGTCACACAAAAAGAGTGTTTAAAGAAGGATTTAGAGAGAAAATCTCACTGCAGATGAAAAGAGGCTGACTTTTTAAAGAATATGAGAGATTTCAGAGAAAAGAAAGAATCCTTGGGTGAATATTCCCCATAGCATTTATACAACATTGGCAGTTCATTATTTACTTATAAAACTTCAACAGAACCAAACTATAGAGCGTGGTGGTGGCTTCAATATCTGACAGTTTACCAGTGGATTTGTGCATCACCAGTTATAATCACTAGAGATGGAGTATGGAGGTGTTTTAGTCAGCTCGGGCTGCTCTCTAATGGGATACCATAAACTGGGTGGCTTAAACAGTAGACATTTATTTCTCACAGTTCTGGAGGCTGAGAAGTCCCAGGTCAAAGTGCTTGCAGATTCAGTTCCTGGTGAGGGCTCATATCCTGGTTTGCAGATGGCCACCTTCTTGCTGTGTCCTTGCATGGTGGAGACAGAAAGCTCTGGTGTTTCTTCCTGTTCTTATAAGGTCACTAATCCCAACATGGGGCCTCCACACTCATGGTTTCATCTATCCCTGATCACCTCCCCATCTCCTAATACCATCCCATTGGGGTTAGTGCCTCAACATACGAATTTTGGGAGGACGCAGTTCAGTCCATAGCAGCAGGAGTGATAATTAGGAAAGGGAGAGGGATTATTGGTCTTGTTGCCTTGGTGTGGTTATCTGGGCTTGCTTGTATCCTCACTTAAGCTGAAATGTTTCTATTTCTGTCTGTCTTTTAAAGCAGTCCACGTGGACTTGTTAGGTACTCCATATTTGTTGAATCCAAGACAGCTCATAGCTTTATGGGGCCTGAAGCATGTGTAGTTTGAGGGGTTGTTTTATGACAAATAACAAAAAATACAAATATAAACAAACTAGGGCTTCTTCCAGGGGCCTTTGGAAGGCCACAAAGCTTTAGTTTCATTAGGTTCATGGTAGTTCTGGTTGGCTCATTTCATTTTTTTTGTTTAAAATAATGTTTATTTACCATTTTTCAAATATTGGCAGTAATATCGTTCACCATAGAAAGTTTAGAAAATACAGATGAGCCAAAGCACCGGCCCTGATTTCATAATTCTAAAACAATCTCTGTTAATATTGTAGTATGCATGAGGTGTTTTGATTGCTGGATGTGCATATTTTCACATTTCAACACTGCCAGGGCCTGCATGCTTCTTTACAATAGATAACACGTCAGCATTTATTGGCAGCATACATTTTCTCTTGTGGTGTGCCTTACAGTTGTTGGCATCCTAGATATGCTGGGGTAAGGGGTTTGTTATGCAGGTACTAAGCTGTGGGAGCACCCTTCGAGGCTGGAAGTGATGGAAGACCAGAAACCAATGGTGCAGAAGTGACAGGTCAGTTTTTATCATTCAGAAGCAGCCTGTGAGGTTTCAGGCCAGGATACTTGCAGGCCCTTTGACAAATCTCTGACACTCTCAGTCGGGTGTGGTGGCTCACGCCTGTAATCCCAGCACTTTGGGAGGCCAAGGCAGGCAGATCACTTGAGGCCAGGAGTTGGGAGACCAGCCTCTCCAACTCTACTAAAACTACAAAAAATAAAAAAAAAAATCAGCTGGACATGGTGGCACACGCCTGTAATCCCAGTTACTTGGGAGGCTGAGGAGGAAGAATCACTTGAACTCAGGAGGTGGAGGTTGCAGTGAGCTAAGATCACGCCACTGGGCAACAGAGCAAGACTCTATCTCAAAAAAAAAAAAAAGAAAAGAAAAAAGAAGAAGAAAAGTAAAATCTCTGACACTCTGGATATAAGGAGGCTGCTTTGGGAATCTTATGTAAAAATGAGCCCTCCTCTGCAGGAAACCCGCTTAACACATGGGAGCATGTCTTCTTTTTCTTTCTTTCTTTTATTTTAAAATTATACTCTAAGTTCTGGGATACATGTGCAGACCTGCAGGTTTGTTACATAGGTATATATGTGCCATGGTGGTTTGCTGCACCCATCAACCCGTCATCTACATTAGTTGTTTCTCCTAATGCTATCCCTCCCCTTGCCCCCCACCGCACCGACAGGCCCCAGTGTGTGATATTCCCCTCCCTGTGCCCATATGTTCTCATTGTTCACCTCCCACTTATGAGTGAGAATATGTGGTGTTTGGTTTTCTCTTCCCATGTTAGTTTGTTGATAACGATGGTTTCCAGCTTCATCCATGTCCCTGCAAAGGACATGAACTCATTCTTTTTTATGGCTGCATAGTATTCCATGGTGTATATGTGCCACATTTTTTTTTTTTTTTGAGATGGAGTCTCACTCTGTCGCCGAGGCTGGAGTGTAGTGGCGGCATGATCTCAGCTCACTGCAAGCTCCACTTCCCGGGTTCACGCCATTCTCCTGCCTCAGCCTCCTGAGTAGCTGGGACTACAGGTGCCAGCCACCATGCCCGGCTAATTTTTTTGGTATCTTTAGTAGAGATGGGGTTTCATCGTGTTAGCCAGGATGGTCTCGATCTCCTGACCTCGTGATCCGCCCGCCTCGGCCTCCCAAAGTACTGGATTACAGGTGTATATGTGCCACATTTTTATCCAGTCTAACATTGATGGGCATTTGGGTTGGTTCCAAGTCTTTGCTATTGTGAATAGTGCTGCAATAAACATACATGTGCATGTGTCTTTATAGTAGAATGATTTATAATCCTTTGGGTATATACCCAGTAATGGGATTGCTAGTTCAAATAGTATTTCTAGTTCTAGATCCTTGAGCAGTCGCCACACTGTCTTCCACAATGGAGGAACTAATTTATACTCCCACCAATGGTGTAAAAGCGTTCCTGTTGCTCCACATCCTCTCCAGCATCTTTTGTTTCCTGACTTTTTAATGATCGCCATTCTAACTGGCATGAGATGGCATCTCATCGTGGTTCTTATTTGCATTTCTCTAATGACCAGTGATAATGAGTTTGTTTTCATGTGTTTGCTGGCTACATAAATGTCTTCTTTTGAAAAGTATCTGTTCATATCCTTCACCCACTTTTTGATGGAGTTGTTTGTTTTTTGTTGTAAATTTAAGTTCCTTGTAGATTCTGGATATTACCCCTTTGTCAGATGAATAGATTGCAAAAATTTTCCTCCATTTTGTAGGTTGCCTGTTCACTCTGATCATAGTTTCTTTTGCTGTGCAGAAGCTCTTTAGTTTAATTAGATTCCATTTGTCAATTTTGGCTTTTGTTGCCATTGCTTTTGGTGTTTTAGTCATGAAGTCTTTGCTCATGCCTGTGTTCTGAATGGTATTGCCTAGGTTTTATTCTAGGGTTTTTATGGTTTTAGGTCTTACGTTAAAATCTTTAATCCGTCTTGAGTTGATTTTTGTATAAGATGTAAGGAAGGGGTCCAGTTTCAGTTTTCTGCATATGCTAGCCAGTTTTCCCAACACCATTTACTAAATATGGAATCCTTTCCCCATTGCTTATTTTTGTCAGGTTTGTCAAAGATCATTTGGTTGTAGTTGTGTGGTGTCATTTCTGAGGCCTCTGTTCTGTTCCATTGGCCTGTATGTCTGTTTTGGTACCAGTACCATGCTGTTTTGGTTACTGTAGTCTTGTAGTATAGTTTGAAGTCAGGTAGCGTGATGCCCTCCAGCTTTGTTCTTTTTGCCTGGGATAGTCTTGGCTATACAGGCTCTTTTTTGGTTCCATATGAAATTTAAAGTAATTTTTTTCTAATTTTGTGAAGAAAGTCAATGGTAGCTTGATGGGAATAGCATTGAATCTATAAATTACTTTGGGCAAAATGGCCATTTTCATGATATTGATTCTCCCTGTCCATGAATGTGGAATGTTTTTCTATTTGTTTGTGTCCTCTCTTATTTCCTTGAGCAGTGGTTTGTAGTTCTCCTTGAAGAGGTCCTTCACATCCCTTGTAAGTTGTATTCCTAGGTATTTTATTCTCTTTGTAGCAATTGTGAATGGGAGTTTGCTCATGATTTGGCTCTCTGTTTGTCTATTATTGGTGTATAGGAATGCATGTAATTTTTGCATATTGATTTTGTATCCTGAGACTTTGCTGAAGTTACTTATCAGCTTAAGGAGTTTTTGGGCTGAGATGATGAGGTTTTCTAAATATACAATCATGTCACCTGCAAAGAGAGATAATTTGACTTCCTCTTTTCCTACTTGAATACCCTTTATTTCTTTCTCTTGCCTCATTGCCCTGGCCAGGACTTCCAGTACTCTGTTGAATAGGAGTGGTGAGAGAGGGCATCCTTATCTTGTGCTGGTTTCAAAGGGAATGCTTCCGGCTTTTGCCCAGTCAGTATGATATTGGCTGTGGGTTTGTCATAAATAGCTCTTATTATCTTGAGATATGTTCCATCAATACCTAGTTTATTGACAGTTTTTAGCATGAAGGGGTGTTGAATTTTATCGAAGACCTTTTTCTGCATCTATTGAGATAATCATGTCGTTTTTGTCATTGCTTCTGTTTATTTGTGATACATTACATTTATTGATTTGTGTATATTGAACCAGCCTTGCATCCCAGGGATGAAGCCGACTTGATTGTGGTGGATAAGCTTTTTAATGTGCTGCTGGTTTGGTTTGCCAGTATTTTACTGAGGATTTTCGCATTGGTGTTCATCAGGGATGTTGGCCTGAAATTTTCTTTTCTTGTTGTGTCTCTGCCAGGTTTTGGTATCAGGATGATGCTGGCCTCATAAAATGAGTTAGGGAGGAGTCCCTCTTTTTCTGTTGTTTGGAATAGTTTCAGAAGGAACAGTACCAGCTCCTCTTTGTGCCTCTGGTAGAATTCGGCTGTAAATCCATCTGGTCCTGGGCTTTTTTTGGTTGGTAGGCTATTAATTACTGCTTCAATTTCAGAACTTGTTATTGGTCTATTCAGGGATTTGACTTCTTCCTGGTTTAGTCTTGGGAGGGTGTATGTGTCCAGGAATTTATCCATTTCCTCTAGATTTTCTAGCTTATTCGCATAGAGGTGTTTATAGTATTCTGTGATTGTAGTTTTTGTTTCTGTGGGGTCAGTGGTAATCTCCCCTTTATCATTTTTTATTGTGTCTATTTGAGTTTTCTCTCTTTTCCTCTTTATTAGTCTGGCTAGCGGCCTATTTTATTAATCTTTTCAAAAAATCTGCTCCTGGATTCACTGATTTTTTGAAGGGTTTTTCATGTCTCTATCTCCTTCAGTTCTGCTTTGGTCTTAGTTATTTCTTGTCTTCTGCTAGCTTTTGAATTTATTTGCTCTTGCTTCTCTAGTTCTTTTCATTGTGATGTTAGGGTGTTGATTTTAGATCTTTCCCACTTTCTCCTGTGGGCATTTTAGTGCTATAAATTTCCCTCTAAACACTACTTTAGCTGTCCCAGAGATTCTGGTACGTTGTGTCTTTGTTCTCATTGGTTTCAAATAATTTATTTATTTCTGCCTTAATTTCGTTATTTACCCAGTGGTCATTCAGTAGCAGGTTGTTCAGTTTCCATGTAGTTGTGCAGTTTTGAGTGAGTTTCTTAATCCTAAGTTCTAATTGGATTGCACTGTGGTCTGAGTGACCGTTATGATTTCTGTTCTTTGGCATTTGCTGAGGAGTGTTTTACTTCCAATTATGTGGTCAATTTTAGAATAAGTGCTATGTAGTCCTGGGAAGAATGTATACTCTGTTGATTTGGGGTGGAGAGTTCTGTAGATGTCTATTAGGTCTGCTTGGTGCAGAGCTGAGTTCAAGTCCTGAATATCCTTGTTAATTTTCTGTCTCATTGATCTGTCTAATATCAACAGTGGGGTGTTAAATTCTCCCACTATTACTGCATGGGAATCTAAGCCTCTTTCTAGGTCTCTAAGAACTTGCTTTATGAATCTGGGTGCTCCTGTATTGTGTGCATCTATATTTAGGATAGTTAGCTCTTCTTGTTGCATTGATTCTTTTACCATTATGTAATCCTCTTGTTTGTCTTTTTTGATTTTTGTTGGTTTAAAGTCTGTTTTATCAGAGACTAGGATTGCAACCCCTGCTTTTTTTTTGCTTTCCATTTGCTTGGTAAATCTTCCTCCGTCCCTTTATTTTGAGCCTAGTGTGTCTTTGCATGTGAGATGGGTCTCCTAAATACAGCACATGGATGGGTCTTGACTCTTTATCCAGTTTGCCAGTGTTTGCCTTTTAATTGGGGGCATTCAGCCCATTTACATTTAAGGTTAATATTATTATGTGGGAATTTGATCCTGTCATTAAGATCCTAGCTGGTTATTTTGCCCATTGTTGATGCAGTTTCTTCATAGTGTTGATAGTCTTTACATTTTGGTTTGTTTTTGCAGTGGCTGTACTGGTTTTTCCTTTCCATATTTAGTGCTTCCTTCAGGAGGTCTTGTAAGGCAGGCCTGGTGGTGACAAAATCCCTCAGCATTTGCTTGTCTGTAAAGGATTCTATTGAACTTCACTTATGAAGCTTAGTTTGGCTGGATATGAAATTCTGGGTTGAAAATTCTGTTCTTTAAGAACATTGAATATTGGCCCCTACTCTCTTCTGGCTTGTAGGGTTTCTGCAGAGAGATCTGCTGTTAGTCTGATGGGCTTCCCTTTGTGGGTAACTCGACCTTTCTCTCTGGCTGCCCTTAACATTTTTTCCTTCATTTCAATCTTGGTGAATCTGATGATTATGTGTCTTGGGGTTGCTCTTCTCGAGGAGTATCTTTGTGATGTTCTCTCTAGTTCCTGAATTTGAATGTTGGCTTGTCTTGCTAGGTTGGTGAAATTCTCCTGGATGATATCCTGAAGTGTGTTTTCCAACTTGGTTCCATTCTCCCCATCACTTTTAGGTACACCAATCAATCGTAGGTTTGGTCTTTTCACATAGTCCCATATTTCTTGGAGGCTTTGCTCCTTTTCATTCTTTTTTCTCTAATCTTGTCTTCACACTTTATTTCATTAAGTTAATCTTCAATCTCTGGTATCCTTTCTTTTGCTTGATAGATTGGGCTACTGATACTTGTGTATGCTTCACGAAGTTCTCGTGTTGTGTTTTTCAGCTCCATCAGGTCATTTATGTTCTTCTCTAAGCTGGCTATTCTGGTTAGCAATTCCTCTAACCTTTTTCAAGGCTCTTAGCGTCCTTGCATTGGATGAGAACATGCTTCCTTAGCTAGGAGGAGTTTGTTATTACCCATTTTCTGAAGCCTACTTCCGTCAGTTCATCAAACTCATTCTCTGTCCAGTTTTGTTTTCTTGTTGGCAAGGAGTTGTGATCCTTTGGAGGAGAAGGGGCATTCTGGTTTTTGGAATTTTCAGCCTTTTTTCTCTGGTTTTTCTGCATCTTCATGGATTTATCTACCTTTGGTCTTTGCTGTTGGTGACCCTCGGATGGTGTTTTTGCTTGGTCATCCTTTTTGTTGATGTCGATGCTATTGCTTTCTGTTTGTTAGTTTTCCTTCTAACGGTCATCAGGCCCCTCATCTTCAGGTCTTCTGGAGTTTGCTGGAGGTCCACTCCAGACCCTGTTTGCCTGGGTATCACCAGCGGAGGCTGCTGAACAGCAAAGATTGCTGCCTGCTCCTTCCTCTGGAAGCTTCATCTCAGAGGGGCACCTGCCAGATGCCAGCCAGAGCTCTCCTGTGTGAGGTGTCTGTCAACCCCTGCTGGGAGGTGTCTCCCCATCAGGAGGCACTGGGGTCAGGGACCCACTAGAGGAGGCAATCTGTCCCTTAGCAGAGCTCGAGCACTGTGCTGAGAGATCCACTGCTGTCTTCAGAGCCAGCAGGCAGGAATATTTAAGTCTGCTGAAGCTGCGCCCATAGCTGTCCCATCCCCCAGGTGCTCTGTCCAAGGGAGATGGGAGTTTTATCCATAAGCCCCTGACGGGTGCTGCTGTTTTTCTTTCCGAGATGCCTTGCCCACAGACGAGGAACCTAGAGAGGCAGTCTGGCTACAGTGGCTTTGTGGCACTGGGGTGGGCTCTGCCCAGGGGGAGCATGTTTTCTAAACACTTAAACATTCTCCATGCCTTTTTTATTGTCTTTATAAGTATCCACTCTATGTTTATGGTTTGTATAAGATATTCCAATTTAACAAACAGTTGTTGGACATTTTTTCTCCTTTTTCTCTTGTCATCTACAAGGTGACTTGGCATTGTACATCCTTGTATCAAAATCTTTGCACAACTTCAGAAGAATCTCCTTATGAGAACAGACCTGCTTCTGCAAAGGGATAAATATGTTTTCAAGGCTTTCTAATGACCTAACATGACAGTGCCAGCCCTGGGTATCATCATGGAAGACACCAGAGCTTCTAGTTTGATAGATGAAAAATGTTATGAATGCATTATTATTTTACTTAGCATTTCATGAATTACTCATGACTGCTTTCCCCACTTCTTTGTTGGTGAGTTTGATCTTTAAGATTCAAGTATTTCCTCCACTCAGGTAAATAGTCTGAATCCAGCTTCAAATAGAAAAGGTCAGAGAGTGAGCCTAAGAATCCTAAGTATAAAAGCACGAGGCAGAATTCATGGATGCCTAAACTTGGAAACACACGCTTCAGTTCTTCTTCATGGTGTCTCAAAATATCACAGATCAAGTTACAGTCTCTCGTGTCCTTTTCCAACCTGTCTATTTCCTCTGTAAACAAAGAGGAATTTCTCTTTTACTTCATTTCTTTGTTTCTGGAATCAATATGTAGTACTTGTGTGCATGTTTCAAAACATCACACAAATGGTTTTAACTGTGATGTCATTCTGAAACTTGCTTTTCACAGTTGGTATTGTTTTCCACTTCCATGTGGGTTGATCTGCATAAAGTCATTTAACTCCTCTATAGAGTGCCCTTCTGAGAACATATCCCAATCTTCTGTGTTGTGTTGTTGCTGACCGTTTAGCCTGTTTCTGGTGTTCTGCCTTTACAACATGCTGCAGGGGTGCATAGGTAGAAACATGTTGGTAGAGCCTGTCTCTAGAAGTAGAATTCCTGGGGCACCTTAATGTCACTATAATCGTCAAACTGCTCTTCAAATTGTTTAAATCAATCTGTACTCCTAGTAGGGCCAAGGAGAGTTAACATTCGTCTACTTTCTCTCCAATACCAAGTATTATTAGACTTTTTAATTTTAGCTACTGTGATGGTTGTGAAAAGGTATCTCCAGTGGAGGATTCAAGTTTTGTAGGGCCCATCTCAGTTCTTTTAACAGAAAGAATACAAAATTGTAAATACAAATTTAGTCATGACAGTGGATATTTATTTGGAATGAAAAAACAAATCACAATGAATTATAAACTTAAAAATGCTTTAAATGCATGAAATATACCACACAGTTGAGAAAAATAACATTTACAAGTTAAAGAATTGCATGACCCATCTTTGTAATAGTTTTTTGCTGCATATTCATTAATTGTCTATTAGTATGATAATTTTATAATTTTATTTTCTCTAGATCCTAAAAAGATATTTAGCTTTACTTGCTCTAGCATAGCTGGCTGATTAAGATGATTTTATTATCCTTACTTCTTTTAATTATTGAGGTATTATTCACATAACATGCAAGTCACCATTTTGAAGTGTACAGGTTAGTGTTTTTTTAGTATAGTCACAGTGTTATGTTAAATCATCATGACGTAATTCCGGAACATTTCCATCACCCCAAAAAGAAATCTCATAACTGTTAGCAGTCACCTCCAATTCCCCAATCCTCTAACCCTTGGCACCTCAAATCTACTATCTGTTTCTATGATTTTGCCTCTTCTGGACATTTCACATAACTGGAATCATACAATATGTGGCCTTTTGTATTTGGCTTCTTTTACTTAGCATAATGTTTACAAGGTTCATCCATGTTATAGCATGCAATAGCACTTCCTTTTTGTGGAAAATGACATTCCATATGTATATACCACATTTTGTTTAACCATTTATCAATTGATGAACATTTGGTTTCTTTCCACTTTTAGACTATTATGATTGCCGCTGTGAACATTTAGTGTACTGGATTTTGTGTGAACATATCTTTTCAATACTGTTAGGTATATATGTAAGGGTAGAATTACAGAGTCACACGGTAATTCAGTGTTTAACTACCAGACTGTTTTCCAAAGCAGCTGCAACATTTTACATTCCTATCAGCAACGTATGAGTTCCAGTTTCTTCATATTCTTGCCAACACTTATTTTCTGGTTTTTTTTTCCCCCTTTATTCTAGCCATCCTAGTGGGTATGAAATTGGTATGTCATTGTGGTTTTGATCTGTATTTTTCTAATGGCCAATGATATTGAACTTCCCTAAAGATCTTTTCATGCATTTATTGGCCATTTGTATATCTTCTTACGAGAAATTTTTGTTCAAATCCTTAGCCCTTTTCCTAGTTGAGTTATTTGACTTCTTGTCGTTGAATGCTAGGAGTCCTTTATATATGCTGGTTACTAGACCTTTATCAGACATATGATTTGTAAATGTCTTCCCTCATTCTATGGGTTGTCTTTTCATTTTGTGGATAGGGCTGATTGAAACATAAAAGTTTTAAATATCGATGAGGTTCAATTCATCTATTTTTTCTTTGGTCACACATGCTTTCAGTGTCCTTTCCAAAAAACTTTTCCTTAACTCAAAGTTGCACAGATTTATATCTATGCTTTTTTTTTCTAGGATTTTTAGTTATAGCCCTTACATTTAGGCCTTTGATTCATTTTGCATTAATTTTTGTATATGGTATAAGGTGGGGTCCAACTTCATTCCTTTGTATGTGGATATCTAGTTTTAGAACCATTTCTTGAGAAAATTATTCTTTCCTTATTGAATGGTCTTGGCACTCTTGTTGAAAGTTACTTGGCCATAGATCTGTTTCACTGATCTATTTGACTGTCTTATACCAGTATCACACTGTCTTGATTACTGTAGCATTGTAGTAAATTTGGAAATCAGAAAGTGTGATTCCTCTCACTTTGTTCTTTTTCAAGATTGTTTTGACTTGTCTGGGTTTCAGGAATTTCCATATGAATTGTAGGATTAGTTTGTTGATCCTTGCAAAAAAAAATTCTCGATGAGATTTTTGATAGGAATTGCTTTGATCTGTCCATTAACATTAGATATATTTTCATTTATTTCAGTCTTTAATTTACTTCAGCAATGTTTTATGGTTTTCAGTGTATATGTCTTGCACTTCTTTAGTTAGATTTTTTCTGAATATTTTATTCTTTTTACTGGTATTGTTGATGGAATTGTCTTTTTCATTTCATTTTAAAATTTTTCATTGTGTGTATACAAATACAACTGATTTTTATACATTGAACTTATATCGTGTCACCTTGCCAAATTTATTAGCTTTAATATGTATGTGTGTTTATTATTTAGGGTTTTCTCTATATAAAATTAGGTCATCTGTGAACAGAGATACTTTTACTTCTTCCTTTTCAGTATGGATGCATTTTATTTCATCTTCTTGCCTACAGCATTCTTTTTTGCCCTGGCTATAACCTCCAGTAAAATGTTGAATAGAAGTGGTGAGAGGTAGACATCCTTGTCTTCTTCCTGATCTTAGGAGCAAAGCTTTCAGTCTTTCCCTGTTAAGTATGATGTTAGCTATTGGTTTTTCATGGATGCCCTTTATCAGGTTAAGAAATTTTCTTTTCTGTTTCTAATTTGTTGAGAATTTTTATCATGAAAAGATGTTGGAATTTGTCAAATACTTTTTCTGCATCTATTGAGATGATCATGTGGGTTTATGCTAATATGCTTTATTATGTTGATAAATTTTTATATGTTGGACCAACCTCACATTTCTGGGATAAACTCTACTTGGTCATGGTGAATAACCCCTTTCATATGCTGTTAGATTCCATTTGCTAATGTTTTGTTGAGAATGTTTGCATCTGTAGTCACAACGGTTATTGATCTGTAGTTTTTACTTTTGATGTGTTTCACTTCCACAGAATGAATTACGAAGTATTCCCTTCTCTTCTACTCTTTGTAAGAGTTTGAGAAATAATGTTGTTAATTTTTCTTTAAACATTTTGTAGAATACCCCAATGAAACCATCTGGTCGAGGCTTTCCTCATTGAAAGATTTTTTTTTAGAAAAGTTGACTCATTTCTTTATTAGCTACAGGTCTGTTTCTTCTTGAGTCAATTTTGGTAGATCGTGTGTTTCTAAGAATTTGTCCATTTCATCTAGGGTATCTAATTTGATGGTATCCAGCTTTCATAGAATTTTCTTAGAATTATGATATTCTCTCTTTCATTCCTGATTTTAGTAATTGGAGTCTTCTATTTTTTCTTTGCTCAGCCTAGCTAAAGTTTGTCAATATTGTTGATCTTTTCAAAGAACCAACTTTGGTTTTGTTGATTTTCTATGTTGTTTTTCTGTTCTCTGTTTGGCTCCAATCTCTTTTTTGTATGTGTTTGATTTAGATTTAATTTGCTCTTTTTTAAGTTTCTTATGGTGGAAGGTTAGATTATTGATTTGAGAGTTTTTTATTTTATTAGTGAAGGCATTTACAGATATAAATTTCCCTCTGAGCACTGCTTTTATTCAAATGGATTAAACTCTGATATGAAAGATTAAGCTTTAGTATATTGTATTTTATTTTTATTTTATCTCAAAGTATTTTCTAAGTTCTCTTGTAAATTCTTCTTTGACCCATTGGCCAATGGAATGTGTTGTTAATTTGCATGTATTTGTGAATTTCCAGTTTTCCTTTTGTGATTGATTTCTTAATTTATTCTTTTGTGATCAGAGAACATGTTTTGCATTATTTGAATCTTTAAAGATTTACAGAGACTTGTTTTTTGGCCCAATATATGTTTCATCAGGAAAATGTTCCATGTATGCTTGAGAAGAATGTGTATTCTGCTGCTGTTGGGTTGAGTGTTCTATAGATGTCAAGTTGATTGGTTTATAGTGTTGTTCAAGTCTTCTGTTTCCTTGCTGTTATTCTATTTGTTCTATTCATTATTGAAATTGAGGTATTTAATTCTCCAACTATTATTGTTGAATTCCCTATTTTGTATTTCAATTCTGTCAATTTTTTGCTTCAGGTATTTTTAGGACTCTGTTGGTAGGTGTGGTATATTTATAATTGCAGTATTTTCTTAATGACTTGACCTTTTTATTAGTGTATATTGTGCTGCTTTGTTTTTAGTAGCAATTTTTATCTTAAAGTGTATTTCATCTGATATTAGTGTATACACTCCAGCTCTATTTTGGTTTCTGTTCACATGAAATATCCTTTTCTTTCCTTTTACTTTCAACCTGTTTTTGTCTTTTAATCTAAAGTGAGTCTCTTGTAGACAGCATACAGTTCCACAAGTTTCTAATTTATTCTGCCAATCTCTGCCTTTCTCTTAGAGAGTTTAGTTCATTTACACAATATGTAATTACCAATTAGGAAGAATTTACTTACACTTCACTATCAGAAAGTAGTGTAGAGTTTTTGTATGTTATCAAAGTTAAGTTTTTGACTGGGCATGGTGGCTCACACTTGTAATCTCAGCACTTTGAGAGGACAAAGCAAGAGGATTGCTTGAGCCTAGGTGTTTGACATCAGCCTGGGCAACATAGTGAGACCTCATTTCTAAAAAAAAAAAAAAAATTAGCCTAGTGTGTGCACCTGTAGTCCTAGGTACCCAGGAGGCTTGGGTGAGAGGATCATCTCTCAAGGAGTTAGAAGCTGCAGTGAGTTATGATCACGCCACTGCACTCCAGCCTGGGCAACAGAGCAAGCCTCTGTCTCAAAACAAACAAACAAGTTTTTATCAGCTTAAACTGTTATAACTATAATATGCTTTATGTAAGCCTCATGGTAATGGCAAAGCAAAAACATATAGTAGATACAGAAAAGATGAAGAGAAAGGAATCAAAGCATACTGCTACAGAAAATTGTCAAGTCACAAAGGAAGACAGCAAGAGAGGAAGAAAGGATCAAGGCATCCTCAAAACACCCAGAAACAAATTAACAAAATGACAATTGAAAGTTCTTATCAATAATTACCTTGAATGTAAATGCATTAAATTATCCAGTCAAAAGACAGATTGGCTGAATAGATTTAAAAACAAGACTCAACTATATGCTGCCGTAAGAAAATCACTTCAACTTTAAAGACATACATAAACCGAATGTGAAGGAATTAAGATACTTCTTGCAAATGGAAACCAAAAGAGAGCAGGGGTAGCTATATTTATATCAGACAAAATATAGTTTGACTACAAAACTTTAAAAGAGATCAAAAAGGTCATTATGTAATGAAAAAGGGATCAATTCATTAAGAGGACACAATAATCATATATGTACCCAACATCAGACCACGTAAATAATATACAGCAAATATTAATAGATCTGAAAGGAGAAATAGACAGCAATACAGTAATAATGAGGGACCTCATTACCTAACTTTCAACTACAGACAGGATATCCAGAGAGAAAATCAGTAAGGAAACATTAGATTTTACACTTTATACCAAGTAGACCTAACAGATATATACAGAAATACAGAACATTCTATTCAACAGCAGCAGAGTACAGATTCTTCTAAAGTATACATGGAACATTCTTCAGGATAGGTTATACGTTGGGCCACAAAACAAGTCTTAATGTATTTAAGCAGATTGAAATTATATTTTAATTATATATCAAATTATGTAATATTTCTTTCTGATCATAGTATCATGAAACTAGAAATAACTAATGGAAGGGAATTGGGAAAATTACAAATATGTGGAAATCAAACAACATACTCCCAACCAATGGAGCAGAAGAAATCAGTAGGAAAATTAAAAAATATCTTGAGACAAATGAAAATGAAAACACAGTGTACCAAAACTTTGGGTATATCAGTCCATTCTCACACTGTTATAAAGATACTGAGACTGGATAATTTATAAAGAAAAGAGGTTTAATTGACTCACAGTTCCACATGGCTGGGGAGGCCTCAAGAAACTTAACGATCATAGCAGAAGGTGAAGGGGAAACAAGGCACATCTTCATAAGGCAGCAGGAGAGAGTGAGGAAGTGCCACACTTAAAAGCCATCAGCTGTCATGAGAACTCAGTCACTAACACGAGAAAAGCATGGGGCAAACCACCTCTGTGATCCAGTCACTTCCCACCAGTTCCCTCCCTCAACACATGGGGATTACAATTTGAGATAAGATTTGCATGGGGACACAGAGCCAAATCTTATCATAGGTGATGCAGCAAAAGTAGTTTTAAGAGGAAAGTTTATAGTGAAAAATGCCTACATGAAGAAAAATGAAAGATCTCAAATAAACAACCTATCATTACATATTGAGAAACTAGAAAAAGAAGAACAAACTAAAGTTAGCAGAAGGAAGGATATAGTAAAGATCAGAGAACAAATACATGAAATAGAACTTAGAAAAATAATAGAAAAGATCAGCAAAACTAAGAGTTGGTTTTTTGAAAAGATAAATGAAATTGACATACTGTTAATTAGATTAAGAAAAAAGAAGACTAAAATAAAATCAGAAATGAAAGGGAAGACATTACAATTGATACCACAGGATTACAAAGGATCCTAAGAGAGTACTACAAACACTTATATGCCAATAAATTAGCCCAGAAGTAATGGATAAATTCCTAGAAACACACAACCTACAAAGACTTAATCATGAAGAAAAAGAAGTCTTGGATTTAATCGTGAAGAAAAAGAAGTCTTAACAGGCTAATAATGAGTAAGAAGTTTGAATCAGTAACAAAAATCTTTCTATCAAAGAAAAGTCCAGGATCCGATGGCTTCACTGATGAATTCTACCAAGCATTTAAAGAAGAATTAATACCAGTGCTTCTCAAACGCTTCCAAAAAAAATTGAAGAGAAAATGTCTTAGTCTATTTTGTGTTGCTGTAACAAAATACCACAGACTTGGTAACTTACATAGAAAATAAATTAATTTCTTACAGTTTTGGAGACGGGGAAGTCCAAGATCTAGGGCCCACATCTGGTGAGGATCCTCTTGCTATGTCATTGCATAGCAGAAGGCAGAAGAGAAAAAGAGTGCGAGAGAGCAAGAGATGGAACTCACAGCTTCAAGCCCTTTTATAATCAGCATTAATGCATTGATAAGGATGGAACCCTCATGACCTAAGCACCTCCCATTAGGCCCTACTTCCTAATACTGTTGCATTGGGGATTAAGTTTCTAACACATTAACTTTGGAGGGCATATTCAAACCATAGCAAGAAGGAACATCTTCCAACTTGTTTTATGAGGCTAGCATTACCCTGATAGCAAAGCCAGGCAAAAATTCTACAAGGAAAGAAAATTACAAGCCAATATCCCTGATGAATATATGTGTAGAAATCTTTAGCACAATACTAGAAAACTGAATTCAATAGCATATTAAACAAATAAGTGGGATTTATCCCTGGGATACAAAGATAGTTCAATATAATCAATAAGTGTGGTACAACACATTAACAGAAAGAATGAAGGACAAAAATTATATGATTATCTCAAATATTTAAACCAACATTTGACAAAATTCAACAATCTTTTATGACAAAAACTCTAAACAAATTTAGGTATAGAAATAATATGCCTCAACACAATAAAGGTCATATTTCACAAGCTACCATCATAGTCAACCATAAATGGTTGAGAGCTTTTTCTCTAAAATCAGGAAGAAGACAAGGATGCCCACTCTCACCACTTTTATTTAAAGTAGTAGTGGAAATCCTAGTCAAAGCAATTAGGCAGTAAAAATAATTTTATTATTTTATTTTATTTTATTTATTTATTTTATTAGTCATCCAAATTGGGAAGGAGGAAATTGTTTCTGATTGCAGGAGATGTGATCTTGTAATAGAAATTCCTAAAGACACCACCCCAAAACTAATTAGAACTATAAATGAATTTAGTAAAGTTGCAGGATATAAAAAGCAGTTGTGTTTCTGTACACTAATAACACATTAGTGTACAGTATTAGAAAAAGAAATTAAGAAATCAGTCTGATTTACAATAGCATCAAAAATAATAACATAAATAAACTTAAATAAGGAGATGCAAGATCTATACACCAAAAACTATGAAACATTGATAAAAGAAATGGAATGATACACAAATGGGAAGATATCCCATGTTCATGGATCAGAATAATCAATATTATAAAAATATTCATAATACCCAAAGTGATCTACAGATTCAATGCAGTCTATCAAAATTTCATTGGCATTTTTCACAGAAATAGAAAAAACAATCCTAAAATTCATAGGGAACCACAAAAGACCCCGAATAGCCCAAGCAATT
Source organism: Homo sapiens (assembly GCF_000001405.40). Classification (NCBI taxonomy): domain Eukaryota; kingdom Metazoa; phylum Chordata; class Mammalia; order Primates; family Hominidae; genus Homo; species Homo sapiens. Next base: position 1,658,885 of record NW_011332701.1, on the reverse strand, counting down.
TTTAACAGGAAGAACAAAACTGAAGTCATCACATCTCCTGATTTTAAATTATATTACAAAGCTATAGTAGCCAAAAAAACATGCTACTGGCATAAAAACAGACACATAGACCAATGGAACAGAATAGAAAGCCCATAAATAAACCCATGCATATATGGTCAACTAATCTTTGACAAAGGTGCCATGAATACACAATGGGAAAAGGATCATTGTTTTCAATTAATGGTGTTAGGAAAACTGGATATCCTCATGCAAAAAAAGAAAAAATATGAAAGGAAACAAAATTGGAGAGTTATCTGACACTGTACACAAAAATCAAGTTAAAATTGTTTAAAGATTTAAAGGAAAGGCCTGAAGCCACAAAACTCCTAGAAGAAAACATAGAAAGCTCAATAAGATGGATCTTAGCAGTGATGTTTTGAATATTACACCAAAAACAGAAGCAACAAAAGTAAAAACAAATAATTGGACTACACCATACTAAAATATTTCTTTAGAGCAAAGGAAACAATGAAATGTAAAGGCAACTCACAGAAGACATACAAATGGCAACAAGTATGTGAAAAAGTGCTCAACATCATCAATCATCAGGGAAATACAAATCAAAACTACAATGAGATGTGATCTCCCACCTGTTAGAATGGCTATTCTCAAAGTACCAACAGATAACAAGAGTTGGTGAGGTTGTGGAGAAAAGGGAACCCTTATATATTGATGCTGGGAATGTAAATTGGTACTGCCATTGTGGTAAACAGTATAGAGGTTCCTCAAAAAATTATAGAACAACCATATGATCCAACAATTCTACTTCTGGGTATATATCCAAAGTAATTGAAATCAGTGTTTTAAAGATAAATCTACACCCCCATGTACACTGCAGCATTAGTCACAATAGCCAAGATAATGGGAACAACCTAATGTCCATCAGTGGATAAACTGATAAAATGTGACACACATACAAACACACATCCAGACACACACACACATGCACACAAACACACAGGCAGAGGAGTATTAGCCAGCCTTCAAAGAAAGGAAATCCTGCCTTTTTGAACAACATGGATAAGCCTGGAGGACATTACACTAAGTGAAATAAGCAAGCCAGGGAATGATAAATACCACATGGTCTCACTTATATGTGGAATCTAAAAACGTGGCTCATAGAAACAGAGAGGAGAATGATGGTTGCAGGGGCTGGGCCTGTGGGAAATGGGTAGGTGTTGGTCAAAGCGAACAAACTTTCAGTTACACGATGAGTTAGTTTTGGAGACCTAATGTGGCTATAACTAAAATAATAATGTTTTGTATACTTGAAATTTGCTAAGAGAGTAGATTTTAAATATTCTTACCACAAGGATAAAAATGGTAACTATGTGAGGTGATGGATATGTTAATTGGCCTGATTGTGGTAATCATTTTACAGTGAATATGTGTATCAACTTATGTTGTTCACCTAAAATATATACAATTTTTATTTGTCACTTATACCACAATAAAGCTGGAAGAGTTGAATACATTTTAACGTATTTTGGCACAATTTTATGTGTATAAAGTTCTTGTGTCTTAGTTTTTTTCTAGGTACCTGGTGGAGTTTATTGCTAATTCTAAAAATGGTTTTTAATTGATTGTTATTGAAATATTGGAAAGCGTTTTTAAAGTTTTTTTTTTCCTATAGTCTTTCCAAACTCGTATTAGGTCTGATACTTTGTATATGTTTTTGAATTTTATATGTAATCATTCTGTCAGTAAAGAATGATAATATTGTCTCTTTTCGATCCTTGTTACTTATTTTCTTAATTGTGCTGGCTGGGAATTCCCATTAAATATTGAATAGTAATAGTGAAGGAGAGCATTTTTGCTGTGTCTTCATTGGGAATGCTTTCTTTAAATTTTTTGAGATGGAGTCTCACTCTATTGGCCAGGCTGGAGTACAGTGGTGTGATCTTGGCTCTCTGCAACCTCTGCCTCCTGGGTTCAAGCAACTCTCCTGCCTCAGCCTCCCGAGTACCTGGGATTACGGGTGTGAGCCACCACCCTGGCTAATTTTTTGTATTTTTAGTAGAGATGAGGTTTCACCATATTGGCCAGGCTGGTCTTGGAACTCCTGACCTCAGGTGATTCGCCCACCTCAGCCTCCGAAAGTGCTGGGATTACAGGCCTGAGCCACCATGCCTAGCCAGGAATGCTTTTATTATCTCTATCTGTCTATCTATCTATATTCTGTTTATTTCTATCTGAACTATTTATTTATTTTTAGAGACAGGATCTTACTCTGCACACTGGCTGGAGTGCAGTGGTGTTATCATAGCTCACTGCAGCCTTGAATTACTGGGCTCAAGTGATCCTTCTGCCTGAGAATGCTTTTAAATGCTCAGCATTAAGCGTGCTGTTTGCCTCAGGATTTACATAGCTTCTCTTTATGAGGTAAAAAGAGTTGTCGGCCGGGCGCGGTGGCTCACGCCTGTAATCCCAGCACTTTGGGAGGCCGAGGCGGGCGGATCACGAGGTCAGGAGATCGAGACCATCCCGGCTAAAACGGTGAAACCCCGTCTCTACTAAAAATACAAAAAATTAGCCGGGCGTAGTGGCGGGCGCCTGTAGTCCCAGCTACTTGGGAGGCTGAGGCAGGAGAATGGCGTGAACCCGGGAGGCGGAGCTTGCAGTGAGCCGAGATCCCGCCACTGCACTCCAGCCTGGGCGACAGAGCGAGACTCCGTCTCAAAAAAAAAAAAAAAAAAAAAAAAAAGGGTTGTCAGGGAAGCATTGGAAATACTATTATTGAATTACTAATAAGTTCACTAATTAGGATTTTAACTGAAGTCACTGTTATTTAAAATAATTTATTTCAACAAAAACTTTTTTTTTTTGGAGACGGAGTCTCACTCTGTCGCCCCAGCTGGAGTGCAGTGGCGTGATCTCAGCTCACTGCAACCTCCGCTTCCAGGGTTCAAGCGATTCTCCTGCCTCAACCTCCTGAATAGCTGGGATTACAGGTGCCCGCCACCACGCCTGGCTAATTTTTGTATTTTTAGTAGAGACGGGGTTTCACCATGTTGGCCAGGCTGGTCTCGAACTCCTGACCTCAGGTGATCTACCTGCTTTGGCCTCCCAAAGTGCTGGGATTACAGGCATGAGCCACCGTGCCCAGCCTCAATAAAAATTTTAACAATTATTTTAACAATAGGCAGTGTGTTTGGCAGCATGTTAAAATAGTAATTGCCTTTTATTTCCTATCGGGAAAAGTTATACCTCTATATTAATATGTTTAACACTTGAAGGTCATAACCGATAGCTCATAGAATTTAGCAACCTTCCTATTGAGTCCTCATGGCTCTTGAGGTATCTGCCTGGCTTCTTAGAGTTTTATAGAACACAATTTGTCAATCTGATGTAGAATGTACTTCTCCTTTTACAATGGTGATAATTATGACTTGCTCTCTAACACATGGAAATCACATGATATCGTAATCATAATTAGAACCAAAGAATGTTAGACCAAGGTGTTTCCCACTATGCATATATGAACTTATTAATCAATCTAAATAATGCCAGGTAATAATCAGTGCATTCCTAACATGAGCTGATGTTTTCCTCATGCTACTGCTAATTCTTACAATGACTTTGCAGTCTGAGTATTACTGCGCCAGTTTTATACAGGTGATTAAACTGTGGGGTTGAGAAGTGAAGTAAGTTACATGCAATAAATGGGGATGTCTATGGTACAGCCTACTGGAGATTCTTTTTCTCCCTGAGACTTTTAGCTGCCTTTGTCTGCCCTGAAACCCACAAGCTAGAAAAAAAAAAAAATCAAACCAACAGTAGAAATAAAGGCAGTGAATCGTATGGCTTTGACAGATTGGGCCTTGCTGTGTGATTGCAAAAAAGTTAAGTTTGACATCCTGAGTGTTTGAGCTTTTCATGGAGTGCAGGAAAAGGTCTAGCTGATGGAAATAGTTTTTTCCCCTCAGTTGAGTAACGAGATTGATATGTATAGTGTCAATCAGAAGGGTGTGGTTGTGAATTCTCTAACTTAACTTTAATGTCTACTGTGAGGCAGGAGATGACCATGATTGGAAACTTGTTTTCTAGTTGTTCTAAGTCGAAAAGGTAAATAATTTCCCCTATGCTGGCTATCTCCATGAAATAAATCTTCATGTTTTTTCCTTTACCTTCTCCCAACAACTTTGGGCTGTGTGAGAGAAGTTGAAGGAAAATACAGAGATTTCTTTCTTGAATGCAGTCAGATAGCTACTGTGTGAAACTTCCTGAGATTTACTTTGCCCTTCCATTTATCCAAGGACTCTTTAGATTTAAAGCCTTCTACAATATGAAACCTAGGGACCCTAGGGCTCACCAGATTGGAACTTAAAATTGTAGGGAGCAAAAGAATTGATGGTTTGTTCCAGAAAGGGCAGGTACTCACACTCAACAAGTCTAGATGAGAGGTGACAATGTGCTAGCAGTGCTCGCTCGCTCACTCTCTGCACCTCCTGGGCCTCGATGTCTGCTTTGGCCACGCTTGAGGAGCCCTTCAGCCCCCTGCTGCACTGTAGGAGCCCCACTCTGGGCTGGCCGAGGCAGGAGCCAGCTCCCTCTGCTTACGGGGAGGTGTGGAGGGAGGGGTGCGGGCAGGAACCAGGGCTGTGCACAGGGCTCGTGGGCTAGCCCAAGATCTGGGTGGGTGCAGGCAGCGGCCCCACACTCGGAGTGGCCAACTGGTGCCACTGGCCCTGGGCAGTGAGGGGCTTAGTACCTGGGCCACCAGCTGTGGAGGGGGCGCTGGGTCTCCTAGCACTGCTGGCCCGCCTGTGCCACACTCGAATTCTCGCGGGGCCTCAGCCGCCTCCCCACGGGTCAGGGCTGGGGATCTGCAGCCCGCCATGCTGCCCCCTGCAGTGGGCTCCCGTGCTGCCCGAGCCTCCTGCCTGAGCCTCCCAGAGGGGCATCACCCCCTGCTCCATAGGCGTCCAGTCCCATAGACCCCCAAGGGCTGAGGAGAGCAGGCGCCTGGAGTGGGACTGGCAGGCAGCTCCCCTTCGGCCCTGGCACGGGATCCACTAGCGGAAGCCAGCTGGGCTCCTGAGTCAGGTGGGGACTTGGAGAACTTTTATGTCTAGCTGGAGGATTGTATATGCACCAGTCAGCACTCTGTGTCTAGCTCAAGGTTTGTAAATGCACCAATCAGTGCTCTGTGTCTAGCTAATCTAGTGGGGACTTGGAGAACTTTTACACCTAGCTAGAGGATTGTAAATACACCAATCAGCACTCTGTGTCTAGGTCAGCGATTGTAAACGCACCAATCAGCACCCTGTCAAAACAGACCAATTAGCTCTCTGTAAAACGGACCAATCAGCTCTCTGTAAAATGGACCAGTCAGCTCTCTGTAAAATGGGCCAATCAGCAGAATGTGGGTGGGGTCAGACAAGGGAATAAAAGCAGGCTGCCGGAGCCAGCAGCCGCAAACTGTTTGGGTTCTCTTCCATGTTGTGGAGGTTTTGTTCTTTCGCTCTTTGCGGTAAATCTTGCCACTGCTCACTCTTAGGCTCTGTATTACCTTCAAGAGCTGTAATACTCACAGCGAAGTTCTGCAGCTTTGCTTCTGAGGCCAGAGAGACCATAAACCCATTGGGAGAGAAGGAAGAAACTCCCAACATGTCCGAACACCACAAGGAACTAACGACTCCAGATGCACCGGCCTTTAAGAAGTGTAAAATTCACCGGGGGTCCACGGCTTCATTCTTGAAGTCAGTGAGACCGAGAACCCACCAATTCCGCACATACAGAAATGTTTACTGGAGAGCGAGAATGGACCACCTTTGACTATATAATTCATTTTCCATTGTTAAACTGCTTTGAACCCAATAGAATTATTGAATTTTATTGCTGAGCTATTTAGAGACAGTTTCATTTCAGAAGAATTAAAACATTTTGATGCTTGAACATTTTTGTGGTGATCTTTGTAGCAAAACTTCAGGATGCATCAAAAGCATCAGCCATCTCGAGACCTGTGTCAGCACAGCCTAGTTGGAAGAACTGCGCCGTCATGGCCTGTGGTTGTGTAGCTGAGCGATGGTACCCAGACGTGCAAATGTGCCTAGCTTTGTGGACGGCATCAGGCAGGGGCGTGTTCACCTAGAGTGCTGTTAAGTTCTCCTTCATAGAGCTGCAGGCTCTGATGGACGGGTACTGTTGGGGTTGTGCATGGGATATCCAGAGAGACATGACATTTTGTGCGTAAAATACATATGTTCTTATTTATTGGTTTAGAATTGATGCCAGTAATTGGCATTGGGATGCACCTATGTATAGAATGAATTCAATTAAAATAGTTTTTGGACTGCTCTTACATTCTTGTAAAATACGCACATACAGAATCAAAGTTCAGGTGGCCTTTACACATGGAATTTTATCCTGTTGCTGACTGTTGATAAAGATCACCCCACCATGTTTTCTGTCTGCACCCAAGGGCAACGTCTTACTTTGGCAGGTAACTCATGTCCTTGGCAGTTCATGGTTCCATATGGTTTAGTCTATATTACATTACCTTTTGATATTGCTACAAGCACCCAGTTAGCATATTATCTTAAATCAGTACCCTCGCTCCATATTTCTCTCGGCCAGGCAGGTAAGGAAGGAAGGAAGAGATCTCAGGGTAATCCATGCTGCTTCTGCTACTGCCTGTGATTCAGAACTTTGATCAGTTTGTCAGAAGCCAGTTTTTCCCATGTTTTATTTTTCTTTACTGAGGTGAAATTAACTTAACAGTAATAATTTTTGTGTGAATAATTCTTTGACGTTTAGTACATTCACACCGTTGTGTAACCACTCCCTCTATAAAAGTCCAAAATTATTTTCATTGTCTCCAGAGGAAATCCCATACTCATTAAATTGTTTCTCCCTATTTCCCCTCTCCTAGCCCCTGGAAGCCATCAGTCTGAATTATGTCCCTGTGGATTGTTACCTGTTTCTGATATTTTATACAATTGGAGCCATTCAATATGTGGGTGTAAATTTCTCCTTCATTTTTCAAGGGTATTTTTGTAGGATGTATCATACAATGCTTGGTTGGAAGCATCACCCCCATCCTGCCCATCACTTTAAAATGTCATTTCATTGCCTTCTGGTCCCCTGGTCTCTGATGAGAAGTCAGCTGTTAATCTGATTGAGGATCCCTTGTATGTGAATCAGTGGCTCCTCTCTCGCTGATTTCAAGATTTTTCTCTTTGCCCTTGGCTTTTTGACTGTTTGATTATAATGTGTCTCAGTGTGGATTTCTTTGTATTCATCTCACTTGAAACTCACTGAACTTCTTGTGTGTGTAGATTTGTATCTTTTATCAGGTATGGTAAGTTTTGGCAATTATTTCTCCAAATATTCTTTGTGTTCCTTTCACTCGCACCTCTCCTTCTGGGATTCCTGTTATGTACTTGGTATTGGTATGCTTGATGGCATTTCATACCTGTTAATCTTTTATCATTTTTGTTCTTCCTCTCAGACTGGATAATTTTCATTGCCCTGTCTTTATGTTCGCGGGTTCTTTCTTCTGCCTAGTCAAGTCTGTTACTGAGATGCTCTAGTGATTTTTAAAAAAATTCAGTTGGTGTACTTTTTGACCTTAGAATTTGACTCCCTTTTATAATTTCTATATCTTTATTTCAATTCACTTATTTGTTCATACATTCTTATCCTGATTTCCTTTAGCTCCTTTTCCTTTCTTTCCTTTAAGTCATTTAGCATATTTAGGGCAGTTGATTTAAAGTCTTTAGTAAGTCCAGTGTGTGTGTTTCTTCAGGGACAATGTTTGTTAATTTCTTATGTGAATGAGCCATATTTTCTTGTTTCTTTACATGGTTCATAAGTTATTGTTGAAAACTGAACATGCCAGGCATGGTGGCTCACACTTGTAATTGTAGCAGTTTAGGAGGTTAAGGTGGGCAGATCACTTGAGGTCAGGAGTTTGAGACCAGCCTGGCCAACATGGCAAAATCCCGTCTCTACTAAAAATAGAAAAATTAGCCAGGTGTGGTGGTGCATGCCTGTAATCCCAGCTGCTCTGGAGGCTGAGGCAGGATAATTAGTTGAATCCAGGAGGTGGAGGTTGCAGTGAGCTGAGATCGAGCCACTGCACTCCACCCTGGGTGACAGAGTGAGACCCTGTCTCAAAACAAACGAACAAACGCCTGGACATTTTGCATATTAAACAGAGGTAACTCTGGAGATCAGATTCTTCCCCCACCTCAGGGTTTGTTGTTGCTTGCTATAGACTGTAGAGTTTTGCAAGATCTGTAATTCCTTACCGTGTGTGGTCTCTGAAGTCTCTGTTTAGTTGTTTGTTCAGCTAGTGCTGTCAAAGAGATTTCCTTGAGCACCAGATGCCAAAACATGATAGAGAGAGCGAGGGGGTTGGAGAGAGAGGCAGAGAAAAACAGAGAGAGAAGAGACTGACCGCTTATCTGTATGGAGTGGCTCTGTGGTGGAGTCCTCCTTTAACACTTAGCCTGGCTTTTTACAGCTATGCCTTGACCTTCATTTCTTGTTTATACTGAACCTGGAGCTCATCCAGAGGTGAAAGACTGGGGTCTTCTCAGGCTTCTTCTGAGCATGCGTTCTGCTCTGGGCATTCACATGGCTGTCTACATTCCCACCCATATGCATAGGTGCTTTGGAATGCTTGAATTTCTTTTTCCCTTTTATTTTTAGTTGTCAAATAATAACTGTACATATTTATGGGATACAGAGTGATATTTCAATATGTGTATACAATGTGTAATGATCGAATCAGGATAATTAGCATATCCATCACCTCATTTCTTTGTGTTGTGAACATTGAAAATCCTCTATTCTAGCTTTTTGAGAATATATAATAAATTGTAGTTAACCATATTCACCCTATAGTGCTATAGAACACCAGAATTCATGCTTCCTATCTAGCTGCAACTTTGTATCCATTAACCAACCTCTCATCATCCTCCCCTCACTGGTACCCTTCCCAGACTCTGCACCCACAATTCTAATTTTCTATATCCATGAGCTCATTTTTTTTCAGCCATCACATATGGTTGAGATCATGTGGTATTTGTCTTCCAGTGCCTGACTTACTTTGCTTAACATAATATCCTTCAGGCTGATCTGTGTTGCCGTAAATGACAGGATTTCATTCTTTTTGTTTGTTTGTTTGTTTTGAGGCAGAGTCTCGCTCTGCCGCCCAGGCTGGAGCGCAGATGTACAATCTTGGCTCACTGCAACCTCTGCCTCCCAGGTCCAAGCGATTCTCTTGCCTCTGCCTCCTGAGTAGCTGGATTACAGGCGCACGCCACCACGCCAGGCTAATTTTTATGTCTTTAGTGGAGATGGGGTTTCACCATGTTGGCCAGGCTGGTCTTCAACTCCTGACCTCAAGTGATCTGCCCACCTCGGCCTCCCAAAGTGCTGGGATTACAGGCGTGCGCCACTGTGCCCGGACAGGATTTCATTCTTTTTTTTCTTTTTTTATGGCCAGATAGTATTCCATTTTCATTCTATCTTATGGCCAAATAGTATATCATACGTACACCGCATGGTATTTATCATTCTCTGGCTTGCTTATTTCACTTGGTGTGATGTCTTTCAGGCTTATCCATGTTATTAAAAAAGGCAGGATTTCCTTCTTTTTAAAGTGTGAATAGTACTCTATTGTGTGTTTGTGTGTGTGTGTGTCTCCCATTTTCTTTAACAATGTATCAATTTATCATTTTATCAATTTCTTTATCCATTGATGGACACTGAGGTTGATTTCCTATCTTAGATATTGTGAATAGTGCTGTAATGAACATGGGAGTATGGATATCTCTTCAACATACTGATTTCCTTTCCTTTGGATAAACAGCCAGCAGTGGGATTGCTGGATCATATGGTAGTTCTGTTTTTACTTTTTTGAGAAATCTCCATACGATTTTCCTTAGCAGCTATACTAATTTACATTCTCACCAACAGTGTATAAGAGTTCCCTTTCCATCCTCACCAGCATTTATTACGTTCTGTCTTTTTGATAATAGCCATTGCAACTGGGTTGGGATGGTATATATCATTGTGGTTTTGATTTGCATTTCCCTGATGATTGGTGATGGATGTCGAGCATTCTTTCATATATCTCCTGGCCATTTGTATGTCTTCTTTTGAAAAATGTCTATTCAGATCCTTTGCCCACTTTTTAATGGGATTATTTGTTCTTTGCTGTTGAGATGTTTGAGTTCCTTGTGTTGAATGCCTGAATTTCTTAAACCCTGTCCCCAGCCTTTCCTTTCATGGTTTTGGCACTCTACCGTGTGCCTCAATGGTAATCTTCTGTCCCAGGGACTGCAGGTTGCTCATTTGCCTTCTAGTGTTTTCCAGGAGTGCCTGCCACTTTTCTGCCCTGAGTGCATTCTGAGTTACACAGAACAGAGAGGAGCCCCTTGAATCAGTCCTTCAGCAGCCTCCAGACAGGTTAGAGCAAACACAATTCTTTGTGAATCAAGTCTGCTCTGCACCCTCGGGAACCAGGGGCCAGGTCCTGCACTGGGAATGCTGCTGCTGTCTTCAAGACAGGGGCCAGGTCCTGCACTGTGGAGCTGGAGAGGAGGGTGGATTTGGGTAGATGAAAACACCACAGGGCCTTCCTCCTGCTTTTATTTTACCTTTCTCTCCATTCCATTTTTGCTTGGTTGCTGCGAACCATTTACTGTTTCCATTATTCTGACAAAGTTGATTCTGACAGTTTTTGCTTGAATTTTCAATGGTTTTGTGGAGGATGGACCCTTGGAGCTGCCTACTCTGCCTTTTTGCTGATGTCCCAGGCCAGAAGCCAGAAATGCTTTAATGTTGCCAACAAAGTATGCTTTTGGCTTGCAGGGTGAGTCTTGGGGTTAAAGCTTTCATGCTTCAAACAGGCTAGGTGCCCAATAAAACCCTGCAAGCAATAGACAAATAAAAATTCTAATTCATAACCAGTTAACGTTTTCCTGCTGTAGCCCTTAGTTCATATTCTGTATTTATATATGATAATACGTGCTTTTAAAAGGCTTTTTTCCATATCATAGTCAATAGATACTTTGTGACTTAAGTTCTTATTTCATTCAGTAAAGAATTTATTCCACAAGTGAGTTCTATGGGTTAAGGTGTGGCAGGCCCTTAGGAAGCAAGGTGTTTATAAATGAATAGAATAGCATCTTAGCTGAGTGTTTCTGTTATCATGATTACTTTAAAAAATCTGTTTTTTGCATATTATAATCCCTTTTTTCTCAGTAAAAGACAAGCAAATATGAAGTATGTGTGTGAGAGTCTGTGCGTGTGTGTGTGTACACATGCATGTACCTATGGCATGTGAATGATTATTTTCTGTTGGTAGTGTTTGTGTTTGTTACAATGCATGTATACACTGTTGACAGTTTGGGATCTGACACTTAAAAGGAAGAGAAGTTTAATCTTCATGCAGTACTGCTTCTGGGCCATGGTCCTGGCCCTCCAGAACTAGCTGTGTTGTGGGTGGTGTGACAGATTTATTCCTTCCGCTAGGGCAGTGGAGTGCCCTCTGAACAATTGAAGATCTTGAAAGGGACCCCTAAATCCACTTGTAGTCCATGCTGAGGCTCATGGATGGGCATTATGAATGGAAGGGCCATAGGGTAGCTTTCTGTTTTAATTGAACATTCTTGTTATTAGATGTGAAGTTCAGTTGTTCTAGCTCTTGAAGGAGCTATTTGCTTTCAACCTATATTGTAAAAAATTAAAATATTTTTAAAAATCTTTAAAATTTTTGGTTCCTTCTGAGCTTTGACATCCTGGGAAAACCCTGGCTGCCCTCCTGGGTTGCACATGTCTACCTGTGCATGCAGCGTGTATCCTGCAGGAGCTCCAGGACTGCAGAGGAGGCTGTCAGCAGTGAGGTGTCATCATAGTGTGAAAGTTTTTGTATGAGGACTTGCAGATTTTATAACAGCTGAAACGTAGACTATAGCCAGATAGGCAGTTTCCAACAAACTAATAAAATCAATCATTTTGTAGTTATTTAAAAAATGTAATAATCAGAAATCTCAGCAAGTGATTTTGAGGATTTGAATAAACTGATTCTGAAATTTATGTGGAAAAGCAAAAGATTCAGAATAGTTGACACAATAGCGAAGGAGATCAACCAAATTAGAGGACTAACAATACTCGACTTCAACACTTACTTAATCAGGATAGTGTAGTCTTGATTAAATAATAGACAATTTATTTCTAACTAGTTAGACCACACAATATAGTTAGCTAATATCTGAAACATGGAACAAAAACAATTCAAGGGCAAAAGGATAGTGTGTTCAACAGATGGGGCTGGAACAGCTAGAGGCCAACACGCAAACTCTTCCCAAAAATGCACTTTAAAATAGATCATAGACCTAAGTGTAAAACATAAAATTATACAGCTCTTCATAAATTACACAGAAGGAAATCTTAATGACCCTAGGTTTGGTGATGGATTTTTTAGATACAACACCAGAGGGACAATACATGAAAGAAAAAATTGGTAAGCTGGACTTCCTTAAAATTAGAAACTTCTGTCTTGCTAAAGACAGTGTCAAGAGAATGAAAAGACAAACCTAGGAGAAAATATTTGCAGAAGTTATATGTGATCAAGGACTTTTATTCAAAATATACAAATAACTCTTAAACCTTGATAATAAGAAAACAAATAACCTGATTAAAAAATGGGCAAACAACCTGAACAGACATCTCACTGAAGATATACAGTTGTCAAATAAGCATATGAAGATGTTCAACATCATATATCATTAGGAAAATGCAAATTAAAACAACAGTGAGATACCACTGCACACCTGTTAGAATGGCTAAAAGCCAAAACACTGATAGCATCAAATGCTGATGTGGAGGTGGAGCAACAGGGAGTCTCATTCATTGTTGGTGGGAACACTAAACACTACAGCCACTTTGGAAGGCAGTTGAGCAGCTTCTTACAAAATGAAACATACTCTTACCCTATGAGCCTACAGTCATACTCCTTGGTATTTACCTAAATGAATTAAAAACTTATGGCCCTACAAAAGCCTGCACTTGGATATTTATAGCATCATTATTCATAATTGCCAAAACTTGGAAGCAGTGGAAATGTCCTTCTGTAGGTAAATTGATAAATAAACTGTGAGATATCCAAACAGTGGAATACTTCTAAGCACTAAAAAGAAATGAGCTATCAAGCTATGAAAAGATCTGGAACTTTAAATTAATATTACTAAGGGAAAGAAGCCAGTCTGAAGAGGCTACACACTGCTGTGATTCCCAAGATATGACATTCCAGATAAAGCAAGACTGTGGAGACAGTAAAAAGAACAGTGGTTGCCAGAGGTTTGGGGGAGGGAGAGATGAATAGGTGGGGCACAGAGAGCAGTGAAACTGTCTCTTAAGATACTACAATGGTGGATACACGTTGTTATACATTTGTCCAAACCCACAGAATGTACAACACCAAGAGTGAACCCTAATGTATACCATGGACTTGGGTGATAATGATGTGTCAGTGTGTAGGTTCATTGATTGTAAGAAATGTACTGGCCAGGTATGGTGGCTCACGCCTGTAATCTCAGCACTTTGGGAGGCTGAAGCAGGCAGATCACCTGAGGTCAGGAGTTCGAGACCAGCCTGGCCAACATGGTGAAATCCCATCTCTACTAAAAATACAAAAAAAAAAAAAAAAATTAGCTGCCTGTGGTTGCAGGCACCTGTAATCCCAGCTACTTGGGAGGCTGAGGCAGGAGAATTGCTTGAACCTGGAATGTGTAGATTGCAGTGAGCTGAGACTGTTCCACTGTACTCCAGCCTGGGCAACAAGAGCAAAACTCCATCTCAGAAAAAAAGAAAGAAAGAAAAGAAAAAGAAATACACCACTCTGATGGGGAAAGCTGTGCTTCTGGGGAGAGGGGGAGTATATGGCAACTTTCTGCCCTTTTTTGCTCCATTTTGCTGTGAACCAAAATCTGCCCTAAATAATAACATGTATGAATTAAATAAACCTTAAAAACGTCATGTTTGGCAGTATGTGGGGGTAGAAGGCAGGATCCGCTTATTCGTGAAGTCAGAGAACCATTGCAGTCCTAACAAGGCAAATGGTGTCTAGGACTAAGTGACTTGATTTATAGAGGAAGATCAAGGCACTGCTCTTTTCCTTATGGCCTTATCCTTGCCTTCAACCCCCAGAGTGCACTTAGCCAGGCTATGTTAAGCATATAATTTAATATTTTTAATCTTTATGCCTTATAAATGTTTCCTTCAGAATTTTTATTAGATTATAAGTAGGTGTAGTGGAGTTGCAGAGTACAGTATTCACACTAATCTCAGATGTGGAGGGTACGTCTGTCTTCCTTATTAATACTATTTTTTTGTATAATCAGTCTGTCTTCTGCATGAATCTTACATCTACTTGAGAGCGGGAGGGTTGTTTTAATTCTGTTTCATTCACAGAGGTCCCTGAGGGCCTTACTACTCTGAGTGTGGCCCATCCATTAGGAGTCTCTGCATCTCCTGGGAGTCTGTTAGAAATGCAGGGTCTCAGGCCCCACCCCCAGATATTTTGTAGCAGGATCTGCATTTTAACGGCATTCCCATGGGATTCCTATGCACACTTCTAATTGAGAAGTGCCCGTATAGGTAGTGCTGAGCCTCTCAGATTTCTCAGCCTCTGCCTGCCCTGCAGGCTCGTCTTCAGAATGGCATCTGGAAGCAGGGATGGTGTAGCTGTCTGATGTCACTGGGGGTGAGGAGCAGAGACTCTGGGCACAGCATCCTTTGGTGCCATGGACCCCCAAGGCAGCACTCCTTCTCCACCTGCTTACTGCTGTCATCTGTTCTCCCATGCTGGGGTATGGTCTAGGGACTTTCCCTCGCTGACTCAGTTCCCCTGGGTTCCTCTGCAGGATTTCTGAGTGTTTGACACATTCCCCCATCTGGCCCTTGGGGGCCACCTCACCTCCTTCCCATGGTGGTCCCCTTGTCTCGCCTCCACATTGCCCAGCTGTTACCTCCCAGACTCTCACCCCCCAACTGCAGCCGTGAGGTTTTCTGGGTCCCACTCACACCTTCGGAAAGTCAGAGTTGCCCGGGAAATGGGATGTTCAATGCCTCTAAACCAGTGTCCACCAGGTTTGCTCTGGCACAGGTTTGCTCTGACAGCAGTCCAGGTTGGCAGGCTCTGCCCCCGCTCCCCCTCCTAGACGTTCCTCCTCTCTGCTGGGACATGGGAGAGTGGGCCCCATGCTGCCTCCCCATGCCCTGCCTAACTCTCTGCATGTTCCCTTCCTTCCACCACATCCGGCTCTTTTTCTTTGCATCACGTCCTTCTGTGACCGTGCTCCAGTGAGCCTGTGGCCTCCCTGCCCTACCAGGGTGCTGTCCACGCAGGGAACAAAGAACGCTGCCCACTGGGGGGCCCTCTGTGCCAGAGGGAAGCTATCTCCTTAGGACTGGACACCCACTTATTTCTCAGTGTGCATTTGTGGGTTTTTTTTTTTTTTTTTTTTTTTTTTTTGCTATAGTGAATGGTCTTGTGTACACATTTTTGGACACTTGTCTGGTTATTTTCGTAGGATGAGCCCTTAAAACTGAAATTGTAGCTTCAAAAGAAATGCAGTGTTTTGAGGCTTAGATATATTCAGACATGTTATTAAAAGCATACTAGTAACTTGAATCAGTAAGAAGAATTCAACAACAATATGAAACTTTAAAGTTGCTAGAAGGGAAAAAAAGCAGAGATAATTAGAATAATGAGGTGTATTATCTGGGACTATTTTAATAACAGATCACATCAGTGCAGCCCAAATTTGCGTAGTGAACAAGCAAATTTTTTAGCACATGAGACTGAAAAATCCAAGAGTAGGGGATATATCTGTTGATGCAGAGGTTCCAGCCATGTCCACAGAACCACATTGCTTTTCCTTTCTTCCTGGGCTCTGTTCTCCTCTCTCTGTGGCTCCATTCCTAGACAGCCTCTACCTCATGGCCTCAAGCAGCTGCTACAATTCCAGACCTCACATCCTTTCTCTCACCTTCAGCCCAATGGGAAAAGTGTCTGTTTCTTCTGCAAGATTCCTGGCAGATCTCTCATTGACTTGACCTCTGTGGCTAGAGGGATAGAACAGCTTATTCTAGGTCCCAGCATGTGTGTGTGTGTGTGTGTGTGTGTATGTATGTGTGTGTGTGTATGTGTGTGTGAGACAGACAGAGAGAGAGGGAGGGAGAGAGAAAGAGAGGGAGGGAGAGAGAGAATTGCAGCCAAAGCTATTCACAGTAGCCCTTAGGGGTGGAGTAGTGGGGAGCAGGTACTCCTTCCCATAGTTGTGCTGTCCAGCTGGTTCCGGAGCACTGATGTGTGGCTGGTGCTGATTGCGATGTGCTGCTGTATGTGGAAAACACCCACTGTATTAGGCCCTTCTTGTGTCGCTATAAAGAAATACCTGACCCTGGGTAATTTATAAGAAAAGAAGTTTAATTCACTCTTGGTTCTGCAGGCTGTGCAGGAAGCATAGCGGCATCTGCTTCTGGGGAGGCCTCAGGGAGTTTTATTCACAGAGGAAGGCAAAGCAGGAGCAACCGCATACCATGGGGAGAGCAGGAGCGGGGGTCGGAGAGGTGCCACACACTTTTTTTTTTTTTTTTTTTTGAGACAGAGCCTCGCTCTGTCACCCAGGCTGGAGTGCAGTGGTGTGATCTTGGCTCACTGCAAGCTCCACCTCCCGGGTTCACGCCATTCTCCTGCCTCAGCCTCCCAAGTAGCTGGGACTACAGGCGCCCGCCACCACGCCCGGCTAATTTTTTTTTTTTTTTTTTGTATTTTTTAGTAGAGACGGGGTTTCACCATGTTAGCCAGGATGGTCTCGATCTCCTGACCTCGTGATCCACCTGCCTCGGCCTCCCAAAGTGCTGGGATTACAGGTGTGAGCCACCACGCCTGGCCTGCCACACACTTTTATTATTATTTTCAATTTTTTTTGAGACAGAGTCTCAAAAGATCTCAGCTCACTGCAACCTCCGCCTCCCCGGTTCAAGAGATTCTCCTGCCTCAGCCTCCTGAGTAGCTGGGATTATAGGCGCCCACCACCACGCCCAGCTAATTTTTGTATTTTTAGTAGAGACAGGGTTTTGCCATGTTTGCCAGGCTGGTCTTGAACTCCTGACCTCAAGTGATCCTCCTGCCTCGGCCTCCCAAAGTGCTGGGATTACAGGTGTGAGCCACTGCACCTGCCCCATACACTTTTAAATGACCAGATCGTGCAAGAACTCAATATGACAAAGACGGCATCAAGCCATGAGGGATCTGCCCCCATGATCCAAACTCCTCCCACCAGGCCCCACCTCCAGCATCAGGGATTATATCTCAACATGAAATCTGGGCGGGGACAAATATCCAAACTACATCACACACGCACTTTAAAGACTTGAGGTGCATGAAAGAATGTACAACATCTGAATATTTTTTATGTTGTTTACACATTGAAAGGATAATATTTTTAATGTATTGGGTTGAAGAAAATATATTGTTAGGCTGGACGCGGTGGCTCACACCTATAATCCCAGCACTTTGGGAGGCCAAGGCAGGCGGATCACGAGGTCAGGAGATCGAGACCATTCTGGCTAACATGGTGAAACTCTGTTTCTACTAAAAAATACAATAAAAATTAGCCGGGCGTGGTGACGGGCGCCTGTAGTCCCAGCTACTCGGGAGGCTGAGGCAGGAGAATGGCGTGAACCCGGGAGGCGGAGCTTGCAGTGAGCTGAGATCACGCCACTGCACTCCAGCCTGGGTGACAGAGCAAGACTCCGTCTCAGAAAAAAAAAAAAAAAAAAAAATATATATATATATATATATATATATAGTTAAATTTAATTTCTTTCTATTCTTTTTAATGTGGCTATGAGGAAATTGTAAAGTACACCCAAGGCTTGTGTTGTGCTTCTGCTGGACAGTGATTCACAGAGGGAAGCAGAACGTGATTTGCAGGACAGTGATTGACCAGTGAGGGCCATCCAGTCCATTCTTACCCACGTGCACCTCGGGAACGCTCATGCCCACGTGAAGTACACCCACCCCCTCCCCAAGTGGGTACAGCCTTGAGTCTCCCCTGTGTATGGGGTGGGCATGGTCTGTATAGAGATCTCCCTGGACCATTTTCCCCGGCCATGTCTGAGATGGACAGGGTCCCCTCTCCAGGCCTGCAGCTTTTTCTCAGCCATGTCTTGCAGGCACAGGTCTGGAGATTGGTAGCAGAGTACCAGAGACCACTGATGGCCAGGTTTGGTGTTTCTCTGGTCCTAAGATTCCTTGAAAAATTTAATGGGCTTTCAGCGTGTATCCACAGTTCTCCAAGCTC
Organism: Homo sapiens; assembly: GCF_000001405.40. Taxonomy (NCBI): domain Eukaryota; kingdom Metazoa; phylum Chordata; class Mammalia; order Primates; family Hominidae; genus Homo; species Homo sapiens. Next base: position 1,640,511 of record NW_011332701.1, on the reverse strand, counting down.
TAAGGGCTAATAACCAAAGCCAGAATCTTCATTTCTTTGTCTCCTAGCAACAGTTTCTCTCCTCAGCCCTTATTTTTTTTTGCACTTTTTGTTGAAGTCTAACATACATGCAGAGAACTGCACAAACAGTTGAGTGTATAGCTCAGTATGTTTTTTACAAACTGAATGTCTCTGTGTAGCCGGCACCCAAAGGCAGAACATCAGTTGCACCTCAAGGTCCCCCTTGTGCTCCCTTCTACTTACTGCCCCCAAAGGTGAACCTTTCTTCTGATTTTTAGCATCCTGTATTAATTTTTCTTGCTTTTGAACTTTATATAAATGGATTCATACAACATGTATTATTTAGTGTCTGATCTCTTACACTTTCAACAGTGTGTTTGTGAAGAGCCATCTGTATTGTTGAGTGGTTCATTCATGTTTATTGCTGTAGAGTGCTCTCTTGTATGAGTGCACTTACCTACCAGTGTGCTGTTGATGGCACTAGGGTAGTTTCCAGTTTCGGGTCTTAGAGTCAGTGCTGCCGACACATTCTCGTACGTGGCCTTGGTGAGCATACGCGCCTGTTTGGATGGGTGTATGCCTAGGAGAGTGGAATTGCTGGGGCACGGAGTGTGCCTGTGTTCAACTGTTGTCGTGGCTGGCAATCGGTTTTCCAGGGTGGTGGCATCGCTGTCTGCTCCCGCCAGCAGCATGTGAGAGGTTTGGCCGCTCCTTGCTGGCACTTGGTGTTTCTCCGCCCTCACTTTGGTACCTCTGTGGCTTCTACTCTAGGGAAGTGTGAGAGACTCACTCGTCCCCTGCTTCCAGGTGTCATTTCTGCCTCATCTTTGCAGTCGAGGGAAATGTCTGTCCTCAGGTCCAGAAGTGTCCAGGAAGGACAAGGGTGGTCAGGGGCAGAGGTGGGGTATTGGGGACGCATGTCCAGGTCTGGCCCTGCCTGGTGGTGGTAAAACCTTGGTGGCTGGACCACGAAGAGGGATGTGTCCTTTCTCTTTGTGGGCCCCATGCTGACCTCCTTGGTGTCTGCAGCAGCAGCCACTGAGTAGCTGTTTGGTGAACGGGCATTCTAACGTCATTTTCTCCTCCCACTTTAGCTCAGAAGCCTAAAAATAATGAAGGGTCAGCTAATGGCTTCCCAGTGAGTCCAATAGAACTACACATAGACGTTTTCCCTTTTATGGGGTGGCAGTGGCAGGTGGTCAACTTTATGGTGGCTTCTGAAACAATAAACATATAATAAAATACACAAAATGCTTTTCCACGCTATTGAACACGTTATGTAAATAGCCAGTTTCCTGTTAAAACATTGTTATTTGGGGGGATAGAAAAGAATTGCAGATTTTAGTTATAAAAATTTAGAGCTAAAGTTTCCTTTTGAAGAGTATAATTTGCTGTCTAAAATGTATATGTGTGTATTATTGCTTTGCATTTCAGGTTGTTGGACTCTTGACATTTTGTAAGTTGGCCTTTGTTTTCACTTCAGGTCTGTCACATTTTCCCCAAATGCAATCATCTTGTCTGTGAATATTTCTTAGTGGCTCTTGTCTCATGAGCAGATCTTACTATGAACAAGATACAGATGCCAACCACTTGGGCAGGGAAGTAGGAGACCTGTCACCATGGGTCAGCTCGCCCTTCCGTAGATCCTGCTTCTCTGGAGGTCTCTCCTCTCGGGAAGGCCTGCCTGGAGAGGGTGTGCCATGGACCAGGGAGAGTGGACATTAGGGCTGGCATCAGAGGTGCTAACTAGCTTCTCAGGACCCATACCCCTCTCTGGGACAGCCTCATGTCCCCTCTGCGGGATGGTACGGCCCTTCAAGGGACCCTTCCTCCTCCTCCTCATTTCTTTCCATTTGGACATCCAGGGATGTGTCTGCCCTTGGTGTCCCCTTCCTTTTGCCCAGCACTGCCCCCTCGCCCCCTACTCCTCCTCCCTCAGCCCCTCTTGCCCACTGGGTTGTGTTTTTTCCTCTGCCCTGGTGGGAGTCAGCTTCGGGCCACCGCCAAGTTGAATGCATTCCAAGGTGCGGTGAGTGAACGGTCCTTCCAGATCCTGCTCTGAGGTTGGGACCCTGTGAGGTTGCTAAGGGAGCCGGATGGAGCACAGAGCATTTTTTAATGGGGCTGTGGTCACAGGACTCAGCCCTGTGCAGGGACCGCTGTGGCAGGGTGGGCCTTCCTGCTCAGGCCAGCAGTAGTGATGACACCAAGAGCGTGCGCAGATGCAGCCTGCTGTGAGCCTGTACTCTCTCAGCGTTCTGTCTCCAGCTCACCCCTTGGAAGCAGCAGTGATTATTGGCATCTGTGCAGTGAGGACCGGGGGCCCAGAAAGGCTGTCCGGGGTCCCACAGACCATTCTTGTCACCCCCTCCCACACACTCTCGCTCAGTGCCGCATGTCTTTGCTTGCTTTGGTGTGAACATGTGCTTTTTATGGTGGAGGGCCAGAATCTATTCTGGATCATACAATGTAGGGCACACAGGTTTCTGCAGGATAAAAATGTTCATACATTTGCCTTATATAAGGAGGTGCTTCCACATTGGGAAAATGGGGTTTCTTTCTATGAATAAAACTAGGAAAAATCAATATGTAATGAGCAAGATACGACATCTACACAAAAGATCCCCCGAAGAAATGACCTTGGCCGGGTGCGGTGGCTCACGCCTGTAATCCCAGCACTTCGGGAGGCTGAGGCGCGAGTAAATCACTTGAGGTCAGGAGTTCGAGACCAGCCTGGCCAACATGGTGAAACCCTGTCTGTTCTAACGATACAAAAATTAGCTGGGAGTGGTGGTACATGTCTATAATCCCAGCTACTTGGGAGGCTGAGGCACGAGAATCACTTGAACCCGGGAGGCGGAGGTTGCCATGAGCCAAGATTGTACCACTGCACTCCAGCCTGGGTGACGGAGTGAGACCCTGTCTCCAAAGGAAAAAAAAACAACAACAGAAATGACCTTGAACTGTGTGGCCAAGGAGGTACCTAAGTCCCCACGCAGTGACCAGGACATATAGATTGTCAGGGAGAGATGGAAGGACTGGACTTGACCATGAACCTGAACCGTAGTCATTTGTGTTTTAATGTGTTTGAGAAGCATGACTGTGTTTTCTGAAGGGCTGATCTGTGTGAACTGTCATCTCAGGGCCCCTACCCAGGAGGGGTGCCCTGACGCCGGGCGCAGCCTTTCTGAGACTTGGGGTAGGGTGGGGATGGCCCCCGCCCCAGCCTGGATGGCTTATCTTTGCTGGTTTCCCTGAACCGTAGGTAGCCTCTCTTCTCGCCCACCAACTCTAAACTTGGTGATTTAGGCTTTCTCCCTCCATTTCAGTGAGGTAGCAGGATGGGCACTGGTCTTTATACAATGAGGGCCTCTGCTCTCACTCCTAGTAACCGTCGCAAGCCCGTCTGTAACTAGGTCATAGGGTAGGGCAGCACGCACTGTGCTTCAGGGTTTGCTATTGAAGGCTGTAGATGGGGGTTTGAAGGTTGTCTGCAGAATCCATGGCTAGGTTCAGTGCTGTCTTCCAGGAGGCCCAGCTTGATGTGGGAGTCCGGACTGCCGTGGCCCACGGGGTGACCTTGGGTATGTTGTTGAACTGGAGCCTCCGGGGGCCTCCTAGCTTTGAGATGTCCTCGTTGTCATGAATGAGTGCTAGAGCAGCAGCATTCAGCCCGGGAGATGGGGCCGTGGCTGCGGCCGGGGCCCTGAGGTCAATTTGCCAGCAGCCTCAGGCGGTTTCTTGAACTGAGGACAGCCGGTGTCCAATGGTCCCTCGCTGCTGTGCCTGGTATTGACGTGACATAGAGTAGACGTCTTTCTGACAAGTTATTATTTCTTTCAAAAACATATTTTTCTGTTCACCCTGAGCACTGAAGTCTATCTTTTTGTTCAGAGGTCCTAAAACCAAGACCACAGGTGGCCTTCCGCTCCCAGGTATGTTTTCTTTAGCTCATGCGGTGTTTAAAAATGTTTATTTGATAACACTTAAAACTTGGGAGAGTTCACAGTACAGAATGGACTTTGAATTCTTTTGCAGAATTGGAAGATCCAGGCATGCTGGGTCTGGATTGCCGCAGGGAATCCTCTACATGGGGGGAACTGCAGCTGCCACCATCCCTCGGTGGCCTCCTTATTTTGTTGGAAGTGTTATGGTTTTCCAGGAAAAGAGACACCAACATTCAGCTATAGAAGAGGGCACATTCCAGCTGCCCAGGGACAGGTTACCCGGGTTAGTCAGAGCTGTAGCCAGAGAGGGGAAAGGAGGGGGTGGGAGCAGCCTGGGTATGGTGTGGCTGCAAGAAAGTCACACTTGTCATAGGGTGAAGCTGGGCCACCTGCTCCTCCTTCTTTCCCAAGTGAGATTGCTGGAAAAACACCGTCCTGTCCAACAGGTAAACCAGCTGTACAGTGAGTGCTGGTGAGCTGCCCCTCCCCTGCTTCCCCCACCCTCAAGAACCTACCCTGCCTCCTTTCCCCCTTCCTAACTGGCCTCTTGGGACTACTTTGAAGACTTCTCTGGTGACTGAGTGTACTGACCAGCCAGTGGCTGTTTTGTCATCCTTCAGCAGATAGTTACAATCTATTTTTTATTCTCTTTCTAGTAGTCAAATGTAAGTACTTGTATGCTTAAACCTAAAATCTTTAAAAAATGGATAAAAGGGAGATTCTTGTATTTATATCACATGTATTATTACACTAATTTATAAAATAACTTATAATATAATTGATTATAGGCCGGGTGCAGTGGCTCACACCTGTAATCTCAGCACTTTGGGAGGCCAAGGCAGATGGATCACATGAGGTCAGGAGTTAGAGACCAGCCTGGCCAACATGGTGAAACCTCATCTCTACTAAACATACAAAAATTAGCTGGGCGTGGTGGGGGGAGCCTGTAATCCCAGCTACTTGGGAGGCTGAGGCAGGAGAATTGCTTGAACCCAGGAGGCGGAGGTTGCAGTGAGCCGAGATTGCGCCATTGCACTCCAGCCTGGGCAACAGAGCGAGACTCCGTCTCAAATTTATATGTGTGTGTGTGTGTGTGTGTGTGTGTGTGTGTGTGTGTGTGTTGTGTGTTGTGTGTGTGTATAAAATATTTAATATTAACACACTGAAGCCAGAGCTGCCTTGTCTGAACAGTTCATCATGATGCCATTTTTAAGGTGGGTTTTGATTATCGAGACCTGCCCTTCCAGAGCTGTTTTCCTCCTGGTGCCACCTCTTCCTGAATTGTCCCTGCTGATGCTGGGTGAATTGCATGACAGGCCTGGCTTCAGCATTTAAGCGTCCCCAGAGTTGGAGACAAGGTAACAAAGGCAACACCATCAGGAGAGCTTTGTTCTGTAACATGAGCACATTGAGGCCTCATGATGATTCCTGCTTTGCATTTCTTGGGGGAAGATTGTTTTGGGGTGCTCCTCTCCCCAGCTTGTGGGGGCCCACTGCCCTGTTGCTTGGCCCAGCCCTTCTGGGCCCCCACCGCGTGCTGCTGTGTTCCACCCTCTGCTCCACCCCAGCCCTCAGGGCCACTCCTCCTTGGGTGACCACTGTCAGCATTGATCTTGAATCAGAGAGTTGTGCATGTGGACTGCAGGTTCTGATTCTCCCGGGGCTGCTGGATCAGGGCCCCCAAATCTCCACGTGTGCATGTGGGCTGCCTGCAGCTTGTTCAGAATCTTCTTTTTCAGAAGAAGGCATGAGGTAGAAAAAAGATTGAGAAACAATGTGTTGTAGATCAGTGTGACTAATTGTTTTCAAAGAAACACCCAGGGCCTTTGCACCAGAGGTGTGCTGTCCTACTGGCGGGTGCGGGGCTTACGTATTACCCCGGTGTATGCGTGCATTGCCTTTTGTGGCCCTTGGCCCCCGTGCTGCCGTGTGGGTTATGATGGGCATATGGGCTCTGGTGAGCATTTGCTTGGAGCTTTGCTACTCCCTTTATTCCTAGGGATCTGCCAGCCCTTCCTGCCACTTTGTAGCCGCTGTTCTGCCTCTCTGTTATCCCGGCGCCTCCCGGGGTCTCTCTGTTTTCTGTGCTTGTCTTTCTGTTCTCTCCTGTGCCTATTCTCAGCCACCTGTGCCCTCACTTTCTATTTGTAGCACATCCCAGTCCATGCTGGCTGCCCCTGCAGCTCGAGGGGCCGCTGTGTGGTCAGAAGTCCTTCTTGGAGCTTTTTCTATGTGCACATTCACTCTCTGCACAATGCATTAGCCAACAGTTGGGAAACGTTTTTACTCTTAGTGATGGAGCCTTTTCTACCAATGAAATCTTATGAGGAAGCTCAGTATGTGAAAATGGAGTTGATCTGGATGAAGGTGGGGCCCAGGCATTACAACCCTCTCCACTTAGCAACTCCCCACCCAGGACCATCAATGTCCCCTAGATCCTCTGGGGCTGTGTGGGGCACTATAAAAAACCAGTGCATTGGGCTGAGCTCTGCTTAATGAATTCAGGAGTCGGCAGGAAAATGTGGAGTGATTCCAATGCCCCACCTCTGTTTACTTAGCAGAGTCACTTCGAGCCATAGCCAGTATTTTGAGTTGGTCTAGTGAGATCACCTGTAATAGTGGTTGCTAATGTGAAACAAGGCATGACGTTTGTCAAATGACTGTGACTTGAGCAATTTTTAATTGTGACTTGGTATTAAGGAATGAACATTAATTACCAATTAAACAAAAAATTAATCTAGGAAGAGAATCAAGGAGGAACTGCTCACTGTCAGGGCTAGCATATCTTTGAGGGACTGTCTCATGTCAGACGTCTTGAAGGCAGAGCGTCCTTCAGGCTCATGAGCCCCGAGCTGGCCACTGTCAGGATGCTGTGGAAGAGTCACACGCATCACCTTGTCTGCCAGTGCTTGTCAGTTGATTGTGGCTTCCGGCAGCGTTTGTAGGACTGGGAAGGATTTCGAAGTGCGTCTGGGCTTCCCTGGAAAAGACCATATGGTTGATTAGTAGCGGCAGCCGCGGTGAAGGATGGGCCCTGGTTGTCCGAGTGACGAGTATTTGCCTGCCCTGGATTGCAACAGAGGTGAACTTGGCAGGAAGGAGGGAGGCGTGAGGTGAATGAAGTTTGCAAGGGAGCTGGCAGGAGGCTCCCCGAGACGAAGCAGGTAAATGTACTCTCACCTGCTGATTGATGAGTGTCCTGTAGCCCTTGGCAGGGCCCAGGACCTGTGGGCTTCACCTGTGACCTCAGTGGGCTGGCACTGCCTCAGGACCCTCCGGATGCTCAACCACACATAGAACAAACGTGGCAGTGGGGGGCACCGAGCAGCCCCTCTGCCAATCTTGAGTGGCTTTGCTGGATCCTGCCCGTGTTCACACACACGCCGTGACTGTCTGTGGTATGTGTGTGAAGGTTTTCAGTTAATTTGGGATCCATTCTTTGATCTTGTCTTAGGCTCCTTTTAGTGATTTAAAGAAATCTATTCTGCGGTTTTCAAGGCTGTGTTGAACATACATGATATTGAATCTGTGGCTTGCTTGTCAAAAAATCAGTGCTTTTAGCTCTTACTTTTGATGACCCAGGGGCACTGAATGTGGAAAAGGAGACAAAAGTACTTCTTTAGTGGTAAAGAAAATTCAACTATAGATAGAAATATGGAGGTGGCAGTTTACAACTTTAATCAGAGTCTTACGGGGGACCTGCTGGGTCCCTTCCAGGAGGCTGTCTCAAAGGTAGCCTTTGGAGCTGGAAGGGAGGCTTTTTAAAAAAAATTAATTTATTAAAAAATGTTTAATTGTGGTAAAATACACATATGTGAAACTGATCCTCTTAACCATGTTGAAGTGTACAACTCAGTGGCATTGAGTGCGTTCACACTGTTGCTCAGCCATCACCACCATCCATCTCTATAACGTTTTCACCTTCCCAAGCTGAAACTCTGTAGTCATTCAACACCAACTCCCTATTTCCCCTCCCCCGCCATGGCAACCACCACTCTACTTCTCTGTGAATCTGACTACTCCAGGTACTGCATAGAAGTGCAGTCATGCGGCTGGGAGTGGTGGCTCATGCCTGTAATCCTAGCACTTTGGGAGGCCAAGGCAGGTGGATCACTGGAGGTCAGTAGTTCGAGACCAGCCTGGCCAACATGGTGAAACCCTGTCTCTACTAAAAATACAAAAATTAGCTGGGCGTGGTGGCGTGCGCCTGTAATTCCAGCTACCCAGGAGGCTGAGGCAGGAGAATTGCTTGAACCCAAGAGGCGGAGCTTGCAGTGAGCCCAGATCACGCCACTGTACTCCAGCCTGGGCGACAGAGCGAAACTCTGTCTCAAACAAACAAACAAACAAAACAAAACAAAAAAGAAGCAGAATCTTGCAGGATTTGTCCTCTGTGACTGGCGTATTTCCCTCAGCACCATGTCCTCGAGGTTCATCCATTGGTGGATGTTGCATGTGTCAGCATTTCTGGAAGGGGGCTATCGGGATGGGGTGGAACCACCTCGGATGCTCTTCCAGCCTTATCCTAAGCCGGAGCCCTAGGGAAGAAAGGCCACTGCATTTGGCTGCATGGGGCTGCTCTGGTGGCCTTTGTGCAGGTTTTGTGTGTGTTACCTTAACGTTGGAAGAACTTTTTAAAAAATCATATTAATATATTTTTTTTGTAGCTCCACAGTTGCTTGAAGCCCTGAAAACTGGGGTTACATAAGAAAATTTTCAACAGTTTCAAAACAGATTTAATTATCATATAATTGTTAAAAATGTATGTGTTGGCTAATGATTAGAACTATATTTTAAAATCATATTCAGAAGTTTAACAAAAATGCATCCAAATTAATAATTGAAAAGCAACTTCAGACACTATTAAAGATTTAATTAGTTTAATCAACCCTGCAAATGTTCATTTGGATTATCTGTCTTGCTTTTTTTTTTTTTTTTTGAGATGGAGTTTTGCTCTCGTTGCGCAGGCTGGAGTACAATGGGGCAATCTCGGCTCACTGCAATCTCTGCCTCCTGGGTTCAAGCGATTCGCCTGCCTCAGCCTCCCAAGTAGCTGGGATTACAGGCATGCGCCACCACCCCGCCTAATTTTTGTATTTTTAGTGGAGACGAGGTTTCACTATGTTCGCCAGGCTGGTCTCGATCTCTGGACCTCAAGTGATCTGCCCACCCTGGCCTCCCAAAGTGCTAGGATTACAGGCATGAGCCACCATGCCCAGCCTGTCTTTTCTTAATCATTCACATTTAGGTACCATTGGTGGTCTAGTGATGCAAGTTAGATCCCACCCCCAGAACCAGCTTATAAAATGAATATTTGCTGTCTTGGAATTTCTTAATTATGTTCAGTATACATTTAGAAATATTTATGGCTTTACAGTCGATCACTGTTGGAAGGAGGGTGCTCCCAGTATTGGAAACACTGTCCTAGGTTCTTTGGGGGAATAAAAACAATGCATGATGATCTTGCTTTCAAGCAGCTTGTCTTCTGTCCGGCACGTACCATCCACTTGCAGGAGAAAGAGCTGTGAGCCTTGTGCTGTGGTGCAAGGTCTTTAGGCAGCGGTTTGTTTGGCATCTGGAGGCAGGAACAATCAGAAGAGGCTTCAGGGAGGGGCAGAGCTGGAGCTAGCCATGATTGCTGGGTGGCTTTCATCCAGTGGATAACAGAGAAGGGCAGTGGGTTGTGGGTACCCCAAGTTAGGCACAGGGGAGCAGAAACAGAGTGTGATTGAAGGCTGGTAAGTCATGCTGCAGAAAGGCCAGTCTGGAAGGGGAACAGAGCTGGACACTGCCTTCTGTGCCTGGCCATAGATGGTCTTAATTGGGCTACGGATGTTCAACTTCCTCAGAGTAACGTGTGTTCCTCTAAGGAGTGATGTGATGAAAGCAGGGGGATGTGGTAGTTTCACCGGGTGGTCTCTGTGCATTGAATCTCTTTGACACAGCCTTGGAAGGGCCTATAACTAGGACAGCCCAACCACAAAGCACTGCAGCCTTCAAAAGCATCCTCTTAACCTGCATCTCACACTGTGTTCCCATCGAACACTCAGGTGGCCGTTTCCTTGGCGTTTTAGCTGAGCCACCCTGGAAATGGAACAGTACTTTATTCTAGCCATTTAGTTTCTGAAGGGAACAGGCATGTTCTGCCTTTATTCATCCCTGTTTACTGATAGATGAACAGACCACAAGTCTGGCAGTTTGCATTTTGCATTTTGGCAGTGACTTGGATTTGAACTTTGGGTGGAACACTACCTAAGCACATCTTTAAAACATGGCTTCCTTTCTTGTCCATTGTTCACTCCAATAGCCTGAGAGGCATCTCGATTTCTCCTTTTCCTTTAGCCCTGCCCATCGCTTTGCCGCAGGACACACCCAGGCTGGATTCCCTCCCTCCACCCCTGCTGCTGTTCCTCTGGAGGAGCTCCAGTTTTACTTGGGGGCTGCAGCATCCTCCCCTGGGCCCTCCCCTGGGGCCATCAGCATCCTCCCCTGGGCCCTCCCCTGGGGCCATCAGCATCCACCCCTGGGCCCTCCCCTGGGGCCATCAGCATCCTCCCCGGGCCCTCCCCTGGGGGCTGCAGCATCCTCCCCTGGGCCCTCCCCTGGGGGCTGCAGCATCCTCCCCTGGGCCCTACCCTGGGGGCTGCAGCATCTTCCCCTGGGCCCTTCCCTGGGGGCTGCAGCATCCTCCCCTGGGCCCTCCCCTGGGGGCTGCAGCATCCTCCCCTGGGCCCTCCCCTGGGGGCTGCAGCGTCCTCTCCTGGGCCCTCTCCTGGGGGCTGCAGCGTCCTCTCCTGGGCCCTCCCCTGGGGGCTGCAGCATCCACCCCTGGGCCCTCCCCTGGGGCCATCAGCATCCTCCCCGGGCCCTCCCCTGGGGGCTGCAGCATCCTCCCCTGGGCCCTCCCCTGGGGGCTGCAGCATCCTCCCCTGGGCCCTACCCTGGGGGCTGCAGCATCCTCCCCTGGGCTCTCCCCTGGGGGCTGCAGCATCCTCCCCTGGGCTCTCCCTTGGGGGTGCAGCGTCCTCTCCTCGGCTCTTCCCAGGGGGCTGCAGCATCCTCCCCTGGACCCTCCCCTGGGGCCATCAGCATCCTCACCTGGGCCCTCCCCTGGGTGCAGCAGTGTCCTCCCCTGGGGGCTGCAGCGTCCTCTCCTGGGCTCTCTCCTGGGGGCTGCAGTGTCTACCTTGCTGGCTGGTCTCTTTTCTGTCTTTCCTGCTTCTCTGCTGACCATCTCCACCCAGCAGCCAGAGTGACCATGACAGAAACATAAAGCAGACATCATTGTTCTCTTGTGTAGTCTCTCTCACTGCTTTCTTGCTCTCCCCTCCTTTCTTCTTTAACCTGCCCTTTGAGGCACTGTTGCTCGGAGCTGCTCTCACTGGCCCTTCCTGCTGAACTCATGCCTCGCTCCATCATGCCATCATCTTGGTTTTCCTGATCCTCAAACCATATGCTTCCAGCTTCAGGGGCTGGTTGCCCTCTCTGCCGGTACAGAGAACAGCACCTGGTACATAACTGGCACTCAGTAAATATTTGTTGGATAAATGAATGAACCTGGCAGTTCATCAGTATTTGGCAGAGCCAGGCCTGGCCCAATCTAGCTTCAGCAATGCCAGATCTCAGGCCACAAACAAAGGAGCTACCTGCTTCCTCGAGACCTTATCAAATCTGAACATTGTTAGGTATACCCTGATGTCTCGAAAGAAGAAGTCGGTCAGGTATTAGGACTAATTAAATGTTAGTGTTAGGCAATTTTTATTATAAACTTGATAGACTCTTCCTTTTAAAGAATTATAAAAATTATTTATAACTGTCATCCCAAAGAACTAATGATTTATGTTAAATATCTTTATGTTGGGGTTTGATTGTTGATTGTATTTATAATGGACCATACAATTTGAGAATCAAAGACTCAGAGTCAGGAAGCCTTTAGAGTACATCCAGGATTGCCTGGCTGCGGTCAGGACTTAGCAAATGGAAGTTGTTATTTTCATCACTGTTACTCTTTTACTGTAGGGTATCAGAAGGTGTTTATGGTCCACTTAAGTCAATCCTCTGCAGAGTGCACAGTCCTTCAGTGGCATTTCTGATGTGTGGGCACTCCGTTTCCCTGAGCTGGGGATGGGGAGCTTGCAGTGTCACGTGGCTCAGTTGTCAGGCAGCTTTAACTAGAGCCAAATCTATTTTTGGACAATGATTCTGTTTGCCTGGCTCTTCCTGGAGAACCAAGAAATGTCCTTACTTCCCTTCCAACATTGAAGTTCTGCAAATGGAGAAAACCACTTCTGCACCCCATTCCCTGCATAGCTCTTTTTTCTGCTTGCACATTTGAAGGCTGGTCACCCAGTTTTCATCTGGTGGCTTCTGGGCATCTTGTCACTTTGGACATGGCACCAGTGCTGAGTGGGGGTTATATCGGGGGCAGACATTGGGTGGTTTCCACTATGGCCTGGGCAGCTCCCAACCGCATCGTCACTGCCTCAGGTGAAGGGGCTGCTCCTCCTCTAAAGCCCCATGCTTTTTTCCTTTCCACTGTGTCCTACAGCTCATGGCAGTTAATGAATTGTGGTACCAAATTGCGGAACATTTGTAAGACTGATAAATTCATCTGTTCGCTTTAAAAGTTAGCATTCCAGCCTGTTGAGATGATCTCATCTTGATTGGGAGGCTCGTCTCTGAGGGTACAGGCCCGATGGTGTCAGCCTGTTTTAAACAAGTTCCCCGTCCTGCATCCAGGCTGGGCCGGAGCTCTGTGGCTGGACCAACTGCTCCTGCTGTTTCCGAGGTTGTGCCATGAGCGGCCTCGCTGCCCCCTGCCCAGGGGGCCCCTCCACATCGCCTCCTCTTCATAGGGTCCACGAGCGACTGTGTTAACTTCTTGCTGAAATAAAGGCCCTCATCTGCTCAGCATTTCTCTAATATGCCAATCTCATAACCTTATTAAAAGAGAAATCAAGATGCATTTGGCCTGGCACTTGCTTCCTGAAGTACTCACGAGCCTTCTGCTCTGATAGTCCCCTCTCAGATCTGGCCTGTGATTGACATCAGGCTTATTGGTGTGTAGCTTCCATGATTTGATTTTCTCTTCATCTCCGCCACTCTCCATCATGTTTTAAAATTAATGCTTAAAAATCTGTCTAGTATATAACAGAGTCAAAGTGAAATTGTGTTGAGAAGCTGGTAATGAAAGTGGCTGTTCTTGCCCCATGCTGTGCAGGTGCCCCCAGTTGCAGGGACACCCACTTCCACGTTTCTCAGCTGTCCTTCTTTTCTTTATTCTTTTCTGTGCAAAAATAGCATTCCTTATCTTTTTTTTTTAGTATCATGGTGAAATATCTATAACATAACATTTACCGTCTTAGCCATTTTTAAGAGTACGGTTCAGTGGCAGTAAGTACATTCTCATTGCTGTGCAGCCACCACCGCAATCCATCTCCAGAAGACTCCCTCTTCCTCAACTAAAACTGTCCCCATTGAACATGATCTCCCTTCTCCCCGGCCCCTGGAACCCCTATTCTCCTTTCCATCTCAATGAATTTGATGACTCTGGGCAACTCATATGAGTGGCATCTTGCAGTATGTGTCGTTTCATGGCTGGCTTATTTCACTCAGCGTAACATCCTCAAGGTTTATCCGTGTTGGAGCATGTGTCAATATTTCCCTCCTTTTTGTAGCAAAATAATATTCCATGGTGTGTCTGTGCCACATTTTGTATATCTGTTCTGCCATTGATGGACACTTATGTTATTTCCACCATGCAGCTACTGTGAGTAATCCTGCTGTGAACATAGGTGCACAGATATCTGTTCGAGCTCCTGCTTTCAGTTATTTAGGGTATGTACCCAGAAGTGGAATTGCTGTGTCACATGGAAATCATTTCTTATTTTTTAAAATAATTCACCTTATCTTGTTCTCAGACTCATATTTTGTTGGGTAGCAGGAAAAAAAAATCAAAAACTTGCCACATTGATAGTTCCTTGGTATTTTGGTTACTTCCGTCTCTCTCTCATCTGTGCATTTTTAAAGTTTTGCTGCTGTATAATTTACAGACTGTCCTATTCACCTATTGTAAATCTACGGCTCAATGATTTTTTAATACATTGTATAATTGTGCAGCCACATGCCCAGTTTTAGAAAACTCCCATCCCCTAAGCAGCCCCTGGACCTGGTGAAGATCGGTTGCTGAACTCAGCCCTGGGCCGCTGAACCTTTCCTGATACTTTCTCCAGGGACTGGGTTTCAGTATCCTCTGAGGTGTGTGGTCACAGTGCTTCATGAGACAGGTGGAAGTGCCTGGGCCAAGCCTTCTTTCCAACCCCTGGTTTCCAGCCTGGTGGGTGTCTCTGCAGCCTGCCTCCTGGGGCCCCAGTGGCTCCAACCCACAGGCTCCTAAGTTCTGCAGGGGAATCAGCCTGAGCCTCGTCACTCCCCCTCCATGTACCTGCCATCTCAGTCGCCATTCCTATGTCCATGTTAAGGCTTTGAAAAGGCTGTTGGACTCTCCTGCCCCTGGAGGCACCTCCTCATCTTCTTGTCCGAGTGTGTCCAAGGTTTCAGGAGGCAGGAGAGAGGTAGGTGCACAAGATCGAGTTATCACTATTAACTGGAACTTCCTACCCTTCATTATTTTTAAAAACTATCAACAGGAGTAGAAACTACATATCTTAGGAGTCTGTTTCTGATTTTATTGTAGAGGGTTCTCACTGGTGGGATTTCTTTTTTCTGTGATAAGCTACAGCCACCTGCCCAGAGCCTGGTTGGGCTGACACTGTCCTCTGGACATAGGGGTCATGCCCAGAGAGAATATTGCTTTGCTGAAAAGGTTGTGATGGGACTCCTAGTGATTCTCAGAACTTGCAGAGTACACCAGACACTTGGCCACCACTTTTCATCTTGAGGAATTTAATTGTATTATTATTATTATTATTAGTTTTGAGATCGAATTTCGCTCTTGTTGCCTAAGCTGGACTGCAGTGGTGCGACCTTGGCTCACTGCAACCTCCACCTCCTGGGTTCAAGTGATTCTCTTGCCTCAGCCTCCCGAGTAGCTGGCATTACAGGTGTGGCCCACCACACCTGGCTAATTTTTTGTATTTTTAGTAGAAACGGGGTTTCACCATGTTAGCCAGGCTGGTCTCAAACTCCTGTCCCAAGGTGATCTGCCCGCCTCAGCCTTCCAAAGTGCTGGGATTACAGGTGTGAGCCACTGAACAAAGGAGAGTAGTGGTTCCTCAAAAAATTAAAACAGAATTACCATGTGATCCAGCAATCCCACTTCTGGGTATATACTCAAAGGATGGAAAGCAGAGGCTCAAAGAGATATTTGCACAGCCATGTTCATAGCAGCATGATTCACAATAGCTAAAACATGGAAGCAACCCAAGCGTCCATTGATGGAAGAATGGGTAAACAGAATGTGGTTTACACCTGTCATGAAACATTACTCAGCCTTAAAAAGGAAGGAGATTCTGACACATGCTGCACCATGGATGAACCTTGACATGGTGCTGAGTGAAATAAGTCAGTCACAAAAGGATGAATAACTGTATGACTTCACTTTATATGAGGGACATAGAGTAGTCAAACCCACAGAGACAGAAAATAGAATGGTGGTTGCCAGGGACGGGGCTAGGGAGGAATGGGGAGTTGTTCAGTGGGTGCAGAGTTTCAGTCTTGGAAGACGTTCTGAAGATGGGTGGTGGTGATGGTTGCAAACACAGTAAATGTACTCAATGCTGCTGAACCATACACTTAAAAACTGGTGAAAATGATGGCCGGGCACGGTGGCTCATGCCTGTAATCCCAGCACTATGGGAGGCCGAAGCGGGTGGATCACAAGGTCGAGAGTTCCAGACCAGCAGGGCCAAGATAGTGAAACCCCAGCTCTACCAAAAGTACAAAAATTAGCCTGGCACAGTGGCAGACACCTGTACTACTCGAGAGGCTGAGTAAGGAGAATCGCTTGAACCTGGAAGGCGGAGGTTACAGTGAGCCAAGATCGCACCACTGCTCTCTAGCCTGGGCGACAGAGCAAGACTCCGTCTCAAAAAATGATAAAAAAATAAAAAACTGGTGAAAATGGAAAATTTTATTTTCTGTGTATTTTATCATAATAAAAATCAACACCATCAAATGAAAAATTACCTTTCTTGAGCAAAATATTGGGATATTTTGGGCCATCAGAAATTTTTTTGAGAAGCAACTCATGTTTTCTGGTGTGTTGATACTGATATAAGCATTGTTTTAGAACAGTTTCAACAGTTGTATTTGGTTAACAAAGTCATGTGACAGTAGGTTTAAATAAACTTGGCATTTATAAAATGAAGGGAAATAACAGTCATGGAGGCTTTCTGTGACACTACATTTATCACAAACATCACACAGAGCAAGGCAATACATTTACAAAATGGGATAGTGTTGGGCATGTCCAACATCCATGAAAATAGATAAAATATTGATGTCTTGCAGTCATCCTCGTGTTGATGCCGTAGTTATTGTCTTGAGAAAATCCCATTTGTATAGAATAAATGTTCTATAGTGAGGCACTATAAGAAAGTTGTAACTTGACAAGCTTTTTGTTACATGAAGACTAAAAACAGGTCAGAAGATAACTGTAAAGCTGAATCACTTTTCTTCCTGCTAGAGTTCGTAGAAAATTGACTTCTAGGTTTTATTCACACCACCAATGGCTTACTAATTGGAAAAGACGTGATAGTGGCTTGGATGTTATTCTCTGTTGTGGTAAGCCAGAGCATTTGGTTTTGTAGTTAGAATTTAGAATTGTTAGCTTAGAAGAATCCTAATAATCTTTTTGTTATTGCTAAATTTCTCAAATGTGTTAATGACTTGACTCCAGTTAGATGTGATGATTTAAGAATTGTGTTTTTTCTTGTTGCTGTTTTGTTTTGTTTTTTGAGACAGAGTCTCACTCTGTCGCCCAGGCTGGAGTGCAGTGGCACAATCTCGGGTCACTGCAGCCTCCGCCTCCGGGCTCAAGTGATTCTCCTGCCTCAGCCTCCCAAGTAGCTGGGAATACAGGCATGCGCCACCGTGCCGGGCTAATTTTTGTATTTTTAGTAGTGATGGGGTTTCACTATGTTGGCCAGGCTGATCTCGAATTCCTGACCTCAAGGTGATCCACCCACCTTGGCCTTCCAGAGTGTCGGGATTACAGGCATGAGCCACCGCACCCAGGCAGACATAATGATTTAAGAATCGTAACTGACACATACATTGTTTCATATTTTTAAAGTTAAAGGCTTAGTCTGAAATAGCTGTCTTTGTTGTTGTTAAGAGATAGAGTCTTGCTCTGTCACCCAGGCTGGAAGGCAGTGGTGCGATCGTGGCTCACTGCAGCCTCAAACTCCTGGGCTCACAGGATCCTCTTGCCTCAGCATTTGAGTAGCTGGGACTACAGGCGTGCACCACCACACCCAGCTATTTAAAAAAAAATGTTTTTTGTTGTGACATGGTCTTGCTGTGTTGCCCAGGCTGGTCTTGAACTTCTCATCTCAAGCAACCCTCCTGTCTTGGCCTCCAAAAATGCTAGGATTTCAGGTGTAAGCCACCTCATCTGGCCTGAAATAGCTGTGTTTAGGTGTTTATACCTCTATTAGAAAGTAGATCACTTGATAACTTTTAATGAAGCATGATAATATTACCATAGCTTGCAGGTAGTGGTGTTTGTAGTAACAAAGGGAACTAACCTATCAAGTCAAGTAATTAACTGAATTAGAAGCTGTGTTAATGGAAGAGTCACCTCCCAAAGGTTGGATTCCCCACATAGAGTGTGAGAAGGGAGTCCATGGGCTTTCTGGGCCAAGTTTGTGCTGCATGTGGGGCTCACAGGAGAAGGCCAAGGCACTATGCAAACCTTGGCTTCACTCCCTCCTGGCTTACAACCCTGCAGAGTCACCTAACGTTTCTCAATGTCAGTGTAGTTAGTCTCTGAGGGAGTTAGGGATAATAACTGGCTGTTGGCGATAATCTTTATATAACATCATGTACAACTCCTAGTTTGATTAAACTACTGTACCTGTGAAGACTGGAGAATTGAGGACCTCTTACAGTAAGGGTGAGAAATAATCTATGAGGATGGTGGAACTGGCCTTGCTTACATTGCTCCCTAGAGAAGAGTGCCTGTCCTCAGGGCAGATGATGGGACTCATCTCTCCTCCCAGGAAATGTCCCCTCCCAGGAAATGTCACACCAACGATTTCATAGAGCTGCCACTTCTCCACAGGCCATGGGCCAGATGACTGTCCTTGCACCCCATCTTTGAAGGTCTCTTTGAAACTGCATTCTTAAGAAACAGCTGGGTTGCTCAGAAGGACCAGGACTGATAGTCTGGCTGGGGACGCATGGAGTGGTGCGGGAGGCTGGCTGAGCCCCGCAGCAGGAAATAATGGAAATCTTAGCTTCTTGGGACCCCTGTTGATTGGATGGGTCGGAGAAAGAGTCAGTGGGTGCAGAACAATCCCTTGTCAACCCTGTGTGGCAGCTGGCCTGGTGAAGTTTGCCTGCCCTGGAGATTGGGTCTGTTCCTCTTGCTCTGCGCCTGGGAACATGTGGGAATCAGCACCGGACACCTGCTGAATCCACGCCTGCCATTAGCAAGTCCTGGCTCTGGATAAGTCTCCTTTGTGTGAGGGAAAGCAAACAGAAAATGTACCAAGGAGTCTGTGGAAAAAATACTACCCCATTAAGGAAAGGGAATGGTTTCCTGAAGAGTCAGAGGAGACGTATTCTGCTGAAAGTGAACGTGAGTACAAACCAGAAAAAAACGTTTGTGTTCAAGCATGTGTTATCCTCAGCAGAGAATCCTCCTTTTTCATATAAAAATGTACTATGAGCTATGATTGTTTGACATTATGGTGCTGGAGAAGTTGGGTCGACTGAGGATCCAGAGGAGGCGTGACCATGACCTTGGCTTATCTCTAGTGCATCACTCCTGGGTCACCTCCAAGTCCAGGGCAGGGATCGGAAGCTCCAAAATTGGGAGGAGGGGCAGGGAGGCTTTGAGAAGAGCTGGAGGGATTGGGTAGGGGGCTTGGTGGGCTCAGGATTGCTTTCCTTCTCTACCGTGCCCGTGGCTCTGCGATGGTTAATTTTATGTGTCAGTTTGCCTGGGCTAGGGGTGCTGGTAAAACATTATTCCTGATAGCGTCTGTGAGGGTGTTTCAGGAAGAGATAAACATTTGAATCAGCAGACTGAGGAAAGAAGATCTGCCCTTGCCAGTTTGGGCATGCATCCTCCAATCTGTGGAGGGCCCAGATAGATCAAAAAGGCACAGGAAGGGCAAATTTGCTGTCTCTACTTGAGTTGGGACATTCATTTTCTCCTGCCTTCGGACATCGGTGCTCCTGGTTCTTGGGCCTTTGGACCCTGTCCTCAGGCCTTTAGACTCAGACTGACCGACATGCTAGCTATCCTGGGTCTTCCTCTTGCAGAGAGCAGATCATAAGACTTCTCAGCTTCTGTAATTGTGTGAGCCAATTCCCATAATGAATTTCCTCTGATATATGTGTCCTATCAGTTTTGTTTCTGTGGAGAGGCCTGACTCATACAGGCTCCAGCTCCTTGCCAGGCCTGGGCTCTGTGGGCTGAGACAGCTGGTCCTCTTGGTTCGGGTGTGAGGAAGCCGTGCCTCATCCTGCAGGCTACAGGCAGTAGGTTCCCACTGGCCTGCAGTGTTCTTATTTGGAATTTGGGGTTCGTGTGGTCCTTGATGGAGGCAAGCAAAATCAAACTGCAAATCTGGAACCCAAGGGGCAGCAGAAGTTTCTCTCGAGTGTGTCTCTCCCGTGTGACACTTTCGACTGTTTTGGGGGACACTTAGCAGCTTCATGCTGATGGGGAAGTGAGGCCTCCACTGCTAGTTAGGCCCTCATTAACACAGCCAAAGGAACAGGCAGTATAACTGGGCCCTGGCAGCGGGTGCCAGCGCTGACAGGACAGGCTCTGTCCAAGCCTCAGGGCTTCTGTGACTGCAGCTGAGCCTCTGCCCCGAGCACCTGTCTCTCGTGATGCCCCTTTCCAGCAGGCACCAGGGCCAGGGCCTGCCTTCCTGCACAGTGCAGCCCCTTCCCACCATGGAAGACTCTGCAAGGGACACAGAAGATGTTGCTCTCCTGAGAGCTGTGGATGGATCCTTAGACTAGGACCTTGCTCATGCTTGTATTTTCATTTCTAAACGTTGAGGCTCAAAGCTGATATTCAGTACAATTTGAAAATAAGCAAAGACGTCATTTTCTTAGCTGGCCCATGCCTGCTCTGCACCAAGTGATGGCAGGGGCAGGGACATTCCGACTGGATGTGTGAGAGGGCTGGGGTCCGGCTGGCCTCTCAGGCATCTTCCCCTGGGAACCATGCCGGCTTCTGTGCTTCCTTTCCTTTGGGAAGTCGTGCTCCTTTTTGAGAATTCTAGGGAAGGCAGTTCCTTCTGCTGGAGCCACTGGGGAATGCTGCATATGTCACAGAACCGTGTCAAGAACACGGGGCCCTGTGAAGGTGCACAACCTGTAGTTTCCTACTCTTATTACCTAAAAACACACATTGTTTGCTCATTTCTCTTGAAGACCAGACCTAACACTGAAGATCTTCCATCAGATTGGCCCCTATGCCTTCATCAGCCTCACTGCATAGTGTACCTGTTTATAGACTTTTTACGCTAACCAAGTAACTGATGAGTCCACATGAATTATGTGTTCCAGCCTCCTGCCTTTGCACACACCACTCTTTGCTGATCTTACTCCTCAGGATCTGAAAACTTTCCTCCAAGTAGCCATCCATGATTGACCTGTGGGGCTTCTAAGCTCTCCTTCCGTTCTATATTATTTGTATTATATTAATTTGTGTTCATCTTGGTTTATACATATTTTCTCCAGGGTTTCGTAGGTGGCACTGTCTCCCCTCTGCGGCTGTGAACACCTGGGAGGGGGCACTGTCCCACATGCTCCTTGCACCTTGCCAACCCCTTCACAGGGCCTAGTGCCCTGCTCAGAATCAGCTTGTGGAATTTGGCAGCCGACTGACTTAGAAAGTTAGGGCAGGTTTTGTTTCTGTTTCAGACAAAAAATAGCCTTGACGTCACCCCCATCCCTTTGGTGACTGTGACTGTGTCTGTCTCTTGATTCATGTTGCTGCTCTCCCTCTCCTCCTGCACCTGCCCCAGCAACTTCACTACCCCTCCTCTTCCATGCAGTCAGATTAGTGAGCATTTCTCCTGCCATGCCTCAGTGGAAAGAACATGCAGTATTATCCTGACAAAATGAAAACAAACCAGCTGTATGGTATTGGGTCAAGATTTACTATTAATACTATACCAATAGAAATGATCACTGGAAATGATATCACCAAATTCTCTACATCAGCAGTCTCCAGCCTTTTGGGCACCAGGGACTGGTTTCATGGAAGACAATTTTTCCATGGACAGGGAGGGGGTGGGGATGGTTTCAGGATGATTCAAGCACATTACGTTTATTGTACACTTTATTTCTGTTATTATTACATTGTACTATATAATGAAATAATCATGCAACTCACCATAATGTAGAATCAGTGGGAGCCCTGAGCTTGTTTTCCTGCAACTGGACAGTTTCATCTGGGGATGATGGGAGATAGTGACGGATCATCAGGCATTAGCTTTTCATAAGGAGCCACAACCTAGATCCTTTACATGCACAGTTTACAATAGGGTTCATGCTCCTATGAGAATCTGCTGCTGCTGCTGATCTGACAGGAGGCAAAGCTCAGGTGGTAACACAAGCAGTGGGGAGCAGCTGTAAATACAGATGAAGCTTCGCTCACTTGCCCACTGCTCACCTCCTGCAGTGCGGCCTGATTCCTAACAGGCCATGGACTGATACTGGTCGGTGGCCTGGGGGTTGGGAGCCCCTGCTCTGGATTCTAATATGTGAAAACAAGGTGTTGCAGTTTTATGGAGAAGGGAGAACTGGCTGTGTGGCAAAACATTGTTAGGTCCTCACCTAATATCATACACAAAAATAAGTTTCCTATGGATTAAAAAGTAAAAGCATAAATATACTGTTAAGAAATATGTATGATCATGTAACTGATCCCAAGACAATAATAGTAGTAATAATGGCAGCTGTATTAGGTATCAAATGCTGTGTAACAAACTATTCCAGAACATAGTGGCTTCTACCAGCAACTACTTACTCAGTGGGTGATTTGGGTTGGAAATTCAGGCTGGGCTTGGCTGGGTGGCTCTCTTCGCTGAGCTCATTCATGGTCGTGCATTGATGGCCTCACATGGTTAGTATGGCTTGCCTGTAAGCTGGGGCGGGCAGGGGTGATGGGCTGCATTGTCAGGATGGCTGCCTGTAAACTGGGGTGAGCAGGGGTGATGGGCTTTGTAGTCTCATCCCCCAGCAGGCTGGGCTTCTTCACATGGAGACAGCAGAGTTTCAGGAGTTGTAAGAGGCAGGCTCCTGTGTGTAGGTGACTTCACGTTTGCCACAGCTCCATTGGTCAGAGCAAATCACACAGTCAAGCTGAGCTACCCCAGGTGGAGACGGATTTCCTCTTTCCATGGGAGGACTGTCAACGTGTTAGGCCTTTTTTGTGTGATCTGCCACAGCCACTGTTCTAAGTGCTTTACGTGTATAATGCATTAGTAATCTCCTGCTGCATAGCAAATCACCCTTAAATGTAGCAGTTTACAGCAACGAATGTGTATTACTTCCCAGTTTTGTGGGCCAGGAATCTTGGCACAGCTTTGCAGGTTGCCTCTGGCTGAGGATCTCACTAAGTGTTGGCTGGAGCTGCGTCATCTCCAGGGACCACTGGGGAGTATCTACCTCCAAGCTCACTCCGTGGCTGTTCGCAGGCCCTGGTCCCTGCTGGCTGGACCTGCAGGGATCACATGTGAATGCCATTATAGGAGGTGGGGGGCATTGGGGCCATCTCTGAGGCTGTGTGCCACATACTAACTATATGGATTAAATGCATTCTCATTATCCTGCACGTTCAATCAAGGAAATTGAGGCAAAGAGAGGGTCACTGAGATAGTGAGTGGGGGAGCTGAGTCTGGATCCCAGGCTGAAGGGCCATGACACTCTACTTGCAATGGAAGTCATAATAAGGGGAAAGATTGATACAATTGACCACACATCCATTAGCATCCTGTGTGTGTCAAACAGCATCAACAGAATTGGTAAATCAGGACATACGCTGTCCACCTGCCAATCCATCCCTATTATACTAAAAGCAGTCATAAATCAATAAGAAAACATTAACATCAAATGGAACAAATCTGCAGTGGACTCTAGTTGGCAAGTCACTGAAGAAAAATAAAAGGCAAATAGAAAAGTACCAAACCTCACAAGTAATCAGAGAAATGCAAATTTAAAAAATTCTTTTTTGTTTTTGGGTCCACCAAACTGGTGCAGTCTCATAATTATTCTCAGTATGGGTGAGTGCTGGAGGATGAATACTCTCATACTCCAGTGGAGGAAATGTCAAGTGATGGAACCTTCTGGAAAAGAAGTGTTTGTGACCTTTGACTCAATCATCCTCTTTCTAAGGGTTTATATTAAAATCGGAGATGTCAGTATCATTTGTATGTAAAGAGACTCACTGAAGCTTTACTTATCATAGTTGAAAATTGGATGCAGCTTGAATATCTTAATAATAGCAGGGTGGTTATACTATGTCATTCCCAGATTCTGTGGCCATTAAAACCGTGCTTTGAAAGAATATTCAGTGGCCTGGAGAAGGTCTCATGTTATTTTAAATGAACACAGCAAGATTCCCGCTATACAGTAGGATTCCAATTTTGTACAATGTGCATGTACAAAAAAAAAGTCTGATTGGAAACACATCAAAATATTAGCAGCAGTGGTTATTTCCTGGTGGTGATATACGTTATTTCTTTTCTTCTTTTCTGTGTGTTCTCCACTTCCTTCCTTGAGGATGTATTATTGAGATAATTGGACAAGAAATCAACAGGAAGTGTGCAGCCCAGCCCAGGGCACTCTGGCCGGTGGGGGTGTCTATGCTCTGTATTTGCTGGGGCAAAGCTAGCAGGTCCTCCCCAGGCCTTCTGTGCAGACCTCTGCGAAGAATCCTGCTCAGCAGTAGATATTTATTGTATTTTAATATCAGGGCCAAAAGCTACAGTTCACTTTTCAGTTAAGTAAATGTGTGCTTTTCATCCCTGGGTTAGTACACTGCTTGTGAGGCACAGTCCTCCTCCCCTCCGCCACTTCCAGGACAGGGCTGTGAAATTGTCCTGCCGTGCCTTGCAGCACCGTGATCACTGCACCACAGTAACAGTCCTACCGGCCTCTGAGGCTTAAGTGCAGATTCTTAAGAAGTTATTACATTCTCTCCCCCTGCACCGGGGTGTTCAGTGAAGGCCGGTGACTGTGGTGTGGCATTGGCAGGCCACTAAACAGCCGGGAAATTTCTGATCTCCTTTTTTATTGTGATAGAAGACTATTTGTGGTCAGTTGCCTCGAGGTGATTTTAGAAAGGGCAGGAAGCAGGGAGGCATTTCCTTTCATGTTTGCTCGTTACTTGGCTCTGCCTCCTCCGGTTTAATTTCCTCTCGGCCTCTCTCAGCTTTTCCACTCATTTCTGCCTGCTTGTCCCGCATCCCCTGCCGCTCAGCCGGCCTGACCAGGTCTCCTGAGGCCTTCTTTCTCTTCCTCCTGCCCCTCCACTGGGATATGGCTGCTCTTTACTCCCCCCAACCCCCCACCCTCTGCTTTTGGGTTTTGCTTTAAGTGTTATGTTGAGACACCAGTTAAATATATTCCTTCAGATATGAGAAATGCATTCTGTATTTTAAAGATGAGAGAGCTCCCAGTAGCAGAAAAGACGTGGATTTGGGCAGCATGCTTGCAGAAGCATCTCTGGAGCCTGGAGCGCAGACTCACACCTACCCTGTGACGCTAAAGGATTCCCGTCTGTTCTTAAGAATCTGCACTTAGGACTCAGAGGCAGGTAGGACTGTGACTGTGGTGTGGTATAATTGTCTCTGATAGGCCAGATACTACCAAGAAAACAGAAGCAGATGAAACAGCCAAGCAGCCCGTGTTCTGCTTATTCGCCACATCACATTAGTTGAGCCCCATTCCACAACATGTGGCATGAGGCCTCCTTCCTGGTGTTTCAGAGGCTTCTGGGAGCTGACGAGGGTGAAGGGCTATGGCTTCCCTTCTCTGGTTACTGCTTGCCCCAAATTCCTGCTCTCTCAGGATTCCCAATATCCACTTCCCCTCTTGCCTGCTCTGGGATGGGGAATGGGAGATGGGGGTGGGTGAGGGGCTGTCAGCACCAGGTGCCAGTGCTGCTGAGAAAGCAGATGGTTGTGGGTAACACTAGAGGCCACTCATCATTTGTGCCTTAGTGTCAATAAAGTGTGTGTTAAACATTTCTGGGTTTGGCTTAGGGAATTAATTGAGAGTTGTCTATATAGAAAAGTGTGTAAAATGTGGCTTAGAAAACATGCATTTTAAATGAGTAAAAGTTAACAATATAAAAAGGCATTTGATGGTCTAGAACATTTTTTTCAGGAAAAAGGTTTTAAAACCCTTTAGTGAATACACATTTACTTAACTGAAAAGCGAACTGTAGCTTTTGGCCCTGATATTAAAATACAATAAATATCTACTGCTGAGCAGGATTCTTCGCAGAGGTCTGCACAGAAGGCCTGGGGAGGACCCTCTGGCTTTGCCCCGAGCGTTGCCTCCAAGCTAGGCTTGCCAGTGAGCAGGACTTGCAGGGGGGTGGGGCCCCTAAGGTCACTGGGATGAGCAGGACAGTGGCTGTGATAGGAGTGGTGGCCCCTCGAGGGAGCCCTGCAAGGTTCCGGTGGGGAGGGGGCTTCGCTGCCTGCAGTCTTAATTCCTCACTGATAGTGAAGACCCTCCCGTGGTGGGCAGAGGGGAGCTGCTGGGCTGTTCTTGAACCATCCTTTCATGCATTTCAGTCACGCCCCGAGTCATCCACAGCTGCCCTGACCTCTGCCTGCTCTCTGTGTCCCTGTATGGACTTGCCTGACTTGTGACTGGCCCCTCTCAGCCCCTCGCGCCCCCGACATGAGCTCTCTGTGACAGCGGTCTGGGAGTGCCTTTTCTCTGTGGGGTCGGTGTGCTGTGTCTGCAGATGCTCAGCTGAGCCACCTGCTGGCCTGGTCCTGCAGACTCCTGTGGGAGAGGCGAGAAGGGGTGGGGAAGGATGTGGAGAAGTCCAGGGTACCTAACAGGCGAGAGGCGAGGGCCGAGGGCCGAGGGCCGGCCAGAGAGCTGCCACCCCCCATCATCAGCGAAGGACCAGGGAGACCGGGGCACTCTTTCTAGACCCCATAGGGATTGGGGTGGGGCCACCAGAGGCTCAGTGGGAACAACTGCAGGGAGTGGACAGTTACTCTTACTTATTTGGAGCTGTTAACACTTCTTTTTTTTTAACCTTTATTTTAGGTTCAGTGCAGGTTTGTTATACAGGTAAATTCGTGACTTGGGGGTTTGGTGTACAGATTATTTCCTCACCTGAGTACTAAGCATAGTACCCAACAGTTTTTTTTTTTCCTGAATCTCTCTCTCCTCCCACCCTCTTCTCTCAAGTAGGCCCCAGAGTCTGTTGTTCCCCTCTTTCTGTCCATGTGTACTCATTGTTTAGCTCCCGCTTTTAAGTGAGAACATGCAGTATTTGGTTTTCTGTTCCTGCATTAATTTGCTAAGGATAATGGCCATCTATGTTCCTTTGCAGGAACATCATTCTTTTTAATGGCCGCATCATATTCCATGATGTATATGTACCACATTTTCTTTACCCAGTCTACCATTGATGGGCATTTAGGTTGATTCAGTGTCTTTGCTATTGTGAATAGTGTTGCAGAGAGCATATGCATGCATGTGTCTTTATGATAGAATGATTTATATTCCTTTGGGTTTATCCTCAGTACTAGGATTGCTGGGCTGAATGGTAATTCTGTTTTTAGCTCTTTGAGGAATTGCCACACTGCTTTCCACAATGATTGAACTAATTTACACCCCCACCTGCAAAGCAAGCAGTGGGGAAAGGGCTCCCTATTCAATAAATGGTGCCAGGATAGCTGGCTAACCATAGGCAGAAGACTGAAACTGGGCCCGTTCCCTTCACCATATACAAAAATCAACTGAAGATGGATTAAGGACTAAAATGTAAAAACCCAAAACTATAAAAACCCTGGAAGATAACCCAGGAAATACCATTTTGGACATGGAAACTGGCAAAGATTTCATGACAACACCACCAAAAGCAAAAATTGACAAATGGTACATAATTAAGGAGCTTCTGCACAGAAAAGAAACTATCAATAGAGAAAACAGGCAGCCTACAGGATGGGAGAAAATATTTGCAAACTATGCATCTGACAAAGGTCCAATATTCAGAATCTACAAGGAACTTAAACAAATGTACAAGCAAAAAACTAAGAAACTCATTAAAAAGTGGGCAAAGGACATGAACAGACACTTTTCCAAAGACATACGTGCAGTCAACAAGCCTATGAAAAAATGCTCAATATCACTTATCATTAGAGAAATGCAAATCAAAAGCACAATGAAATACCATATCACACCAGTCAGAATGGCTTCTATTAAAAAGTCAAAAAACAACAGGTACCGGTGAGTTTGTAGAGGAAAGGGACTGCTTAAACACTTCTTAATACAAGTAAATATTAGGATTTCCCAATTTCACCATAATGTGAATGTGTATTTAAAAGATAGAGAATTATAGTACTCTACAAAATGTTTGTCTAATTAAAACCATGAAGTGGACCTTTGAGGATGAGAAAAATAAAGTCTTGAGTCTTAAGCTGCCACATTGTTCTGTTAACAAGTTTGGTGTAATTTTGTTGTAACAAACTTCTATTTTCTTCTTTAATATTAAAGTTTTTGTCTTGTTCATCTTACTCTGCTTATTCTTCTGTGCTTCAGAGTGGTTCTTTAGTGTGACTAACATGTTGGTTATTTATTCTGCTGAGGTTTTTGTCCTATAAAGGACATAAAGGGTGATCATTCACATTCATCACATTCCGAAAGCAGAGAAGGGTAGGTATTTGTGCCTGCACTTCACCTGCCAAGCTCCTTCTTCTTCCTGTCCCTGTCTTTCTATCCAGTCAGTGATCAAGCCTTCATCTTCCACCTCCCTGGGCCTCCCCAAGCTGACCCCTGTCAGCACCATGGCCAGCACCTCAGCTCAAACACATCCTTTCATGGAGGTTGTCCTGTCCCTGGTTGCTTCTTTCTCTGAGCTTCTCCTAGTTTGGATGTCACACCTGCCTTCAGATGTCTCTTTATGCTGCCTTGCCTCCTTTGAGCTTGGCAGCTTCACAGAGACCCCTCTGTTCTCATTAGGTCAGTTTCCCTGATTAAGGGAAAAGCTGAGTCTGGCAATTAAGCTTTAAATGTCCACTACTCTTTCTTTCTCATTCAGACCATTCTTCAGTGATCGCAACATTCTCTCTTAACTCTTTTGAGCCATTTCATGTAGATGCAGTAACAGTGTTTGTTTCTAAGGAAGGAGGTGCTCCATCCCAGGCTGGAGACCTTCAGGCCAGGGGTTGGGAAGAGACCACTGGTTGGAGCTGCAGGTGAAATGTGTTCTTGGAGTCAGGCTCCTAGACCCAGGGGCTCCAAGACCCAGATTTCATTTGTATCTTTTATACTTTCAGATTGATTTTTCAAAACTAATTTAAAATAATACAAGATATTTAGAAAACAGGATGGAAAAAGCTGGATTAAATTTGATTCACCTGGTTGAGCAATCTAATTTCCATCTCTACCGATGTGATGTGATATTTATCATATGGAAGAGTTTTCAAAAGCTCTTGCATGTGAACTGTATTATTATTGATTTGAAAAATTTAGCCTCTGCATTATTGGTTCGTCTCGATTTGTTCTTGAAACAAACCTTGTGGTCAGTTGATGGTTTCTCTGCCTCACAGTAAGTATGACACTTAGTTTCATAGGTTAGTGTCAACATTCAGTACTAGGACACTGTAGAAAACAGTCGCTTAAGTGCATTTAGGGTACAGTACAGTGAGGGCTTTATGACCTGGGCATGGTTTTAAGCAACAGGCAGTCAGAGCTGTCCTGGGTACTCATCCTGACGTTCTGGAAGTAGGTGAATTCCAGTTATGAAGATACTTGTATCAGGACTGAATGTTTGGGAGATATCTGCCAGGGAGATTCTTGAAGGTCAGTGGTGTGTCTTCGTTTTAAATCCACAGAATCCCATCATAGGTGAAGCACTGGAGCCCATTGAGGCTCCCTCCCCGAGGTGCTGTTGTAGGAGGGCTTGTGTCAACGGAGAATGGTGACCCACCTATAGGCCACTGTTTTTCAAGATGCTCACCTGGTAGCATTAATTAGAAAGGAGAAAGATCTTGTTGGGCTTATTAAGTTCAAAAAAATTTAAATAATTGGAAATTGCTTAAGCCCTTTTTTTTTTGAGACAGAGAGTCTCGCTCCATCACCCAGGCTAGAGTGCAGTGCTAGAGTGCACTCAATCCCGCTCACTGCAGCCTCCACGTCCCGGGTTCAAGTGATTCTCCTGCCTTAGCCTCCCAAGTAGGTGGGATTACAGGCACTTGCCACCACGCCCAGCTAATTTTTTTTGTATTTTTAGCAGAGACGGAGTTTCACCATGTTGGCCAGGCTGGTCTTGAACTCCTGACCTCAGGTAATCCACCTGCCTTGGCCTCCCAAAGTGCTGGGATTACAGGGGTGAGCCACCACGCCCGGCCAAGCCCATTTTTTAAAGTAAATTTAAAAATATTCAAAGCCAGGTGGGAAGGTCACTTGTGCCCAGGAGTTCGAGACCAGCTTGGGCAACATGGCGAGACCCCCATCTCTACGAAAAAAAAAAAAAAAATCAGCCAGGTCTGGTGGCATGCACCTGTAGTCCCAGTGGCATGCACCTGTAGTCCCAGCTACTCAGGAGGCTGAGGTGGGAGGATGGCTTAAGCCCAGAGGTTGAAGCTGCAGTGAGCTGCGATTGTGCCACTGCACTCCAGCCTGGGCAACAGAGTGAGACCCTGTCTCAAAGAAAATAAAAAAATTCAACCTTTTGCATGGGATGTGAAGGACTAGCCCAGTCAGACACACAGGAGCTGGGAAGCAGCCTCAGCCTGGCGAAGACTGTGCTATGCAGAGCTCCCTGTACTCTGTTTTTTATGAGTAAAGGCATGCCCACTGATCAGCAGAGGTGGTAGAAGGGGCCTGTTCTCATCTAATCCCAGAATGACTTCTTTTCTCCATGGAAATCTTAGCATTCTTGATTCATTGTGCTTTAAAGGTTGGACTTTCTTTTTTGATTTATTGGATTACAGTCCCAATTTTTAATATTCAATTAAAATATTTTAATTAAAAATTATTTGATTTGTGTTTTAAATAACAAAAGGAATTTGCTTGCTGTAAGAATTTGTGGTTGGCTGAATAGTGACCCCCCTCCACAAAGATGTCCATGCCTTAATCCCTGGAACATGTTAGGTTATGTGGTAAAGGGGAATTAAGGTTGTGGATGGAATTAAGATTGCTGGTCAGTTGACCTCGAAAAGGGATGTAATCCTGGATTATCTGGGTGAGAGAAAGTCCCATAAGTGGAAGAGGGAGGCAGAAGAGGAGAATCAGAAGGAGGTGTGACTGCAGAAGAATGGCTCAAGAGATACCATGCTCCTGGCTCTGGAAGTCAGGAATGGAGGAAGGTGGCTGACAACCAAGGAATGTGGGTCACCTCTAGGAGTGGGAAAAGGCAGGATAATGGATTCAGCCCTAGAGTCTCCACAGGGAGACCTGTTTGGGACTTCTAACCTACAGAAATGCAAGATCATAAATTTGTGTTGCTTTAAGCTGCTGACTTTGAGGTAATTTGTTGTGGCAGCCATACAAAACTAATGCACAGGTGAAACAGTATACACGTATATCAAGAAAAAGCCATGATCTCACTCCCCACCCCATGGTGCCACTGGGGACCGAGGCTCCTCCTCCTTTCTGCTGGCCAACTTTGGCATGTTGGCTTTGCTCTGTGCGTATTGTCTCAGGATTACTGCAGGGCTTCTATTTCTCCAAGTAGCGTGTCTGTCTTCCAGGCAGCAAGAATTGGAAACAGAAACGTGGGGAACCTGTTCCAGGAAAAAAAAACCTTCCAAGAACCACCTAGCAGACTTCCCCCCTCACCTCTTTAGTCTGAATTGGGTCACATGGCCACTCCTAAGCCAGTGTGGTCTGGGAAAGGAGTGTTAGTTGGTGTCTTAGTCCGTGTGGGGTTGCTATAACAAAATGCCTTAGAGTCGGTAGCTTAAAAACAACAGGCATTTATTGCTCACAGTTCTGGAGCCAGAAGTCCAAGATCAAGGTGCTGGCAGATTCAGTGTCTGAGGAAGGCCTGCTTCCTTCTGCATCATGCCTTCTTGCTGTGTCCTCACTTGGTGGAAGGGGCGAACTAGCTCTCTTCGGCCTCTTAATTTATAAGGGCACTGTTCGAGATATAGAAAAACACAGTTTTTCCAGCCCTCACTCTCAATAATTTAGAATGCTTCTCTGGTCGCCCAGATGTGTGTGGGATGTTTTCCCATACAGCAAGCAATTCTCCAGCAGACATCAGCTGGGTGTCCTCTAAGTCAGTTCAGTCCTGACACTGTCTGCCTGGAATTCGCATCAGATCCCACAGGTTGAGGGCTCAGATGCTTCCACTCTAGATGCCAGTTGCAAATCCCAGGTTGTGATCTGTACCTCTGACTGATGGTCTATAAATTGGGGTTCTCACAACTCCCTTCTCCAGGAGTGGGATGGCTGGCATGGCTCAAGAACTCAGGGAAACATTCTTGCTTACATTTACCCAATTATTATAAAGGATATTACAAAGGATACAGATGAACAGCCAGATGGAGGAGATGCACAGGGTAACCTCTTATTTGTGGAAAGGGGTGTGGAGCTTTCTCTGGGCGCCACCCTCCAGGAACCTCCATGTGCTCAGCAACTGGAAGCTCTCCAAATCCAGTTATTTTAGGTTTTTATGGAGGCATCATTGCATAGCTTGATTGATTACATCATTGGTTGTTGGGTGATTAACTCAACCTTTGGCCCCTCTTCCCTTCCCTAAGGTGAGGGGTGGTGGTGGGATTGTGGGCCTGAAAGTTCCAACGCTCTAATCACAGGGTTGGTTCACTTGGCAACCAGCCCCCATCCTGAGGCTGTCCAGAAGCCCCTCACTACCACTCATCTTATTAGCACACAAAAAGACACATCACCTTGGAGATTCCAAGTGTTAGGAGCTGCATGCCAGGAAACAAGAAGAGCAGATATATATTTCTTCTTGTAAATCCCAGTATCTCGCACTAATTCCATTCATGAGGGCTCCACCGTCATCACCAAATCACCTCCAAAAGCTCCACCTCCTAATACAATCACATTGGGTGTTAGGATTTCAACATAGGAATTTTGGGGGGACCCAAACATTTAGACCATAGCAGTTGGGCACATTGCCACCCCAACACATCTGCTATTCTATGAGGAAGCAAGGTGTCAGTATTGGGCTGGCAGCCCTGTTTCTTTTAGTCTTTGTCCACAGTCTGATACATCCATCCTTAAACCTTATTGGTACCTGCACTTCCTCCCTTTTCTAGAGCCAGGGTCTCAGCCTGAGTGGCCGTGGACCGCCTGCCAGTGCCCCCCTCCAGGGACTGTGGAGCCTCTCTAGCCATCTTCATCTCAGGGCTTGTCCAGTAGACCACGCATTTGTGAAAGGAAAATGAAATCTGCCGGCCAGGTGTGATGGCTCACACCTGTAATCCCAGCACTTTGGGAGGCCGAGGTGGGCGGATCACAAGGTCAGGAGTTCGAGACCAGCCTGGCCAATATGGTGAAACCCCGTCTCTACTAAAAATACAAAAATTAGCCAGGCATGGTGGTGGGCGCCTGTAGTGCCAGGTATTCGGGAGGCTGAGGCAGGAGAATCGCTTGAACCTGGGAGTCGGAGTTTGCAGTGAGCTGAGATCAAGCCACTGCACTCCAGCTTGGGTGACAGAAAAGAAAAAAAAAAAGAAAAAAAGAAAAAAAGAAAAAAAAGAAGGAAGCTGTGGACCCCAGACTCACTATGCCAAAGGGAAAGTTAAGCTTGAGAACTGAGTCATGCAAAAAACCACTTTCCTTTTTATCCCGCACCCCGCAACGGATAGCCGTGATTTCACATGCTTGCTTATATAAAATGTAGATTTGCTGAGCCTGAGAAGAATGCATACTTGGCTTTTCCCCTATCCCCTTCTTTTCTCTTTCTCTTTCTTTCTTTCTTTCTTTCTTTCTTTCTTTCTTTCTTTCTTTCTTTCTTTCTTTCTTTCTTTCTTTCTTTCTTTCTTTCTGTGTCTGTCTTTCTTTCTTTCTGTCTGTCTTTCTGTCTGTCTGTCTTTCTTTCTGTCTGTCTTTCTTTCTTTTTGAGACGGAGTCTCGCTCTGTCGCCCAGGCGGAGTGCAGTGGCGCGATCTCGGCTCACTGCAAGCTCCACCTCCCAGGTTCACGCCATTCTCCTGCCTCAGCCTCCTGAGTAGCTGGGACTACAGGCGCCCACCATCACGCCTGGCTAATGTTTTCTATTTTTAGTAGAGATGGGGTTTCACCATGTTAGCCAGGATGGTCTCGATCTCCTGACCTTGTGATCCACCCGCCTCCCCCTCCCAAAGTGCTGGGATTACAGGTGTGAGCCACCGCGCCCGGCCCCTTCTTTTTATATGTAAGATGCAGATTCACTGAATGCCAATCAAAGCCTCCGAGGATGTAACCACTTGCCTCATGGGCACCCCTCTCTCCTTTTCCCCTCCTGCTTGCTCTTTCTCAGACCCCTCTTTGGAGAAAAGCCCAGGCCGCAGACCCTACTGTAACTTGTGTTTCTTTTGCTTGGGTACATCCCAACCTTGGCAAAATAAACCTCTAAAGGATTGAGCTCTGCCTCGGACACTTCTTGGGCCACACCCTCATGCTCACTTATCCAGCCCCCAGTGGGCGAGAAACACCCACCAGACCCGTGGGCCCCATGGGATGTTCAGTGTCATGGTTTCCTGGTGGGCTAGTGTATAATTACTTAATCCTGCTCCTTGGCTATTTCCTAATGTACTCATCCCCAAGGTAGGGCCTCTTCCCTGGATTTCTGGTGTTTTGGAACGCCGGGCATCTTTGGATGTCAGCACAGGGAGAGGTTCCTGGGCTTTGGAGGGTCTGGTAGGAACCTTGTCTTCCCACTGCATAAGGTGGGTGGGGAATGTTGGAAGGATTCCAATGACAGTGGTGCTGTAGGGCCCCTCCTTTTGGCTTTTACATGTGGGACAAGGAGGCTGGTGAGCAGCTTCCACTGAAGAGTGACCACAGGAGTGGTGACAAATGTAGAGGCCAAGGGCCAGAACCTTTAGAAACCTGTTGCTCTGTTCCAGCAAGAGGTACCTGAGGACCTCACAGGTGCCGATCATAAATCTGCACTGTATCTCAGCATGAAAACATGCGGCTTCCCTCCTTCGCAGAGACGCTGTCTTTGGTTTGAAAGGGCTGGGACAGAGAGAGGATTGGTCCCTGCCCCTGGTTTCTGTCCAGTGAGGACTGAGGCTGTGCCCTGACAGTGCTGTTTTGGGAGCAGGCACCTCTGGGGGCTCTAAGGGAGGCTTTGTTATGTGAACAGATCAAGTGTGTGGTTTTAATTGGGGAGGGTAAAGTATGGATAGTGAGCAGTGCCAGCATTGCTGACAAGTGCAAACAGCCTTTTCATCTTCTGTTTTTCCCATTTTAAGAGGCCCCGAGAGCCCCATCGCTGAGACTGACTTTCCAGGTCGGGGGGCACGGGGACCCTCCATATTATTGATGTGCCCTCCAATCAGGCCACTGGAGCCTCTTTGGCCAGGTGGGCTCTCGAGGGAATGAGAGGAAGTGACAGCATGCCCTGATTTGGGGCTGTGTGTGCCCTGATGGGGGCTTCCCTGGAACATGTGTTTTCCTGATGATTGGGACAAGTTGCAGAACAGAACTGGTTCTCGGCAGAGTACTCTGCCCACAGAGTTCCCCCTCTTTGATATGAAAAATAAAACGTGATTTCTCCAAGAATAAAAATTAGAATCAGGGTTGTGTTCCCTTTTTACACTCCTTAGAGCCTCTGATCATTTCCAGCCAAGGAGCATGCGGCTGTGTTTCCCAAAGATAGTTGCACACGGTCTTCCCAAGTCAGAGTAGCTTGCTGGAGGCACAACCCAGTCTTTACCCAGATGGCGATGGGGTGGTTCGAATAGTTGGTTTGGAAAATGATCTCCACTCTGACCCCATACCAGTTTTTATAACGCTTATCTGATTTTGAACATACTCTGTTCCTGGTGCTTCCTACCCATCTATTAACAAGGGGTCCGTGCTGGGAGGGTCACTGTGTGCAAACGCTTCCATTAGGAATCCCAGTGAGGAGGCTTTTCCTTTCCCTTGGTGCTTCAGGGGGACAACAGCAACAGAGGTTATAAAACAAGGAGCATAGATGCTGGAGAGGAATTGGGAGGGAGGGATGGAGAGAGAACTGGGTTGGTATTGGCTGTCCTGACTTTGAGAGGCTCATGGGAAATGTTGGGTGGACACATGGGTGTGGTGTCTGGAGCTCAGCAGATGGGCCTGGACTGGAAAGGAAGACTCAGAGCCATCACCACAGAGATGGCGGTGAGCTATGAAAGTGCGTGAGCTCACCTGGGCAGATGAGGAGGGACAGAACCCCAAGGACTCCACCATATGACAATGCCAGCAAAGAAACCAAGAAAAAACTGGTGATGGTGTAGATGGAGTCAGGAAGCAATACAGGGCAATTTGGGGGGATTATATGGGATGATGCATGTAAATACTTGTGTAATTTCTGATAATGGTAGTAGATGTTCAGTAAGTGGAATTAAAAAAATATCGTCTATATGCATATATGTACATAAATGCACACCCAGTATAATTCATAACGTATATTCTCACACACACACACGTGCGCATAACTGTCCCTCAACAATTGCAGAACGAGAGCTGGGGAGCAGCGGGCTTAATGCTGTAGAAGTTGGTTAGCAGTGTCAGATGCCATGGAGTTCTGAGAATGGGTGATGGGATTGGGCATTTGGGGGATTATTAGTCACCTTCGTATGACTACCACCATCCATCCACAGAACGCTTTTCATCTTCCCCAACTGAAACTCTGTATCCAGTCACCATTCAACACGAATTCCACATTCCCTCCTCTCCCCAGGCTCTGGCAACCACCACTCTACTTCCTGTCTCTAAGAATTTGACTACCGTAGGTACCTCACAGAAGTGGAGTCACACATATTTGTCCTTTTGTGATCGGCTTATTTTGCTCAGCACAGTGTCCTCAGGGTCCATCCATGTTGTGGCATGTGTCTGAATTTCCTTTCAAGGCTGAATAACACTCCATTGTGTGGATGGACTCCATTTTATCAATGCACGCATCTGTGGATGGACACTTGGTTTGCCTCCACCTTTTCACTATTGTGAGTAATGCTGCCGTGAACATGGGGGTACACATGCCTCTCCCTTCTTTTGTTCTTTTGGGTATATACCCAGAAGTGGAATTGCTGGATCATATGGTCATTCTGTGTTTAATGTTTTGAGGAACTGAGGAACGTTCTTTTTTGGGATGGGGAGACAGTGTGGCTGTGTTTGCTCATGGGTGGGAGGACTGAGTAGAGACAGAGTGGAGGCAGGGGAGGGGATAACCCCTGGAGCGGGCCCTGGAGGAGCCAGTGGTGCTGGGATTCAGGAAAAGGAGGGAGAGCGATGATGGCAGCCCTGAGGCAGAGGATGGTGACAGTGGAAGAGGCAGGGAGGCCCCTTGTCATCCTGGGCCCAGCCGACCCTGTGGTGAGAGGCAGGACGGGAACCACAGGTGAATTGAGTATGATTGAGGAACAGGAACACACAGAATGGCAGCTGAGCTAACGTTGGAAACTGGATATTTGTGGTGACATTAATTGCGGTTTTCTCCAGTAAGATGTGGAAACCTGGGAGTAACCATTTTCTTCATGCTAATGTTGGAAACGAGTGAGGGTTGTAATTTTATAGGTGAAAAGTTAACTCAAGTCTACTGCAGAAAATTTTATGATCAATGCATACTATTCTATGATATGCAGAATAAAAAATATTTCCCCACATGTAGGATGATGCAAAAATGATGTGCTTTGGCTGGTATCTGGCATTAGAACAGGAAAAGGAAGTGAGGGGACTCCTGTATTAATCATTTAACACAGAAGCGGGGAGTTGCTCAAAAATCAGCATCTCATGTAACCATCATACATTTGTCAAAACTAAAAATAACTAAACTACAGACTTTTTTGGGATTTCACCAATTTTTCTACTAATGGTCTTTTTATCCAGGGTACCATGTTTCATTTAATCATCATATCTCTTGAATCTCCTCTAATCTCAGTTTCTCAGTCTTTCCTTGTTTTTCATGACCTTGACACTTTGAAGTATATGGATCAGGTATTTTGTAGAATATCCCTCAATTTGGGTTTGTCTGATGCTTTCTCATTGTTAGACTGGAGTTACGAATATGAGGAAGACCACCACAGAGGTAAGGTACCCCCCTCATCACATCATATCATGATGTCAACATGTGACTTACTACTGGTGAGTTAACCTTGATCACCTGGCCAAGCTGGTGTCTGCCAGATGTCTCCTCTGTGAAGTCACCATCTTTCCCCTCCCTTACTCCTTGTTAGAAGCCAGTCACTAAGTTCAGCCCACACTCAAGAGGAGGAGGATTAAGCTTTGCCTCCTGGGGGAGAGCGTGTCAAAGAATTAGTGGACGTGAGTTAAAGCCATAGTGATTAATAAATATTCTGGGGGAGATACTTCCAGGCCTTGCAAATGTCCTGTTTCTTCTTAAAATTTCAAGCACTGATGTTAGCATTCTAGAGTGGATCTGGGCCCAGCAGCAATCACCCTGGTGTTCTGGGGGTGACTTTCTGTTTCCCTCCTTTGTTTTTCACATTTCTGATTTGGAATTCTTTTTTAAGGAAAATTGGTCTCTTCCTCCATTGTTAATTTAGTCATTGTGACATTAATATGGACTCCTGTCTATTTATTTTGGCCTTTAGGTTGTAATTCAATAGTGTGGGTATTTATTTTGTTGCTCAAGTTATTTGACCTTTGGCCATTTGGCTCCTGCTTCATCTTCTCCCACCCTCTACTGTTTGTGTGTGTGTGTGTGTGTGTGTGTGTGTGTGTGTGTGTGTGTGTGTGTGTGTAATTCCAATTTTCTAGCACTATAAGATGCTCCTGGTTCATCTTACATTCTGATGCTTTCCCTGCCCCTACCATCAGCTGCTTATGTGTTTCTCCTTTTATCAGAGAATGTCCTCCCATAGCTCAGAGTGATTGGATCGTCTGAAGCCTTGGTATTAGAAAACCAGGGTGCTAGTTGAGCTCCTTACTATTGGGTATCATTGCTTCTATGCTCTATTAGGGGACAGAACTAGGAAATATATGTATTGCCAGTTCTCATCATTTGCAGCAGTTTTGTTTTATGAAGTCATCATGGATACTCAGTTAGTGAATACTGAGCCATTGCCTTCAGGGGAAATACACATGTACATGGTTAAGTTCCTGTTGCCTCTGGCCTCATTTTCCTCAACTGGTTAGTACATAACCTTGTTTCATGTGTGTTTCTGTTTAACCTGTTTGACCTGTTCCTCTGTCTCATGGCATGCATTTCAGTCCTGCAATTCTATCTTCCCTTACGGGTGTTAACAAAAGACCAGTGAGATCTGCGGAGGCAAAAGGATAACTTTATTTTCTAAAAGCAATCTGAAGATTGGGAGAGACAGCCTTCAGCAAAAAACAAAAATGTACTCCAAGGAGAGACTGGGGATAGAAGGTCATAAAGGTGCAAACCACAGGATAGCTGGGGATTCAGGTACAGGGGCCGGGTTGGATGGTCTTTAAGGAGGACATCACAAGTCTGTCTTCATGGGCTGGCCTCAGGGGGTCTCTGGGTGGTCAGCTGCGGCATTTCCAGCTACACTCTATTTCAGCACTGACAACAGGAACTGGTTTGACTGGATGGTAGAAAGGGAGGTCCTGTGACACTTTTACAATATATTTCTGAGAACACAGAGAACATGACCTTTTCCTCACCCAACTATGGCCACCTGGCTCTGCTTTCGTTTTGCACACGTCAGTTAGCCACGGGGAGTCCATTTTGACTGTCCACTGAGGACATACTTTAACACTGGGGAGGCTGCATCTGTGATCTTTGTAAAGCGGTCATTTGTGGAGGCCTGCTATGTGTTGGGGACAGTGCAAGGCACTTCCCCTTCATTATTTCTGTGATCTCCATCCCAGTCTCAGAACTGTGGATCATCTTTCCTTTTTTGAAGATACAGACACCAAGCTCAGCTTGTGATGTGTAGGTCTACACAGCTGCCCAGGGCCGGAGGCAGGATGCGGATCCAGGTCTCTTGTGTTCAAGGCTGGAGCTGCTGAGTTTGACTGTCCAGGTGGGGTCCTGGCAGCCATATTTTTAACTTACTGAGTAGCTGATACATTGGCTTTTAAAATTTGTGTTGAATTCTTTTGACTTGCCCTCCTTGTTTGTAATTAAGTAACTGACATTCCTGAATACCACGGTCAGGTTGAAGATGAAGCCAAACTGTGATGGTCATTTTCAGAATTGATGTTTAGGACTGGATGGGAGCGTGGGTTCTCTGCCATTCAGGAGGACACCACTTTTTTCACTAAAATCCAAGTTCTGATTGGAGCTGTCTTACTTGAAAATGTTCTGGGAATTCATGTCCTTGCTGGATTACCAAGGGGATTTGCATTTACTTTGGAAATTCAAGCACATTTTATCCAACCTACAGGCACTAATGAAAAGCTAATGAACTGCTGAGACACTGTTTCAAATAAATGATTACAATCGACAAGAGAAGTACAAACATGACCCTGATGAAGGATAATCAAGAGCCAGGGGAAAGGGGTGATTTTATTAATTATCCAACCTCTCAGTCTAGTTTCAGAATGGTGAATAAGAATAGAAGTTGGAGATGCAATATTATATGAAGTGTTCTGTTACTTTTAAAACAGGCCAATTAATAGAAGACAGTGTTTTTAGGATCATCTTGAGCATGGTTACTGATCTCCTCTTAGAATCTAAATATCAGCTTATTTTAGTAATTTAGACGTTTACTTTTTAAATTTTTACATTTTATAGCTAGTTGCAACAATATTGCAGTTATGTTTTTTTTCTTTAAATGTGAGCCTTTGGCTTATGTACTTGATAGGGAAAGCTTTATAGTCCATTGTAGACTTTAGGCTTTAAGAAATCATTGTTTACTGGAAAAAGCCATCATTTCTTTTCAATGACCTGATTCTTCCCTGGCCTTTTGCACTAGTGGGAGATGTTCGGAAGGGATAGGAAAAGTCAGGGACAGCTTCATGGACTTTGGTTTCGGATAACTAATGAAGTGGAATGTAACGTCTAAAAGACAATTTAAGATTGAAGCAGGAAGTTGTATTGTCATTTTTGTTTGGCCCCCACCTCCTGTCCATTTGATCTTTTTGGGCCTTCTGAGTTCTTGGACAGGAGGTTAGGGGTCAGCATGGAAAACAAAGTAAATATGACCGTTTGAAATTCTGTCTAAAGACTGGATTGATATTTCAAAATATAACATCGTTGGAAATTCCGTAATGTTACAGATACGTTTGAAAAACATTTTCTCCCAAGTAATTAATACTTAAACGAGTGGAGAAGTCATTTATTGGTTTCTCTTCATGATTCAGCATTGGCATCAGTGTTCCCTTGCATTTTGTTTTCAAGCTTCCGAATGCATTTCATTTGAGGGTATCCTAAAATTACAAAGTAAAACCTGTTTCCAGAATTTTCTTGATACTGGGCAGCCAAAATTAAATTTAGAAGTAGATGATTTTTGTAGGCTGTTATGACTTCAGCTGCCCTCTATAATGCCAGTTTCCAACCTTTTTGTTCTCGACTGAATATGTAATACATATTTTACATCTGAACTTATAAAAGAAATCTCTGCTCACAGAACACCACTTTTGTCTGTTTTATATATTAGATTCTGCATAGGAATGTCTTTGGGGAATAAAAAGTTCTCTTAAAGTTTAAAAACGATTGACCCCAGTGCCAGATGGGCAGTGCTGTTTTCCTTCAGGAAGTCCATGTCCTCTGGAGGGTGAGTAGAGGCGCTTCCTCAGCGATGGGACCCAGGGCTCTTTGCAGGTAGACGAGACCTAATGGAGTATTGCTAACATATAAGATAATCTGAGTATGTTACACATGAATTAAACAGCTACATTTTTCTTCTCCAGGTCAGTGTCAGGTGTTTTACAATATGATTCCTGACATTGTAGAGAAAATGACAAATGGCAAGATCTCCGACATCTGAACTGCCCGATGGAATGGCAGGAACTCTGCATGTTCTCACCCCAGGAGTGAAATCACCAGATAGGATCATTCCTTGTACACCTGAGTTCTACTTTGCCCAGATCCCAGATCTAGCTTTGTTGCCATTGGCTGCTCTAGTACATCGGTTGACTCATCAGTAGCAAAGGGCTTAATGGTTCCCTCAGTAGATGCCTGTGCTCTGCTGTCATGTTTCATAAAAATAGCATGAGCAACCAGGCCTGAGGGACTTCCCAGGATGGAGGTCTTCCATCTTCCAGCACTAAAACCGAAAACTCCAGGGCAAACTGGGATGAGTTGCTTACCCAGATGTGATACTTACTTTCAACCACAGTGAAAGAGCATCTTTAGAGTTCCATTTACATTTTGTGTGTGTATATATATACACACACACACACATATTGTATATATATACATATATATGTGTGTATATATATGTGTATATATATATGCAGCAACATTCTCTTGAAAGAATCCAAGGGCCTTATTTTTATGTCCACCTTTCCCTCCCACAGAGTTTGATTAGAACCAAATAACAATTTATAAAACTACACTATAAAGATGGTTTGAAGGCTTGGGTAAGTTTTATCATCCCCTAAAAAGGATATTAACAAACATAAAAATTAAACAAGCAGTGCTGAAAATTTGCCCCAAGCATCACCCAGGATGCACTATGCTGGTCAAACATG
Organism: Homo sapiens; assembly: GCF_000001405.40. Lineage (NCBI taxonomy): Eukaryota > Metazoa > Chordata > Mammalia > Primates > Hominidae > Homo > Homo sapiens. The sequence continues at coordinate 1,598,428 of NW_011332701.1, read as the reverse complement.
GTCCCCACTGCTCATTCCTGGGAGTGCCAGGCAGATGTACCAAAATGTGGGTCCAGCTGCTTCTTTAGGAGGGTGTCCTCATTTGAAATTTATATTACTTCCCCTTTGAGGGTTTGCAGACTGGGAAGACTGCTCCCACCCCGGAGCCAGTGGGGAGCACAGAGTGGATGCAGATCTCTGAGCTCACGTTTCTTGCTGTCTTAAAAACACAAATGCCAGACAAAGGCAGACTTTCCAAAAAAGAAAATGGGAGGGAAAAGTCACTGAAAGAAGCAAACACGTTTGTCAAGCAGGATGGAGTTAGTAGGGCGCAGCCTGGAGAGTGATAGGGAAGAGGGGAAAATGGGGAGGAAAGGAAAACAGGTGTACAGTACTCTCAAAACAGACCACAGTTAAATAGTTGCAGGAAACAAGTCTCACTGGGTTTAGAGCAGTTTCTCAACCTGGATCATAGCTGAGATTCCCTGGGAGCCACAAACTCCCATTTTGAGAAACTCGAGTCTTGGAGTCTGCCTAACACTCGGGCCATGGTCTGCCATGCTTTCTTCTTGATTGTTTTACCAAAATTCCATTTTGAAATGTTAGTTTTTAACACAAGACTTTTTTCACCGTCTAAGGCATTGTTTCTCAAGCTTCGTGAGACTCCATGTGCACTGCCACCGCCCTGCCCTGCCCCAGTGTCCTCTGATCTCTGCTTGAGGAGCATGGATGAGCTGTAAGGTTTAACTCCAGTGGAAGTAGTTTGGTTATTCATGTGTGCTCTATGTATGTATGTCATGTATGCTTCAGGTCAAACCTGCGAGAGTGAGATTCTTTTCTCCTTCATGGTTTATTTTGCACCATGTGGATGTGTCTGTGTGATCTGGGTATTCTGTAATTTGCAGCACATGACCCTTCCAGAGACTCTGAGTCTGATTTATGATACATTGCACAGCTGTGGATTAGTGTGGGACACTGAACAGGTGAAGGGATGCTGAGGAAAGGCAAGGATGTGGTTTTAATCACCCAAACATCCAGTAATCACATAGCTTCTTATGTGAGGCTTGTTTAGGAAGGCGAAGGAAACACTTTGCAATGTTGACCTATGCACCAGGGAACATCTTTTTGAAAGGCTTAATGAATACCAGACCTATTACAGAACAACAGTCTCTTCCAAAGCAGAGGCAATGAAATGCATAGATACTCGCTCATAGATTGCTGAATTCTGCAATCAGGGAAGCCCCATGATCCCTTTGAAAGATTGCAGGAATTCCTGAATTCCTAAAACTCAAGATATATCCTAAAGTGGCATGCCAGCTAGAGCCACGGTAACCACACAGTCGTTAGTTCATTCAGCAGATTTCCTTGGTCATCCGTTTCTAGGTACTGTTGTACACTCTAAGCTCACATTCTCTAGGATAGACAGAGGGTAGACAGACAAACAAATTGACAATGTAATGCTGGGTAGTAAGAAGTCTTACAGCAACAAATACATAGAAGCAGGGCATGGGAATAGAGTAACAGGGTTGGTGGTGTAGAGCCATCAGGTGAATGACGTGCTTTTTGGTTCTTTATGAGAGGATGAGGGTGGTTCGCTTTAGGAAAGGAGAATGCACAGATCCTAGGGCCAGAAGGTAGCTGTTTTTTTTTTTTTTTTTCCCATGGAGGAGTCTGTGTTTGGTGTCTGAGAGACCTTGAGACCCCTTGAGGGACAGCCAGTAGCAGAGAAGGGGTCTGGGGAGGCTTCCCCTACTGGGAATCCCTACCAGCTGCCAGTGGGGGCTGTGGGGCCAGCCTTTGAAGCCTATTATGGGGATTCTCTCTAGACTTGTCAAGAGCCAAATTTGACTAAAAGGGACATTCTGGGAATTATTTCATCTTGGCTTGAAAGAATGCATTTTTGACCAGCTGTGTTATGTGATGGGGAATAAGATTTGTACCATTAAGTAAATTGGTCTTTCTCTCATGGATATGTGAATTGCTATGAGCAGCCTTAAGAATAAAATGTAGCTAAATCACTGTTGGAGTTGAGTTTCTAAGGGTAAAGGGAATTTTCTACCATTAGTTCAAAAAGGAAAGGAGCAAACTGGGAAGGGGCACCTGTGGTCCATTTGAAACAGGACACAGCCCTTCATTGCATTATTCCATTCTGAGTATTCACTACAATGAAAATGCAACCTGAAGACACAGTGAACTGAGGTTGGCTGAGACCTACCCTCCTAGGCTAGACACTCACCCACCTGTGATGCTGTGGGGAGGAGACAGTCACAGCCACCAGTGCTGGGGCTGGGTCCAGTACACAGAGTGCCAGGACCGTCGGGGGCTGGCCCAGGCAGGTTCCTTGGCTCATGAGAGGGCAGTGGTGTGATTGAGACCTGTTTGTGCTGGGATTCAGTTGTAAAAAAGATGCCTCTTATGCTCATGGAGAACTTTACCCAGGGGAGCCTTACACCATGATAAAGACCTGCAGATGGAGGTGGGCGTGCGATGAGCAGGTAGAGAATAGGTGATTATACCCGGTGCCTGTTGGGGGTAGATGCCCAGGAGTGAGGCTGGAGGCAGGAGCCAGGGCTGGACCAGCAGTGGAGCCGGCCAACTCCAGGCCTGCAGGGAGAGCTGAGGGCTCCTCACAGCTGCGTGGATCTCAGGGTCTGGGGAGGCTGCAGCAGGGAGCTGGGGGAGGAGGGGAGGGGTGAAGCTATGCTGGGACAGAGGTGTCTGCCAGGCCCTGTAGGTGTGGGCTGCCATGCTGTTTCTAGCCACTGGTCAGGGGCACTGCCCTGGGCATGGGCTCCTGCAGCCTGAGTCACCAGCTGCAGCCGGATTCCCCCAGTGTGCACTGGGGACCCAGGGTCCTGATCCCAGCAAAGCTTACAGTGTTGGGGAGAGGGTCTGATGGGAACAGCACTAACCAGCCAGAGTAAGATGATCAAACATGGTGCAAATGTGGGGAAGAAGACATCAGAGCAGTTCTTCAGGCCAAGCCACTGGGAGGAGATGACGTTTAAGCCCAGGCCAGGATGGTGACGAGGCATCCGTGATGTGGAAACCTGGTGAAGAGCCTCCTAGGCAGTACAGACCCATGCTCAAGAGCTCAGACATGGCAGGCGTGCGGGGCAGACAGAGGGCCTGGGAGTCTGAGCCTGGTGTCTGGGGCAGAGGTGGGTGAGACCAAAGCCCAGGGCTGTAGGTGGGATTTATTTGAATTGCAGAAAATTGGAATTGAGGTTATAAACAAGAAGGAACAGGCATTGTCTGAAGTGAGCAGAAGTCTTTTGAATTAGAATTAGACTCCATGAGTTGAGAGAACATGTCACTAATTTTATATTTAACACAATCCACTTTGCCTGCCTATTTAAAGGTAAGTGCATTTTGCAGTGATATGGCCTATTACAGCCCGAGAGCCATTTTAGAGCAACAAAGGATGAAATCTCAGGCAATTTGTCCTGGTTTTGCTAACTATCAAAATAGCCTGTTCACATTGAAAGGGAATGCAAATGCCACGGCGTTTCCATTATTTCAGACTTCCTCATCAGAGTGGTCTTGTGTTCATTTCATTAATTTGAAGAATAGAAAATGAGGGTTCTCAGACCTGGAGTGAGAGGCAAATGGATTGATCTCTCTGCCTCCACCTCCCACTCCTTTCCCCTAGAAAAACTGTTATTTAAATTTTGAGTGTGTGAACATAGGCTAAGATTTATTTTACTTTTTAATTTGCTTACTGTTTTTCCTCAAGCTGAGTTCTCTATGTTCTGTGCTTGCAGATGCCAGGGAGTATAAAATCATATTATGAACAGACTAATGAGTTTACCATTGCTTAGATCTAAAAATAATTTTAAGAAAAATGGTTATATATGTTATATAAATTTTGGGAGAGGGTTTCACAAAGTAACTTTTATTTTGTGGGTTATATTTTTGCTAAAAGCATGTCTGTAAAATGTCTCCGGGGCAAGTTATAAAATTATATTTTTAATTAATTTAAATATAATTTAAAATAAAATTACAGTTTTAGGAGAATGACTCAAAGCAGTCTAACAGTTGTACAAGATTCAAAATGACACAGCTGGATCCTACTCCAAGCAGACCTGTTTCATCAAAATTTTAGATTCATAAAAACCATAAGTTATATAGGATTCTTTACTTATCACAATAAACCATACGTGCAGGGGCCAGCGTGGCATCGCAGGAGGGAAATTTATGGCCTGGGTATAAACCGAGGCTCCCCTGTTACTGCCAGCGTGATTTTACCCGGGGTTACGTAACCCGGCCACTGGTATCCTTAGAATACCAGATTATAATTGCATTTCCCTCTTTAGGTCCTTGTGAGGATTAAACAGGTAGAGTGCCCAGATGTAAAGCTTGAAAACAGTTTGGGCCCGCAGTGTGCCTCAGCCACCCTGAATACATGCTCCTGGAATGGGGTATATTTAGGGCAAGCAGCAGAAACCAGCTTTGGGTAGCTACGCACAAAGGAGTTACTAGAAAGACATCTGGGAGGGTGGGAGCTCACCGGAGCCGTGTCAGTAAGACCAGGAACCTGGGGACCATGAGGATCTCTAGCACAGTTTCATTGGACACTGCCTCTCTCTCCTTATGTCAATCCATCCGACTCAGAGTGGTCATTGGCCCTTTTTTGGGGAGTGGGTGGTCTCCAGGATAATTAAATCTAGGTCAGATTAGGCCTTGTTTTACCGAGTGATGGGTGTACCTCCATTCCTCCCTCCTTCCTCCCATCCTTCCCCCACCCATCTCTCAATGCATTCTTTTTGTTTGTTTGTTTGTTTGTTTTTGAGATGGAGTCTCACTCTGTTGCCCAGGCGGGAGTGCAGTGGCATGACCTTGGCTCACTGCAACCTCTGCTTGCCTCCCGGGTTCAAGTGATTCTCCTGCCTTAGCCTCCCGAGTAGCTGTGATTACAGGCATGTGCCACCATGCCTGGCTTCTCAATGCATTCATAATGATCATAGTCCCTGCTATGGGCCAGGCCTGTGCTGGGAGCTGGAGATACTGCTTTGGAGAAGACACACCAGGCCTCTGCCTGGCGAGTACACGTCCTAGAGCAGGAGAGACAGGCAAAAAATAAGGAAACCATTTCATACAGAGATACATGTTTAAGATAAAACTGCAAGGCCATCGAGAGGGGCCAGGGCTGTGCTGTGGACTCGGGGCTCAGCAGGGACCTCTCTGAGCCTGTGGCCTTTGAAATGAGGCTGGCAGGATGAGTGGAGCCAGCCATGGGAGGAGCCTTTTATCAATGGGGGAGACAGGTGGTATCTCTAACTCACCTTCTGAAAGAAAGCCTTCTTGCCTTTCCCCACTTCCCACTTTCTTGTTTCCGCTTCCTCCATTCCCAGGTTTTCCCCACGGAATTGATTTCTCCTTAGAGACAATGTGTATGTGGTGGTTGAGGTCTGTAACACAGGCTTCTGGGTTTCAGAGGAAGTAAAGGTTCAATAGGTATTTGAAAGTCTGCGCCCAGCCCTATTGTATAGATGGGGTATGTGGGTGGCTTTACATCAGGCGTGGATGAATGAAGCCACCTGGCTCGCTAGGAGTGCCTTTTGGTAACGGCTTCTTGAACTGGGACTCCTTCCCTCATCCTCACCCCATCATGGAGGTGCCCTCACGCCGGCCCGGATCGGGCATTGCACAGCCCTGTTGGCATTCCATACCTGCTTCTCTGTATTCCTTTGAGAACTACGGGGTCCGTAGTTTCAGCTCATGGCTGTCCGTAGATTTCAACCACAGACGAATTTGTCCCTTCTACCGGATCCTGTCAGAATTAGGACAGAGGGGAGGAAGGACTGCAACCAGCAAAGCAGGTGATGTTTTTAATGGGTTACATGTGCTAGAGAGTATACATGTAAGTACAAAATCCCAGCTCCAACGTGGGAGTCCCAAATTCAAAAATTAAATATTGGCTGGCCATGGTGGCTTATGCCCGTGATCCTAGCACTTTAGGAGGCCGAGGTGGGAGGATTGCTTGAGGCCAGAATTTCTAGACCAGCCCTGGGAACGTAGTGAGTCTCTGTCTCTACAAAATTTTTAAAATTACCCAGGTGTGGTAGCGTGTGCCTGTGGTCCCAGCTACTTGTGGGGCTAAGGCAGGAGGATTGCTGGAGCCTGAAAGGTTGAGGCTGCAGTGAGCCAAGATCGCACCAGTGCATTCCAGCTTGGGCCACAGAGCAACACCCCATCTCAAGATAGATGGATGGATGGATGGATGGATGGATGGATGGATGGATAGATAGACATCTCAAGATGGATGGATGGATGGATGGACAGATAGACATCTCAAGATAGATGAATGGACGGATGGATAGATAGACATCTCAAGATGGATGGATGGATGGATAGACAGATAGGCAGATAGATAATTAACAGTGCAGGCATAGGATGCAGGAGACCTATCATTTTGACAGCTAATGTAAAAACAGATCTGGGTATGTCAGTTGAGAGCAAGTTCAAAGTGGGCAGATCTCATCAGCCACCCAGCAAATCCTCAATGCTGCAAATTCTGCTGCCTCTCTGTGCAGTGAATGTTGTTGCTTGTGACACTGGTGATCCGTGACTATATTTAAAACCTTTTATTTGGCCAGCCTTAGGGATGACTGATAGCTGCATTTTTGTATTTCCTGGTTTCTAAATGGGATGCCGTTTCCTGACATTTTCATTACTCTCACTTTTGTGTGTGCTGGTGAATGGCAGCACAGGAAACCCTGCATTATGAAGTCTGTCAGTGCTGGCGCTATTTATTATAGAAATAGTGACACATTTGGAATTTGGGCATGTACTAAGAGGACTGGCCTTTTAAGTTCTGTTTCCTAATAATGTATTTAAACAATTCAGAAATTTTACTTTTTTTTTTTTGGGAAAAGAGCTTAAGACAGATGGAAAAGTGAAGCTTTAAAACATGGAAGTGGCTGGGCACGGTGGCTCACACCTGTAATCCCAGCACTTTGGGAGTGCAAGGAGGGTGGATCACCTGAGGTCAGGAGTTCAAGACCAGCCTGGTCAACATGGTGAAACCCCATCTCTGCTAAAAATCCAAAAAAATAGCCGTGTGTGGTGGCGAGCACCTGTAATAACAGCTACTCGGGAGGCTGAAGCAGGAGAATCGCTTGAACCCATGGGGCAGCGGTTGCAGTGAGCCAAGATCGAACCACTTCACTGCAGCCTGGGCGATAGAGTGAGACTCTGTCTCAAACAAACAAACATGGAAGTATGTTTTTTGAGTGTATCGGAGTCTCCACAGGGTGTCATCTTGATTCTGCTGTGGAAAGTGGACTTGGCTTTGGGTTTGACTTGTATTTTTCCCCAATGATTCTTAGACATTTCTGTTCTGTCATTTAACTTTCCACTTAAAAATGAATTCTGGGTAGGTCTAGGTACATACTGCAATATTTTATCTTAATAAATTGTCAAGGATGGTGTTTTGTTTATATTATGATATTTATCACTCTGTTGGTTTCGGACTTTTAAGGTGATGGGTCTGAAGAGTGTCCTAAAGGAAAAAGCTCCAGCCACCATGTAGTGGGTGTGATTTGGTGTTTCTCACCAGGCAGTCTGCTGGTTCTTGTTCAAAGTGCAGGTTTCTGGGTGTATAGGGAGACTCGTACCCCCAACCCCACTGATGTCCACGTCCTTCCTAATCGCTGGAACCTATGAATGTATTACTTTACATGGCAAAAGGGGCTTTGTAGATGTGGTGAAGTTATGGGTTTGGAGATGGGGAGGTTATGCCGGGTATCTGAATGGGTTCAAGGTAGTCACAAGGGCCCTCATAAGGGAAAGAGGGAGGCAGGAGAGTCAGAGAAGGAGAGGCGAGGATGGAAGCAGAACTCAGGAGTGCAGTGGGGCCACAAGCCAAGGGCTGAGGGCAGTCTCTGGAAGCTGGAGAAGGCAAGGAAAGGGACTCTCCCCTGGAGCTTCCAGAAGGAGCTCAGTCCTACCAACCCAACCCATTTTGGACTTTTGACCTCAAAAGCTGAAAGGTGATAATTTTGTATTGTTTTAAGCCACTGAGTTTTTGGTCATTGGTTGCAGCAGCAATAGGAAACTAACAGATAGGGCTATATCTCAGGTACCCCAAGTTGGACTCCGGGGGTTGGGGCTCAGGCAGTCTTCGTTTTCAACCCCGCTTCTCCATGATTCGTATGAACAGTGGAGGAGAGGAAATCATTGCTCTCACTTCTTTGAAAGTTGTTGCAGGATAACGATTAGGCCTGGAAAGCTTTGAGAATGGAAAAATAACAACAGCAATTAATAGTATATATACTCAGTGTTTATAAAGACATACACATACTTTTAATTATAGAGCAGAAATTGCTAGTTTGCTTTAAATATAACAAAATAAATCACCTAGGGTCAAAGAACAAAAAGAAACCAAGCACCCATAAGATAATAAGGTCCATCTGGAGGCCACATGGCTACAGTTTTCTTTGGCCTTCTCTCATCACTTATTTCCTGCAGACAGTAGGTCAAAGCCATCATGTTTAATTCTGATTGGACAATTCTCTTCTACTTCTGTATGTAATGCACTGCCCCAAGCTTTGGGCATCACACTGACCACTCGGCGCCCAGTGTGCATAGCATTTTGAAGTATTTGTGAATGTTTAGGATATATCACATACCAACTCCAAAAGCCAATGGAGTAAATGGCACACAGTGAAACAGAGAAATGGAATAAAACTTCAAAACAACTCTGGCTTATGACCTGTGAGATCTGAGAGGTGCCACATTGCAAAAGAAGAGACTGTCAAGTGCAGTGGAGGCAGACGGAGGACACGAAAATGTTACTGTGAGAAGGAAACCAGATGACCAACATTGGATTAGTGAATTAGGATATCACCTGGGGGATCTATTTTTCAACTGAGAGGAATGAGACAAGATGGGGAAATTAGGAGAGAAAAGCTAAAGGTCATGGAAGATACATGTAAGACGTCAGACAGGCATATAGGAGATGTTTTTGTTTTAGGTTTGATTCATGTAATAGAACATTTTCTGAATTTCAGTAATCAAAAAAAATCAAAGATAAGCGTTAAACAAGACAAAGCAGGCTACAGAAAATAATCACATTAATACTAGATTTTAATCCATAAAGTCAAATGCTAGAAGATAATGCAGCAACATTTGCATATTTTAGAAGGAACAGGTTGTTAAGCAAGATTCCTCTAGGCTTTCTGTATGCAAGATTTCTAAGCTCATGTATGTGAATGGGTACATGAAAGTGATTTTCAGAAATACAGTGGACTCCAAATTTCTGCATACCATTTCTGAATAAAGGAAATGACTTGTAGTGCACAAGCCAAATGAGGAAAATTATTATTAAATATTTAATACCTTTACTTGTTATTAAAATAAATCAATTATTTAATTATTAAAATAATCAATTATCTTTATGTAATAATTATATAAATTCAATAATTTATAGAATTATATAAATTTAATAATTATATTTAGTTATTAAAGATAAACAGGAAGCATTGGTATAAATACTGCAGAAGTAAGCAATTAAACCAATGAAACATAAAGTTAAGTTTGAATTGTTGACACTAATGTGGTTGTTTTGATAAAATCTGGGAGGCAGGTTGAGGTAGAAAATTTTGCCATGTTGCATAGAGACTATAGATATCTATGCTATTGATATATACTTATTAGATATATAATTTCAAACATAGATTTAAAATTTTGGTTAGAAAATTGATATATAATTTCCAAATCATTAGAAAAAGCAAACAACAAAAATTGAACAAAATAGCAAAAGACAGGAAAATTAGAGAAACAAAAATTAAGGAAATATAGTAAATAAGCTAGGAAATAATTCAGTTATGTTAGCTACCACGCTAAAGGTGTTACTTAATTTCCTCTATTAAAAGACAGCACTTTTAGATTGGGGTAAAAAGCAAAAATCAGATAGATACTATTGGCAAACAAACAAACACAAATAGCTTAAAATAACAGACCAGGGCATTGGCAAAGAGCTATCTGGCAGTGGCCAAGTAAAGGAAAGTAGGACTGTCCACGTATGATCAAATAGAATGCAATACAAAAATATAACTCCAAACAGGATAAAGAAGATTTAAAACTAGTCATAAAAAGCCAGGCGTGGTGGCTCAGCCTGTAATCCCAGCACTTTGGGAGGCTGAGGCAGGCAGATGATGAGGTCAGGAGATCGAGACCATCCTGGCTAACACAGTGAAACCCCATGTCTATTAAAAAATACAAAAAAAAAAACAAAAAACCTGGACGTGGTGGTGGGTGCCTGTAGTCCCAGCTACTTGGGAGGCTGAGGCAGGAGAATGGCGTGAACCCTGGAGGTGGAGCTTGCAGTGAGTGGAGATCATGCCACTGCACTCCAGCCTGGGCAACAGAGCGAGACTCCATCTCAAAAAACAAAAACAAAACAACAACAACAAAAACTAGTCATAAAAGTATAATCACCCCATTATGGTGTTTGCAGATCTGTCATCTGTCTGATGGGTTTTGATGATGGAAATAGAATGTACTGTGTCAGTAGAATTAGAAAACCATGACTTGGTCAGCAAGAACAAGATACTTGGAGACACAGACATGATAAGGCTTGCTGGTCTTGTGCCTGCAGTGGGAGAGACACTGGCGAGGATTTTGGTAGCAATTTGTGCAGAAGACAACTTTCAGAAAGACTCCAGTTGTAAAGAAAAGGAAATGTGTTGAAAAAGCTGTGAGCTTGAGGATTCCTGGGGCACTGCCTGGTGTGTCTCCTCTGCCTCATGGTTACCAACGGAATAAATAAACCAGGACTTTGCAGGGCCCCTCTCAGTACCTCTTCTCCCTGTTGTGGATGACCTGGTGTTGGGTCACTACAGGTCAAGACAGCCTTTACCTTCTCTTGTGCTCCTTTCACCTGAGAGGTTGGCGCCTACCCAGACTGGGCAGAATAGAGTCAATAGCAATATTAAAAGAGGAAGCCAAGTTGGGCTTCTGGGTCAGGTGGGGATTTGGAGAACTTTTGTGTCCAGCTAAAGGATTGTAAATGCACCAATCGGCACTCTATAAAAACACACCAATCAGCACTCTGTAAAAGGGACCAATCAGCACTCTGTAAAAGGGACCAATCAACGCTCTGTAAAATGGACCAATCAGCAGGATGTGGGCGGGGCCAAATAAGGGAACAAAAGCCACCCAGTCAGCGGTGGGAGCCCCATGGGGTCCACTTAGGTAGTGCAGAGGTTTTGTATTTTTGCTGCTCTTGGCAATAAAGCTTGCTGTTGCTCACTCTTTGGGTTTGCATTACCTTTATGAGCTATAACTCACATTGAGGGTTTGCAGCTTCCTTCCTGAAGTCAGTGAGAGCACAAACCCGTGGGAAGGAAAAAGTTCCAGACGCATCTGAAAGAACAAACTCTAGACACACCATCTTTAAGAGCTGTGACACTCACCGTGAGGGTCCACGCCTTCATTCCTGAAGTCAGCAAGACCAAGAACCCACGGGGAAGAATAAATTGCGGACACAATGTGAGCCTCATTTTTTTTCCCATTGAGATAGTCTGAATGTACATCATTGGAGGATGGGTGTCCACATACGTGTGTGATATATTTTTAAAGGAAAAACTGTGTACTGTGAACGGAGTCCTTAGAAAAAAATCAAATTTTTTTTTTGAGACGGAGTCTCGCTGTCGCCCAGGTTGGAGTGCAGTGGCGCGATATCTGCTTACTGCAGCCTCCGCCTCCCAGGTTCACGCCATTCTCCTGCCTCAGCCTCTGGCGTAGCTGGGACTACAGGCGCCCGCCACGTCGTCCGGCTAATTTTTTTTTTTTTTTTGTATTTTTAGTAGAGATGGGGTTTCACTGTGGTAGCCAGGATGGTCTCGATCTCCTGACCGCGTGATCCGCCCGCCTTGGCCTCCTGAAGTGCTGGGATTACAGACGTGAGCCACCGCGCCGGCCCAAATAAACTTTGTAAACCAAAAAATCTAGGTATGAATACATTTAAACATTGCCATTGGTTTATCTTTGTGTATGGTGGTGTGGGTGAATTTTACATTCTTCTCTAGAATTTTTCATGTTAACTAAATTTAGCAGCATTAGGGTGTACTATTTATATGTATAGTCAGAAGAAGGAATTTTCATTGTGAAGGAAAAAAACCCTAACTTATCTCTCTCTGAATTCCCACTATAATTTCCTATGCCAGCATTTTCACTAACATGTATAGTAAACAACTGTGTATACAAGATGTTAAATGTGTATTCTGAGTTAAAAAGATTCCAAGGTCACATTTGGGGCAGGCGGGGTTATTCAGGGTTGAAGCATTTTCTTTCCTGTGGTGTGCATTTTAGCTTGACTGTGTTATTCTCATGTGCACCGTGACTCTGCATGAAAAGGGTATACTATGTCATGTTTTCAGACCTCGTTGACGTGGAACCCATTTTTATATGTGTTCTTTGATAAACTAATATTTTGTAAAACATTAAAGACACACTCACCTATCCCGAAATTATACATTGGATTCTGCATCTCAGATTCCATCTTGATCCCCTAGCCTTCTTAGGTACACCGGTTCCATTGGCCACAATGTCCCAAACTCTCTCCATACTTACTTCTAATTCCATGGAGTACAAGTTCCATCCCCCTGGATCCATCATGCTCAGGGGCTGTCTCAGCACTGTTCTTTCTCTCTTACCTAAGTTTCACACTCAAAACCTTTGTGAGTCCTTGTCACCTTCACTCCACCCTGGTCTACTCTTACAAAGGTATCTTTGTCCAGATAAATTTACTGATGATTTTGTAGGTGAGATGGTAGAGGGTGGGGGTAGGGTTACCTTGCATAGCAGAGAGCCAGCAACTTCCGACATTACAGAGCCTCAGAGTTCTTTGGCCTTACAGCCACTGGGATAGTTGTCTTGTACTCTACCCTTATTTAACACGCAAACTTGCTGACTTTCCCCCTACAAACTCCTAGAGTTTACCCTGCCGTTCTCTTTATTCAAGTCCAAGAATTTAACCTTTCTTTCTGCTCTGTAATTCAAAGTCCACTGCCATAGTGTTGCTGAGCCCCCGGAGAGGCAGGAGAGCAGATAATGGTATGTGGGGTCCCCATCCTGGGTGAGAGATAACCTGCTCAGCACCAGTCAGTGGCCATGTCCTCATTCTTTTTTTTCTTTTTTTCTTTTTTCTTTTTTTTTGACACGGAGTTTCACTCTTGTTGCTCAGGCTGGAGTGCAATGGCGCGACCTCGGCTCACTGCAACCTCTGCTTCCTGGGTTCAAGCAATTCTCCTGCCTCAGCTTCCAGAGTAACAGGTATTACAGGTGCCCACCACCATGCATGGCTAAATTTTTTGTATTTTTAGTACAGACAGGGTTCCACCATGTTGGCCAGGCTGGTTTTGAACTCCTGACCTCAGGTGATCCACCTGCTTCGGCCTCCCAAAGTGCTGGGATTACAGGCGTGAGCCACCGTGCCCGGCCCCATGTCCTCATTCTGAGTTCTCTTTCAGGCCTCCACCATGCTGTCTTTAGCATCTGGCAGGATGTTGGCTGCTGTCCAGGACTTAGAGTCCGTTACTCATGAAGTCATAATTGAAGAAATTAGCTGATGTTAATCCTTTTGGTATTTTGAGGGTAGAAACATCAGATTTGCTTTTTCCCATGGCACCATGAAAAATTGAGAGATCTGGGAGTTTTGGCTTAATTTAGGAGAGTAAGCTCTCTTTATATTAAAAAAAGTTAAATGTAAAATGATCAGCTGTTTTCCTGTAGGTTTTATAGATGCTAGTGTTACGTAGTTTGAGCATTGTAAGTTTCATATTACTAAGGAAAAATATTCATGTCTATGTGTTTTTAAAGTTAATTTTTATGTCATCTAATGAAATGAAAACATAGTTTAAAAAGTCAAATAGCAAATAGGAAAACCCAGTAGTTCCCTGCTCTAACTTGTGCAGAGGCAACTACTTTTAATTCAGCTTTTTTCCCTGGGACTTACTACGTCTCCACATTTCTAAATAAGATACAAATTCTGCTATCTTTGATTAATTGGTTGTAGATATCATTGTAGGTTTCTAATTATGGCAGTGAGGATTTAGCTTTTCATTTTCTCTCTGGTTCCCCTTCCTCATCCTCCAGAGTGGGTATGTTACAAGTTTAATTTAGTCAGTATTTGGATTTATACCTATGCAGATATTATTCACTGCAGAGCTGTGTAGAGTGGTATGTTCACTTTCACTAACTTACTCTTGAAGTCAGTACTTGCCTCGCCTTAATCAATAGCTCCTCTTGCAATAGCCTCTCAGTAATACTGACTCAGCTCAGCTCTAGTAGGTTATCTTTCTGTTCCCATTTTCTTCTCCAGGACTCATTTTCTTCTCTTGGGTTGGTGGCTTTCTAGGCCTGTACACAGCTGTCAGCCCGGGTTCCCTCTTTCTGCCATCTCTGGAATTCCACTGGGTCATTTTCTGCATCTCAGGTCTTCCTCATTCTGACTTTGCTGCCTTGTTTTGTGGAGCACATTCTGCATTAGTTTCACCTAAAAAGATGCTGCAGGGGCAGAGGGCATGGTGGGACCAGCCTCAGAATGCCTTCTGTTGCCTCATGTTGCTGCATTGTGGTCTGGGGCTGGTCAGTCCACAGCACAGACCTGTTTTGATGTTTTTAGGGGAACAGTCCTTCAGAATTCTGCTAGGGTGCAGGGCTGGGAAATCTGTTTTCAAGTAGCTGTCCAAATTTCCATTCCTTATCTTAGCCCTCCTTCCCAAGTGTCATATAGAGGCCAAAGGTGGCCACTATATATTGGCCTCTAGGTTGTTTATTTCTTCATAGCAGACTGAGATCTGTTAGCTCAGAAGCCCACTGGTACCAAACTCAAATTTTTACACGTCTAATTTTTTTCAAATAGCCTGAATTAGCAGATTTTTAGCCATTAAGAGCCTGACTGCTTTGCATACCCGGTGAGCTGGCCTCTGGTAAGATAGAGCCTTGTGGTTATAAAGCTCCAAGCCACTGCTACCATCAAAGCTCTCTGACCCTGGGACCCCCTGCTGTGCTGCTACAGACTGTCACCTGGCTATGTCAGCCTCCTCTCTGACCCCCTTTCCCCAGGAGTTCCCTTGTCCTCTTCCCCTTCTGGATAGACCCCTTGCTTGAAGCCTGTGGATGTCATACTGTGAGGGACTTCCCCTCCCACATAACCTTTTAAGAAAGCTTGCATGTGTTACTGCTTCCTTTCAGCATATCTACTTCCTTGATTAGCCCCCAAATCCCTCAAGCCTTCTACACCAAATTAGCCCCACTTCCAGAGGTGCCCATTGAGACTCGTGCCTGAATCTTTTGAGGGTTCTGAGGTGCACAATGGGTTGTTCTCTCTTCTCTGCTGCTGCTGTTGCTGCTTTAGGATCCATCTTTCTTAATTTGGCTAAATCAGTACTGCCTGTCTGTCCTTTTCATAACTTCCAAAGTTTGGTCGCAGTCCATATTCATTCATCCCTTTCATCAATCTTCATTTCTTCGTCCTTATTTGGGTTTTTCTCTAGGTCATTTTTCTTTTCTTTAGTGTAAGTTTGCTGGTGACAAATTCTGCTGTGATTGTCTCAGAAACATTTTTATTTTAGCTTCCTTTTTTGAAGGATATTTTCTTGGTGATAGAATTCTAGGTTGGCAGCTACTTCCTTTCAGGACTTAAAAGGTGGTTTCCATCAATTTTGTTAGAAAATGACTACCAGTCTTTTTGTTACTTCTTTGAAGGTAATATGTGCGTCCAGATCTGCTCCTTTGCTGCTTTTAAGATTTTTCCTTTTATTTAGGTTTCTTTTTCTTTTGTGTAAATGGCCAGCTTAGCTTTGCAGCGCTTACTGAACGATTTGAGATTTGCTGTTTTGTTTGTTTTAGAAAATCCTTGGCCATCATTTCTTCTACCCTGTTCTCTTTTTCTCTGAATGGGACTTGAATCACATACACTAGGCCCATTCATTGTGTCCTGTGTCTCTCTAATCCTCTTAAATTTTTTTTTCCTCCTTAGGTTTTAGTTTGGGTATTTGTTTTAATTGACCTGTCTTGCTGTTTACTAGTCTTATCTTCTGTATCTAATTTGCTGTTAAACCCATCTGTTGAGTTACTCATTTTAGATGTTGTATTTTTTAGTTTTATATTTTCTCTTTGATTATTAATTTTTACCAATTATAGTTATCTGGTGAAATTCTTCTTTTCATTTATTTTATTCATCTTTTTCTCTGTTTTCTTGGGCGTAATAACTATAATTGTTTTGAAGTCAGCCAGCTAACTTTATTGTCCAGATTATCTGGTGTTCATCACCTTCATTGAAGCAAGGACTGTGCTGACTCAGAGCTGGTTTGCAGCCCTGGTAAGCTTCAGTCTTGCTGTTGTTTGTCCTTGCCTTTTAGGGTTTTCAAATGAGAGTCTTCTATATTTGTCACAGCCCCTCTCTCTTGTGTTTCCTAATTACAATTTTTATTTTGAGGCTGCCTTCCAGTGGCTTTTTGTTAAAATTTAAGTCTCTTACCCTCAGAATTGGAAAGCTATCCCAGGGGAAAACCCAACCATGTGCTTGGACCCCAAGTCTCCAACCATAGCCCTGCTGGGGTTTCCCCCAGAACTGGCTTTCAGCAGGTGCATAGCCAGAGTTCTCAGGCTGCTGCTTGTGCCCAGAATTGGAACACTTCTAGGATAAAAGAAGCTTCAGAGTTTAGCTCCCTTCTTGGAGGGAGGTTCATTCCTCTCTCAAGCCTGTTTGAATTTTGTCACTCTCAGCCATTTTCAGAGAGTTGATTTCCATATTTTATTGAGCTTTTCCTGTTGTTCTTACTGGGGACACTGATGAGCTGCTAACTACTCCATCCGACCTGGAAGCGAAAGACCTGTGCAACCACGAACTGCCTTTTAGAATTGTGAATAAGACATATAACTGTATTCCCCTAGCTGCCCTAGCCTATTTATATAGCACCTTCGGGTAGGTGGGATCTGGCATGCCAACACAAATTCTAAGTCATGGTGCCTGGAATACTGTGTTAGAAGGATTCTAAGATGGCTTCTGTACTCTGCACGGAGGGTGTGGTGATAGATGAGCCTTGTCCTTCTGGGTCGAGGAAGGGAGTTGCCACCTGTTTGCCACTCCTGTGTTAGTTAAATGCTACCACTTTACTACTTTCTAGATATCTGGATAAAGCCCTTAAAGAAAAGGAAAGCATATTGCATTAAATGCTAATGCATTTGTACATGGGGAGAGCTGGTAAGCAGGGGGTGCTGGATAAAAGGTTTGGTTTTTAATAGTGCTGATATTAATGTTTTGATAAAATACTGGGCTCCTTGTGCATTTGTAGTTTCTGATGTGCATAACTTAGACTTCACAGTGGACTCCATGATAGTGGGTCTTTAAAACACATTTGCTGTAAATTCTGAACAAATGACCTCAATCATTATTCTAAAATGTTCTAAATGGCTTCTATTCTTACAGTTGTTAATATGCAGCATATTATTCCATTCTGATATTTTGCTGAGCAAAACATAATTGCTTTGTGGAATGTAGCTCTACTGATGGTGTGATCAAATGTTAAAAATAGAACTGTAGAGTTTTCCAGAAAATGCAATTAAAGAAGCAGTGAATGCCCATGACTCCACTCCTGTTCATAACTATACTTTTCAGACCAGATCTGTTAGAGAAAATCAAATCTTGATTTGAGATGATTTATATGGAAAATAGCCATGAATTATATTTGCAAGATACATACATATATATTTCAGCCACATCAACATTTCTTTTTTTACGTAGATTATTATTATTATTATTTTAAATTTTATTATTATTATACTTTAAGTTTTAGGGTACCTGTGCACAACGTGCAGGTTTGTTACATATGTATACATGTGCCATGTTGGTGTGCTGCACCCATTAACTCGTCATTCAGCATTAGATATATCTCCTAATGCTATCTCTCTCCGCTCCCCTAACCCCACAGCAGTCCCCGGTGTGTGATGTTCCCCTTACTGTGTCCATGTGTTCTCATTGTTCAATTCCCACCTGAGTGAGAACATGCGGTGTTTGGTTTTTTGTCCTTGCGATAGTTTGCTGAGAATGATGGTTTCCAGCTTCATCCATGTCCCTACAAAGGACAAGAACTCATCATTTTTTATGGCTGCATAGTATTCCATGGTGTATATGTGCCACATTTTCTTAATCCAGTCTATCATTGTTGGATATTTGGGTTGGTTCCAAGTCTTTACTATTGTGAATAGTGCTGCAGTAAACATACGTGTGCATGTGTCTTTATAGCAGCATGATTTATAATCCTTTGGGTATATACCCAGTAATGGGATGGCTGGGTCAAATAGTATTTCTAGTTCTAGATCCCTGAGGAATAGCCACACTGACTTCCACAATGGTTGAACTGGTTTACAGTCCCACTAACAGTGAAAGAGTGTTCCTATTTCTCCACATCCTCTCCAGCACCTGTTGTTTCCTGACTTTTTAATGATCGCCATCCTAACTGGTGTGAGATGGTATCTCATTGTGGTTTTGATTTGCATTTCTCTGATGGCCAGTGATGATGAGCAATTTTTCATGTGTTTTCTGGCTGCATAAATGTCTTTTGAGAAGTGTCTGTTCATATCCTTTGCCCACTTGTTGATGGGGTTGTTTGTTTTCTTCTTGTAAATTTGTTGGAGTTCATTGTAGATTCTGGATATGAGCCCTTTGTCAGATGAGTAGATTGCAAAAATTTTCTCCCATTCTGTAGGTTGCCTGTTCACTCTGATGGTAGTTTCTTTTGCTGTGCAGAAGCTCTTTAGTTTAATTAGATCCCATTTGTCAATTTTGGCTTTTGTTGCCATTGCTTTTGGTGTTTTAGACATGAAGTCTTTGCCCATGCCTATGTCCTGAATGGTATTGCCTAGGTTTTCTTCTAGGGTTTTTATGGTTTTAGGTCTAACATGTAAGTCTTTAATCCACCTTGAATTAATTTTTGTATAAGGTGTAAGGAAGAGATCCAGTTTCAGCTTTCTGCATATGACTAGCCAGTTTTCCCAACACCATTTATTAAATAGGGAATCCTTTCCCCATTTCTCGTTTTTGTCAGGTTAGTCAAAGATCAGATGGTTGTAGATACGCGGCATTATTTCTGAGGGCTCTGTTGTATTCCATTGGTCTATATCTCTGTTTTGGTACCAGTACCATGCTGTTTTGGTTACTGTAGCCTTGTAGTATAGTTTGAAGTCAGGTAGCGTGATGCCTCCAGCTTTGTTCTTTTGGCTTAGGATTGACTTGGCAATGCAGGCTCTTTTTTGGTTCCATATGAACTTTAAAGTAGTTTTTTCCAATTCTGTGAAGAAAGCCATTGGTAGCTTGATGGGGATGGCATTGAATCTATAAATTACCTTGGGCATTATGGCCATTTTCACGATACTGATTCTTCCTACCCATGAGCATGGAATGTTCTTCCATTTGTTTGTATCCTCTTTTATTTCATTGAGCAGTGGCTTGTAGTTGTCCTTGAAGAGGTCCTTCACATCCCTTGTAAGTTGGATTTCTAGGTATTTTATTCTCTTTGAAGCAGTTGTGAATGGGAGTTCACTCATGATTTGGCTGTCTGTCTGTTATTGGTGTATAAGAATGCTTGTGATTTTTGCACATTGATTTTGTATCCTGAGACTTTGCTGAAGTTGCTTATCAGCTTAAGGAGATTGTGGGCTGAGACGACGGGGTTTTCTAGATATACAATCATGTCATCTGCAAACAGGGACAATTTGACTTCCTCTTTTCCTAATTGAATGCCGTTTATCTCCTTCTCCTGCCTGACTGCCCTGGCCAGAACTTCCAACACTATGTTGAATAGGAGTGGTGAGAGAGGGCATCCCTGTCTTGTGCCAGTTTTCAAAGGGAATGCTTCCAGTTTTTGCCCATTCAGTATGATATTGGCTGTGGGTTTGTCATAGATAGCTCTTATTATTTTGAGATACATCCCATCAATACCTAATTTATTGAGAGTTTTTAGCATGAAGGGTTGTTGAATTCTGTCAAAGGCCTTTTCTGCATCTATTGAGATAATCGTGGTTTTTGTCTTTGGTTCTGTTTATATGCTGGATTACGTTTATTGATTTTCACTTGTTGAACCAGCCTTGCATCCCAGGGATGAAGCCCACTTGATCATGGTGGATAAGCTTTTTGATGTGCTGCTGGATTCGGTTTGCCAGTATTTTATTGAGGATTTTTGCATCAATGTTCATCAGGGATATTGGTGTAAAATTCTCTTTTTTTGTTGTGTCTCTGCCAGGCTTTGTATCAGGATGATGCTGGCCTCATAAAATGAGTTAGGGGGGATTCACTGTTTTTCTGTTGATTGGAATAGTTTCAGAAGGAATGGTACCAGCTCCTCCTTGTACCTCTGGTAGAATTCGGCTGTGAATCCATCTGGTCCTGGACTTTTTTTGGTTGGTAAGCTATTAATTATTGCCTCAATTTCAGAGCCTGTTATTATTTGTCTATTCAGAGATTCAACTTCTTCCTGGTTTAGTCTTGGGAGGGTGTATGTGTCGAGGAATTTATCCATTTCTTCTAGATTTTCTAGTTTATTTGTGTAGAGGTGTTTATAGTATTCTCTGATGGTAGTTTGTATTTCTGTGGGATCGGTGGTGATATCCCCTTTATCATTTTTTATTGCATCTATTTGATTCTTCTCTATTTTCTTCTTTATTAGTCTTGCTAGCAGTCTGTCAATTTTGTTGATCTTTTCAGAAAACCAGCTCCTGGATTCATTGATTTTTTGAAGGGTTTTTGTGTCTCTATCTCCTTCAGTTCTGCTCTGATCTTAGTTATTTCTTGCCTTCTGCTAGCTTTTGAATGTGTTTGCTCTTGCTTCTCTAGTTCTTTTAATTGTGATGTTAGGGTGTCAATTTTAGGTCTTTCCTGCTTTCTCTTGTGGGCATTTAGTGCTATAAATTTCCCTCTACACACTGCTTTGAATGTGTCCCAGAGATTCTGGTATGTTGTATCTTTGTTCTCATTGGTTTCAAAGAACATCTTTATTTCTGCCTTCATTTCGTGATGTACCCAGTAGTCATTCAGGAGCAGGTTGTTCAGTTTCCATGTAGTTGAGTGGTTTTGAGTGAGTTTCTTAATCCTGAGTTCTAGTTTGATTGCATTATGGTCTGAGAGACGGTTCCTTATAATTTCTGTTCTTTTACATTTGCTGAGGAGTGCTTTACTTCCAACTATGTGGTCAATTTTGGAATAGGTGTGGTATGGTGCTGAAAAGAATATATATTCTGTTGATTTGGGGTGGAGAGTTCTGTAGATGTCTATTAGGTCCGCTTGGTGCAGAGCTGAGTCCAATTCCTGGATATCCTTGTTAACTTTCTGTCTCGTTGATCTGTCTAATGTTGACAGTGGGGTGTTAAAGTCTCCCATTATTATTGTGTGGGAGTCTAAGTCTCTTTGTAGGTCACTAAGGACTTGCTTTATGAATCTGGGTGCTCCTGTATTGGGTGCATATATATTTAGGATAGTTAGCTCTTCTTGTTGCATTGATCCCTTTACCATTATGTAATGACCTTCTTTGTCTCTTTTGATCTTTGTTGGTTTAAAGTCTGTTTTATTAGAGACCAGGATTGCAACCCCTGCCTTTTTTTGTTTTCCATTTGCTTGGTAGATCTTCCTCCATCCCTTTATTTTGAGCCTATGTGTGTCTCTGCTTACCCAGATTATTGAACATTTCCCTGGGACATTGTCATTTTAGGAAGTCCAGGCAAATTTCAAAGCTGTAAGAAAATTTGGTAGGAAGAGGGGAAGAGAGTTCACAAGCAAAATACCGTACGTATGTAGGGGTTGTGATGAATGAACCCTGGTCACAATGTAGTTTGGAAATTGTAGATTTTTGTGTAGTTGTTTGGGTGGGCAGATGTCAACCAAAAGAATATTGGCAGAGCCATTTTAATATCAGACAAAATCGACTTTCAGTCAAAAAGCCTTGTTAGAGAGAGGCTCATTACATATAACAAATAGGTACAATTTTATGCTTATATACTTTTGATTAAACCACTGCAAAGCGTATAAAGAAAAAACACATAAAAATGGAGGTAGAAATCGATCAATCTGTCATGAAAAGGAAATTTCAATACATATTGATTGTTGATCTATCAGACAGAAAATTAAAAATTATGTAATAACTTAAAGAACACAACCAGGTATAATTTACATATACAGAATTCTGCAGCTTTCAGAGATGTTCTCATGTAAACAGGGACTATCTTTAAGAAATTGATCTTGCAGTTTTTTAGTTTGTAGAGTAAATATCAAAACATTTCAAAGAATGAATATCAAGGAGATCACATTCTCTGACCACAATTTAATTAAGTTAGAAATAAATAACAAAAGGATAAATGACCCTAATATATTTGGAAATTAAAAAAAGATTTTAATAACTCATTAATCAAAGAAGAAATTGTAATGCAAATGAATAGCCTTAGGTACCTAGAAAGATTGACAATTGAAAATGAATGAAGTGATCAGATTTACTTAGAAAAAGAAGAATGAATAAATTTAAAGAACACAATACATAAGAATAGGAATGAAGTGATCAGATTTACTTAGAAAAAGAAGAATGAATAAATTTAAAGAACATAATACATAAGAATAGAAATTAACGAAATAGAATATAAGGCTGCAATAAAGAGGATAAACATAGCCAAAAGGTAGCTCCTTGAAAATTCTAACAAAATAGACAAATATGGTAAGAATGTGTAAGAACAAAAAAGAAGGTACAAATAACCATTATTATGAATGAAAAGGAAGATGTAATTACAGATACAGAAGAGATCAAAAAGTTGATGAGAGACTACACATTTGATAACTCAGATGTAATGGACAGATTTATAGAAAAACGTAACAGAACTTAAGTTATAGAAAAAATACATATACAAACTTAATAGAACTGTTTTATTCTTAATGAGGAAACATTGAAAGTATTCCCTTTAAAATCAGGAATAAGCCATCTACAATCAATTAGAAATAATGAGTTTGGCAAGGTGGTTAGCTAGAAGGTTAATATACCAAAAATCAATTGTATCTTTATACTTCAGCCACAGAGAGAAAATGTAAATTGTTTAAGGACATTATTTACAATAGCACAAAAATAAGGAACTTAGAACTATATCTAAGAAAAAATATGTAATTTGAATATGCAGAAAAGTGTAAAACTTTATTGAAAGACATTAAATAAAACCTAAATAAATGGAGGGATATACCATATTGAGAGAGCTAGTCTAAGCTAACTCAATACTGTGAAGATGGCTGTTTTTTTTTTCCAAATCAGATTCAATTGATTTCATTAAAAATCCTGACAAATGTTTTTGTTGGGAGGGTAAGACTTAACAACCTAATTGTAAAATTATATGACAGAGCCATAGGCCAAGGAAAGTCAAGAGGCTCCTGAAGAATTTGGGGGGAATTTATGCTACCACGTATAAGACTCATTTTTAAGCTATAGACAGTAAGTGTAGGTGCAAAGGAAGACAATGCAATCAGCAAAACATAAGATAGAGCCTGAAGCATATATGAAACGATGCAGGGCAGGCCAGGAGCAGAATTCAGGGAGTCTACCATAAATGGTTCTGGGATCATTGGCTATCCATGCAAGAGAATCAGTGTCAGGTGGTTTAAACACTTAACTGTGAAAGCAAAACATTGGAACTTTACAGAATAAAATGTAAGATGTAAGAAATTTGGAAAGAATTTTTTAAACAAGACAGAGAAACGCCAAAGCTGAAAAATATGTTTGAAAGGTAAGTACATTTAAACATTCTTTTTATTGAAAGACATCACGAAGAAAGCAAAAACACAACTGGAAGGAGATGCTTGCAATACACATAACTGATTATGATTTCATGTAGTGAACTCCCACAAATCAATAGGATAAAGGCACAAAACTCAATAGAAAAGTGGACAAAATGCTTACATAGGCATTTCATGGAAGTGGGCATATGTAGGGTCAATAAACGTGTCAACACATGCCCCAGTCAGCATGGACATGTAAAATTCAACTGTGGAGAGAAATCGTTTACACCTACTAGATTGGCCTCAATTAAGAAGTTTGACAATGCCAATTTGGACAGAATGTGGATCAGGAGAATTCTTGGTGGGAGTGGAAATGGGTGGGACCACTCTGGAATACAGTGGAATACAACTTGGCATTCTTTTCTATAGCTGAATATGCACACATACCGTGACCTGCAGTTCTACTCATAAGCATATACCTTGCAGAAACTCCTGCCCACGTGCACCAGGATAGTCATCAACGAATAGTACATGATAGCAAAAACTGGAAACAGTGCAGATGTTCATCAGCAGAAGAATGGGATATTAATAAATTATATAGGCCAGGCGCAGTGGCTCATGCCTGTAATCTCAGCAGTTTGGGAGGCTGAGGCGGCGGATCACCAGGTCAGGAATTCGAGACCAGCCTGACCAACATGGTGAAACCACGTCTCTACTAAAAATAAAAAAATTAGCTGGGCGTGGTGGCGCACGCCTGTAATCCCAGCTACTCGGGAGGCTGAGGCAGGAGAATTGCTTGAACCTGGGAGGCGGAGGTTGCAGTGAGCTGAGATTGTGCCACTGCACTCCAGCCTGGGCAACAGAGCAAGACTCCATCTCAAAAACAAACAAAATAAGTTCTGTGGTCTAACGAAATGGACTGTTGTTATACCACAGTGAAAGTGAATAAACTATAGCTGTGTGCAACAACATGATAAAGGAATCTTAGGAACGTGAATGTTCTTAGCCTGGATGACCCTGAAAGCAGACTGAGAGCAGGACTAGCAGGAATCTCTCTTGTTTGCGCAGAGCACAGTCAGGAAGGCAGAGGGAGGCAGGGAGGAAGGATAGCTAGTCCAAGTGTGTTACCCAGTTGGCTACGGCGGGTGATCGTGCTGGCTCCTGAGGGGACTGGAGTGCAGTTACCGAGCACATTTCAGGCTTGCCTCCCCGAGACCCGTCGCCTCAAGTCTCTGTTGCCCCAGGGCTGCTCCTGGGGCAGCCCTGCTCTGGCTTCCACCAGAGCAGCCCCTGCAGGGGAGTGAGACCTGCAGTGCAGGAGCCAATTAGTTCTCTGCCTGTGAGACCACATGAAAAAATACTATGTTTTTTCTATGACACTGTTTTTGTAAAGTGCAAAAACAAGCAACACCAAACACACTGTCTTGCGGAGATGAACTAAGTATGCCAGAAAAGTTTCAGAGAGAAAGGAAAGGAAATTATCAATGCAAATTCAAGAATGGGATTCCACAAGCATCTAGGTAGGGGACCTTATTTTCAGCAAAGCAAACATACAAACAAAGAGACAGGCCTTAGAGTTCTCTGCTATGATAAAGCAGAGGGCAGGCACGCAGCATCTGCAGTGATTGAGGGGAAAGTCTGTGAATCCAGACCTGCGCTAGGGCGACCTGCTCTTCAGACGTGATGATAGCTGAGCAGGCGAGCAGTCCATATTGGTCCTGGGAGCCCTGAAGATATGCTCAGGTATCGGGGGCTTTGGGGACCCTCACAGGAGTCTCGTGAAGATGTCATTCAACGTTTGAGCTATTAAGTTAGCAGCTTGAGTTGGTGGAATCATGGCTAAGCAGAACTAATGCAGAACACTGAAACTAGTTATAACTGGAAAGTGGAAATTTAAAAAACATCGAAAGACACAGAATATAGCCAGGCGAGGTGGCTCATGCCTGAAGTCCCAGCTACTCGGAGGTTGTGGCAGGAGGATCACTTGAGCCAGGGTGTTCAAGACCAGCCTGGGTAACACGGTGAGACCCTGTCTTTAAAAAAAAAAAAGAAAAATAGGCCGGGCACGGTGGCTCATGCCTGTAATCCCAGCACTTTGTGAGGCCAAGGTGGGCAGATCACTTGAGGTCAGGAGTTCGAGACCAGCCTGGCCAACATGGTGAAACCTGTCTCTACTAAAAATACAAAAATTAGCCGGGTGTGGTGGCAGCTACTTGTAATCCCAGCTACTCAGGAGGCTGAGGCATGAGAATTGCTTGAACTCAGGAGGTGGAGGTTGCAGTGAGCCGAGATTGCCTGGGCAACAAAGCGAGACTCCATCTCCAAAAAAAAAAGAAAAATTAATTTTTATAAAGGAAAAAAGATACTGAGTATAATATGAAAACAATGTAATATGAGTTTGAATCTAAAATTCTAGATTATACTAGCAAAGAAAGAGATGTGGGATGTGTGAAGGGATGAAACCATAATTGTATTAAAACCCTTGCCTACCCTGAAAACCGGAGACATGTGGGTTAAAGAACAAGCTGAAAATTTAAAGCTACTTAACAAAATTACAACCATGTAGGCACATAACAAATTCCTAAGCATTGGAAGCTAGTTTGAACAAATTAACTGCAAGAAGTTATTCTGGGGACAATCTGGGAAATTTGAATAGGAATTGGGTATGAAATCATACAAAGATGATCTATTAATAATTAGTATATTTTAGATGTGTTAATGGCCTCACAGGTTATATAGAAAAATGTCCTTGTATTTTAGGTATGCATATTGAAAAACTTAAAATGTCATGGTTTGTAATTTATCTTGAAAAGCAAAGAAAAAGAGATGAAGCAAATATAGTAAAATTGTTAACGTGACAGGCTAAGTAGATGGATTGAACATTCTTATTTTTGTACTTTTCTATTTGAAAAATTTCAGAATATAAAGTTTAAAAATCATCAAAGGCTTGAAAGATGAAATTGGGGGAAATCTCTCAGAAAACTGAACAACAACAAAAAAAGACCAGGAAGTTGGAAATAGGGAAGACAGTAAATGAGAGGGTCAGCCAGAGAATATAAATAGGCTTTGCAGAGACCAAAGGAAGTAGAATCATCATTGCAAAATGATACAGGAGTTATTCTCAGAACTGAAAGGAGATTGCAGATTCAGATCAGTTTCTCATACTTCACCCAGTGAATAAAAACAAAGACCGTCTCACCATTGTAGAGTCCTGTATATCCCCATCAGGAACCGGCATCCATCCCACCAGGGCCGTTCCTCCTTTTGGGATCTGTTACCCCTACAAGCCCAGGATTTCCCAGCTCCTGAGCCCACACTTTCCCACCTTATTTTTCTTCATTCTGTGTAACATGCCATGTGGTTTCACTCTTATTTTTGTGTCTCCCTCCTCTGCTGCTCCCCAGGATGTCATGAGGGAGGCACTATGCATGTCTTTTTTTTAAACTGCTGGATCCCCTGTGCCTAGAACAGTGCCTGGTAAACAGCTGGTCCTTGCCAGTATCTGCTGATGAATCAGACCACTCTGGAGCCACCATGGAGATCAGCACATATTAGATCGTTGCCTAAAAAGTTCTGAGACAAAATAATCTGCAACCTAAAATTTCTGTCCTTACATGTTAAACGTGTAGGGTCCCTCAGATTTCACCTACTGTAAATCCTTTCTCTGAAAGTTAGTGGAGGATATGGTCTATCAAAAAATGTGGGCCAGGTGCAGTGGCTCAGGCCTGTAATCCCAGCACTTTGGGAGGCCGAGGTGGGTGGATCACCTGGAGGTCAGGAGTTCGAGACCAGCCTGGCCAACATGGTGAAACGCTATCTCCATTAAAAATGCAAAAAAAACCCCAAAAAATTAGTGGGGTGTGCTGGTGGGTGCCTGTAGTCCCAGCTACTCGGGAGGCTGCGGCAGGAGAATCGCTTGATTGGGAGGTGGATGTTGCAGTGAGCGGAGATCGAGCCACTGCACTCCAGCATGGGTGACAGAGAGACTCGGGCTCCCCCCAACCCAAAAAAATGGGGAGCAAACCACTCTGGTTTGCTGAGATATGTCCTTCTTGGACCCAGGTCACCTGCTCCCTCCTTACCTGGCTGTGCCCTGGCCTGGTGCACTATGGCTCCTAGGGACTTCCCTGGGTCTTCGACTCCCCTTCGCCTCTCTCCTGGGCTAGAGCCTCTGTTTTCTTGAGCCCATGTCTTCTCTTTTCTTGGTTTGCTCCCTCATTTTTTGATAGACTTCATGTGCTCATACATGGTGAGGGAGACCTCAGGGCTGTTGGAGAGCTAGGATGAATTTTTGATAGATATACAGTCGTACACCACACACCAACGCTTCCCTCAATGACGGACTGTGTATACAATGGTGGTCCCATGAGATTCTAATACCATGTTTTTACTGTACCGTTATTATGTTGAGATGTGTTAAATACAAAGTACTCACCATTGTATTACAGTTGCCTACAGTGTTCAGGACAGTAACATGCTGCCCAGTTTTGTAGCCTGGGAGCAGTAGGCCGTACCATACAGCCTAGGTATGTAGTGGGCTTCGCCATCTAGGTTTGTGTAAGTGCATTCTGTGAGGTTCACACAATGATGGACTCACCTAAGGGCGCACTTCTCAGAACATAGCTCCGTTGTTAAATCATGTGTGACTGTGTAGAAGATGTAAGTGAAAAATGAGGCAATTAACCCCAGTTACATATTGTGATGTGATTTTTTTTAAAGGCACTGTAATTGTAGTACTCCTTGTGGCTCAGTTATGGGTGACATTTTACGTAGTCATAATAATGCCAATACTGAATGCTGAAATATCAAAAGGTGGGTTGTTGCTATATTTGGATTGGGAAAGTGAGGAGGAGAGGGAGAGCGAGTGTGTGCATTTGGCTGTGTCTGCTGTGTGTTGGAGGGGAAAGTGAGAATCCTCAATTTTCATAGTCAGAAGTCAGTCAAAGCATCAAGTTTAGAAATGTGAAAGTAAACTGAAGAAACAAGCAAAACTATTTGTTGTAAGTGGCAGCTTCTCTACAGAACAATTTTGACTTCAGATTGTGTAAGAATGACTAGATCAGAAAAAATGAAATACTTTTAAAAATATATTCATATATTTAATATATTTTTTAATATTCTTTTTTTTAATTTTTGAAACAGAGTTTCGCTCTGTCGCCCAGGCTGGAGTGCAGTGGCATGATCTTGGCTCACTGCAACCTTTGCCTCCCAGGTTCAAGTGATTCTCTTACCTCAGCCATCCGAGTAGCTGAGATTACAGGCACCTGCTATGGTGCTTGACTAATTTTTTGTATTTTTAGTAGAGATGCGGTTTCGCCATGTTGGCCAAACTGGTCTTGAACTCCTGGCCTCAAGTGATCCACCCGCCTTGGCCTCCCAAAGTGCTGGGATTACAGGCTTATGTTTATCTTTTCATAAGCTTGTTAAAAAATATATTTTTCACATACGTTTGTGATTCCAAATGTTTATAGAATAATAGGTCATGAGTATTTTGTATTTTTATACAATGGAGTCCCATTCAGCCATTAAGGTGATGTCAGTGAATACCTACAGGGTGTGCCATCATGATCATGACACATTATATGGTAATGTGGAAAGGTTATTGACAACATGATGACCCAATTTTTATAAAAACCGATTTAAATAGAACCCAGCCACATGTTAACAGGAGTTAGAGGAGAAGCCGTGTGAATGTAGATGGTTTCATTATTTCCTTCAGCTTATCTGCCTTTCCTAACTTGTTCTATATTGAACTTGCATTGTTTTGGTTATAAAATAAAGGGGAAAAGTCAGCACACTGCCCCTCAGGACCGTGCTGCCTCCGTGGGGCTGTGAAGCTGGTCAGGAGCATGGGCACAAAGTCTCCCGCCCGGAGGTGGGCGCTGGCCAACCTTGTGCGTGCCGACAGCCTTCACTCTCATGTGTGCCATGGCACCAGGCCCTTGCTCCGGTGGGCACTGTGCAGATGAAACAAGCGTGCTCTGGGCCCCCAGGACCTGCTGAGCAGCCAAAGGCAGGTGCATGAGTGAGCGGCACTGTGGGGTGCTGGTGCCATAGCCCCGTGGTCCTGTAGCTGTTTGCTACCCAGTCTGGGTAATTAGCTGTTTGGGGGTTGAGGGGGAGGCAGAGGTGACCCCACCCATGGAGTGACCTGGATGAAGCAGGAAGGGTAGGCAGGGACCTTCTGAGCTGGAAGATGTGGGACTTACTCCAAGGGATAAAGAAAGCCCCTAAAGGGCACAGTGTCATTGAGTGGGGCGAGTGACATGGTCAGATTTTTTTTTTTTTTTTCTGGAGACGGAGTCTTGCTCTGTCACCCAGGCTGGAGTGCAATGGTGCAATCTTGGCTCACTGCAACCTCCACCTCCCAGGTTCAAACGATTCACCTGCCTCAGCCTCCTGAGTAGCTGGGATTACAGGCATATGCCACCATGCCTGGCTAATTTTTATAGTTTTAGTAGAGGCAGGGTTTCACCATGTTGGCCAGGCTGGTCTCGAACTCCTGACCTCAGGTGATCTGCCCGCCTCGGCCTCCCAAAGTGCTGGGATTACAGGTGTGAGCCACCACGCCCAGCCAGGTTTGCATTTTAAAAAGATGATTCTGCAGTGTGGAAAACAGGTTAGAAGTGACCAGGAGTCCAGGCAGGGAGGGCTTTGTAGGGCTCTTACAGTAGCTCTCCTGCCAGGTGGCAGCCAGGTACCAGGTGGAGGGAGGAACTGGGGGCCGGGGCCCAGGGTGAGCTGGTCAGTAGATGTCCCTGATTTGGATGGATTTGAGAGTGAGATTGGGTGGGGGAGGGACGTGGGGTATCTGGGACCCTGACAGGCACATCTGGGTGAGTGGGGCCTCCTGTGGAGGTAGGGCAGGCTCCAGGAGCACTGGCTGTATTGAGTTAGGCTGCTGGGGAGGCATCCGTCATGTTTCCATCAGGCCAGTGGGTGGACACAGGGATCTGGGAGGAAGAGAGGCTGAGAGAGGCTTAGGGTACCCTGGAGGATGGAGCCAGGGAGGGAACAGGCTCTCCCAGGATAGATACTGCGAGGAGGGGAGGGGAGGTATGGGGAGATGATGGGCCGAGGGAGCCCTTACTAACGAGCAGCTGGGGAGCGTGAGTGGGGGAGGAAGCAAGGGGGCGGCCAAGGCAGGAGGGTGTTCCTTCTGCAAAGCAGGAGTAAGATCAGTGTCAGCCTGCTGGGTGCTGAAGGGGGTTCCTGGGACTCAGCGACCCAGAACTGACCAGACAGGGGAGTTCTGCCTGTGCCAGTGAGGGGAAAGGGGAGCAGGACTGGGGAGTGGAGACGGCTATTACAAGGGTGCTGGGACCACTTAGTCAGATGGGGGGGTTCCCTTCATGTCACCAGCATGGCACGAGTTGTCCATATCCCTACTGTGTTTGGGGATCCTAGAAGTGTCTAAACCCAGGGATGGACATAGGTGATGAGTGAGGGGCATAGACTGAGTCCCTTTCCCAGGGTGTGTCTTTTTACCGGGGCTATCATCAGCGGGAGTGGGCGGCACTGGATGTACTCCTGTGCCCTTGCAGGAATCCAGCCTCCTGCCCCCTTCCTCCCCTGTCCTGGTGGCCCTCTGCCTCCTCTCAGAACCTCGTGGGGACAGGAGATGGGCTCTGCACTCCAGTCTCTGTGGGTGGCGCTGCCTGGTGTGAGCAGAGATGGCAGGAGGGCCACCTGGGTGCAGTACCTGCAGCAGGGAGGAGGGAGAGCAGCCTGCGGGCCCTGCAGCGGCCAGCCAGGGGCAGCAGAGCAGAGCACAGCTCCCAGGCTGGGGCAGAGGGCTGAGAGTGTGCGGATTCAGGCAACCCTTTGGGGGTGCAACCAGGCTCCCTTCAGGGTACAACTGGGCTCTCTGGGCAAGAATTCCGAGAAGGGAGCCTGCTTTGGGGCTAAGTCAGGAATGGGAGCACAGCCTCTGGGTCTGAGAACAGGTTGGTCCTGGGAAAAACCAGGCAGAGGCACCTCTAGGGAACAGTCCTGGATTTGAGAGTTTGCATAAATAGTGTGCGGTTTATGACATTAGTACAGTGGCCTTTATTCATAATGATTTGGAAAAGAAAGAGCAATTTGTCTACCAGACAGGTTCAGTTCCTATTGTATAGTTCCAGTGGATTTAAAAGTTGATGTGAGTCTGTGAATTTGCTTGCATAATTATACTCTGATAGCTTTTCATTACACATAATGCAATTTTAATGGAATTAATGTTCTGTATCAACAAATACATTGTTTTTATTATTGTGCCATGAGGAGATTTCTAAAAGAAGAGAATAAAAGTCATTTGCAAATGGTTTATGTAATACTCTTTTTCAAGCAGGGCAATCTACCTTCCCACTTCATACTTTTTTCTGACAATGGGTTGAGAAAGGGAGGGGGGCAGAGGCTCTTGA
The DNA here is from genome assembly GCF_000001405.40 of Homo sapiens. NCBI lineage: Eukaryota > Metazoa > Chordata > Mammalia > Primates > Hominidae > Homo > Homo sapiens. Next base: position 1,566,295 of record NW_011332701.1, on the reverse strand, counting down.
ATACGTTTGGGTCCTGGTTGGAATTTATTCTTGTAGCTTGCATTTATGTCTGAAATTCTCATTATTCTCTGTCAAGGAGCAGCAGCCCACATAGAAGTGTACATGGCCACCTGGCTGACCACTTTCTGTGCAGATCAGGCCCCGTCCCTCCCCTACACACCTTGTTGGTCATCCTGCCACCTTGGACCCCGTCACTGTGCAGGGATTCTGGTTTGCTGCCTCTCACTCAGACTGGCCGCCATTGTTTCCAGAGCCTTTCCATACCTGTTCTGAAGCCATCGGCCCTCACATTGAAGTGGTGGAATTTGTCTGGCCCCGTCCACCTCTCCCGCCTGCTGATGGGAACATTAGAGGGAGTTAGTACCCACTGGCATGGGTTATGCCTCCTCACTTAGGAGGCAGAACCAGCTGTCGCTGGCTTGGGTTTTAATAGTGCGTTTTCTCTGTTGTGTATCAACCATGGGAAACAGAAAAATAAAGAGGAAGCCAAAATCTCACTGTCTGGAGATAACCATGGTAACTTTGAGATGCAGCTGCTGATTTTCTTTATGTATTTGTTTGCTTCTCAGAAGGGAAATTATGCACTTTCCACACCATTTTGCAACCTGCTTTTCCTTCTTCTTCTTTCACTTAGTGTGAACGTTTCTACATGGCATTAAATATTCTCCTGTGGCTGGGCACAGTGGTTCACACCTTTAATCTCAGCACTTTGGGAGGCCACAGCGAGGGGATCACTTGAGCCAGGAGTTCGAGACCAGCCTGGGCAACATAGTGAAACCCTCTCTCTACAAAAGATACAAAAATCAGCCGGGTGATGCATGCCTGTATTCCCTGCTATTCGGGAGGCCGAAATGGGAGGATCACTTGAGCATGGGAGGTGGAGGTCACAGTGAGCTGTGATCATGCCACTGCATTCTAGCCTGGGCTACAGAGGGAGACCTTGTCTCCAATATACATATATACACACACACACACACACACACACACAATACAATATACATATATATGTGTGTGTATATATATATATATTCTTCTATAATATGATTTAATGGCAGCAACTAGGAAGGACCCAATGAATATATGTAATTCCCTCTTGCTGCACACCTCGGTTGTTTCCAGTTTCCAAAATACATAATCCTTTGGTTAATACTGGGAATTCTTAGAAGTAGAATTCTAGGTTCAATGGTATGCAGAGTTTTAAATATGCTTAACATAATACATGCATGGATTAAAGGTTAATATTACAGAAAGTTACACATTTAAAAGCAAGTTCCCCCTCGCCTCCTCCTTAATCTAGTTTCCGATTGTTAGGTTTCTTGTGCGTCGTTCCAAGAGAGCAATGTTTATGTAGTAAATGCATTCATCCATTCCTTCTTGTTTACACAGAGATCCTTCAGTGCACACTGGGCTGTGTCTTGCTTGTCAGTTATTTATCTTCGAGATCATTCCACAGTGGCATAAATAGATCTACCTCAAACTTTATAATGCACATATTCATGTTCTATGTAAATACCGAAGTCTTTTTAACTAGCCCTTTATTGCTACTCACTGGTTCAGGTTTTTGTAGTAAACGTCCTTGTGTAAATAGGCTGGCCTGTTTCTGTTAGTATATCCACAGGTTAAATTCCCAGGATTGAAACCATTGAGTATGGGTATGTACAGTTTTTATTTTGAGAGATGCTATGAAATTGTTCCCAAGGAAGGCTACATCAAATTATGCCAACATAAGAAATGTTTAAGAGGAACTTTCTTTCCCCTCTGCCCTTTGCCATCACTGGGTTTTACCAAAACTTCACCAAAATGTTTCCAGTCTCGTTGAAAAAAATACTTATCTTATTGTTTTCACTTGCTTTAGAAAATTCAGTAGGTCTACGCATTCTGTTACATGTTTATTGTTCATTAAAAATCTAAACATCCTATTCATCGTATTCAGCCATTTTTTTCTGTTGTTTCTTTTATTAATTTATACGAGCTCTTTGTAAATTAAGAAAACCTTTTGTCTGTTTATGTATTATAAATATTTTTCCTATTTGAAACCAGCCTTTGGTTTTATGGGTTTTTTTTAACCATAAATGTGTTCATTGGCCCTTTTCAGAATAATGCTACATTAAAAACCACACCAAAATGCAGTGCTTGACAGTAGCGAGCCATTATTTTCTCCTCTGGGTTTGCAGGTCAGCTGGGGTGGCTCCACTTTGGGTTGCAAGCTTCTCATGGGGTTTGTGTCTGTGCCATCTGTCCATTCCGGGGCCCAGGCTTGAAGGGGCAGTGGCCACCTGGGCAAGGAGGAGGGCAAGAGGTAGCACGTAGTGCATCAGAAGGCCCGGGGCGATGGCATGTGCCACTTCCACTCACCACCAGGCATATCCCATGGCCAAGTTTATTCTGGGATGGGGACGGGACTCCACCCACTCTGCAGGAGCCTCCGACCTCACACGTCAAAGGCACAGACTTGTTCTTCTAATGCAGATGCAGAGAGGCCCTGGGATTGAGAACACAGATTCCTCCTACCACAAACAAATGTGGGTTTTTTTAGCCATAAACGTATACATTTTAAATTTATTAATTGTTTCTATTATGTCTTAAAATTGTGTGGTGCCTTAAAAGGCTTACTTCAAGATTCTTTTACAAATTTCTCAAATATTTATGTTTTAATTTATATTTTACTCTTTGATTTCTCTGGAATTTATTTTAATGTTGAAACGTAGAGATTAAGTTTCATTTCTTTCCAAGTGGCTAGCCAGTTGCCCTAGCACTTCTTATTGCGTAGATTTTCTTTTCCCCTTTTTGGTATTTTAATTAGAATTGCATGGAACTTATACATTATTTAGTCTTTTTGTTTAAAAAATGAATTTCCCTCCCATCTAGTCATGAAGTCTTTTAGGTTCCCCAGTAGATGTTTAAGGATTCCTTGATATTGCTCCTGCTCACCTCTTATTAAATCTGTGTATTCTAAGATATTCTGCCTTTTTGCTTACCATTATAAATGGAATTTTTAATTGTATTCTCTTTTCTAACCAGTCTTTGCTTGCACATATGTAGGAAAGCTGTTTGTCTATAGTTTAAGAGCTTGTGTCCTAACCCTGCCCATCATTGTAACGTTGGGCAAGTCACTTAATCTCTTTGTGCTTTAATTTTCACATATGTGCACGGGCACAAGAGTCACACATACTAATTAGGGTTGTCAGGATAAAGTATAAAAACTTAGTAAGTATATCTGGCATATATTCAGGGCACAATAAATATTGATCCTGTTGACCTTGAACAACATGCGTTTAAACAGCATAGGTCCACTTATATGTGGATTTTCTTCCACCTCTGCCACCCTGAAATGGCAAGACTAAGCCCTCCTCTTCCTCCTCCTCCTCCTGAGCCTACTCAACAAGAAGATGACAAGGATGAAGGCCTTTATGATGATCCACTTCCACTTAATGAATAGTAAAATATATTTTCTCTTCCTTATGACTTTCTTAATAGCATTTTCTTTTCTCTTTATTGTAAGAATACAGCATATAGTACATACGACATCCAAAATGTGAATGTGTGTTAATCAACTGTTTATCTGATTGGTAAGACTTCCAGTCAACAGCAGACTATTACCAGTTAAGTTTTGGAGGAGTGAAAATGTTATACATAGATTTTTGACTGCACAGGAGGTTGGTGCCCCTAACACCCCTCTTGTTCAAGGGACAACTATATATAGTATTATAATTTTCAACATATTGATTTTGTAACCAGGTAACATACTGAATTTTCTTATGGTTTCTTATTCTTCTGAATCAATTCCTTTGGGTTTTCTAATTAGGTGATCACTTTATTTTCAAATAGTAATGATTTTGCTTCTTCTTTCCAATGTTTATAACTTTCTTTTATTTTTCCTTTTTAGTGTTATTAGCTAGATATATTAGTTTTCTATTGTTATGTGGCAAATTGCCACAAGCATAGCAGGTTCAAACAGCTCAACCTTATTATTTCAGAGTTTCTAAGGGTTGGGACTCTGGAGTGTTTTAATTGGGTCCTGTCCTCAGGGTCTGCAGGCTGAAATCCTGGTGAGGCTGGAAGCATCTTCATCCAAAAGCTTTACGAGGGAAAGATCCACTTCCAAACTCCTTCAGGTTGTTGGCAGAATTCATTTTGGGGGTTGTGTGACTCAGCCCTGCTTCCTTGCAAGCTGTGGGTGGGGAAGCTCTCAGCTCTTAGAGGCATCTCACCACATGGCAGCCCACTTCTTCAAGGCCAGCAGCACAACTTCTTACACCTCAAATTGGGACTTCACCAAGGGCCCAGAACCAAAGGTCTTGCCTGATTAGGTCAGGCACACCCAAGAGAACTTCCCTTTTGATGAACTCAACAGCAAACTGATTTGGGACCTCCCATCCACCATTGTCAGGCAGCGTAACCTAATCACATACATATTCACAGTCCCACCCACGGCCCAAGGGAGAGGATTACACAGGGCAGGTACACCAGGGAGTGGGGACCTTGGGGGCCATCTCATAATTCTGCATACCACACGAGTACTTTCAGAATCATTTTGTTTTATTTTATTTTATTTTTGAGACGGAGTCTCGCTCTGTCACCCAGGCTGGAGTGCAGTGGCGTGATCTTGGCTCATTGCAACCTCCGTTTCCCGGGTTCCAGTGATTCTCCTGCCTCAGCCTCCCGAGTAGCTGAGACTATAGCCATGTGCCACCACACTCAGCTGATTTTTGTATTTTTAGTAGAGACAGGATTTTACCATGTTGGCCAGGCTGGTCTAGGACTCCTGACCTCAAGTGATCCGCTAGCCTCGGCCTCCCAAAGTGCTGGCATTACAGGTGTGAGCCACTGCCCCCAGCCCTAAGAGTTCTTTTTTAAAAGAGAGGATGGAGATCAAATTCTATTGGACGTCTTCCATGCATCTACTGAATGAAAGAATTTTTCATTTTCGTCACATTAATATGCAGAACCATCTTTTCATTCCTGACGTGAACCCCCATGTTCTTCATTCTTTTAAATGTACTGCTGAATTCTGTTTTCTAACCTTTTATTTAAAAATGATGTACCAGTAAAATTATCATTTTAATGCACTGTCCTATGAGTTTTTGGCATTTAAATTTGTGTGTTTATATCTAGTATGTGTAGTAGATGAGGAATGCTAAGTTTTTGAGTCTCTGTCTTTCATGTTTGGTTTTGTTTGGATGTTGGCCCTTGAAGTCAGGGAGAACCTGCTTTGTGAGGGGAGGGAATAACTTAATGTAACTTTTGCCAAATAAATAATGAGGGGGAAGGAGTTAAATATCTGAAAGAGTCCAACAATGCCTGATACATGGGGGAAATTCATTAAATATTGATCCAGCACAGGAAAAATAAAATAAAAACAATGTACTTCTGTTTAAAAGCCACTGGTCTGTTCCTTATTTTTGTGATATTTTACAGGTTTGTGATTGTTACACTGACCTTTATAAAGACAATTTGGAAGTTCCCCCTTTTTTCCCTCTGTGCTCAGAAAAAATTTAAACAGCTTTGGAAATCTTCATACGTAGAAGTTTTTGAAGACTTTGCCTACAGCTGTTTGAGCATATTTCCAATTTCTTGGTGTTTATGGGAACAGTTAGTGTTTTGGTCTTTTGGGGAATCAATTGTAGTAATTTAGCAAGTTATCTTTGTCATCCTGGGTTTTGAATTTATTTGCATAGAGCCCATGCTTTGTTTATTATACTTTTTGCCAGTTGACAGCATCGCACCTCTTAATGATGTACATTCTCTACAGCCCTGTAAGTGAGGACCACTGTTCTTTCTAACCACTGCTAGCTTGACAGGCAGCAAGGGACCTCTTATTCCACTTTGCATTTTATTGATTACTTACTTATAAGGTGTTTTTCTGAGTAAATTTTTTTTTCCTTTTTTTAAGATGGAGTCTCACTCTGTCGCCCAGGCTGGAGTGCAGTGGCACAATCTCGGCTCACGGCAACCTCTGCCTCCTGGGTTCAAGAGATTCTCCTACCTCAGCCTCCTGAGTAGCTGGGACTACAGGCACATACCACCATGTCTGGCTAATTTTTTGTATTTTTAGTGGAGACAGGTTTCACCATGTTGGCCAGGCTGTCCTCGAGCTCCTGACCTCAAGTGATCTGCCCACCTCGGCCTCCCAAAGTGTTGAGATTACAGGTGTGAGCCACCCACTGTGCCTGGCCTCTCAGTAAATTTTTTTGAGGAGCAGTTGCCTTTTTGTGAGTTTTAGCCAGTAACCTGGGTGGTTAATTATTTACATTTAATATTTTAATCATCTTGTAATGTATTTTGGTTTGTGGGAGGGAACTAATTTTAATTTCTCTATCTGCTTATTTATTTACATTTAACAATTATCCCAGAACGATTTATTGAATAGCCTTTTCCCCCATCAGTTACTATGTCACTCCTTGTATAACTGAATTATATAAATTAAATTGTAAAAACTAATTTAATGTGTTCACATGCAAAAAAAATGAAGTTGGACCCTTAACTAACATCCTATACAAAAATTAACTCAAAATGGATTAAAGACCTAAACATAAGAGCTAAAGTTATAAAACTCTTAGAAGGAAGCTTAGGGGAAAAGCTTTACAACCCTGGGCTTGGCAGTGATTTCTTGGATATGATGCCAAAGGCATAAGCAACAAAAGAAAAGTGGCAAACTGGACTTCATCAAAATTAAAAACTTGTGCATCAAAGGACACTATTAAGAGAGTAAACAGGCAACCCACAGAATGGGAAAAAGTACTGGAAAATCACATATTTCATCAGAAATTATTATCCAGAACATATAGAAAACTCCTAAAACTCAATAACAAAAAAGTAAAGAACACAATTCAAAAATGGGCAAAGGATTTTTGGCAACATGGATGAACCCAGAGGACATTATGCTAAGTGAAATTAGCCAGACACAGAAAGATGAATACTGAATAATCTCACTTGTCCGTAGACTCTAAAAAAAAAAAGTCAAACTCATGGTAACAGAGAGGAGAGGCGTAGTTGCCCGGGGCTGGGGGAGAGAGGGGAAAGGGGAGATGTTGGTCAAAGGGTATAAACTTTCAGTTATAAAAGAAATACATTCTGGAGACGTAATGTACAGCATAGTGACTATACTTAATAATAATGTGCTGTATATTTGAAATTTTCTGAAAGAGGCTTCATATGTTCTTATCAAACACTCAGAAGAAATGGTAACTAGTGAGGTGATGGATATGGTTAGCTTGATTGTGGTAATCATTTCACAGTATATGTATACCAGAATCATGTTGTACATTTTATATACAGTTTTTATTTGTCAGTCATACCTCAATAAAGCTGGGAGGAAAGCTTCAAAGATAGGCAAAAGGCTTGACTAGGCCTTTCTCCACAGAAGAGATACAGATGGCTAATAAGCACATGAAAACATGCTCAACATCACTAATCCTTAAGGAGATGCAAATCAAAATCACAACAATGGCTGGCGTGGTGGCTCACACCTGTAATCCCAGCACTTTTCGAGGCCCAGGCAGGAGGATCGTTGGCGCCCAAGAGTTCAAGACCAGCCTGGGCAACGTGGCGAAACCCCCATCTCTTGAAAAAAAAAAATACGAAAACTAGCTGGGTGTGGTGGCATGCACCTGTAGTCCCAACTACTCGGGAGGCTGAGCAGGGAGGATTGCTTGAGCCCAGGAGGTTGAAAGTGCAGTGAGCTGTGATCACGTCACTGCACTCCAGCCTAGGTGAGAGTGAGACCCTGTCTCAAAAAAAAAAAAGAAAGAAAAAAGAGAAAAAATCAAAATGACTACCACTTCCTACCCATCAGAATGGCTATTATAAAAATAATAGCCATATGGTAATTCTATTTGTAATTATTGAGGAGGTTTATACTGTTTTCCACTCTGTATTATTACAAATAGAATTACCATATTTCACTTCTGGGTACATACCCAAAAGAATTGAAAGAAGGGTCTCAAAGACATATTTGCACACCTGTGTTCATAGAAGCATTATCCTCATAGCTAAAGGGTGGAAGCAACCCAAGCATCCATCTGTAGACGGGTGGCTCAACAGAATGAGGTCTATACGTACAGAATACTATTAGACTTAAAAAGGAAGGAGGGGCCAGGCGCGGTGGCTCAGGCCCGTAATCCCAGCACTTTGGGAGGCCGAGGCGGGCGGATCATGAGATCAGGAGATTGAGACCATCCTGGCTAACATGGTGAAACCCGTCTTTACTAAAAATACAAAAAAAAGTAGCCGGGCATGGTGGTGGGCGCCTGTAGCCCAGCTACTCAGGAGGCTGAGGCAGGAGAATGGCATGAACCCAGGAGGCAGAGCTTGCAGTGAGCTGAGATCACACCACTGCACTCCAGCGTGGGCGACAGAACAAAACTGTCTCAAAAAAAAAAAAAAAAAAAAAAGAGATGATTCTGACACATGCTACATATGGATGAACCTTGAAAACATTATCCTAAGTGATAGAAGCCTGTCACAAAAGGATAAAACTATGATTCCACTCATATAGAGACAGAAAGAAGAATGGTGGTTGTCAGGGGCTAGAGTGGGGGAGGGAATGGGGAATCGGTGTAAATTAATGGATACAAAGTTTTAATTTTGCAAGATGAAAGGTTTTCTGGAGATGGATGAGGAGAATGTTTGCACAAGGTGAATGGACTTAATGCTACTGAGTGTACACTTAAAAATGGTTAAATGGTAAATTTTATGTATGTACATTTTACCACAATCTAAAAAACAAATAATTTTTTAAAACCCTAATATATGCCTAAGTCTCTTTCTGGACATTATATTCTGTTCTTTACAGGTCTGTTTGTTCTTGAGCCACTTATAACTATTGTGGCTTTCTAAACTGTTTTTGTTCCTGGGAATTTTTAACTTAAAATAATGAAGGGATGAAAATTGTGTCCAGTAATACATAAACCTCTTTCCCTCCACATAGTTCAATGACATTGTTTCTTCTCTACTATCTGAAGGAAAAATTTTTCCTTCAGATAAATTTTTGAATCATTTTGTCAACCTTCAAAGAATCCCATTGGGATTTTGATAGAGATTTCACTAAATTAATTTATGAATATAGAGAAATTAACATTTTTATTATCTTTAGGTTTCCTCATTTGGGAACATGGTATATACGTCCATTTACTAAAAATCTTCCTTCCTATGTCTCAGTAGAGTCTTGTAGTTGCCTTTTAAAAAACCTTATACATTCATCATGAAGTTAATTCTTGGATAGTTTTTAATTTTTTTGCTTTTGTGAATGGAATCCTTGTCTTACAGTTTCTTACCAGCATGTAGGAAAGCTACTGAATTAGAAAGGCTTTGGATGGGAGTAATATTTTTTTCCAGGGGAAAATGGAGGGAAAGAATAATTTGGGATAACATTTTGTTTTTTTGAAAGTAAAGTGATTTGAGAAATATAGTTGCTGGGGCTAAAAGAGTAAATAAATAATAGGATATGTGGAATACTTTGGAATTTATAAAGAATTTTATTAGCTAAATAAAGTTTCATATTTTGATAACTTATAACATTTGTTAATTAAAAAAAAATAAAAGTAGCCTCTATTCATTGCTTTATTGGTGTATTTATGGGACCAATAAAAACACCAGGAATGGGGGATTTCCTTCTGATTCTGGCATTTTGGCTGAGTAGGCACTTTGAAGGATGCTTCTCCTATAGAACAACTATACACTGCAAAAGACATGCTCCTTGATGCATTGCAGATCATCAAGGTCCACTGCCCTACTCCCAAACAAATAAATAATGAACTGAGGCCAGAGTGGCAGGTGGCTGGAGTCACAATGACAGGGAGCAGCGTCAGGCGGTATGTGGCTGGAGAAGGGACTTGCCCTGAGCATGAGTGTCCACCATAGCACTGTGGCTGAGCCTGGTGCCCACTGCAAGGTAGGGGCTTGGCCTGGGATTTCTACTGTGCTGTGAGCTGAGGCCCTTGAGCATCACAGTGTTTCCAAATCCTGGGTGCATTCCTGTTACTGGCAGAACTATACTTCTCTAGGGAAAAGTTTTCCAACTTGGCTCCACAGAAGTTCACTGATGAACAGCAAGCAATGCATGCACAGTCAAACACTTCCAAGCGCTCAAGCATCAAAGAAAGCAAATCACAATGAGACAACAAAGGGCAAACTTTGATACCCTCCTGGGACAACATGTCTTGGAATCTAGAACATTAGTGTATGAAACATTTAAAGAAATTATCAACACAGTCATATAGATGAGCACACAACAAGGAACTATTTGAAATAAATAGTTACATTTGGAAATAAAAGAATTTCTAGATATTGAGATATAATCACTGAACTTTTCTAAACAAGTGCAGTTATATAGTTCAACAGCTGATTAGACACAGTGCAGAGACAATTGATGATCTGGAAGACACAGCTAAAGAAAGTAACCAGAATGAAGTCATGAATGACATGTGTGGGGAATATGTGGAAGAAAAACTAAGACATTTGGAGGATGGAATGTGAAGGACAAACATACAGCTACTGGAGTCCCTGGCAAAGAGAATAGCGAAGATACAGTATCTGAAGAGATATTAGCTACAAAATTTCCAGAACGAATGAAAAATATAAATTCACAGATTCAGTAGCACAGTATCTCTCAAAGAAGATTAAAAAGAAATCCACACCTAACATACCAGGCAAAAAGTTCAGAATACTAAAGGCAAGGAGATGATCTCAAAAGTCTTTAGAGAATGAGGACAGCTGACTTGGCTGCAACAATGGCAGTCAGAAAACAGTGGAATAATAGTTTCAAACTGTTGAGAGATGCAACTGTCAACCTAGGGTGTTTCCAGCGTAACTATTTTTCAAGCATCAAGGCGAACGAAGTAAGCTATTTACAGATAAACCAAAAACGGGAGTTTATCACCAAAAAATCTGCTCTAAAGGAACTTTAATCGGGGTCGGGGGTGGGGGGGGTCATAACTTTTGTCATGACAATCTAGTGAAGCCTGTGGATCCCTTCTCAGAATAAGGTTTTTAAAAGCATGAAATAAAACTATTACAGGCCGGGCACAGTGGCTCACGCCTGTAATCCCTGCACTTTGGGAGGCCGAGGCGGGTGGATCACAAGGTCAGGAGATCGAGACCATCCTGGCTAACATGGTGAAACCCCTTCTCCACTAAAAAATACAAAAAAAGGCCGGGCACAGTGGCTCACGCCTGTAATTCCAACACTTTGGGAGGCTGAGGCGGGCAGATCACGAGGTCAGGAGATCGAGACCATCCTGGCTAACACAGTGAAACCCTGTCTCTACTAAAAAATAGGAAAAAAAATTAGCCAGGCATGGTGGCAGGCACCTGTAGTCCCAGCTACTTGGGAGGCTGAGGCAGGAGAATGGCGTGAACCCGGGAGGCGGAGCTTGCGGTGAGCCGAGCTCGTGCCACTGCACTCCAGCCTGGGCGATAGAGCCAGACTCCGTCTCAAAACAACAACAGCAACAAAAAACAAAACCAAAAAAACTATTACAAAGGAAACAAATTATTTTGAAATTTTTAAACTAAAAATATTTTTAAATGTATTATAATAATATATGTGCTACCTAATAACCCACTAAGTAACAAAATCCAGCAGCTACCCTAATGTCAGAGTAGATACCCGTAAGAGGAGGCAGCATCTTACAGGGCAGGCCCTGGACAAATGAGTTTGTTACCAAGCACTTAAGAGAGAATGTGCATCAAAGAAGCATGCATTGCATCAGAACAGACCATGGTGTATTTCACCTTTCAGTATCTTTTGACTCATGAGTTATTTAGAATATTTTAAAACACTTCAACACTAAGGAGTTTTTTCTCTTTCATGAGGTGATCTTTGTCATCAATTTATAGTTTTGCTTCTGCTTGAGAAGATAATGAAAGCTGCAGAGTTCTTTTTCTATCAGTAGGTTGAGAAGAAAGGTAACTTTTCTCAGGGACATTATGAGTGTGATGTGTTGGTGCAGCCCCTGAAGGGAAATGGTGTGGAGGATGTTTGGACCACAGCCTGGGATGAAAGGCTGGGAGAGGGAATGGTGAGTTGGAAGTTGCCCTAAGGAGAGGGGGCAGAAAGCATGGACAGGGTGGGGGTAGCAATGAGTGTGTCCTCAAAGGTAGAGACAGATGGTAGAGGCCTGCATGCCTCGTGAGCCTTCTGTGGCCCCAGCAAGACTCAGAGAAAGAAAGCCACACCCAAAGCAAGGAGAATTGACGGAGGGTGAAGTAGGAAGATCAGCTGCTCCAGGAGGCTGTAGGAGGAATATTGCACAGAGCTGCAGTCCAGGAGGTTTGGAAGATGGGGGGTTGGTGGACTCAGAATATTATTTGCTCTGTTTTTGCAACAATTCTTTCCACACACAGTGAATGCTGGCTTCTTAGTGGTAAATTGATATCTCTGTAGCTATTGGGCACCCATCTGCCATATGTTTCATGAAAGTAATTTACTTGGCTTTCAAGACTGCGTTCTAGAAGGACTTGCTTCACTATCAGTTGCCTTTGGACCAGACTTTATGATCTGAAGAACATTCTTGATTTTAGGAAGTAAAAGAACTTTTCAGTGTTAGAGGACAAGATTTAAAGAGCTAATTTATTCCAGACCTCTGTGTCCAGGCAGGGTACCAATCAAATGGGCAGGTCTTTGACTCTAAGGATGCCATTATTTCCCGGCAGCCTGTTATCCCTTGTCATCAGCCTCAACAGCAGGAAGTTCTGTCTCTGTTCTGATTTTATCTCTTGCCTCTATTAGGCTGGGTGGGGAAGTGGAGAAAAGAGCGAGTTGGCGTCCTTGTGACAACTCATGGTGCTCGCAAGGTTCGGCCTCCTCTCCTTGAGCAATATCATGCCTTTTCCAATCTATTTGGCTTTTTTTCCACAGCTATTTAATTCTATGTTACTCTTCCCCAACCCTCTTCGTTTTCTCCATATTCTTTGTGAACTGTGGACTCTGAATAATGATACCTGTAAATTAAACGGGATGAAGGTTTCATGATGTGGTAATTTCATGGCTAACTAGATTCATGACCCTTTTTCTCATGAGAGTGGTGCAAAATCAACCTACAGGATTACTGACATGTCAGAATGTGCAACATAATCCTTGCTGGTAGCTGGAATTGAGCAAAAACAGTTCAAGATCCGATGGTTTCAGAGCAGAGGCTCTGAGCTGCTTTTACATCAACCGCCCTTGGTCTCCAGTGGGCCAGAGCTGGCCTCTCCAGGGAGGAGGCACACCAGCACCTGGGCCGTGAAAAGCCTCCCTCAAGCCATTCTGCAGGCCCTCCGTCATTAGGGTTAAGCCTCCTCTCCCTGAGCAATATCATGCCTTTCCCAATCTATTTGGCCTTCGTATTTGGACCTGTGTCAGTGTTTCCGGTATCAGGGAGGGGTGGGGGGAGTGAAGTCTGTGCTGCCCCTCCTGGAGAGGTCTGGGGAGAAAGCAGATGTTTTGAAAAAATGATCCAGTGTCCCACTCCCGAAGAAACAAATAAACAAATAATGAATTGAGGCCAGAGTGGCAGGTGGCTGGAGTCACAATGACAGGGAGCAGCGTCAGGCGGCATGTGGCTGGAGAAGGGACTTGCCCTGAGCATGAGTGTCCACCATAGCACTGTGGCTGAGCCTGATGCCCACGGCAAGGTAGGGGCTTGGCCTGGGATTTCTACTGTGCTGTGAGCTGAGGCCCTCGAGCATCACAGTGTTTCCAAATCCTGGGTGCATTCCTGTTACTGGCAGAACTATACCTTTCTAGGGAAAAGTTTTCCAACTTGGCTCCACAGAAGCTCACTGATGAACAGCAAGCAATGCATGCACAGTCAGTTCCAAGCGCTCAAGCATTGGTGTTGGGAGCTGTGTCAGTGTTTCCAGGATTGGGGAGGGGTGTGGGGAGGGAAGCCTGTGCTGCCCCTCCTGGAGAGGTCTGGGGAGAAAGCAGATGTTTTGGAACAACAATCCAGTGTCCCACTTGGGATGTCGTAGTGTCTTAGTCTACTTAGGCTGCCATAACGAAATAGCATAGACTAGGTGACCTAACAGAAATTTATTTTCTCGCAGTTTGTGAAGCTGGAAAGTCTGAAATCAGGGTGTCAGCAAGCTTGGTTTCTGGTGAGGGCTCCTTCCTGACTTGCATTCTTTTTTTTTTTTTCATAGTTCCTGAATATTTTAATTATTATTATTGTTTTTTTAAATTATACTTTAAGTTCTAGGGTACATGTGCACAACGTGCAGGTTTGTTACATATGTATACATGTGCCATGTTGGTGTGCTGCATCCATTAACTCGTCATTTACATTAGGTATATCTCCTAATGTTTTCCCTCCCCCCTCCCCCCACCCCACAACAGGCCCCGGTGTGTGATGTTCCCCTTCCTGTGTCCAAGTGTTCTCATTGTTCAATTCCCACCTATGAGTGAGAACATGCAGTGTTTGGTTTTTTGTCCTTGCGATAGTTTGCTGAGAATGATGGTTTCCAGCTTCATCCATGTCTCTACAAAGGACATGAACTCATCCTTTTTTATGGCTACATAGTATTCCATGTTGTATATGTGGCATATTTTCTTAATCCAGTCTATCATTGATGGACATTTGGGTTAGTTCCAAGTCTTTGCTATTGTGAATAGTGCTGCAATAAACGTGTGTGCATGTGTCTTTATAGCAGCATGATTTATAATCCTTTGGGTATATACCCAGTAATGGGATGTCTGGGTCAAATGGTATTTCTAGTTCTAGATCCCTGAGGAATTGCCACACTGTCTTCCACAATGGTTGAACTAGTTTACAGTCCCACAACAGTGTAAAAGTGTTCCTATTTCTCTACGTCCTCTCCGGCACCTGTTGTTTCCTGACTTTTTAATTATGGCCATTCTAACTGGTGTGAGATGGCATCTCATTGTGGTTTTGATTTGCATTTCTCTGATGGCCAGTGATGATGAGCATTTTTTCATGTGTCTGTTGGCTGCATAAATGTCTTTTGAGAAGTGTCTGTTCATACCCTTCACCCACTTGTTGATAGGGTTGTTTGTTTTTTTCTTGTAAATTTGTTTGAGTTCTTTGTAGATTCTGGATATGAGCCCTTTGGCAGATGAGTAGATTGCAAAAATTTTCTCCCATTCTGTAGGTTGCCTGTTCACTCTGATGGTAGTTTCTTTTGCTGTGCAGAAGCTCTTTAGTTTAATTAGATCCCATTTGTCAATTTTGGCTTTTGTTGCCATTGCTTTTGGTGTTTTAGACATGAAGTCCTTGCCGATGCCTATGTCCTGAATGGTATTGCCTAGGTTTTCTTCTAGGGTTTTTATGGTTTTAGGTCTAACATATAAGTCTTTAATCCATCTTGAATTAATTTTTGTATAAGGTATAAGGAAGGGATCCAGTTTCAGCTTTCTACGTATGGCTAGCCAGTTTTCCCAGCACCATTTTTAAATAGGGAATCCTTTCCCCATTTCTTGTTTTTGTCAGGTTTGTCAAAGATCAGATGGTTGTAGATGTGTGGTATTATTTCTGAGGGCTCTGTTCTGTTCCATTGGTCTGTATCTCTGTTTTGGTACCAGTACCATGCTGTTTTGGTTACTGTAGCCTTGTAGTATAGTTTGAAGTCAGGTAGTGTGATGCCTCCAGCTTTGTTCTTTTGGCTTAGGATTGACTTGGCAATGCAGGCTCTTTTTTGGTTCCATATGAACTTTAAAGTAGTTTTTTCCAATTCTGTGAAGAAAGTCATTGGTAGCTTGATGGGGATGGCATTGAATCTATAAATTACCTTCGGCATTATGTCCATTTTCACGATATTGATTCTTCCTATCCATGAGCATGGAATGTTCTTCCATTTGTTTGTATCCTCTTTTATTTCGTTGAGCAGTGGTTTGTAGTTGTCCTTGAAGAGGTCCTTCACATCCCTTGTAAGTTGGATTCCTAGGTATTTTATTCTCTTTGAATCAATTGTGAATGGGAGTTCACTCATGATTTGGCTCTCTTTTTGTCTGTTATTCAACATATGCAAATCAATAAATGTAATCCAGCATATAAACAGAACCAAAGACAAAAACCACATGATTATCTCAATAGATGCAGAAAAGGCCTTTGACAAAATTCAACAGCCCTTCATGCTAAAAACTCTCAATAAATTAGGTATTGATGTGATGTATCTCAAAATAATAAGAGCCATCTATGACAAACCCACAGCCAATATCATACTGAATGGGCAAAAACTGGAAGCATTCCCTTTGAAAACTGGCACAAGACAGGGATGCCCTCTCTCACCACTCCTATTCAACATAGTGTTGGAAGTTCTGGCCAGGGCAGTCAGGCAGGAGAAAGAAATAAAGGGTATTCAATTAGGAAAAGAGGAAGTCAAATTGTCCCTGTTTGCAAATGACATGATTGTATATTTAGAAAACCCCATGGTCTCAGCCCAAAATCTCCTTAAGCTGATAAGCAACTTCAGCAAAGTCTCAGGATACAAAATCAATGTGCAAAATTCACAAGCATTTTTATACACCAATAACTGACTTGCACTCTGAATGGTCTGCCTCATTGTGTGTGTGCGGAGAGCGTGAGAGCTCGCTTTCTCCTCGTGTAGAGCTACCAGTCCCATTGTGAAGGCGTCATCCTCATGACCCAGTCTAATCCTAATCACCTCCCAGAGGCCCCATCTCCAAATACCATTACATTGCGGGTTAGGGATTCAACATCTCCAATTGGGGGGTCACATACATTTAGTCCCTAACAATTGTTTTCTGTTGCTGTGTAGCAAATGACCATAAACTTTGCAGCTTGACACAACACTCACTTAATACCTCATAGTTTTCTTGGGTTAGGAGTCTGGACCTTGCTTAGTAGAGTTGAAACCGGAGGAGTTCCCTTATCCGCCTCACCGGGCGTGTGACAAGGGTGTGGTTCGCTTCTTCGGTGCCCCGCTGTTCAAACTCCAAGGGGGAACATGAAGATGGGTAGGTTTTGGGGAGTGTTTTGGGGCTCCATCTCCACGGCATCGTCTAGGGTTGAGTGTTTGCAGGTCCCAAAGCCTCAGTGGGTGTGTGTTACAGAGTGCTCTTTCAGTTTTGCCATCTGCAGGCAGCTTGTGTTAATCAGCTCAGTTAGACCCTCTGCCTTATCACAAGGACAGAGGGCTTTCTGTATCCTGGTTCTTGCCCTAGTGTACAGGAAAAATCAGATCACACATGGGCTTGGAGGATGGGTGCGAGGTTTAATTGAGTGGTGGAGGTAGCTCTCAGCGAAGTGGATGGGGAGCAAAACGGGGATGGAGTGGGAAGGTGTCTTCCCCTGGAGTCAGGCCGGCCAGTGGCTGGACTCTCCTCCGACTGCCCTCGACCAAATTCTGTGTCATCCCGCCGTCAGTGGCCTGCCAGTGTCTGCTGGTGTCTGTTGGTGTGCCCTTCTCCTCCTTTCAACATCCAGCTGCTTGTGTCCATGCCCACTATGGTCTCAGATTTTTATGGGCACAGGATGGGGGGCATGGGAGGCCAGAGTGGTCTTGGAAGATGCAACATTTGGGCATGAAAACAGGACTGCCCGTTCTCACTTAGGTCCATGGGCACAGGCCTGAGGGTGGAGCCCTCGCCAGGCACCCCACCCTTCTCTACCCAGCATTTCCTTGCCCCCCTCCCATAGAAGAGTCACCTGGCCAGGTTTCACAAGGCTGCAACCAGAGTGTTGCTGGGGCCATGTTATTTGAACATGTCCCTGGGGGAAGACCACAAGAGTGACAGCCCATCATATTCTTACTCAGGGGAGAGCATTCTGTAAGGCCAGGGGTCACCAGGGGTCATTTTAGAATTCTGCCTGCCACGCCAAGTTTAATGGCTTTATTCTTTTGCTTTGTGTAGGAGAATTTGATCCATTCCTAGTTGTAGTTATTAATGATACTTGGAAATGCACATTGTCTTCAGTGAGCAAGTCACCCGTGTTTGTTGAAAGTCAAATTCTGTGAGGGGATTTGTGGAATGATAGCTTTGCTTATGGGAATGGGGAAGGTCAAGAACTCTCCCTGTAGCTTAATAAGATAAAAGCAATATTAACTTCCTTCAGGCTTAGAAGTAGGTGGAGTAGTGGCTACGATTTGGAAGTTTTATGTACTTCCAGTGAAATTCCTGCTACAAGCGACTTAGTCACTGTAGAATTTTGATAGTTTAATACACTTCAGCTGAGAAGAGGTCAAGGCGTTCAATCTGAGTTTATTAAAGATGCCTGCAGGACTCTGGTGGTAGTTTGGGGATCTGATGGGCCCCCTGGGCTCTTGAATTCCTAGGCTCTTCGTGAGTGAGGAGGGTGGGGCCATGGTTGAAGAACGGGTAAGATTTCATCTGCTAGACATGGGAAGTAGAAGACGCCATTTTCTAGGGGATGTTTCTTCTCACCATCTGTCCAGGCTTAGTCTGCGTGAGGCCAGTGTTGGGGCGTGTGGAAAAATGGAAGACACTTTTTGGAAGTTTCATCCTAGGCAGATGGCAGAGTCAGAGCCAGAGCCCCGGAATGTGGCCCTCAACTTGAGGGATAAGAAGAGTCGGGGGCTGAGGCTGGGGCCGGGAGGGCTGGGGACAGGAAGGGAGTGCTGGAAGATGGGGGCTGTCTCGGAGGTTGGGTGTGGAGGGAAGACAGCCCACAGAGCTCTGTGGCTTGTAGGTGAGTCACACAGTGGCTGCTGTGCAGTTTCCTCCCTTGCCAGCCTCCCTGGAGGTGCCCAGAGTGGCCTGGACAGGAGTGGGGCCACCAAGGGAGGTGCCTCCAGTGCTGGAAAATCAGGGACCTAGCTTTGTGGTCTAAATTGTCAGGCCAGGGAGATGCGGTTTGTTTGGTGGAGGCATCCAGGATGGCTTCAGTGGGGAGGGAGGAGGTGGAGACAAGAGCGAGTGGACAAGGCTGTCATCGGGCAGGTGAAACAGGAGCGTGCCGGCAGAGGGCAGAGAGATGAACCGGGAAATGGAGGGTGCTGAGCAGAAGAATGGATCCTGCTTAGTGACGGAGTGGCCCCTGAACTATATACCATGAGCTCAAAACATGATGGCATTATGGTCAGAAATTTTGAATTCACAAAAAGAAGAAAGTGGGTGTGGAGGAGTGAAGTCAGGGTCTGAAATGTCAAACATGAAATGATGGTGAGAGCTCCGGCGGGAATGGTCATCTCCTTCCAAGAAAGGCCGGTGTCCTCTGACTGTGAAATGACATGGGAACATGGTGTGCCCACTGGGTTCAAATGTTGGGTACAGAAGGCAAGAGAGAGGTTTCAGGGGCATTTGGAAGGAGAGTTAGTGAGACACAGCCCCTGAGAGACACGAGAGACATTGGTCAAGGATTTCCCTAGGGCTGGAACTGGACTGCGAGGCAAGGAGCCTGGGTGGCATGGCCATGGGAGGGGACCCGGGCGGTGGGAAATGGCTGTAAATAATGTCTGTCGCCGGTAACTGTGTTTGGAGGACTTGTGAGCGTTGCAGAAAAAATACACGTGTGAGAGGCTTGGGAGCAGAGCCCTGGTGTGCGTGCTTTGGTTCATGTTTTTGTTGTTGTTTTGTTGTTTTGTGGCCAGATGTTTTTGATACTAGACTAGCATGGTGCAGGATGTGATAGTGGCTGCTGTGTCTGAGACCTGGTTCTGCCCCCTGTGGAGGTGGTTGAGGGTGAACTGCAGTCTGTGACCAAGGGTACCTTGTGAGTTTGTCAGCATCATGCCCTCCTCCCGGGTCTGGCCAGTGCTTTTGGAGTCTCAGGGGACATGCAGCCAAGCCCTTCCAGCCAGTGCCCGGATGCCTGGCTTGTGCCCACAGTGGCAAGCGTGAGCAATTTGTCTTCACAGGAGACCTGGTCTGCAAACACCTTCCTTTTAATTCGGCCTTCTCACATGCTGCCCTGTTGAGTGAGCCTTAGCCTCCTGTTCCTCCCTGGTTGGACATGGGGGTAAGGGAGAGGGAAAGATCTCCAGGATTTCGGCTTGAGTGACGGGGAAGAAGAGGTACTCTTGTGGAGAGCAGAGGTTGCAAGAGGAAGTGTGGGCTTCTGAGGTGGAGGCTGCAGCTGCATTTTTGGACATGTTGGGTTGGACAGATGCCAGGAGCAGAGCCTGTGGACGGTGTGATGCCGTGGCCATGGCAAAGCCCTGGGCTGAGAATCACCTGTGCAGATACCAGTGGATGGTACTCGAGGAGCCTCAGGACAGCCACCACAGAGCCCTGGGGAGAGGAGACAAAGGGCTCAGGAGACAGGTGTTGGGAAACCAGGAAGAGGTTGGGGAGAGGGAGGAGGCCAGGAGGGAGGCTGTGGAGGAGAGCGGCCCCTGGGAAGTGGGAAGAACCGCAGGGGAGTGAGAAGCCACAGGAGCCCAGATGGGAGGGAGCCTCAGCCCTCAGCCGGGTGATGGGGACCGAGCTTTGTCTGTCGCACTTGGTGACTGCTGGGGAACCTTGGGAGAAGTTTCCTTGGAGTTGTGGGGCTGAAGCCAGATAGATGGTAGTGGGTGGGAAGTGACTGTGTCTTCATGATCCATTGGCCCTTCCTGGACACCAGGAAATCAGGAATGTGGGGATCAGAGCCAGTGTCATCCTCAGGTTGCCTGGCCTCAGGAGGCCGCCTAGGAGACAGGCAGGCCAGGAGCTGGACACAGGGCTAAGCAGTGGTTCTTCTAAGGGACAGAAGTCACAGTGTATTCATGTGATCAGGACAGTAGGGAGGAGGCAGGAGAGAGGGGATGACTTCTGGTGAGACCCCAGGCAAGGTCAAGGGCAGGACTTGGCCTGGGAAAGGAGTGGGCTGCTTGGAGTCAGGGCCTAGAAAGTTCTGGAGCCTCATCAGAAGACACTGCCTATGTACGGGTGAGGTGGGAAGCTGTGATGAGTGAAGGGGAGGGGCTCGCAGGGGCTGGAGGGGAGAGAAGGGTGTGCATCAGGGGAGCCAAGTGTGTATAGGGCAGAAGGAGCCTGCAGGGTCTGCCATGCCCAGGGTCCATGCAACCATGGCAGGTGGCCAGGTGGCCCGTGGGTGGGGTTGCATTTGCCTTTTCCCCAAATAGTGTTCTCTGTGATTTTTTTTTTTTTTTTGAGATGGAGTCTCGCTCTGCCTCCCAGGCTGGAGTGCAGTGGTGTGATCTTGGCTCACTGCAACCTCTGCCTCCCAGGTTCAAGTGATTCTCGTGCCTCAGCCTCCCGAGTAGCTAGGAATACAAGCGTGTGCCTAGCACAGCCAAATCACATCGAGGACCAGGGTGGGGTGTTTCAGAAAGCCTGTCACTCTCGGGCCACCTAGTGCAGTGCACAAAGTGACCCCTCCATAGCACCCTGGTGCCCTGAGAGACCAATGTGCCTCTCAGAGTGGGTGCAAGCTGTGAAAATGCAGCTCATGGTAGCCCCGCCACTGTGTGTGTGCTGTGTTCCACACGTCCTTCTCCGGGTTGAAACGGTTCACAGTGTTTTGATTGCCCATGCAAGGTTTCGGAAGCATCTCACCTTCCTGTATCTTTTGTCCTTCCAGGTGCTGCTGTCGGGACTCATAGGTGTCGTCTCCTGGAAGAGGCCTCTCTCCCTTGTGGTAAGTGGCACCTGCGTCTCCAGGTGGCCTTGGAGCAGGGTTCCACCTTCAGATGCGTGAGCAGGTTGGAGGCAGTGGCGAAGAGAATTCCAACTTCTTTTCAGGCAGCGGGAAGCAGAGCTTGATAAAATCTCACTGCTGAATGCTGATGGGCTTGTGAGAAGCACTGTGTTTCTCATGGGAGGTGCTTCTGAGAGCGCTCCTCAGTGTCTTGCTGAGATGCTCCGAGGGCATCCTCTTTGTGTTTGTTTTGTTTTGCTGTCCTCCTGTAAGGACCGAGCGTGAACCAAGGGCTTTTTTTTTTTTTTTTTTTTTTTTTGAGACAGAGTCTCGCTCTGTCACCTAGCCTGGAGTGCAATGGCATGATCTCGGCTCACTGCAACCTCTGCCTCCCAGGTTCAAATGATTCTCTGCCTCAGCCTCCTGAATAGCTGGAATTACAGGTGCCTGCCACCATGCCCGGCTAATTTTTTTGTGTTTTTAGTAGAGATGGGGTTTCACCATCTTGGCCAGGCTGGTCTGGAACTCCTGAACTCGTGATCCACCCACCTTGGCCTCCCAAAGTGCTGGGATTACAGGCATGAGCCACTGCGCCTGGCCAACAAGGGCATTTTAAAAGTGTGGATGCGGCTTGGCGCAGGTTCACGCCTGTAATCCCAGCACTTTGGGGTGCCGAGGCGGGCAGATAATGAGTCAGGAGCTCGAGACCAGCCTGGCCAACATGGTGAAACCCCATCTCTACTAAAATTAGAAAAATTAGCCGGGGAATGTTGGCGGGTGTCTGTAATCCCAGCTACTGGGGAGACTGAGGCAGGAGAATTGCTTGAACCCGGGAGGTAGAGGTTGCAGTGAGCCGAGATCGCGCCACACCACTGCACTCCAGCCTGGTGCAGAGAGAGAATCCATCTCAAAAAAAAAAAAAAAAAAGTGTGGATGCATGCATTTCATCTAGACATTAAAGCCTGTTTATGCACTATACATGCATATGTATGATCGCACAAGCAAAATATATGTTATCAGAGTTCAAGAAATGTTAGATTTTTGTGTTTTTGGGGGAACCCTAAAATTCTGTGAGTAAAATAAAAAGAGTTACTTGAATTGCCGTGGCATTGTGCTGAGGAGCAGGCCACGCGGGAGATGGAGAGAGGTTAATGGTTTTTCCCTCGGAAAAATGCCCTGAGCAGATTTGTGTCTATTGATTTGTATGCCTGTTCTTCTCAGTGTATGCATTAATATATGTATGTGTCTGTGTCAGGACTAGAGGAAGAGGTTTTCTGGGTTTTGATAGATAATGAAAAAGACAGCGTGGCATTTTTCTTCTTTTATATTAATCAATTATTTAAAATCTCCTCTTTAAGTGATTAGACTTGGAGATAATGACATGTAGTAAATATTAATGGGAATAGAAAAATAACCCACATTTGTCTATTAAAAACACCTCTTCCTTCATGAGAGTAACCATGACGCCCTGAAATGGTATCAGGGAAGACAGGAGTGGCCTTAGAGTCAGGTGAGGCTCCTCTTCTGCTGTATCTCGGCTCATATAAGGAATTTCCTTTTAGAAAAATATTTTTATTTAGAACTTTTCAAACATACGTAAAAGTAAACAGACTGCTGTCATGAACCCCTGTGTACTCCTCTTCTGGCTTCAACAGATGCCAACATCTGGCCCATCTTGTTTTGTCACTATCTCCCCACCCCCCACCTCCCCCCAGCCCCTTGCTGGATTATTTTGAAGCTGGCTCTTGGTGCCAAGGGGAAATGCAGTGAATAGGCTGACTGTGGGGTTGACATCCTCGGGGTATGCAGTGTGGTGACTGCGCTGCCTTCAGTGACATGGGGACAGCTGCCTCCTCACTCCACACCCACCTTCATGGTGCAGACAGATTAAGCTCTCTAAACAAAGGAAAAGCCGCCTTCCGCAGAGTGGGTGTGTGAATGAAAAGACAAGAGAGAAATGACGTCCATCACCCAATCACCCCCGCGCGCCACCCCCAGCCCTGGCCTCAGCATCAGGAATCTCACAGGGCTGGGCATTTTACCATGCAGGATGCATAAGCTTATAGCTGACGAGGAGTTAGGACCCCTTATGGTGGTGGCTGAGGAGTGTCCCAGGGAAGCCAGGGAAGCAGGCTGGGGTCTCAGGACTCATCCCAGTGGGGGGATGTAGCAGCAGCTGGACCTACAGGAGTAGAATGTTCAGAGTGCTCGCTCCCCAGCCCTGCCGCATAGTTGGAGCAGGGCCAGTCTGCTCTCTGGGAGGTGGTCAGCACTGACCTTCCATGGACTAATTTCTTCCCAAGCCCCAGGCAGAGGAGAAGGGGTTCATGTGGCTTGACTGACTTCCTTGCCTTATGTAGGGAGGTTAGGGTATCATTAGGGTGACACTAATTGCTGGAGCAACCTCCTGACTATCAGTGGCTCAGTTCAGGGCAAGGCTACCCTGGCCCCTGTCCAGGTCAGGCGTGGCCTGTGGCAGGCTTCACAGAGGGGCTCAGGGACCTGGCAAGTCAGTGAAAGGGAATAGAGAACAGAAAAGGAACCCTAGCAGTTTAATTTTCTTGGCCTGAAACTGACATTCATTGCTTGCCTTTCAAGCCATTCAGGAGAGCCTGTCATGAGGCCCATCTAGGAACCTGTGGCAGGCACTGCCTCTCTGGACAGGCACTTCCCAGAGGCAGTTCTGCACTGCAGACGGAAGTGTATGGATTTTGCTGGGTAGTTTTTTATCTGTACCATGAGAATGTTCTTCTGCTGTGTTGACCACAACAGTGCAATCTTTTGGTTCATTAGCAAAAACTCACTCTCTGAATCATGACCATTGAGATAGCCTCGGCTTTGGCTTTATGAGGAGTAAAGGCATTCACAATAGATGCAAGGAAAATCTACAATATAAAGTTCTATTAGGGTGCTTTAGAAAAACATAACCAATGGGAGATATACAGATATAGAGGCAGATATAGATAGATATACACACGCATACACAGATGTATATATATATCTAGGTTATAAATTTTATATATGTATGTATATGTATATAGACAGATTTATTTATTTTAAAGAATTGGCTCACGCAGTTGTGGGAACGGGCAATTCGAAAGTCTGCAGTGCTGGCCCGCAGGCTGGAGATGGAGGGAAGAGCTGAGGCTGCAGCTTTAGCCTGAAGGGAGGCAGCAGGTGGAATTCCCTCCTCCCTGTAGCAGGTCCGTCATTTTCTCTTCTTTCCACTGACTGGTTGCAGCCCACTACATTATGGAGGGTAATCTGCTTTGTTCAAGGTCTACTTAAAACTTAATCTCATCTACAAAAATACTTTCACAGCAACATCCAAACTAGTGTTTGACCACATATCTGGGTACTGTGGTCTAGCCGAGTTGACTAAGGAACCATCAGGAACCATCACCGCAGAGTTTTGGAAATGTGACCAAAGATGTTCTATCCAGAATAATACCAAAGAAAATACTGTAAACAATGATGGTAACCATTCATCGAGTGGGACCTGTATGTCCTTATCCTCACAACAGTCCTGGCAAGAGTAGGTTTTCCTACTCTTTTTTTTTTTTAAGAGTTTTTAAAGTTCAAAAGAGTTTTTTTAAAAAAGGTTTTTAAAGCGAGGCCAAGGCTTCCACACCTTAAGTAATGAGCTAGGACTTGAACCCAAACCTCTCTGACTCCCAAATCCTCCTTTGTTCCAGCCAACTGTAGTCTGTGTGGACATTATCTTTCTTCTCTAATTAGGTATCACATGACTTACATTCCTTCAACCTCATCTTCTTGTCCCTTTGTATTTTCTGTCTCAGTTGATGACACCACCGCCTACCCATTCTAGAAACTGGGGAGACACTCAGACATCCTTCTCCTTCCTCACCCATCATACTTATTCACAAGCTCTCTCCTTGTGGCTCATTTTTTTATTATTATTATTATTATTATTATTATTATTATTATTATTATTATTATTATTTTTGAGACAGAGTCTCACTCTGTTGCCCAGGCTGGAGGGCAATGGTACGATCTTGGCTCACTGCAACCTCTGCCACCCGGGTTCAAGCGATTCTCTTGCCTCAGCTGCCTGAGTAGCTGGGATTAAAGGTGTGCGCACCACGCCCAGCTAATTTTTGTATTTTCAGTAGAGACAGGGTTTCTCCATGTTGGTCAGGCTGGTCTCAAACTCCTGATCTCGTGATCCGCCCACCTTGGCCTCCCAAAGTGCTGGAATTACAGGTGTAAGCCACTGCGCCTGGCCGTGACTCATTTTATTTGTATGCAGCTGCCCCTGTCTTCTCTCTGCCTTGAGCCACCATTCTAGGGCAGGTCCTTGCCTGGCATCTCATATAGTAGCCTCCTAACAGATCTGTGTGCCAAAAAGCTGGCTCTTCTCCAATCCGTTCTCCACACACACACAGATGCCGTGGGTGGTATGTAAAGTGTCTGCCAGCCTGTGTCACTCCCCTTCGTTAAGCCCTTCATGGTTTCCCAGGGACCACAAAATGGAACTGAGGTTTTCCAGATGACGTGTGAGACCTTATGCAAGGAAAGGAAGACCTAGAAAGCAAAGTACCCTGCCCTGGGACTTAGCACTAGCATGACTTGAAGTCTTGATTTCAATGATTTTTAAAATAAAAGCTCCTGCTTTTATTGTCTGTGCTAATGATTTGTTTTTTTTTCTTCCTGGAGGTGTCAACTAAAGATGCAGCAGTGAGTTTTCTAGTTCATTCCCAGGGGGGCACACTGGCCTGCCCTCCCCCCAACTCCTTCCATAAACACCACACAGTCAGTTGCCCTCTCTGAAAGGGGCGTATCCCTCAGGATAGTGAGAAGAAGCAGTTTTGGGCCCACAGCTCCAAGGTCTTTGCAGCCACTCCATTCGCCCTGCAGGCCTGGCTGGCTGAGTACAGGCATGAGTGGCCCCTGCTGCTGGAGCGTTTTGGTGCTGCCATTGCTCTCCTGGCAGCAGCTTTCCTCTGCAGGGCTCCCAAGCACAAGGCCATCCGGAGCCCTGCTGCAGCTCCTTCTTTTCATCATTCTGCGCTTACAGACACACAGAGCGAGATGAAGGAGAGCTGTACAGTCCCTGCCGGAGTGACTGATGTGCGGGAGGGCAAAGAGAGGGGAGCAGCAGCTCACTGTGAGCACTCAGTGAGGGAGGCCTCCCTTTGTAGGCTGGCGAATGCAATGTCGGAGGGGAAGAAGGGAAATGCTGTGTGTGTGTGTGTGTGTGTGTGTGTGTGTGTGTTTACCATAGTGTTTTATAAGTGCCTTTCTAAATGCTGAAAACTAGCGACATGAATAAAGAATATGTATTTTCACATTACTGGGATAGTTTTTTTTTTAAATCTGTTCTTAGTGTCTTCTATGATTGAGATCATTGTCTTCCTTACATTAAACTATAACGGGTTCTATATTATGCTGGATGCCAATTAGAAATCAGATTATATAGCTCTGATTAGATGATTTTTTGAAAGATTCAGTGAACCATCTTGTGATGGCTTATGTATGAATAATGGAAACAGTCTCCCACAATCACAGGCGGTATAAGTTTTAAAACCTTGAGTACAGTAGCACTGAACTGGATATTAGATTATTCATAATAACTAATACTGTTGAGAAACTAATAACCATGGAGTTGAAAACATTTTTTAGAATTTATTTTTACCAATAACAAATTAGTTACAGTTTAGGACAGTTTTTTTTTTTAAAGCAAAGTAAATCTACTTTAAGAAGCACTAATCTATGGGAATATGAGTACCATATAGATCCAATAATGTGTTTAGTATTGTTTGCATTTTATATTACATTGTTTGAGGGATCTGGCTTTTTGCCTTACTCAGATGGTGGTTTATTTTTATTGCTAAGCTTTATCAACCCAGACAGAAACGTGTATCCATCACGGCTCAATCAGAGAAACAGGGCTTTTCAGAGCCAACACCAAAGATCTCGGTGAGCCAGTCTACTCTGATGGCTGCTTTGGCTCTCTGTGCTTCACAGTAACCACATCCACCATGCCTTTGGCAATTAAGAGCTGCCACCTGGCCCCTGCAACCCTGGGGTCTCATCATCTTCATTGCATTTAGGGACCCTAGTTAGATGGCAGCACAGAAATTCCAACTGTAATTTGTGGCCTCCAGGAAGAGTTCAGGGATGCTGAGGTTCCTCTCGCGTATTTATTTCTCATAACTGTAGAGAAAGGTGTGCCTCTGGATCCTCTGGGGATGGATTGCTGCAGCCTCCTGTTGTGAGAAGGTTTCTAGGCCACAGCACAGGAACCTGGGAAGAGCCTGGCAGTCCTGCTGAGTTAAGGAGGCTATACTGAGCCTGGGAGTCCAAGGTGGCTAGAATTTGCAGAACAAAGTGCCAGAGAGGAAAGACTTACTCAAGTAGAGGGTTCTGGAGATTTGGAGAGGAAGCCCTGTGAATATTCAGCTGCTACTGATCAGCTCTTGCATGTAGGTAGAGAAACTGAGGCCATGAAAGAACTATCTGAGAGGACTAGAGACAAAAGTGCCAGTCACAAAATTAGGGTTTTCCCACCATCCAGATTGGAAACCTCATGATTCACCTGGGCATTGTATACAGCATGCAGAAGAGTTTTACCTCAGTAGTGGAGAATAACTAGCCTTGAGCTAAATGCTGTTCCAGTTCTGCCTAACAGATATTAAAAGCAAGATCCAAAGGAATCAGATAGTTTCCAAGTAATTTACCTGTGTCCCAGAGCAAAGTTTGAGAACGTTCATAGGAATACAAAAGTATCCAGCACCAACTAGATAACATTCCTAATGTCTATCATCTAATCAAAGATTACAGTTATTAAAATTGTATGTTCCAAAAGTTAAGTAGACACATGGAGGTATAAAAAAAACCCAGTTGAACTTCTACTGATGAAAACTACAATGTAAGAGAGAAAAAAATTCACTGGATGAGATTAATGGCAGATTTGAGACAAGAAAAAAGATTAGTGGACTTACAGGCATTGCAATGCAATATACATTCTCCAAAATGAAGAACACAGAGAAAAAACATTTTTTCAACAAAAATATGGAAAAAAATCACAGAGCTTTGTGGAATAATTTCCAGAAACACTAATATATGTGGAATAAGGAGTGAGGGCAAACAGAAAAAATACTTGAAGAAATAGTAGTAATTTTTTTTCAAAATGGAATAAAAACTAGAAACCCACAGATTCAAGAAGCTGAATGCATGCAAAGAACCAAAAATAGGAAAAAAAAATGCACCAATGTATTGTGGGGTTTATAACATTTGAATAAGTAATTGTGTGAAAATACTGTAAAGGAGGGCGGATGGAACTATACAATGTAAGATTCTTAGACTATACTTGATGAAGTCTAATGTCACCTGAAGGTAAACTATGATAAATTAAAGTTGTATACTGTAAAGCTTAAAGCAACCACAAAATAAAACCAAAAACCCCAAAGAGTTGGCTAAGAAACCAACAAAGGAAATGGAATGGAATAATAAAAAATATCCAATTAATGCAAAAGAAGGCAGAAAACAGGAAAAAGGAAACAAAGAATAGATGGGACCGAAACGAAACAAAGAATAAGATTCCATTACCTATTTGAATTTCTTCCATGAATTGCTTGTACATATTTTTTCTGTGAGACTGTGTTACATTGATGTGTGAGATTTCTTTTTTTTAATTTTTAAACTCTAGTATATTAAATATTCATTGTTTTGAATTTAGCAAATGCATAAAAACACAAGACAATTTTTAAAAATCATCCCAGATCCCAACACTTAGAGATAGACAATTATATTTTGCTGTTTTGCCTTCCATTTTTCCCCATGCATACACAGATGCGTACATATTTTTATGAAAATTAGATTCATAGTGCACCTATTTTGTAACCTGCCTTTTTTTTTCTGCTTAGGAGTATTTCATGACTGTTGCTCCATTCACTAATATTTCTTAGTACAAACTGTTTTAAACAGTTGCATATTATTTTGTTGTGTGACTGTATTAACATGTAAGCAATTAGAAAGGGACATTTTAAAAATTGCAAGGAAAGAAGTTGTTTTCGAATACCCTTAAGCAATTTGAAAATAACCATTTAAATCCAAACAATTATATGATTCTTATTTGTCTACAAAAGAAGATTCAATAAAGCAACTCAAGTAGGAGACAATAAAAATAAAAATAAAAGAAAGCAAAATAAAAAAATAATAAAGAGAATGAAAAGAAAGCAAAACAGAAACACAACACAATCTTATAATTTTTCACATGAGGTCTATAGTTTAGTTTTTTGTTAACTCAAATGAATCTGCCTAGTGAGACTAAACTGGAGGAGCCTCCATGTTAGCATTTATCCTACAAGGACCCCAACTCAATCTACTCCAAACCCAAACTAATTTCTTTTTGCTCCCCTATCTCATTAGGAATGTTTCTCCCTTTCCTTCAGTTGCCTTATTCTAAAACCTAAACTCAGGTTCCCTTGGTTCCTTCCTCACCCCGACCTGATTCAATATATTGAACCAAATTATTAATATGTCATTTTCTTACCTTCTAGTCTTTCAAATCACTCCTCTCCTTCACTGTCACTGTCCCTCCTTGGAGGGGACCTCTCCTCATTTCCTTATTTTTATTTTTATTTTTTCTTTTTATTTTTCTTAAGATCATAATACTTTTCTGTTTTAAGTGACTAATATTTTATCCCAGTTTGTCTTGTCAGTTTGTTTGTCTTTTAATTTTTAACAAAGTGTCTTTTTAAAATATACACTGTAAAAGATCTCTCTTGGACCATAATTCTGAAATTATTCACCTGTTTATTTCTAAAATGTTTAATTTTTCTTTTTATGTTTAATTGAATCAAAGCTTATTTTTACATATGGTATGAAGACTCTAACTTTATCTTTTCCTAACGGATGACCATTTTCCCAATATTATTTTTTTTGAACGATTCAGTATTTCTCCTGCCATTTGAAATGTTTTCC
This sequence comes from Homo sapiens, assembly GCF_000001405.40. NCBI lineage: Eukaryota > Metazoa > Chordata > Mammalia > Primates > Hominidae > Homo > Homo sapiens. The sequence continues at coordinate 1,535,843 of NW_011332701.1, read as the reverse complement.
ACCACCTCACTGCTAGATATGGGTCTGTTTGTTAATCTTTATTTTGTGTAATGAATCTATCAGTTCATTTCTAAGACAACACTACATTGTTTTAACTAGTCCAGCTTTATAATAAGTCAAATGACTTATTTTCACATATTATTTGCTCTTCTGTGCATTCTTCAATAAATTTAGAATGAGTTTGTAAAGTTACACAGTGGCCATGATTTGATTTTGTGATTGCATTGATTTTATAGATTAATTCCTGGAAAATAATATCTATAATATTTAGAGATGGGGATATAGAGTTAACCCTTGAACAACATGGCAGTTAGGGGCACTGACCCCTCATGTAGTTGAAAATTTGCATATAATGTGTGACTCCTCAAAAACTTAACTACAAGTAAGCAACTGCCGACTGGAAGCCTTACTGATCACATAGTCAACTAACACATATTTTGTATGTTAGATGTATTATATGCTGTATTCTTACAATAAAGTAAGCTAGAGAAAAGAAAATATCATTTCAAAAAGTCCTAAGAAATAGAAAATGTATTTACTATTAATTAAGTGGAAGTGGACCATCATAAAGGCCTTCGTCCTCATCGTCATCAGTTGAGTAGGCTGAGGAGGAGGAGGAAGAGGAGGGGTTGGTCTTGCTGTCTCAGGGGTGGCAGAGGTAGAAGAAGATCCATGTGTAAGTGGACCTATGCAGTCCAAACCTGTGTTGTTCAAGAACCAACTGTATTTTCTGCCATAATTTCTGGAAAAATTATGTGTATTGATCTCATACTTGTTTATCACAGACCATAGTGAATTATTAAACTAGTTCTAGTTATTCGTCTATTGGATAGTTCAAGAAAAATTGTTGGGGAAATTTCTTCCATTAATTCTTTGATTGTATCTCTTTATCTATCTATCTATCTATCTATCTATCTATCTATCTATCTATTTATTTATTTTTGCCTTCTCTTACTTGAATTCCTAGTGGATAGATGCTCTACCTTCTAAATTGATCCTATGGGATTCTTAACATTTTCTAATGTTTTCTTTCTCTTTTTCTTTACTTTCTGGGGCACTTCTATTTTATTTTCTAGATAACTACTTTGGATTTCAGCTGTATCCATTCTACTGTTTGATCATTCTGTTGAATTTTTTATTTTGACAGACAGTTATGTTATTTTCTAAGAACTGTGTTTTTCTCTAATTGCTTTTTTTCATAGCAATATGTTCACATTTTATGAAACACTCATTTAATGGGTGCAATCTCCTTCAAGTATATTAATTAGAATTCTGTTTATCAGATATTCTCACCTCCCCCCACAGGTTAACTGGTCTCTTTAATCATCTAGGTCATTATTTATGCTATTTTTTTCCCACTCAATATCAGGCCATCTTTCATTGTCCTATTTATATTTACAAAAGAAGGACTATGTTAATGAAGGTAGAAAGTTGGTGTTGTTGGATTAGTTGGTTTCGTGTGTGTGTGTGTGTGTGTGTGTGTGTGTGTGTGTTTGCGGGGGTGTGGTGGTATGGGAGGGTGGCACAGTTTACCTTTCCTAAACTCCACCCTAGTATGCGTGGTCCAGAATGTGAAGGCCATCTTTGAAAGTGGGAGCTCTGTTGTGCTGACTGGCAAGATCCACTTTAGTCTTCCTGGGGGATGAAGCAGGCTCAAGAGGGAAGAGCTGAGCTTATTTTCCACCAGGTAAAGCTGCCATTTGTCTCTTTCTTCCCCAACTTCAGTGTCCATTGTGAGGGTTCAGAGGTACCTCAAGTTGTGCCTGTCCTGGGCAAATGATGATGATGACAGATGATGATGATGATGATGATGACAACGACAGTAATGGCTAACATTTATAAGTGCCTTTCTAAATGCTGAAAACTAGCGACATGAATAAAGAATATGTATTTTCACATTACTGGGATAGTTTTTTTTTTAAATCTGTTCTTAGTGTCTTCTATGATGTGTTCCAGACACTCTTCCATGATGTGGGTACAGCAAGGTTCAGTCATGTTCAAGGTTTTTTGGAGCGAGTAAGAGGCAGAGCTCAGGTTGAAACCCAGGCTGTATGTTTCAGAGCCCATGCTCTCACACTCTAGGCCCGTGTCTCCTTATCCTGCCTGCACTTCAGAACACCTGGGGCACTTTAAGAAATGTTACTTCAGACTCACTATATCAGGATTTCTTGGCATAGGGCCGGGGTATCTATAGTTTTAGACTCTGTGGATCATTTCAATATGCAGCCAGGATAGAAAACCTGTGGCTTTCTAGGGTGCACTTGATCTCGGTTGCAGTCTTCCGGTTGTCAATAATTTAGGCAAATGACATTTCTCATTTTTCAGTATAGAGCTACCAGCTCAGCTGTTCAGAATGTTGTTCTTTGCTAATTCTTTGCTACTCTGGCACAATTGTTATGTACAAATATGTCTATAATTGTTCTGTATTCTTGAATGATTAAGCCTTTATCATTATAAAATGTCCTTATTTGTTTCTAGTAACAATTTTTGTCTTAAAGATGATTTTGTCTAATACTAGGATAGTTACTCAAACTTCTTTTGGTTAGCATTTGCACAGTATATTATTTTCTACTTTTTACTGACAAACTCTAGTGAATCTCTTATAGACAGTGTGTAATTGGATCATGTTTTTAAAATCCATTCTGAAATTTCTGCCTTTTAATTGGAGAGTTTAATTTTTTAATGTAATTGCTGATGAGGAATTATTATGTCTCCCAGTATGCTATTTGTTTTCTGTATGTCTTACCTTTTGTTGTATGTTGCCATAACAGAATATCTGAGATTGGGTAATTTATTTAAAAAAATAGGTTTATTTAGCTCATGGTTCTGCAGGCTGGGATGTTCAAGATTGGACAATCGCATCTCCTGCTTCTGGTGAGGGCCTTGTGCTTCCTCCAAACATGGCAGATAAAGGGAAAGGCAAAAAGGGAAAAACGTGAGAGGCAACCTCATTTTATAACAATTAACTCTTATCAAAACTAATCCTTTCTGCAGAGAACTAACCCAGTCTTGTGAGAAAGACATTAATCCAACTTAAGTTAATCATTTCTTAAAGACACCACCTCCAAACACTGTTGCATTGGCAATTAAATTTCAACCTGAGTTTTGACTGGGACAAACCACATCCAAACCATAGCATCCATGTAGTTATCTTTAATCATGCTTTTTATGTCTATGTGAGTTTAATTTACTGTCTATCTAGTTTTGCACACGCTCGTGCACCTGGGTGTGTGTGTGTGTGTGTGTGTGTTTAATTTCAGCCTAAAAGACTTCCTTTACTATTTGTTTTAGGGCAGATTCCATAGAGACAAATTATCTCAGCATTGGCTTATCTGGTAATGTCTTGATTTTTTCTTCATTTTCGAGGGATAGTTTTGCTGGATATGAAATTCTTGGTTTACACTTTTTTTTTTCTTGCCATTTGCTCTGCCTCCTGTCCTGCATGTTTTCTAATGAGAAACTAGCTGTTAATCTTATTTGGACCCCTTGTATGTGGTAAGTCACTGATCTTTTGCCTTCAAGCTTCTCTCTTTGGCCTTGGCTTTTGACAGTTTGTTTATGATATGTCTAGGCATGGATCTCTTTGAGTTTATTCTACTCAGATTTCATTCAGCTTGGATGTGTAGATTGTTGTCTTTCATCAAATTTGGGAAGTCTTTGGCCATAGTTTCTTCAAAGGTATTTTCTGCCCTTTTCACTTTCTCTCCTCTCCTGTTGATATACTCCATTGCATGCACTTTGGTACACTTTATGATGGCTCACACACTTCTTAGGATCTGTTCATTTTTCTTCATTGTTTATTCTGCTGCTCAGGCTGGATAACCTCAATTAACCTATCTTTAGGTTAACTGATGACTCTTTCTTTGGTCTACTCAAATCTGCTCTTTAACCCCTATAGAGAGTTTTTTATTTGAGTTATCGTACTTTTCAATCTATAATTTCTATTTGGTTATTTTTTTTTTCAGACAGAGTCTTGTTCTGTCTCTCAGGCTAGAGTGCAGTGGTATGATCATAGCTCACTGCAGCTTTGAACTTTTGGGCCCAGGGGATTCTCCCTCCTGCCTCAGCCTCCTGAGTAGCTGAGATTACAGGTGAGTGCTACCACACCTGGCTAATTTTTGTGTATTTTTTTTGTTAATGATAGTATCTTGCTATGTTGCCCAGGCTGGTCTCAAACTCCTGGCCTCAAGCAGTCCTCCTGCCTCAGTCTCCCAAATTGCTGGGATTACAGGTATGAGCAACCATGCCCAGCCCTATTTGGTTCTTATAATTTCTATCTCTTCATTAATATTTTCTGTTTGGTGAGATATCATTGTCATCTTTTTCTTTAGTTCTTTAGACAGTTTGCTTTAGTTCTTTTAATACGTTTAAATAACTGATTTAAAGTCTTTGTCTTCTAAGTCCACCATGCCTTTCTCAGGGGTCATATATGTGTGTGTGTGTATGTGTGTATATATATGTGTGTGTATGAGATGTATATGTGAGCTAGATATATATATATATTTTTTTTTTTTTGAGATGGAGTCTTAATCTGCTGCCCAGGCTGGAGTGCAGTGCCATGATCTCAGCTCACTGCAGCCTTGCCTCCTGGCAGAGTTCAAACAGTTCTCGTGCCTCAGCCTCCTGAGTAGCTGGAATTACAGGCATGTGCCACCATGCCCAGCTAATTTTTGTATTTTTGGTAGAGACGGAGTTTCACCATGTCAGCCAGACAGGTCTCAAACTCCTGACCTCAAGAGTGATCTCCCCACTTCAGCCTCCCAAAGTGCTGGGATTATAGGCATGAGCCACTGTGCCAGGCCAGGGATCACTTACATTGATTGCTTTTTTTTTTTTTTTTGCCTGAATATGGGCCATGCTTTCTTGTATCTTCATATTTCTCTTTTTTTTTTTTTGTTGAAAACTGGGCATTTTCACTAATATAATGTGGTGCCTCTAGAAAGCAAATTCTTCTTGTCCACTATAGTTTATTGTTGATGACTTTTCTGAATGAATTCTGTAAAGCCTATTCTTTGTCATGTGTGGCTACTGAATTGTCTACCAAGTTAGTTTAGGAGTTACCTAGTTATTGGACAGAGATTTCTTTAAATGCCTGGAGCCAGTACATCTCCCAGTCTTTGACAAGGGGGTCTGTGTGACTCTTGGGGCACACCTTCCACATTCTGCAAGGCAGTTGTCATCTGAGAGCTTAGAGCCTTCTCAGGGCTTTCCTGGGCATATGCACAGCGCTATGCATGCATGTGGCACTCTGTATTCCCAGAGATATATTGGGGCGTTTCAAAAGTGCTATGGGCATCTTATTCCCCAGGATTTTTTTTAAGTGTTTAGATTAATATATTGTTTGCCCCAACTATTATCTACTGATTAGGCAGCTGCAAAGTGAAAACACTTGCCTACAAATGTATTTGACAGTCACCCCCAGGGAAAAGACTGTTCACACTGGGTGAGCTCAGGGTCAGGTCAAATATAACTAGGTTTGTAAGTATGGTCTTCTAGGGAATCACCAGAATGGTCACATCATGAGAATTATTTGGGAATGGGACTTTGGAAAAGATCCAGCTTTGTTCCCTTCCCTCAAGTGGCTTCCAGGCTGCACCAGGCATGTGAGCTTTTATTTTTCAAGGGTACTGTAGAGATGAGGAATGGAGGATGGGACTAGGGCAAGCCAAAATGCCCCAAATCCTACTGTTCTTACCGAGATTCAGCTCTTCATCTTGAAGAAATGCTTCCAAGGTTGCTGCAGGCCTTTGGTTAATTTCCAGAGTTATGAGCAACTTGATTCTAACCATTTCATTCAGTTATTTTTTCCTCTTATGGAGGAGTGAATTTTTAGGTCTTTGCCACTTTTTCTGATGTCATCTCTCTCCAAATATCTTTAAAGGTCTTTAGCTAGCAAGATATTTAAAAAATAAATTCATTGTATCCATCACTTGGCAATCTCCTTGCTGTCCTAAAATAGGAATCACTTGTTGTTCAAGGGTCTTATTTGAGAGGGGTGGAATACAGTTCTTAATCATCTTGGAGTGTTTTTCTACAGTAGCTTTTGCTGAATAGTTTTCTACTTTCCAGCCAGAGTATTTCTGGGGTTAAAAAGATTCTCCTTGTTGATACATGTAATGTGGGTGAATCTCAGAAGCAAATGGCTAAATAGAAGAAGCCAGACACAAAAGACTGCATACTGTATGATTCCATTTTTCTGAAATTCTAGTGATGGAGGAGAGATGAGTGGTCACCTGGCGCTGGGGTGTGGGAAGAGAATGGCTACAGGGAAGCACAAGGGAAACTCTGGGGACATGGAATGTTCTGTAGTTTAATTGCGGTGGTGCTTCCATGGCCATATGAGTTTATCAGGCTGTACTTTGTCAGGAACCGTGCATTTTAAATGGTTGGGTTTTCTTTTATGTAAATTATACTTCAATAAAGCTGATAAAAAAATCCTAGTTTAAATAATACATTAAATTTAATGAAGGTCGGATGCAGTGGCTCACGCCTGTAATCCCAGCAGTTTGGGAGGCCGAGGCGGGTGGATCACCTGAGACCAGGAGTTTGAGACCAGCCTGGCCAATATGGTGAAACCCTGTCTCTACTAAAAATACAAAAAATTAGCCAGGCCTGGTGGCATGAACCTGTAGTCCCAGCTACTCAGGAGGCTGAGGCAGGAGAATCGCTTGAACCTGGGAGGCGGAGGTTGCAGTGAATCAAGATCATGCTACTGCACTCCAGACTAGGTGACAGAGCAAGACTTCATCTCGAAAATAATAATAATAGTAATGACATAGAACAGTATTTATTAGCCAAAACAAAATAGGTTTTATCCCAGTAGGTGATAACGGAAGTCATCTAACAGTCCATGTCAATGGCTGTTAGATTTGGGTCTACATCAGAGCACAGGACACGTGTTTCAGCGTGAATGCTGGGTTCTGCTGCACCTTGATTCGGGGGGTTGCTGGGTGGTGCTGGGGCCCTGGCTTCTGAGTCTTTAACAAACAGAACCAACAAAGGTGTCGTCTTCTGGTGTGAGGGTACGGAAGATACCAAGTAAAGCGTGTTTAGGTTGCAGAAATGTCAGAAGCACCTTTATTAGATTCAGTTTTGTTTTTTTTTTCTGCAGACTTTTAAAGGACAAAGACAAATCAGAGCAGCCTTCAGAAATACTAAAAGCGGCTCTGTATTTTTTTTTATAATTTTTGGAAACTATATTCCCAGAGCAGTGGGGTAAAAAAAGCGCAACCTTGTTCTTTACTAGGTGAATGGATATGTAACTGTGGTACATTAGACAATAGAATATTAGTCAGTGCTAAAAAGAAATGAGCTTGTAATCCCAGCACTTTGGGAGCCGAGGCAGGTGGATCACTTGAGGTCAGGAGTTTGAGACTAGCCTGGCCAATGTGGTGAAATCCCATCTCTACTAAAAATACAAAAATTAGCTGGGCATGGTGGCGGGCACCTGTAATCCCAGCTATTTGGGAGGCTGAGATGGAAGGATCTCTTGAAATCAGGAGGTGGAGGTTGCAGTGAGCCGATTTCACACAACTGCACTCCAGCCTGGGCAACAGAGCAAGACTCTGTCCCAAAAAGAAAAAAAAAAAAAAGAAATGAGCTATTTAGCCATGAAAAGACATGGAAGAAACTTTGCATAATACAGTGTGAAAGAAGTCAATCTGAAAAGGCTATAGACTGTATAGTTCCAACCATATGACATTCTGGAAAAGGCAAAACTGTGGAGGCAGTAATAAGATAAGTGGTTGTCACAGGTTGGGAAAGAGGGATGAAGAGGTGGAACACAGAGGATTTTCAGGGCAGTGAAACTATTCTGTATAATATAATGGTGGATACAGGTCATTATGCATTTCTCCAAACCCATAGAATGTACAACACCAAGAGTGGACCCTAATGTAAACCATGGACTCTGAGTGATAATGGTGTGGCAATGTAGGTTCACCAGTTGTTAACAAATGCACCACTCTGCTGGCGGCTGGTGGTAGTGGCGGAGGCTGTGCCTCTGGGGAGGGAGGGAGTGTATGGGACTCTCTGTACCTTTTGCTAACTTTTGCTGTGAACCTAAAACTGTTCTAAAAATAAAGTCAACTAAAAAAATTTTAAATTAAAAAAAATTTTTAAAGGCATCACCCCCAAACCAGGATACATTCAGTTTATTTGAAATGACTAACAATAGGGAAAGGCATGATCTATCTCTGTCTCCCACACCAGTTATGACTCACAGCTTGCACTGTTATCCAAAACGGGAGTAAGTGTTCTGCCTTTCAGCTGGGTGAAGGAAGGCACTTAGACTGAAGCGTTTTACCGCAAGAGAGCTGAATGGAAGGACGTCACAGCAGAGAAATCCGACCATTTCTGTGTACCTTCCACAATAACAAGCGTGGTGGGAAACTGCTATATGCTGGGCCCTGTTCAGATAGATGCCTGCTGCACTTACTTCTTATGACACCCCAGTGAGACAACTCTGTTATCATCCTAGCCAAAAGAGAAGCTGAGGCACAGGGCAGGTGTGTGGCAGGCAAGTGGTGGGCAGGTTTCCAGCCCAGGCCAACTGGCTCTTAATCAGTGCCTTACCTGAGACCTTAAAATATAACCAAAAAAACCTCTTTCCATGCCTTAGTAAGGCATAATCCATTCCCCTCTGCAGCTCATCTTAAGACTTACTGCAGTACAACGTAAGACGTAGTAAAATACGTTTAGGTGCAATTAATTCTTTCATGGATTCCTTTTAATTAGAAGCTACAAAATAGAGGAAAGTTTTTTTCCTTCCATATTTCTTCTCTCAAAAAAAAGAGGGTTCCCAGGGTTTTGCATTTATCCTGCGGATGTTTGGGTGGTTCTTAGGTTATGGAGAGCAATTCTGGCCCTAATAAACCCAGGTGTGTGGCACCAAAAGCCCTGGTAGCTCTCCTGTTATCCTGGACACTAGTCAGAATATTTCTAGTCCTGTGGAGTTTGATTCATTGATGCTGTCCCCGGAGTGGTGGTAATAGGTGTCCGATAATTAGCCCTATTAGAGAAACCAGCCCTTACTTTATGCATAAGTATAAATGCTCGATTCTTGTCATAGCCCCAATTTTATTGGAAACTTATAGACAACTGTTGAAGAAAAATAGCTTTGATTGTCTTTCCATTCTAGTTGGATTCTCTTATTTTTGTTTTTCTCCACTGCAGTATTTAATGTAACATGCAGATATCAAGGAATTGGAAGTGTGTGATGAATGAACTTCAGCCTGGATTAGTGGTTTTTTTATTTCTCTCTCTTCATTGCTATGCTGATCATTTTTCAATGTAAGAAAGCTTAAAATCTTACGCTGCATATATTAACTTCTTTTCAAAAGTGTCTTTGAATTTTTGCACTTACAGAAATGTTTCCTGCTGTGCCCATCAGAAATTCAGTCCCAGTCACACTACAAAGTCATCTGTTTGCCATATTCTGTGGAAAAAAATTTATGAATCATCTTAACCTTTAATATGAGTTATAGAAAGCCTGCAAGGCTTTCTTTCGAAGCCATGAATTGAGCTCAAATATCACTTTATATGCTATTAAAAATATAGGTGAGTTAAAGGTTAATATTTTTAATGTAAATGTATTTGGAGTCATTATTTATTCGGAAAATTCATTATAAATCCACTTTGGGGATTTCTTACAGTCAAGGTCGTGACCTTTTTTTTTAAGAGAATGTATTTTGCTTGGTCACATTAAAGATGAAGCTTTCATTTATTAAGTGCAGAAGAAAAGAAGGAAGTAGGGTGAAAACATATTTGTACAGATCCTTAAAACAATGCAGAATTTTGCTGTGCTCATAAAGCAGCTTAAGTATCCCAACCTCCCACCTCGTTTATGAAAATGGACTAATACGCTTCTTTTAAATTTACTAACAGTATTAAATATCAGCAGGGAAAGATAGTCTAACCAGAAAAACGAGACTGAAACAGACTAAAGTATAACATAAGGAAACCACTCAAGACCAAGTGAAATTAAAAATAGTTGTTGATAAAATACTAATTTTTATTGAAACATGACAATTATTTTTATTTGCTTAAGTCACTTCACTTGGAAGTATAAACTCTTTTAATCCATCAGGCACATTTTTTATTGAAAATATATAAAAACTTAACTTTTTGCAAGTGACAGCGAGCTAGAATAGAAAGATGAAAAACAAGGGGCCGGACGCGGTGGCTCATGCCTGTAATCCTAGCACTTTGGGAGGCCGAGGCGGGCGTATTGCCTGAGCTCAGGAGTTCAAGACTAGCCTGGGTAACATGGTAAAACCCTTTCTCTACTAAAATACAAAAAATTAGCTGGGTGTGGCGGCGTGTGCCTCTAGTCCCAGCTACTCTGGAGGCTGAGGCAGGAGAATCTCTTGAACCCGGGAGGCGGAAGTTGCAGTGAGCCGAGATCGCGCCACTGCATTCTAGCCTGGGTGACAGAGCAAGACTCTGTCTCAAAAAAAAAAAAAAAAAAAAAAAAAGATTAAAAACAAGGTAGACAAAGATACCCAATAAGGTAATTATGTGCTCAAAAATCATAATTAAATGCATCATCTTGAATTCACCTGGAAACAATTGTAATCAACTTTTCCCTGATTGCTGCTTCTGACTGGCTGAGAAGCTTCTGAGAAAGAGTGAGTTATTCTCATAGCCCTGTCTGGGTAATGTTACTCTCTTCCTGTGAAGGTAGAGACTGAGTGGGTGGTAAGGTCTGTGGAACAGCACTGAGTGGGGGCCGTCTCTGGGAGCTCAGAAGCCCTGGGATGTGCCTCTGGATGGAGTCCCAGAGTCTGTGTGTTTCTTTATGGCTGGAGTGATTTTCCTGTGATCCGTGTCTGTTGGTTAATGTGCTGTGAAGTGAGTTGCATGTAGCTGGACCCCAAGACCATGATACATTTCTTGATTACAATAAACCACTTAGTATCCCCAGGTGTGGGCATCAGCAAAGCTTAAGGATGTTTCCAGAAGAGGGGAAGAATTTGTCCAGCTGCTGCTAATGGAGGCTTTGTTACATGTTTCCTGGGGTGCTTCCCCATTGGACCTGTAAGTGTCTAACCCTGGGCTGATTCTGTAACCTGCCTGGTCAGCAGTTCCTTGTTCTATCTGTCCTGGATACATAAAGGACACCATCAGCACACCGTGAGCACAGAGTGGTCGTCAGAATTGCCATGAGATGAGGCTCAGAGCCTGTTGTGCCGCAGTAATGAAATGCATTGCACAGGGCCCTGAGCCGTGCAATGACTTGGAAACTAAGAAGGTTAAGATATGGTATTTAGGTTTAGGTTCTAGGTGAGGTTATGATATGAGTTGGGGAAATAAAAATATCAATAAAATGTTAAAGATACATAAAGTTGTATAAGATAATGGGAGGAAATTGCTGCAAGTTAGAAATCGAGAAATGAATTTTGTATATAATTTTTATTTAGAAAGATAAGAGGAAACTGGTGCCTACCTGGTGCTTTTTATACATTGGCCCAAGACAAGTATTCACAGCTGCATTTGAAGAGCATGTCCTTTTCAAAGGGATTATGTACTTGGGTAGCATAATACAAGGGTAATTGCTAAAGCTTGGATGGAGGAGTCTAGGTGTGTCTGATTTCAGAGGGCATGCTCTTTTCATTGTGTCATGCTGCTTCCACTAAGGTTGAAGTAGGAGAAGACTGATTCAGACTGAATCTTACAGTGAGAATGGGATTCAGCCCAAATATTATTGGATGGGTGGAGTTTGGGCGGGTAGATCAGAGAGTAGACTCCTTGCAGGCCAGCAGAACAACCAAGACAAAATCCAGGAAGCAGGAAAAGCACCAGGTGCAGGGGTCCAGGAGTAAATCGAGCTGTAGAAAGTTTTGGGAGAAAGGGACAGCCGTGGTGGAGCCACCAACAGGTTGTTGAGTCTTCTCTCCAGCCTCAGAGTCATTCTCAGCCTGTGCTCCAGCACTCCTGGCTTCAGGAGATGGGTGACTGCCCCAAGGCGGCTCAGCCTGTCCAGGGAATAGCTTCTCGGAAGTGCTTCCTGGACATACTCTAGCATCTGGCTCTCAGACCAGAGGAGTGATAGGGACTCTTTTTGCCCCCACACTGAATAATCACCTGCTGCTATGTTCCAGGAGAGAGCAAGGCAGCTGTCAGGGTGAGAGGATCCTCGGTCTCCTGTTCCACGTGGTATAAGCAGGTACTCTGGTCAGCTGGAGTTGTCCAGGGAGGAGCTGTGCAGGGTGATGTGTCAACTGAGAGTGGGAGGTGCAGTGAGCAGTGACATACTTGATGTATGTTTTGCTATGTGAGGAATTTAATTCACTGTATTAATGATGAATATTGCAAATTTCATAATCTTGTTTGTACAGATATCAAAATTAATCTATAGTTCACAGGAAATGGAGGATCTCGTGTTCAGTCTGTTCTTGACAAGAATTGTCTGATGTCTACCTTAGAAATTCCTGCCTCCTCTAAAATGCCCCCCTTTCCTAATGGACTTCCTTTGCCCTGGGGTCTTCATGGTCTCCTAATAGAAAAAAGTCATTAAGAAAAAATCTAATATGCTGAGGTAGCTCTAATATAAGAAAAGTAATAAATGAAGTGTCACTAGATTCAAAATGCGTATTCTTTCAGAAAGAAGGCAATTACCGTTATAAAGATATAGCGTTAGAAAAAATTATTATAACTGTGAAGTATGTGATATGTCTGTCTGTGGCACAGTTAATTTAAAAAGTATTACCAAGCATACAAATAAATCATCAGAATAAAATGCTGAACCATACTAATTGAAAGTGAATTTAATATGCAATTCTGAGGAACTCTCTCTACGTACCCAGGTTTTAAAAAATTCTACCTTATAGGCTATTAGTTACCAGATTTTCTTTCAAACATCCACCCTCTTTTAATGAAGAATATTATTCATGAACCTTATCTTTGATTCCTGAATAATTTTATGATATACAATAAATAGTGGGATGAAGTTGAAACAATTTTATTTTACCCTGATTTTCATGTGTATTTAATCAAATTGCTGTAGATCTATGTTTCCTTGTCAAAATATAAAAATTCTGATTAGTAAGGGAAGGAAGACTCAAAGGTTTCAAATTTGTTTTGCTCTTTAGTTTGTGTGGTTCAACAATAGATAGAATAATTGATTGAAACTGGCTGAGCACAGTGGCTCACGCCTGTAATCCCAGCACCTTGGGAGGCTGAGGTGGGCAGATCACGAGGTCAGGAGATCAAGACCATCCTGGCCAACAGGGTGAAACCCCGCCTCTACTAAAAATACAAAAATTAGCTGGGTGTGGTGGTGCATGCCCCTATTCCCAGCTACTTGGGAGGCTGAGGCAGGAGAATTGCTTGAACCCGGGAGGCGGAGCTTGCAGTGAGCTGAAATCATGCCACTGTGCTCCAGCCTGGGGGACAGAGCAAGACTCCGTCTTGGGGTTCAGAAAAAAAGAAGTTTTAAAAATCATGACTTTCAGCAGTGACTTTTGGAGGAAGAAAGGAGTCTGCCTTTCTTAAACGTGTGATATCCTCACCAAAACACAGATCTTTACAGTTATGGTTTTCCTGATAAGTGAGTATAGATGTGTATTACAGAAAACCTGGAAAATGCAGGGAAACAGCTTAGAAAACACTCCTTCGTGTTCTGCCCTGGCCCACAGCTACTGTTAGCTTTTGCAGTTTTTTTCCATAACAGCTTTTTCCTACATGATCCATATTCATGTTCATATTCACTGCGGCTCTTTCTGTCACATTTTGCTCTGTTTGGATGTTGGGATATTACTGTTCATTCCCTGTAGATTATATCTTTTAATAATATAAAGTGGTCTTGTCTCAATTTAGTGTTTTATTGTCTTGAATTTGGCTTTGTTTAAATTAGAGCACTGGGCTTGCTTTCCTTTAGTTTGAATGTGCCTGATATCTTTGCCCATCAGTTTTTCTTTAATTTCTCTCTGACATTTTCTTTCAGGTACATATCTTATAGAAATCAAATTGTTTAAAATAAGGGATTGAGTTATTATGAAATCTCTTTACTTATTTAGGGATTGTTTCAGTCACTCTTTTTATCTTCTTGTTTTTACACGTTTCTTCGGCACTTCTGTCTTTTATTCTGGTTTTTTTTTCTGATAAATACCACGTTGAGAGTGCTTTACTTTATGTAAATATTTAGACTGTAGGAATCTAGCTTTTTTTTCTACTGACAGTTATGTTTAAAATGTATTTCATCTTTTCTGTTTTAAATTAGGAAATATTTATTAATAAAATATTATTAAACATGAAATATATGACACGTACAATGAAATTCATGTATTGCTATGAAGCAGGCAATTGAAGGCCCCACCAACCAGCACCAGAAGTGTAAGCTGCCCACTCCAGGACCCTCCTGTGGGCTCCTTCCCATCTGGTCTCCTGCCTGTCTTCAGAGCAGAGATTCAAGGTTCATCATTCTTTTACACATATGTACACATCCCTAAATAATGTACTGCTTACTTTTGCTTTTGAACTTTGTGTAAATGGAATTGCACTTTATGTTCTTTGATTACTTGCTTTTTTTCATTCACCATGATATTTGTTGATTCATACGTGTTCATGTGTAGCTCTACATCAATTATTTTGATTGTTGTTGCAGTCTTCCATGGTGTGAATAGATCACAATATGTTTGTCTGTTCTCCTTCAGTGGCTGCATGGGCCATGTATATAATATTTTGTTCCTGTGACCTGTGTTGCTGTGAATGTTTAAATGCCCGTCTCCTCAGGTACATAGGCATGGGTTCCTCCAGGGCACTCACTTGGACATGAAATTGCTGGGTCATGGGCAGTGTGATTGATGAAATGATGTCGCATGGTTTTCCCAAAGCAACTGTACTCATGTAGGTGCCCCAAGTGTTCCGCATTCTTCATGGCATGCCTTGAGAGGTTTGCCAGTCTGGTGAGTGTGCCACGGCATCTCCAGTCCCAGTTGGTGCTCTCCTTGTTCCTAATGAGATCAACCAGTTTTTTTTTTTTTTCTTTTCTTTTCTTTTCAGAGTCTCGCTCTCTTGCTCTGTCGCCCAGGCTGGAGTGCAGTGGCACGATCTCGGCTCACTGCAAGCTCCGCCTCCCGGGTTCATGCCATTCTCCTGCCTCAGCCTCCCGAGTAGCTGGGACTACAGGCGCCCGCCACCACGCCCGGCTAATTTTTTTGTATTTTTTAGTAGAGACGAGGTTTCACCATGTTAGGCAGGATGGTCTCGATCTCCCGACCTTGTGATCTGCCCGCCTCGGCCTCCCAAAGTGCTGGGATTACAGGCGTGAGCCACCACGCCTGGCTGAGATCAACCAGTTTTATGTTGTGTTTCTTCTTCTGTAATATGTGAGTTTGTGTGTTTTACCCATTTGTGTCATTTCTCTTTTTCTTACTAATTTATAAAAGTTATTTATACTATATCTTCTGGTGCTGATTTCTTGGTGGAATATGTGAAAATACCCCCTCCGAGGCTTTGACTTACCATGTCATTTTTCTTATGGTTATCTTTATTAATTTATTAATTCCTTCACTGGGGATACTTTCTGTGCATGTATGTGATTATCTTTTATTAAGAAATCCTTCCCTACCTCGAAGTTGTAAAAACATTTGCTTCTTTTTTTTTCTCCCCTACAGAATCAGAAGTGTTGCTTTTCACATTTAATCCTTTAATCTACTTGGAATTAAATTTTGTATATGCTGTGAGACAGGAATTCTCTTTTCTTCTTTTATGCGTGACCAATTGTAGTGGCACTAGAATCTGTTTTTTACCATGACCTGCAGTGCCCACTTTGTTGTAAATACACTTTCTGTATCTCTGTGTGTCTGTTTCTAGGCACTCAGTTCTGCCCCTTTGGTCTGCTTTGGTAGTTCCTGTACAACAAGATACCTGTGAGGAGGAAGGGCCCCCAGCTTTCTCTTCCCTCCAAAGGCATCTGGGCTTTTCTTGGCCCTTTGCTCTACCATGGAGACTTGAGAATCAGCTTGTTGGATTTTATGAAAGACTCCCTTATTGGGATGTTTATTGGAGTTGTGTTTTATCTGTGTATCATTTTAGGGAGAATTAACATCTGTGTGATCCTAAATGGCCTTGACCATGGAATACTATATCCCTCCATTTGTTTTGGTCTTTTCCAGAGTATTTCATTGGAGTTTTAAGATTTTTTCTGCAGAGGACTTGCATATCTTCTCATGCACTTATCCTTGGTACCTTATTTTTAACTTCTATATCAATATGTTTTTAAAAAATACATTTCAGGCCAGGCGCGGTGGCTCACTCCTGTAATCTCAGCACTTTGGGAGGCCGAGGCGGGCGGATCACGAGGTCAGGAGATCAAGACCATCCTGGCTAACACAGTGAAACCCCGTCTCTACTAAAAATATAAAAAATTAGCTGGGTGTGGTAGTGGTCGCCTGTGGTCCCAGCTACTCGGGAGGCGAGGTGGGAGAATGGCGTGAACCCAGGAGGCAGAGCCTGCAGTGAGCTGAGATCACGCCACTGCACTCCAGCCTGGGCGACAGAGCGAGACTCCGTCTCAAAAAAAAAAAAAAAAAAAAAAAAAAAAAAATATATATATATATATATATATATATACACACACACACATATATATACATTTCATATCTTCTTCACTTCTAGACCATCTTGTTGATTTTTCAAAAGTATCCTCAACCCTACATTTATCAAATTACCAAAACCAAAGATAAAAATCTTCTCATCCTCACATCCTCACATAGAACAAGATGCACTTGTTTTAAGAATAGAGTTCAATGAGCTTCAGCAAATGTAAGCCCCTGGGTGACCACCATCGCTATTGGAACAGAGAACATTGCCTCGTAGGTAAGTGATACTCCCAAAAAAAGTCAATTTTAACATCTTTTCCTTATGGAAAAATGAGTAAATTAGCATTTTTTATTCTGTGCATCTAAAACCCCCTTCACATTTTAATTTTACATAGGGAACTCAGGTTATAAAGCCTCCTCTTCGTGGGACCCCTTATTTAGCTCAGCCATTCCACTCTCCATCATTTGCTTACTATCTGACTTCAGCTCTCTTACGTTCTGAATTTTCATTCATCTCTTCACCATGGGGACATGGGTGATATATATTTCCCACAGTGTATAAATGAAAGTAGCCATCTGTTACTTTCAATGTAAGAGTAATTTGGTTAGATTCAGAATTCTTGAGCAATCAGTTTTTCTGGCATTAGCAATTTGAGGAAAGGTCTGAAGCCAGTGTAAGTTTCACTACATAATGAGAACAGAATGATTTGTTCTGGGCTCTTCTCTGGAAGCATGCATTATTAATCATTTAAATCTCAGCTTCTGATCCTCCAAGTGTGAGGTTTTTTTTTTTTATTTGTATCACTCTGTCCCTTTTTTGGCATTCTCATGAATGCTTCTCAAATTTAAACTTCATCTTTGGTTTTTAAGCTTAAAAAAAAAAAAGCCAATGGGACCTTTAAAAACTCAAATTACTGTCCAGAACCACGGTTTATAAAACAGATCATGATACAGGGGCTCTGTCCTGGGGGATGCCTGGAGCACTTCATACTCAGTATCCCAGCAGGAAGCAGATGACATATTTAAATTGGGTAATGGGGAGTTTAATGGGGTGACTATTTACAAAGGTAGGGGCAGAAATGGTGAGGCTGTCAGGGCTAGCCATAGCTGAGAGCTGCCCTGGCTCCTGGACCTTAACAGCACAGGGAGGGAGTGGCTCTGGGGCCTGGAGTGAGACCTGAATTCGTAGGATTCACCCTGAGACAGGGGTGGCCTTTGGTGAGAGAATGCAGGCACTGGTCCTTTCCAGCAGAGAGGAAACAAATACCCCAGTTGCCATGCCTTGCCCACTCCAGTCTCCCCTCAGTGCTGCCCAAGTCTGAACCCAGTGGAAAACAGGGAAGCCTCATCAAGATCAGCCTCCAGGCAGCAGTAAAGGTGTATGGTGGATCTGGAGGGCAAACAGAAAAATCTAGCAAAATGAGGGGAAATGTAAAATACTGCTCTACAGAAAATATTTTTACCAGTTTTTTCTTTTTTTGCAGTATCTGGCCTGGTCTTAACTATTTCCAGTGCAGAGTTTTAACTGGTCCAGTCTCTCTTTCTGTTTTGGGGCAGTCTCCTTTTCTCTTGGTGTGTTTCCTTCTGGTCGCTAGCTATTCTCATCTCTTCCTTTTCTATCATTGAAACTTGTGCGTGTTTCATAGAGACAGTGTCTGTTTATCACCGTGAGACTCAGAAAATTTCTAAGAATTTACTCTGGTTTCATCAAAATATCTATTTTGGAGCCAGGCCCTCTCCCACCCCCGATCCCCTAGTGTCTTAGAACGTGTCTCCATTCTCTCATGATAGAAGGGTCTTAATTGAGCTGTGAATGTGTGTACACATATGTATGTCTTTTTATACATTCTTAAAAGGAAAGTGTATTAGGAGGACTCTCCAGAGAAACAGAACCAATGGGGTATACAGGACATTGATCATGGGAATAGGTTCATGCACTTGTGAAGGCCAAGAAGTCCCACAATCTGCCATCTCCAGGCTGGAGACCCTGGAAGGCTGGTGGTGTGCTTCAGCCAGAGCCCGAAGGCCTGAGAACAGGAGGAGGGGTGGAGCTGCTGGTGTTAAGTCCTGGAGTCTGAAGGTGGGAGAAGCAGAAGCTCTGATGGCCAAGGACAGAAGATGGATGTTCCAGCTCAAGGGGAGAGAGACGGCGCCCTTCCTCTGCCTTTTTGTTCTATGTGGGCCCTCAGTGGACTGGATGAGGTGCACCCACATTGGTGAGGGTGATCTTCTCTACTCCAGTCTACAGATTCAAATCCTAGCCTCTTCTGGAGACACCCTGACACACATACCCAGAAATGATGCTCAACCAGCTCTCTGGGTACCTCTTAGCCCTGTCAAGTTGGCTCGTAAAATTAAGCATCACAGAAGGTGATCTTTCTCTACTGGGAAGTAGTGTGATGTGCTTAAGGGTACAGACTCTATTTCTTACTGTATGGCCTCAAGTGACTTTCTGAACTTCTCTGTGCCTCAGTCTCCCCACTGGTAACATGGGGATCATAAGAGCTCCTCCATTGGGTGAGTAACTCTATCCCCGTGAGGCTCAGTTCATTCATTTATTTCATGGGGGAAAATGATAGAACCTACCTCCCAGGTGGTGGCAAGGCTTAGAACACAGCCAGGCAAATGAGAACCAGTGAATATGGGTGGCCATTGGTATTTCTATTGCAAAGGTTGTTGTAATGACTAAATGAGCTACTGTGTCTTGGGAGCATATTGCAGAGACTTGCACACAGTAAATGCAGTCAGTGTTAGCCTGCTGCATACATGTGTACTTCCATGCAACATACACACACCCATAGACATAGATTCATACGCTTATGTGTATACATGCATAGACACATTTACCTACCTACCTACCTACCTAAGTGCATACATTCATAAGCAAACAGCCCGTCCAGGTGGGACCTTCAGGAATGAGCTCCTCTCCTTCCCAGGCAGACACACAGGGCTCTTGTCTGGCGGGTGGGTCCTCTTCATGGCCAGTTCTCTTTTGCGTGCAGCACTTAGTCCCATCTTTTTTTCTGGATCCCCATCAAATGCACCAGTCCATAAGAGACTAAAGACAAAAACCTTTTCAATCACCTAGGAGAGAACATATTGCCATTCTGTGCAATGGGGAGAATAAATTATTTATATATTTTTAAACATTAAAAAAAAATGCCGCTGTGTGTTACCTTTTAAAAGGCTGCTGCTATCCCACATTTTCTGACCTGTGAAAGGGAATGTGAGTTTTATAACTGATATTCATGTGCCATAGTGAATATGCTCTAATGTAAGTGTCATCCCCATGCAAATTCTAAGTCACTTGGCACAGAGCAAGATTTGTATGGGTTTAACCTAATAGAAACAAGAGATAGAACTCACATTATGTATGTTGACTAATAGAATCTGAAAAGCTGTCGAATGATGAGGGGTGAATAATATCAGGTGATAAGCAAATGAGCCAAGTGGTTGGCAGAGGAGAACAAGAAGAAAAAATTCTAAAAGATGTCTGAAGGGAAGTTGATAAGCAAAAAGGAATAAAATAATCTGACAAATGAGCTAATAGCAGCTCCTAAGAAAAGTATCGGTTTGGCTGGCAAACAGTGACAGGCGGCGGTATGTCAGAGTGAGCGGCAGCCAGGGTGTGGGGATGAATGCGGAAGGACAGGCTCATCAGTGTCTGCATGATGAGTGAGTTAGTAAATCTGCCAGGTGATGAATGAGCTGGTGATGCACATCAGACAGGTGACAGGCGAGCGGTTACAAGAAAGAGTGGAGGCAGCCGGGGAATGAGACCGAAGGGCTTCAGAATGTAATTTCATAAGCAGGAAGAAACCGTGTACCTAATCACAGTATCTGATCTGCTTTGGCAACTGTCAAAAACAATAAAACTTCCATTGAAGTTAAAACTAAGACTCTGTGTAATGTGCTTGTGGCTATTAATAATGATTTGCCTTATACACCACCCACTTGCTAGCTCTCACCGCCTTCATTCCTGGGGATTTCATCTGTAAAGTGGGGAGAACAGTGTTAACCTCCATCATTCTATATGGGATCTTTTGAGGATTAAATTTCCTATGAAGCCAGGTGCAGTGGCTCACACCTGTAATCCCAGTGCTTTGGGAGGCCAAGGCAGGAGGATTGCTTGAAGCCAGGAGTTAGAGTCCAGCCCGAGCAACATAGTGAGACCACATCACTACAAAAAATTTAAAAATTAGCCCGGTATGGTTGCACACACCTGTAGTCACAGCTACTCAGGAGGCTGAGGTGGGAGGATCGCTTGAGTCCAGGAGTTCAAGGTTATAGTTAGTTATGATTGTGCCACTACATTGTTGCCTGGGCAACATAGCAAGACCCTGTCTACAGAAAGTAAAATTAGTTGGACGTGGTGGCTCGTGCATGTAATCCCAGTGCTTTGGGAGGTGGAGGTAGGAGGATAGCTTGAGACCAAGAGTTGGCAACAAAGTGAAACCCCCTACCCCATCTCTACCAAAAAAAAAATAAAAAAGCTGTGTGTGGTGGCATGTGCCTGTAGTGCCAGCAACTTGGGAGGCTGAGATGGGAGGATTGCTTGAGCCCAGGAGTTTGAGGCTGCAGTGAGCTATGATTGCAATGACTGCACTCCAGCCTGGATGACAGAGTGAGACCCTGTCTCAAAATAAAATAAAATAAATAAATTTCATATGAAATAGTTAGAACATTACCTAGCATGTGATAAGTAACCAAGAAACTACTGTTAGTTGCTATTGATATTGTTAATCATCTTATTGTTATTACTTTTAATTTTTCGTTTCTGTTTCATTCTTGGAGTATAAACATTTATCTTGCACATCCTTAGTTCCTAATTAGCATATCACTCCTCCTGTTATTATTGATCACACACCTGTTATTATTGATTACAAAAATAAGAAGACTCCCATGTCATCTGTGGAATGAATAAAATACAGTTTTGTGCTGCATAATGATGTCTATAATGGTCCATCGATGACAGACCACATATAGGACAGTGGTATTGTATCACATTTTATGCACTTTGTCTATGTTTAGATATGCTTAGATACACAAATACTTACCATTGCATTACAGTTGCCTACAGTGTTTAGTACAGTACATGCTGTGCAGGTTTGTAGCCCAGGAGCAATAGGCTACACCATATAGCCTAGGCATGTATAGTAGGCTATGCCATCTAGGTTAGTGCGAGTGCACTCTCTGAGGTTTGCACAATGATGAAGTTACCATTTGCATTGCTCAGAATGACACATTTCTCAGATTGTATCTTTGTCATTAAGTGACTTGTGACTGCATTGATGTGTTCTCTTATCTCTTATGAAATGTATAAATGTATGTGTATTATATATATATTTATTTATTTATTTTAGACGGAGTCTCACTCTTGCTCAGGCTGGAGTGCAGTGGCGTGATCTTGGCTCACTGCAGCCTCTGCCTCCTGGGTCAAGCGATTGCCCTGCCTCAGCCTCCCAAGTAGCTGGCATTACAGGCGCACGCCACCATGCCCAGCTAATTTTTGTATTTTTAGTATAGACAGGGTTTCACCATGTTGGCTAGGCTGGTCTCAAACTCCTGACCTCAGGTAATCCACCCAACTCGGCCTCCCAAAGTGCTGAGATTACAGGCGTGAGCCACCATACCCACCCTCTCTTATGAAATATTAATAATTATTGCAAAACTTTTGGTGGGAGCTTTAGGAGTTTTTGTTTGTTTTTGCAGTTTTCAGTTACTTTTCACATTTCACAAACACCAGAGATAAACTTAAATTTCTGTTTGAAATTCTTAATCAAAGTAAATGCATACATTCACAAAAAGAATAAGTAAGATTAAAGGAAAAGTAACGAAATGGATATCCAAGAAGCAATAGAGGCAATCAAAAATTCTTTGAAAAGAGTTATAAGTACATACACCTGTTATTGATTACAATAAAAGAGAAGAAACATGAATAATGGAGAAATATGAAAGGAAAATAATATAAACAAGAGATTTCAGACATGATAATCAGCAACCTTATGCCAATATATTTGAAGATTTAGATGAGATGGCTTAATTTATAAATAATATAGCCAAACTTAAGAAGAAATAGAAAACCCAAACAGAAATAGTTATTAAAGAACTCAAATTAGAGTTGAAAAATCCCCCTATTTCTTAATAGACACCAAGTTTAGATAGTTTTGTAGGCAGATTTTAGCAAATTTTAAAGAAATAGCTAGTAGAAACAGGAGTAGAAAGCAATATAATTTATAGCTTGGTTGGTAGTGTTTGTATTTCAGGGTGTGGGAAGCCCTTAAATGGAGATGCCTATAGGCAGGCATAAGATGGTTTTCAGTACCTGCAGAAAAGGGAAAACAGCTCCAATTAATTAATTAATCAATTAATTATTATTTTTATTTATTTAATTTATTTTGAGACAGAGTCTCGCTCTGTCACCCACGCTGGAGTGCAGAGTGGTGCTATCTCAGCTCACTGCAACCTCTGCCTCCTGGGTTCAAGCAATTCTCCTGCCTCAGCCTCCCAAGTAGCTGGGACTACAGGTACGCGCCTCCACGCCAGGCTAATTTTTTGTATTTTAGTGGAGACGGGGTTTCACTGTGTTGCCCAGGCTGGTCTCGAACTCCTGAGCTCAGGTAATCCACCTGCCTTAGCCTCCCAATCCTATTAATTTATTAAAGGTTAGTGTGCTGTCTTCTCCCCCTTGCTATGAATTAGTTGGGTTATCACTATAAGTTTTCCATACTGTAGGAAACCAAAACACTGCCTTCTTCCTATTTCTGGCAGCTTGGGGATGCTCCTAAATTGCAATATCATTTATATTGTTAGTTTACATTCCAGTTTGCCAGTATGCCATGTAAATAAGTCCCATACATGAGATGCAAAAAGCCAAAATTCATTTATTCATGATTGATGCCAATTTGTATGCAATATAGCTTGTACACATTCCTGATTAAACTGTTCTGTTTGTTTCAGCAGATATGTTAACAATCTGGAGTTCACATCTCTGACTTTTGTTTTGTTTTTGCAGTTGTGTAGACATAAAACTGAGTCTTCTCATTTTATTTTTTTTAATGCGAGTAAGTACGTTAGGATTTTGCTTTTCACTGTACCATGCAGGAAGGAGCCCACATGTTTCCTGATGGGAGCTGGTTTTGCAGGGCCACGGGAGTTGTGTGCATGTGTGACAGTCTGTGAACTTTCGGGGGGTCTGGAAAGAAGACACCGCCGTAGAGGCGGCAGCCCCAGATCAGCTGTGAATCGTTCATCATCCAGGCCCTGCTCTGCCAACTGGACTTTTTGTTAATTGCAACTTCAGTTGATGAGATATTTGAGTTATGGTTATCAAATTAGGTCTCAGATGCTGAGTGATCTTGTTGGCCAATGTTAAGTTATTTTATCAGAATTCAGAAGTTAGGCCACAATTCTATGAAAGGGAAAATCATGATTAAATTTTCATTTATACCGCTTAACTTATAGGAGACAGGTTCCCACCTGGTGCTGAAATGGAACTGTGTGGTTTTACTCATATGACACCATGGGGCTGAAAATATTCTTCTGTGAATTCTTGTGTGACTTCTTTATGGCCTTTGGCCATTTTCCTACTGGGGCTGGAGTTCTCAAGGTTGTGCCAAATCGCGGGTCACATTGCAGAAGCCACATAACCCCACTTCTTCAGAGCTACTTTTGCGAACCTTTCAAAGCTCATTCCAAATCCTGTCACTCCTGTAATGGAAATGCTCCGAAGACTCCACATTCTCTCAGGCTAAAAGCCAACTCCTCCATCTGCAACCACCCCTCCCACTCCCGAGCCGGTCTTCCTGGATTCTCCTCTCCAGCTCAGCTCCAGCCACACGCCTCCACACTGCTCCCTGAGTCGGGAACATTGTTCCTCACGTAGCTGCAGCCCTGCGGCCCTCTTCTCGTTCTGTTGACATTTCAGTGAGGCCAGACCCGTTCAACATTGCTGCTCCCTGTCCTAGACCTCCCCCTGTTTCCATTTCCCCCACTTACCACCTTCTAATACCCTATATGATGTATCAAGCCTCTTGCCCTCTCACTGTGTGAAATTTACTTGACAGTTTTATTCACTGCCGCATGCCCAAACTGAGAACAGTGCCTGACACATTGAAGACATACACAGATATTTTTGGACTCAATAAATGCATTCAGGATTCAGCACTTAAAAGTTGATGTTTTTTCAAACTCTAGTGCAAGGTTGGACATGTATTCCTTATAGATTTCCCCTCACTCTGGTAAGCTCGCCCACCCCTTGCACCCTGACGCAGAATCTGACAATACTCCCCACCCATCCCAGATGGTGCCCCTCTATATTTGTTACACCTGACTCTCTGTGCCCTCCAGAATGCCATGACAGTGAATGGAAGTTTGGTCTCCCAATACAAGGCTCTGGGCTGCAGGAGAGAAATTAAAAATCTGAATTGACCTCTGCCTCGCAGATACCGTGTCTACATGCCTTGATCCTGTCAGTAAAAGAGCAGTGAGTGTTGCAGTTGCTGCTGTGTTGGCGAGCCTGCGTAGACTCCTGATGAGCCCTTCTAGGTGCTGACGGACTTCATGTGAATGCTTTGTTCCAGTTGCCCCTTATCTTCTTTTCAATCACAATCACTTTGGTCCATCGTTTCCTAGCACTTTCCTTTCTCCATGGTTTTTAAGGTAAAAACTATTTTCTTGTAGTAGGACATTGTATTTTTTTGATTTGTTTTCTGATTCTGAAGTCCTAAGTCTCTTTGTGACTATGGGTATCTATATTAAATGAAATAATGATCTCCTGTAGAAAAAATAGTGAAAAGAGATGAAAAATTTAAAAATTAAGATGCCATAGGCTCAGCGTGGTGGCTGACACCTGTAATTCCAAGCTTTTTGGGAGTCTGCGGTGGGAGGATTGCTCGAGGCCAGGAGTTGGAGACCAGCCTGGGCAACACAGCGAGACCTTGTCTCTATAAAAAATAAAATAAAATAAAATTAGCCAGGCACAATGGCATGGGCCTATAGTCCCAGCTATTCAGGAGGCTGAGGCAGAAGGACTGCATGAGTCAAGACAGTGAGCTATAATGGTGAAGCTGCACTCTAGCCTGGGTGACAAAGCAAGATCTTGTCTCAAAAAAGAAAGAAAGAAAGGAAAAGAAACCATACACGAGACAGGAAATGGTTCCTTCTTTTAGAAGAAACATGGCAGGATCAGTTTGGATTGCATTTAAACAGGGCTTCTCTGGGACTTTTCAGATGGCTGTGTGTATGAGGCGGTTCTGACATGAATCCAAACTTTTCTTTGGACCATGAATAACTAGTTACAGATCGCATTGGAAGCAAATCAGAAGCTATAGTTTTAACTCTTGGCCTATGGCTTAAAATTCCAATTTATGCCCAGAGAAGCTGGGGAGGACTAGATTTGATCAGAGCTTTCATTTAAGATGTGACTTGCGCCTTTTGGAGGTTAGCTTTAGCTTTAGTGTGTGGCCAAAAATCTTGAAAACAAATAACTGTGAAATTGGAGCATTTTCTGAAGTTTACTGTTATTTATAATTTAAAAAAAGAAAACTCACTAAATAATGTCATAAATCTTCTTGGTTTACACAGAGGATAATAAGCTTTAATTAAAGATGAGAGGGAAGTGAAATACGAATTTGGATGTCAGCAGAAAGGGCTGTTTAAAGCTAAATGAAAGTACTCTTTTTGTGGAACCATTCTGTGAAATATCAAAAATTTAGTTAATGTGGATATTTGACTTTAATGGGAGTAATTTATGGAGAAAATGGGAACCAGCAGGCTTGACTTCCCTAGTAAACCAGAGGCTCTACACTGACCACAGCCCCTGCCTGGGTCCCTTCTCTTCTACTGTCTTGGGGTGGGGCTGAGATCCCAGGCCCTGCGGACAGAAAGAGCAAAGATCCGTGTTTTTGTGCCAGGACTCCTGGCTTGGAGCACAGGCCCAGCTGGATTTCAGCCTGAGGCACCTTTAGAACAAGCAGTCCCCGGCCGGTGAGTGGCAGTTCTCAAACCCTCTCTCTCAGAGCATGTCCCCAGTAATTGGTGACATGCTCTGCTTCCCTGGCTTCTGCCTCGGCGTTTGTCTGACTTTGTTCTTAGCTTTTGGCTTCCTCCTTGCCCTTGCCCTCCCTGATTTCTGCCAGCCTGGACCCTCCAGGTTCTCTTCTTGGCGTCGTTGTGCAGCGCAGCTTCTGCCTTTGAGTGCATGGGCTCTGGAGCTCGTTCGCCGAGCGGGATGCTTGGCTCTGCTGCTCACCAGCTGGGCAGCCTCAGAAAGTTAGCTTCTCTGTGCCCCAGTTTCCTCTTTTGGAAAACAAACTCATAGTAATTTGTGGAATTGGTGTGAGAATTAAAATAGTTAATAATAAGGTGCTTAGGTTGGTGTCTGGCAGGTAATAAATGTCCGCTGCGATCATCATCATCTTGCCTCACGGGGACGTGCTTTTGATGGGCAGTGTGGCCTGCACTCCTGGGGATGTAAATGAGGTGATAGGAGGGGCCTCAAGTCCTTGGTCTCCTCTTTGCATTCCTAACAGCTCTCCCCGCTGGGGTTGTTTTTAGCCCAGAAGCAGAGCCCAGGACAAGGAAGCAGGTGTGAGGAGCTGGGGGGGATGTGGGGCAGGAGAAGGAATCCCTGGGGGGTGTTATCAGGGCTGCCACTGTGAGCCTGGGGGGTGCCTGGAGCCGTACAGAATGTCCCAGAACTGTCCCCCTGAAGAGGGCATGCGGGGCCTTGTTCCCATTCCCCCTAATTGTTTCCTCTGGGGGCATCAACTCTCCTGTGTGCAGGGGGCCAGGTGGGCTTGCAGGGGTAGAAGGGGCCTTGGTGCAGAAAGCAGACAGCCTTGGCGGGGAGCGGAGGTGGGGTGTGCTTGCCCAGCATCCCTGTCTACCCCACCCCAGGGCTGTGCTTGTGCTCTGTCCCAGCCCCATCTCTGCTCCCCGCTAGCCCCACTCGGCTGAGCTGCTCACAGGAAGGACCCTGGCATTACTCCTGAAAGGCCTAAGGGTCACGAGGAACTTCATTCAAGAGATGATCCATGTGATATGTTTCCAAATACAGCCTCTAGAGACAGCTTTCAAGAACTATCCAAAGACCTATATGTCTCCTAATATTCCCATCAGTTACGGAGGAGGAGCCAGCATTTAGTAAGCACTTACTACCTACGGTACGGGCACTTGTAGCCTTAGTGGTCATCATTGCGTTCGGATTTCATGACAGTTCTTTATGGTGGGATTATATTGTTCCCACTTAATGTAGGGAAAGGCAGCCTTGGCAAAGGGAAACAACCTCCAGAAAGTTATGTAATAGAGCTGGGATTAAACACAGACGTGTGTGTGTGTGTGTGTGTGTGTGTGTGTGTGTGTGTGTCTGCGCGCGTGCGTGTTTAATCCAAAACACAGACTCCTCACCATGAGTTTACCTGGCTCTATAATGCTATGCATGCAGTTTCTTTTAGCAGGGCACTCCTCATTTCAATAAATAGCTCTGTCCTCTGCCTCTGTCAGCCCCTGGGAGTCAGGCCTCTCTGTGGACGCTGCACTGTGGATGCTTGGGGACACGCTGTCTGTCCCAGGACCGAATGCAGTCTGAGTGCCCAGTGTTTCTCTGTGGCACTGACCTTCCACCAGAGGACACCCCTCCCCACTCCACCTCTGGTGTGGAGCAGTAGCTGGGTCAACTAAGGCAACTTACTTGAAGAAATGTCATCAGGTGCCAGCTCAGCAGTCACTGGAGTGGCCCAGAAAGCCCCATGTGTTATGAACATCAGCAGGTGCATAGCAGGGTGCTGCTAATAAAAGTAAAGACCCTTCTATAAAGCCCCTTCTTAGGGTGAGAGGAATGTGTCCCAGATGGTAATACTTTTCTTCAATCTAGCAGGGAGGAAGTTCCCTGCTACAAACAAGATTACATATGTTTAGGGTTTGAGTTTCCTGTAAAATGGTGTGTACTTCCAGGATGAAGCTCTTGTTATGCATCATTCTTAGTTTTTATTAAACATTTAGATTTGGCTTAAAAAGTGCTGGTTTACCCTGGACATCTCTGAATCCTTGCACGCAGCGTGAAGCGTTTTGGGGAGGTGGCACCTGTTCCCTGGAAAGTCTCCCCAGCCACAGGCTGGCCACTCCAGCCCAGGTCGTGGCCTGGCCTCTTTGCAGATTGCCACAAGTTATGTTTGCCCACCTGGTGGGGTCAGGAGTGGAAGAGTTGGTGAGAGTTAAACCTTGTATCAAATGCTTGGAGGATACACCAGATTTGTAGAATATTATATGGATTTAAATATGGTATATAGGTTCATGTTTAAAAGAATTGCATCTCAGTGCTTTTAAAAATTGTCTTCTTCCTGAGCAGTTCATCTTTTGGATAAACCTGGATAATTCTCTTTTTTTGTATCTTAAATTTCTATAAAACAAATAACCTTTATTGCTTAATTTATAGAGCATTTATTTTATTTTATACCTAAAAGTTGATTTTGCCCCAAATTTTACTTTCTGTTTTGAGTAGGTGAGATATTTACACGGCTTAAAGTTTCTAACTATAACAAGGCCTAAACTGAGAATTCCCATTACCACCCCTCCCTCATCCTTCCCACACACAGTTACTGTACTCATTTTTTGTGGAATCCTCCAAGTGTTCCCGTGTTAATCAGGGTTCTCCAGAGTAACAGAACCAATGAGAGGAAGAGACAGAGAGGGAGAGAGAAAGAGAGAGAAAGAGAGAGAGAGAGCGCCTGGTTTTTTTTTTAAAGGAATGGACTCACCTGATTGTGGGGGCTGGCAGGCCTGAAATCTGTAGGGCAGCAGGGAGGCTGGAGGTTAGGTAGGTGTTGAGGTTTCATTTGTGAGTCTGAATTCTGCAGGCTGGAAACTCAGCTGGGCTTTCTATGTCACAGTCTTGAAAGGAATTCCTTCTACTTGGGGAACCTCAGTCTTTGCTCTGAGGGCCTTTGACTGATTGGATGAGGCCCCCCGCAGTATGGAGGGTAATCTGCTTAACTGAGTCTATTTATTGTAGATATGAATTACATCTAAAAGGACAGCCACAGCAACATCTAGACTAGTGTTTAACCAAATGACCAGGCACCATAGCTTGGCCAAGCTGACATATAAAATAACCTATCATACTTCCTTTATGAAAATATAAACAAATAAGAACATACGTGCCCACATTCTCTTTCTCAGAGAAAAAGGGGTAGAATATGTACCTTCGCTTTTTCCACTTCACAATGCATTTGGAGATCTTTCTAAATCTGGACCGAAGAACCACCCCCCCCCCCCATTCCTTTTTACCAGCTCATATAGTATTCTTTGCAGCTATCAAATTTTGATAAATGTGACCATATCAAAGCAAAAACTTTTACGTGGCTAAATAAATAAAATAAAATTTCTAAGAAAGTATGCAAACTTAGAAGCAAAGTACCAAACTGGGAGAAATATTTCTAATTCAGATCGTGAATAGTTCCTGCATTCTAGAAGTTTATAAGAAAAAGACCACAAATATCCAAAAGAAAAATGGGCGGGGTCAGAGAGCTCACAGAAATGGCCTAATCACATGAAAACACTGTGAACCTCGTGGTAACAGAAATTACAATTAAAACAACAGTAAGATATTGTATGTCACCTGCCATGTCAGGCAAAAACCCACAAGCTGGAGAACATAATCTTTCACTGAGGCTGGGGTGAAACAGACCTTTTCACATTTTGCTAAGAGGAGTGTAAAATGCCCCCCCAACCAGCCCCAGGAGGATAATTTTTCAGAATTAAGACAATTATAGGTTAATTCACGCTTTGACTCAGGAATCCCGGTTCTGGAATTTGATCCTGCAGAGAGACCTGTACATCGGAAGGGAGACTTCGTCGCACTATGGCATGTGATGCAGAAGACTGAGAACAACCAAGAATCTCTGGGAAGCACTTATCTCTGGCATGTGCCCGATGGGAAATCTGCAGTTGTTTCGCATTCCTATAGAGCTGAAAGCTTGCATTAGGGCCACAGAGATAATGGAATCAAGATGCATGGAACGCACAGCAGTCCCTTTCCCTCACCTCCCTGCCCATACACATACAAATCCCACCAGCTGTTCCTTCAAAAGTTACCTGCAGTCCGTCCCCTCATCGCCATCTGTATGGCCACCTCTTTGGTTTCAATTGCCATCCCCCAACTTCTGCAGCAGCCAGAATCAGGGCACCTTCTGCCCTGCATGGCGGCCTGGCCAAGGGTTGGAATCTGCCTCATCACTTAGAGCAAGGGGTGGTCTTTTCTACTTGCAACATTACCCCTCTATGGGCTTGAGGGTCCAACCAGTATACTTCTTTAAAGATGTAAATAGGATTCTGTCAATAAAAAGTCGTCTGAAAGCTTTCAGTGGCTTCTTGACACATATAGGAAAAAATTAAAAAAATTTTCCTCCACCTGCAATGCTTTGCTCAAGCTGCTGACTTCATCTGACAATATCCTGTAGTCCAGCGCCACGGGCCTCCTGACAGTTTCTGTAACTTTCCACGGTTTCTCTCCGTGCTTGTAAGGTGCTTCTCCCGGTTCTTTTCCTGCAGGCTCCAGGCCCAGATGCTACCACCTTCTTTATAGAAGGCCCCCAAGACCCGGGAGTACTTCACTATTCCCTTCCACGGCGCTTGACACAAGATGCAGCCTTTGCTTCCTCGCCACTCCCCCTTTTGACTCTGACTTTCAAGGGGCAGGGGTCCTGTCTGCGCGGCACCTGGAACATGTGAGCGTGTGTTGCATATTATGTTAGTGATCAGGTTTGCATGTTGTGGAGTGATTCACTAGCACTTGTCAGGGCCACTTCTGCAGAGCCTTCATCGAGCTGCCCAGACCAGTTCAGCTTTCACTGGCCAATGTGCCCGTAGCACCCTGGTTATGACCCGTGAGTGTTCATTAGCCTTGTTATGCCTCTGTGCCTTGTAGCTGAGCTGAGACAAGAGGGCCTGCCCTGTGAGTAATTAATGGATGAATAACTGATCGAATGTTGAAAGAATGAATGGGCAGTGAACAAAGGTATAAGCAAATGAATGAGCAAATGAATAAACCGAAAAATGAATGAGGCAGAGTGAGTAGGGTGGAAATTAGGAATTCTAGATTTTAGTTGTAGCTCTGACACAAACGACGAAGGTGTGATGGGCAGGACATGTCTACTCTATAAGCCTTCAGAGGCACCTGGCCTCTCCTTGGGAGTATGTGGCACAGTTGTACTTCCCTAACCAGCCCTGTGGTTATTGGTTCTCTCCTTCACTGGAAGGCGGGAGTGATAGTGTGAGATGGTGCTGGCTCCAGTTAGTTCACTGTGTGTCCCAGCTCTCCCATGGGGCCTGGCATATTTGAGTCATAAATAAGTGAAATAGTAAATGGATAAAGGGAAAATAGAATGGAAATTAAAACTGGGGTTGGGGGGAGGATACAGAGAAACAGGAGTAGACAGTCCATGACTCTGAAGTTCTGGAAAGCTTGAAATGGCACGGATGCTTCTTGAAGGGGTTTGGGACTTTTTCATCCACCCATCTCTCATACATGTGATTTCCTCGGCCACCTTGCCAGATCTCCATTATCTATTTTTATTTTTTCAATGTATTAGTAACAGTCATGCTAACACTGTTGGATGAGAGATGGTAGAAGCTTCCTACGATAATTGGTTTTCTGTTAAAATAAAAAGTTCCAATATTAGAATCATCACAGTTTCACATATGCTTAGCATTATTAGAACAGCTCTTGTTCCAGGTAGTTTTTGGTGTAGGGTCTAACCCAGCATTCCCAGTGAGGCTGCAAACACATTTGGTCTGAAAGGAATGTAGCATTCTTCTGAGTGGTCCCCTCCCCTGCACTGGCCCTCTGTTCATCCCTGCCCTGCTCCAAATCCACCCTCCCTGCTGTAGAACTTGTCACTTCAACACCCTGCTACGTCCCCTCTGATGCTTCCCCATTGTCTACAGAGGAAGCATGAAATTTATCAGCAAACTCCTATTCTTCCTGCAAAAACCCACTGAGATGTCGTTCCTGATACCTCCTAAACTGGGCCAACTTCAGAAGGCATTTCTTCATGCCACTACAAAACCCAGTATATGTATTGTATTGGATACAGGGTGGTTTTGTCCTCATTTGGGGCAAAGTTGCAGAATTATGGCCATTTTGCAGTTTTCTCTGGTTACCATGGTTGCATCTAATTGACAGACTCCTTAAGTCAGTTTTATCTTGCAGCAACTTGGAAGCAGCCTTTAAGATAAACTGTGTAAAACACCAGTGCTTCAAGAGAATCTTAGTGTCTTATCCTAACACAAATACTAATTCTGAAATATACCCAGCTAGAAAATCAGAATACGATAAAATGAAATAAGAACCTTGTATGGCAAAAATATCTATCTGGCGACTCCATCTGAAGGCGGAGGGATGGCCATGGCCGATAACATCAGGTGATGAATCAGTTGAGCCGCCTACTGGGCAGCACCTTCACCCACGTCCCATCTTCAGGACCTCGTTTGACATAAGCAGTTTATTAAACGGGAATGTTTTCATATGTTAATGAGTGACTTTAGAGTGATGAGATGACATGCCTTACAGTGACAGTTCTTTATATCTGGAAATCTTCCTAATTAGACATCTTTCTCGCAAGTCAAACGATGTAATTTATCTCGAAGTTGTACGTAAATTGGAGTATTGCTGGGGGCCACTGCTGTTGTCATTAAAACGTTATTTGGTAAATTAAATCTGTATTTAGTTCAGATCTAATGATTGAAATATTATGGTGACATATGGTAGAGAGAGCACTGAGCCTGTTACAGCGCACGAATTTTCTTTCTGTCTTCACTTCACAGTTCATCCCCACATCCCGAAGCTGCACACCTGTCCCAGTTAAACACGGATCCTTGGATGGATCTCTCATATCATGCCTGTCTGTCCCCAGAAAGACCTGGTTACCTGTTCCATCTCCACCCCACTAGCCATTAGAATGTCTTTTCAATTTTCCCTGCTGTTTCTCCCTTATTTGACCCCCTTCTCCCTTATGCTAAGAGCCACTCTGAAGGCCTGGGCCCATGGGTCTTGACTGTCACTGGCCCCAGCCCTCTCCCATGGCATCGAAGCCGAATGGAGGGGTGGGCCGCTGGGCAGCTGCCAGGGGCCCTATCTCGTGCCAACTCCACTAGTGCTGGGCAGTAGCACATCACTGGACCAAATCACTGAGGTTTTGCAGGTGATGGACTTGCAGTAGAGCTGGTGAGTCAGGAGTCAGCACCTTCCTGTTGCTGAGATTGGCAGTGCCTTTGAGGGCAGTGGAGGGACACATAAAACCCCACCCCGTCCAAGTGTTCCCTGGTCCCTGATGTAGAGGACTGGGCCTGGCACAGGCTCTCGGGCCCTGCTACATTCAGCTGAAAATCTGAAACTGAGTGGGGGGAGTATTATTTGCTGGGAATCAATAATTCATTGTATGATGTAAATTTTAAATGTTTACTATGCCTCCCACAACCGTTTTATTTGGAAATGGTATTTTTTAAAACCTTACTTTGCAATTAAAAAGAAAGGCATAATATTTTTTATTAAAAGAAAACCAGTTTACTCCCGTCCCTCCTCATGAGTGTTGAAGAGGTATTGAAGGAACATCAAGCTGGGTGGTTGGAGGAGGGAGTGGGTGGAAAGTTAACCCAGTCAGCCAGCCATCTAAGTGATGGCTGGCCGAGGAGCTCTTCCAGACACCAGTGCCCTATGGAGGCGACACAAAGAGACATCCTCTGTGTCCTCCAAGGCAGCTGCCTGCATCCGTGCTCTTTGTTCAGGCTGTGGTCCAGAGCCCTCTCAGGGGCTGACCTCTCCACGTGGCCATCTGTGCCTGCCTGGTTTCTTTTTTTTCTTTTCTTTTTTTTTTTTTTTTGAGATGGAGTCTCGCTCTGTTACCCAGGCTGGAGTGCAGTGGCGCGATCTTGGCTCACTGCAAGCTCTGCCTCCCGGGTTCAAGTGATTCTCCTGCCTCAGCCTCCTGAGCTGCCTGGTTTCTTAGTCTCATCTCCTATTCCAACCCTTGTCCTACCTCATCACCACCCTCCTCTTCACTCCTTATATGCAGAGGGGCTGTGGGACATGCACTCCTCACTCCCTAAACTGTCCCTTATCAGTGGATTTGATGGCACCTTGCCCACACTCAAAAGTGCCCTCCCTGTGAGGTTGGTTGGGCACATAGCTCTGCAGTCTCCTGTCTGCAGGCACTGGGCGAGATGATATACGTACATGTATGATGATATAGATACATATGATAAAGATATGTAAGATTCCTTTTTGCAAAGGAATCTTTGCAAAAAGAAGGTGTTGTTGTCACCTTCATTTGACAGATAAGAAAAATGACCCTCAAAGAGGTTGAATGATTTGATAAAAGTCAACACAACTATGAAGTGTCACAACATAGAGAGCTCAGGCTTTGGGATGCCTGGATGGGAATCCCAGCTGTACCTCTGATCACTTTAGGATCATAGGGAAATTGCTACTGTCTCTGTGCCTCAGTTTCTCACCTGTAACATGGATGACACCTCATGGGGAAGTTGTGAAAACTGAATGACGTAATATAGGTAAAGAGCCCAGGCAGGACCTGGCACGTGGAAGCTCTCAGCATTGCCAAACTCTGATTAGCCTCTGTCTTTAACTTTCTTCCTGATGGGGTTGATCTCAAAGTCTGGGCATTCAGCCACAGGGAATGTGGAAATGTGGACACAGCCTTCTTGGACCACGCTCTCTAGGGATCTATTTCTCTTGCAGTTTGTGTGTTTCCCTTTCTGTAAATTACAAATGTAATACAATCTCACTGTAACCAGTCATTGTGCCTTCCCCTTCTGGAAATTACAAACGTGATAAAATCTCACTGTCACCAGTCAATCAGTAGGGGAATGTCTACAGAAAAAGGCAGGCAGCCCTCCCTGACTCCGCTTCCCTCCCAGCTCTCTGAGGTGGAGCTTTTTGCATCTCCACCCACACTGTTCTCCATGCCCCCACACAGATCCACAGGTAGGCTTTTCTGTTTTCCAGTGTGATTTCAGATGGAAATGGATTGACAGTCCGCACAGCACTCTTCAGCTCCATGCTTTCCCTTAGCATTTCCACATTCCTCCAGGTCAATAAACTGAGACCCAGCCAACTTGCTCTTAAGCTCCATGATACTCTTTGAACGCTGCAGGGAATTCATAATCTCAAATTAATTTTCCTTGCCACACATAATTTAAACACTGTTCTCTCCTAACACCAAGGTAACTAAGTCTAACTTCACATCAAACAAATGAACAGCCTGAGACCTAGAATTCTGGCCATTTTGCACGGGATCTGGGAAGGAGATCTGTAAGATGCTCACCCAGCTGCTGGGGTCAGAGAGGGGATGAGAAAAGCCATGCACACAGCATGGACGGAAGGACCTCGGCGCTGCTGGTGGCTGGGGATGGAGGGGGTATTAGGTTGGCACCATCCAGATCCTTTTCTCATGGGTGCTGGCATCTGGTAGATCTGACTTTGACTGCCCTACCAGGAGCCAGCTGTGGGCCAGGGAGAGCTGCCTGACATTTTTGCTGAAATGAGCATGACATGGACTTGACCTGAGGCTTAAAGGAGATGGCATACGTGAGCACGTGAAAACGGTGAGCCTCCAAGTGTAGGCAGATTCAGGTCACTGTTAGTAACTGTTTTCTTTTGACTTTTAAAACATACTAAGGCTGGGCGCGGTGGCTCACATCTGTAATTCCAGGAGTTTGGGAGGCTGAGGCAGGAGGATCACATGAGCTCATGAGTTTCAGGCCAGCCTGGGCAACATAGTGAGACCTTGTCTCTACTAAAAAAATAAAATTTAGCTGAATGTGGTGGTGTGTGCCTATAGTGCCAGCTGCTTGGGAGGCAAGGTGGGAGGGTTGTTTGAGCCTGGGAGATCAAGGCTGCAGTGAGCTGTGATCACGCCACTGCACTCCAGCCTGGGTGACAGAGTGAGACTCTGTCTCAAAACAACAACAACAAACCATATTAATGTTGGTTTTCTGTCTATTTGAAAACAGTTTGGCATAGGTTATCTACCCAGCAGAGGCCACGCATCCAAGTATCATTGGCTGTGAACTCACAGTTTGGACAAGTATGACGATAGGAAAAGGGTTTATGTCCCAGCAAGGAATTTTTTTTTTTTTTTTTTTTTTTGAGACGGAGTCTCGCTCTGTCGCCCAGGCTGGATTGCAGTGGCGTGATCTCGGCTCACTGCAAGCTCCACCTCCCGGGTTCATGCCATTCTCCTGCCTCAGCCTCTTGAGTAGCTGGGACTACAGGCGCCCGACACCAGGCCCGGCTAATTTTTTTGTATGTTTAGTAGAGATGGGGTTTCACCGTGTTAGCCAGGATGGTCTCAATCTCCTGACCTTGTGATCCACCCGCCTCGGCCTCCCAAAGTGCTGGGATTACAGGTGTGAGCCACTGCGTCCAGCCCCAGCAAGGAATGTTTTCATGAGATAGGAGGAAGATATTTTTCCTTTGAAGTCTGTACAGACAACCAACAGAAGTTGGGGCTGTTTCTCTGGAGAGACACAATGGAGAGCCAGCTCTCAGGTTCTGTGGGGACTGTCTTAGCTGGGCAGTGCCAGGGTGGCTGACCCCAAGGTGGCTGACCTCTGGCTGGGGCAGCGACCCCTGGCCCTACTGAATCAGAAGAGCCCGTATTTCCAGGTCTTTGGCCACATTTTCTTTGGCATATCTGGTACCTCTTGAAATCAGAGCTGTGAAACCCATAAATGACCCCAGAAGGTCATTTTTATTGGCATTTCTGACCTCTGCTGTGGGGTTGAATCCTACTTTGCTTGCAAGCGTTGCAGTGACACTGTTCACCCTGACTAAGTCTCCATTTGATTCAGAGAGCTGTTAAAGAGTATGAACTTGGGGTACGTGTTGTACTGGATGACTTCACAGAGTATGATGTGGTTTGGCAAAGATAGTGCAGGCCTTTGCAGTGGGAAGATACATTAGTCCTGCTTACTTGTTAAAAAGCATCTTTAATGGAATTTCAATTACACCGTAGCCTCCGGATAAACCCATCTAACTGTTCGAGTCTGGAAAGAAAATACTTCACAGAAAAGTGTGCTCCAGTTATCTATGGCTGCACAATAAACCACCCCAAAATATAGTGGCACTAAACAACCACTTTTCATGATTCTGTGAGTGAGGAATTTAGCAGGATGACCCAGAGACAGACCAGTGACTAGAACCCTCACTGATGGCTGGAGATGGCCGGGGCAGCTGTGCTGGGGCCATACGTTTGGGATCTTGGTTCCCGCTGTTGGCTGGGTTCCCTGGGTCTTCTGCATGTCATTTCTGCTGCGATGGAATGTCCAAAAAGGTTCCTTTACTCACATGCCTGGCTGGGATAGACAGAGCAGCCAGGGCTGGCCAGACACCTTTCTGTCTTCAGATGGCGTCTCCATGTGGGTACCTGGGCTTCCTCACCACGTGAGTGATACTTGCTACATAGTGTCTGGCTTCTGCCAGAGCCAGCATTCTAAGAGGCTCCAAGAGGCTTCTTACAACTCAGCCTCCCGTGTCCCAGAGTGTCACCTCTGTCACATTCGCTGGATCACGCAAGTCACAGGCCGGCCGGTGTGCGAGAGGCTAGGAATTAGACTCCACTTTCCTTCAGGAGGAGAAGCCACCTTTAATTTACTACAAAAAGTTCCTTTTCAGTGTTAACCTTAAAGTATTTTAATATGCTCAAAGTTCAACCTAATGTTCTATTTGAATATTTAATATGTTGTTCAAATGTTTAACCTAATAGCAGAGACTTTCATTGTAGCCCTTAGAATCCTCGAACTATGAAAACATGCCTTTCAGAATTGATTGCGATGAGGAAGAAAACAGCTAGGAAATTCTTACTGCCTTGAAAGCCCTGCTTGCTGCTCATTAGAGATAAAGTGTTCTGCCTGCCCTGGGTTGTGTACCTTCCTGAGCTTCTAGTAAGAGTCGCGTAGTCTCCGATGGAAGGCCTGGGGGTTCCCATGAGTCAGGCACAGGGACCTTGAAGTGTGACAACAGCAGGATCCCCCGGGACGTTCTTCACTTGTTTTCTGGGTTATCATGTCCCGGGGAAGTTGCTGGAACATCTCTGTAAAACTGAAGTTCACATTACAGGCTGGATTCCTATCCTTGGGCTCCCATAACAAAGTACGATAGACAAGGTGGCTTAAGCAACAGAAATTTATTCCTTCACAGTTCTGCAGACTGGAAAGCAGAGATCAAGGTGTTGGCAGCGTGGATTTCTTCTCGAGGCCCTGAGGGAAAATCTGTTCCAGGTCTCCCTCCTAGCTTCCTGTGATTTGCTGGTAATCCGTGACGTGACGTTCCTTGGCTTGTAGATGCATCACCCCGTCTCTGCCTCCTATTCACATGGCGTTCTCCTCGTGTTCATGTCTCGGTGTTCAAATCCCCCTTTTCCTAAGGACACAGTCAGATTGGACCGCGGGCCTCCCCTACTGTCATATGACCTCATCTTAGTCAATAGCATCTGCAGTGAACCTATTTCCAATAAGGTCACAGTCTCAGGTATTGGAGGTTAGGAATTCCTGTGAATTTTGGGGGAAGGACAGATTCACCCCATAACATAGGATAACCACCAAAACTAATAATTCTGATTATTTTTCCTTGGGGAGTAAGAGAAAATGGATAAGGCTATGGGGAAAATCTTATCACTAAATGGAATGCAAATGAGGAAGGGGGATCCTGCTGGAGGGATAGGGTCTGTGTGTAGCTCGCTGCCCACGTGTCCCCCCAAAGCCGGGTGCCCAGGAGGGCCATGCAGGTACTGTGTGCACAGGGAGTGGGTATTCTCATCACAGGTGCTCACCCTGATGCGCCTGTGTCAAGTGGGGCGGGGGGTGCTGGATGTCTCTGGACTGCTGGCCAGGCTGCCTCCTGGGCACAGTGCTCCTGTCTTCTCTGCAGGCCCTTCTAAGGCCTTCATGAGCCCTGTATGGACTCACTTTTCTCAGCTCAGAGGTCAGAGGTGGCATCAGCTTCTATTTTCTGCTTATGGTGGCGTTTGATGTTAATTCTAGTTCTGCTCTAAAGACAGACTGTGACCCCTCTCTGGCCTCTCCCTGGTTTCCCAGGACTGTGTCCATAGCCATTTCTTCATGTCACTTCACTCTATGTGACCTCCAGTGGGTCTCCTCAGGCTCTAGCTGCTTTCTTAGGTCAGTTCTCTGAGGGGGGCATTTTCGGACCTCCCCAGTTTCTGCCAGTCACCCCTATCTAGCCCCATGTGCTCTAATTAGAATGCACTTTAGAAAGACTCATGCTTAAAGTCCGAGTATAAAGGGTTTTTTTTTTTTTTTTTTTGAGATGGAGTTTCGCTTTTGTTACCCAGGCTGGAGTGCAATGGCGCCATCTCGGCTCACTGCAACCTCCGCCCCGTGGGTTCAAGCGATTCTGCTGCCTCAGCCTCCCGAGTAGCTGGGATTACAGGCGCCCACCACCACACCCAGCTAATTTTGTATTTTTACTAGAGACAGGTTTTCTCCATGTTGGTCAGGCTCATCTTGAACTTCCAACCTCAGGTGATCTGCCCGCCTTGGCCTCCGAAAGTGCTGGGATTACAGGCATGAGCCACCCCACCCGGCTCCAAGTATGAAGTTTTTAGGAAAATGTCTTATGCAACATGTTTCGTTTCTGAAGATGGGCGATGCATTGGGCACTATTGTCTGTGGCTTGGCTGCTAGCATGCTTGCTTCTTACCACGGTTATTTATTCATGCCAGCACCCCAGGCTGCAGAGGAACTCAGGACACCACCTAATCTATTTTCTTCCCTTCAGGAAAAAAACTCAAAGCTTTTTAGCGAAATGAGAATTTATTCCTTTTTTTTTCTCTTTGAAAATATTCAATAATCAACTTCCATTAGAAGCTACCTATAAATAATCAGCATAAATAATTGAGTCTCAGTGGTCTAAAGTAACCACAGATTTTGCATTTTAAATCCAGTGTTTACATGTAAAGCTATGGCTATAGAGTTACACTGGGGTCACGATGATTTCATCTTTTTTTTTGCTGAATTTTAAAACCACCTTCTTTTTGTAATTTCCTGTTTAACTTTGTTATATCTTTGAGGATGCGATGAGAAATTTAACAACTTTCTTCGACCTCTTGTTTAGCTGGTACTAGTGTAAATTTTATTAAAGTATATTTTCTTTTGTCTGTAGTTTTGCCTATTGAGCAGTGCACTTTATCTTACTGTACACCTAAATTATTGACACGGATTATTTATGCTTTAGGTGTTTATATTCAGTTAATCCTGGCAGAAGAATCAGGCTGACAGTGTTGGAGAGGTTCACAGAGAAAATTCTGTTGTGGTTTTGGGGATGATTCGGTGTCCCTCCCCTTAGACTTTCCCTGCTTCCATCACCTCAGCTGCACTGGTGAATCAGTGCTGCAGGTGTGATGGGTGTGGAAACCAGATTCTTGGTCTGTCGGGTGCCTGCCTTTCCCCTGAGGAGCCTGCACTATCAGCCGTGGTTTCAAAGCTTTTGTGCTTTATTTTCTTTACTTAAGTAGAATTGTTGGGGTGAGAAGACGGAGCCTGCAAGGGCAAGTGACTTGTCTTCCCAGCCGCTCAGCTTGCATTTTTGGTTGGTGGATTAACGATCATGCTGTCATTGCTGAATATCGGTGCACCAGTGTTCATACAGTATGCTCAGTTCATGGGGATGTTTAGATGTCACAAGGGAACCCTCTAATTCTGTCAGTTGCACATAGATAGATGAGTCCCTCCTGCTCGAAACTGGATTAGGAGAGTCAATTTCTGGAGGTATGAAAGATGTTTTGAGCATCAGTGCCAAGGACTCGTCTCAGATTCCTAGTGCCCATCGAGAGGCCCCGGACAGGTGTTCTGACCTGACCTCCCCATCTCCTGTGTTGCACTGTGGCCTTCATGACAGGGTAGTATGAGAGGTGTCCCCAGCCCATCACTCAGTCCTCACTGGGTCCTTCATGTGTGTCCATTGTGCTTTTCCCTCCTCCCGGCGGGCCTGCTGTCCAGCGGCACAGACGTCAGCTATTGATCCTCGTGCCACCTGCTGCCGATTGAGAAGCTGCCCTCTTTGGTCCTTCTAAAAGTCATGCTCTAAAATTATTCCTCCATACATCAGTTTTACACCAAGCAAACATTAAGCCCTCATTCCGTCAGTGTAAAACTCACACCACATGTAAATTAATTTGGGTGGGGGATTGAATCCCTGGCAGTGGCAGCTCAGGGGCTTGCCCTGGGTATAGTGGGGACACAGCCCCTGAGCCTGGCCCTGGGGATTCTGCAGCAACCAGCAGCTGTTGGTTTATAAAAGCAACTTACTGTGGGGTGGGGTGTGGTTGGCTGTGATATTTATGCGTTGTGATTGCCATTTGGATTTTTAAATAAAGTTCATCCTTTAGAATAGTTTTATATGAACAGAAAAATTGCCAAGATAGTGTAAAGAATTCCCAGTTTCTTTGTTTGTAACATCTTACATTACTATGGTGCATTTGTTAAAATGAATGAGCCAATATCGCTACATTATGATTATGTAAAGTCCATGGTTATTCATATTTCCTTAGTTTTTACCTAATGTTTTTTGTCTCTCCCAGGATACCATCCAACCCCACATCACGTTTCGTCGCCATGTTGCCTTAGGCTCCTCACAGTTGTGGCTTTTTCATAGACTTTCCTCACTTCGTATGACCTCGACAGTGTTGAGCAGTACTGGTCAGTGTTACGTAGGGTGCCCCTCTATTAGGATTTCTCTGATGTTTTTCTCATGATTAGACTGGATTTGGAGGAAGAAGACCAGAGAGGTAAAGACCATTATTTATTTATTTTTTTTGAGACAGAGTCTCGCTCTGTCGCCCAGGCTGGAGTGCAGTGGCGTGATCTCGGCTCACTGCAGTCTCTGCCTCCCGGGTTCAAACGGTTCTCCTGCCTCAGCCTCCTGAGTAGCTGGGACTACACGCTCATGCCACCACTCCTGGCTGAATTTTTTTTTTTTTTTTGTATTTTTAGTAGAGGCCGGGTTTCACCATGTTGGCCAGGATGATCTCCATCTCCTGACCTCATGATCCACCTGCCTTGGCCTCCCAAAGTGCTGGGATTATAGGCATGAGCTGCCGCGCTCGGCCAAGACTGTTCTTATCTCATCACATCAGGGGGACATACTATCAGTAAGGCATCACTGTTGATGTTGACTTGATCACCTAGCCAGGTGATCACTGAGGGAGTGATTGGCAGTTTTCTCTACTGTGAAGTTCTACCTGCCCACCTTCCTATATTGTATTCTTTGGAAGGAAGTCACTATGTGCAGCCTCCACTTAAGGAGTGGGGAATCATGTTCCTCTTCCCTGAGGGCGGAGTATCTACATAAAGTATTTGGAATTTTTTCCCTTGGGAGATTTGTCCCTTCTTTACTATTTATTTACTTGTGTGTTCAATCATGTATTTATAGAAATATGGACTCATGGATATTTATTTTATACTCACAGTTATAATCCAATGTTACTTTATTGTTAAAAGTTGGCTTCTGTGTTCCTTTGACACACCCCCATCATTGTGAGGTTATTAATTTTTATCACGTTCTTACTTTCTGGCACCACAAGAGGTTCCTGGCTCATTTTGTATGTTTCCTGCCCTAGTCCATGGGCAAATTGGCCATTTCTCCAAGAAAGCTCTGGTTCTTTTGGTTGGAGGTTGGCATTAGAAACCAAAATCTCAGTGCCAGGTGTGCTTGTTATTACTGGGTGGGGGAGAGGCCTTTGCTTCTAGGTTCACTCAGCTGACAAAACAAGGAAATACATTGGTTCCTCTTTATTCGCAGTTTTCATTTCCGTGGTTTCAGTTAGGTGCGGTCAATCATGGTCCAAAAATATTAAATAGCAAATTTTAGAGATGAACAATTCATACTTTTTTTTTTTTTTTTGAGACGGAGCCTTGCTCTGTCACCCAGGCTGGAGTGCAGTGGTGCGATCGCAGCTCACTGCAACCTCCGCCTCCTGGGTTCACACCATTCTCCTGCCTCAGCCTCCCGAGGAGCTGGGACTACAGGCACCTGCCACCATGCCCGGCTAATTTTTTGTATTTTTTAGTAGAGACGGGGTTTCACCATGTTAGCCAGGATGGTCTCGATCCCCTGACCTCGTGATCCACCCGCCTCGGCCTCCCAAAATGCTGGGGTTACAGGTGTGAGCCACTGCGCCCAGCCTAGTTGTTCTATTTTATTATTAGGGATCATTGTTAATCTCTTACTGTGCCTAATGATAAATTTTATCAAAGGTATGTATGTATAGGAAAACACATAGTATACATAGGGTTCAGCATTATCTGTTTTTTCAGGCACCTACAGGGGTATTAGAATAGGGTATTCCACACATATAAGGGAGGACGACTGTATATGAGTGTATACCAACACATGTATATACCTGTAACCTGTAACTATTTCTATATATAACCATCAATAGTCTATTAAGCTAAACATGAGTTCATAGTGATGTCTTCAATGCCAATCCTTTACAGCGTGGATCAGTCCAGCCTCCTCCCCTGTTCCCACTCCAGCAGTGAGAAACCTGGTTCTCACCATCTGCCATCCATTTACTTAATGGTCAGTTTCAAAATACGTGAGTAGTGGTATCAGAACTATTAACCACTGCCCACCTGGGAAACAAATTTATCAACTAGAGTTCATCACTGATGTACAGCTTCTTTGGCCTTTAGTATTACAGACTCCATGATTTTCAGAGTTACTTAAGTCAGCACCTTTTCCCCCCAACCCCTTTCAGTGAGGTTGTTTCGTAGATTGTTTTTTGTCACATTTTGCAAAATTAGGATCCTGAGATCCTCCCACCTTTTAAATACTTTTTAAAAGTTAGCATATCTGCAGATTAGCTCTTTGGCCTGTACAGTTCAATGGGTTTTGACAAATGCATAGTCATGTATCCACAATTACATATCATAAAAATAGTTCACCACCCTGAAAAATTCTCTGGACTTCACTTATTTAATCCTTCCCTCTCTCCCTGAACTCTTACTGATCTTTTCACTATTACTACCGTTTTGCCCTTTCCAGAATGCCATGTCATTGGAATTATGCAATATGTTACTTTTTAAGATTCACTTATTTCACATAGCAATATGCATTAAGATTCATCCATATTGTTTTATGGCTGGATTCTTCATTTATTTTTATGGCCAAATAACATTTCATTATGTAGATGTACCACAGTTTGTTTATCCATTCACCTATTTAAGATACCTTGCTTGTTTACAGTTTTTGGCAATTAAAAATAAAGCTGCTATAAACAATCACATGCAGGTGTTTTCAAATCAGTTATGTAAATACCTAGGAATATGATTGCTGGATC
Organism: Homo sapiens; assembly: GCF_000001405.40. Lineage (NCBI taxonomy): Eukaryota > Metazoa > Chordata > Mammalia > Primates > Hominidae > Homo > Homo sapiens. The sequence continues at coordinate 1,490,923 of NW_011332701.1, read as the reverse complement.
ATACAATAAGACTATGTCTCGTTTTGTAAGAAACTTTTAAACTGTTTTCCTAAGTGGCTGTTTTACATTCCTATAAGCAATGGATAAAAATTCCTGTTGGTCTGCATCCTCACTAGCAATTGCATCCTCATCAGCAACTGACAACAAATACTGTCCATTTTTGGATTTTAGCCATTGTGATAGGTATGTAATGGTATCTTATTGTTGCTTTAATTTGCAGTCCCCTACTGGCAAATGATATTGAACATTATGTCATATGCTTATTTGCTGTTCCTGTATCTTCTTTGGTGATGTTTGTTCAGATCTTTACCCTCTTTTTTTTTTTTTTTTTGAGATGGGGTCTTGCTCTGTCGCACAGCCTGGACTGCAGTGTTGCAATCTCGGCTCACTGCAAGCTCTACCTCCCGGGTTCACGCCATTCTCCTGCCTCAGCCTCCTGAGCAGCTGGGACTACAGGCGCCCGCTAGCACACCTGGCTAATTTTTTTGTATTTTTAGTAGAGACGGGGTTTCACTGTGTTAGCCAGGATAGTCTCGACCTCCTAATCTCGTGATCCTCCCACCTCGGCCTCCCAAAGTAAAGTGCTGGGATTACAGGCTTGAGCCACCGCGCCCAGCCACCTTCTTTTAAAGTTAGACATTTTGTTTTCTTATTGTTGAGTTTTACTTTTCTTTATACATTTTGGATACAAATTCTTTATCAGATATGTGTTTTACAAATATTTTCTTTCAGTCTGTGACTTCTCTTTTTCTTCTCTTAACAGTGTCTTTGAACCAAACCCCAAATCACCAAGATATTCTGTGTTTTCTTAAAGAACTTTTATAGTTCTGCATTTTACATTTAGGTGCATGATCCCTTTTGATATAATTTTTTGAGTAAGGTGTAAGTTTTATGTCTAGGTTTCTTTTTTTTTGCATATAGATGTCCAATTTTTCCAGCACCATTTGTTGAAAAATCTTCTCTTTTTTCCATTGAATGACTTTGTTGATATTTCAAAGATCAGTTAACTATATTTATGGGCTTTATTTCTGGGTTCTCAATTCCATTAAATTGATCTCTTTGTCTGTTCTTTTGCCAATACCATGTTGACTTGTTTATACTATTTTTATTGTAAATCTTTAAATTGGGTATTGTGAGTGCTTCAACTTCTTTTTTCTTCTCCTTTAGCATTTTGTTGGCTATTCTAGGTCTTTGGCCTCTTCATATAAGTTTGAGAATCAGCTTTTATCTACAAAATAGTTTTTGGATTTTGATTAGGGTTGCATTGGATTTATAGATCTAGTTGAGAAGAATTGACATATTAACAATATTGTCTTTCTGTCCATGAACATGGAATATCTCTATATTTATTTAGGTAATCTTTGAACTCTTTCATTTGAGTTTTCTAGTTTTCTACATATAGTTCTTATACATATTTTGTCAGATTTATACCTAAGTATTTCGTTTTCTTGGTGCAGTGTTTAATGGTACATTTTAAATTTCAAATTCCAATTTTTCATTGCTGGAATATGGGAAAGCAATTGACTTTTGTATATTAATATTGTATCCTGTGACCTATGCTAGCTTATTAGTTTGAGAGTTTCTTGACAGTTCTTTGGGATTTTGTACATGAACAATCATATCATTTATGAACAAAGACAGTTTTATTTCTGACTTTTCAATCTATGTATCTTTTATTTCCTTTTCTTGTATTATTGCATTAGCTAGGACTTCTAATATGATGTTGAACAGAAGTAGTGAGAGAGGATATCCTTGCCTTGTTCTTTTTTGGGGGAAAGTGTGCAGTATTTCATTATTAGGTGTGATGTTAGCTTTTTATAAACACTTTTTATCAAGTTGAGGAAGATCATCTTTGTTCTTAGTTTGTAGAGAATTTTCTTTCATAAATGAGTGTTAGATTTTGCCAGATGCATTTTCTGCATCAATTGATGTGATATGATTTTTCCTCATTAGCCTGTTGATGTGGTATATTGCATTGACTGATTTTCAAATATTGTACCAGTCTTGCATACTTATAATAAATCCCATTGGGTTGAAGTATATAATTCTTTTCATACATTTTTAGTCTTGCTAATATTTTGTTGAGAACTTTATGTCCATGAGAGATCTTGGTCTGTAGTTTCCCTTTTTTATGCTCTATGTATCTGGTTTTGGCATTAGGGTAATGCTGGCCTCATAGAATAAATTAGGAAGCGTTCCCTCTGCTTCTGTTTTGTAGAAGAAATTGCAGAAAACTGATACTATTTTTTCCATCAGTGTTTAGTAGGATTCGTCAGTGAAATCACCTGGGCCTGCTGCTTTCTTTTTTGGAATATCGTTAATTATTGATTCAGTTTCTTTAGTAGCTTTAAACCTGTTCAGACGATCTAGTTCTCCTTGTATGAGTTTTGGTCATTTGTATGTTTCAAGGAATTAGTCCTTTTTCTAATTTGTCAAATTTAGAGGTATAGAGTTCCTTTGTTATCATTTTAATGTCCATGGATTAATATTGGTAATCCCTTAATTTATTTCTGATATTAATAATTTGTGTATCCTTTTTTCTGAGTCTAATTTTCTCTATTATTTTTCAATTTTCTATTCAGATTTCTGCCTTAATTTTTAGTATTTTCTTTTTTCTGTTTGCTTTATGCTTGGATTGCTCTTCTCTCTCTAGTTTCCTAAGGTACACGCTTATATTATTGGTTATAAACGTTTCTTCTTTTCTGTTATAGGCATTTAGTGCTGCAAATTCTCCTTGAGTATGGCTTTTGCTATACACAATAGTGATAAGTTGTATTTTCATTTTCATTTAGTTCAAAGTATATTTTCATTTCACTTGAGACTTCTTTCAACCATATGCTATTTAGAAATGTGTTTTAAAATCTCCAAGTATTTGGGAATTTCCATCTTTTTCTGTTAGTGATTTCTAGTTTCATTCTACTGTGGTCTAAGAGCATACTTTGTATGATTTCAGTTCTTTTAAATTTGTCTAGGTGTGTTCTCTGGCCAAGAATGTGGTCAATCTTGGTGAATGTTCCCTGTGAGCTTGAGAAGAATGTGTATTCTGCTGTTGTTGGATGTAGTCTATAGATGTTGATGATGTATCAATTACTAAGAAGAAAATGTTGAAGTCTTCAACTATAATAGTACATTTGTCCATTTTTCCTTTCAGTTCTGTCAGTTTTTGCCTCATGTATTTTGACGCTCTGTTTTTAGGTGCATACATGTTAAGGATTGTTATGTCTTCTTGGAAACTGACCTTTATATCACTATGGATGCTCGTATTGACCTCTGATAATTTCCCTTGTCCTAAAGTCTGCTTTCTCTGAAACTAATATTGGTACTCCAACTTCCTTTTGATTAGCATAGCACACTATAACTTTCTTCATCCCTTCACTTCTAATCTGAGTCTTTATATATAAAGTGGATTTTTTGTAGACTACATATAGTTGGCTTTTTATTTTATCTACTCTGATAGTTTCTGTCTTTTAATTGGGATATTTAGGTTATTTACTTTAAAGTGATTATTGCACAGTTGGATTGATGTAGTTAAAAATATCTACATGGTTGGGCACAGTGGCTCATGCCTGTAATCCTAGCACTTTGGGAGGCCAAGGTAGGCCAATTGCTTGATCCCAAGAGTTCAAGACCAGGCTCTAAAAAATAATAATAATAAAAATAAAAAAATAGCTAGATGTGTGCCTGTAGTCTCAGCTACTCAGGAGGCTAAGATGGGAAGGTCACTTGAGCTCAGGAAGGTTGGGGCTGCAGTGAACAATGATCGTGCCACTGCACTCTAGCCTGGGCCACAGAATGAGACCCTGTATTAAAAAAAAAAATTCTACTATGTTTGTAACATTTTTTGTTGTTGTTCACTTCTTTCCCTTTTTTTCCCTGCCCTTTCTGGTTTGAATAGAGCATTTTTAATGAATCCATTTTATCTCCTCTTTTAGCATATCAATTACACTTCTTTTACAAATTATTTTAGTGGTTGCCCTAGAGTTTTCACTCTACATTTTCAACTACTCTATATTCACTCTCAAATAACACAATACTGGTTCATATCTAGAATAGGTACTGTTTGGGAAAAAATTTCTCAAACTGTGTTTTTCCTCTGCTCTCACAGCACAACGATAATCAACACAGAACCTTCTGTGACCTAAATTGTGGGGGTTTTCCCCACACAGCAGGGAGTGGCCACCAGATGCTTATTCTCTAATTTAATTTTAACATCTTCTACTTGGAAATAACCTCAGACCTCACTGGTGCAGAGCCTGGAACCCATGGCTGCCCCCTCTCCCAACACTAGTCCTAAGTCCAGGCCTCTAGGACTTCTGACCAATCAGCTTTCATTTGGGGTTCCCACAGCCTTCTCTTTGGGTTTGATTAATTTGCTGGAGCAGCTCACAGAACTCAGGGAAACACTTAACATTTACTGGTTTGTTATAAAGGATATTAGAAAGGACACCGATGAGGAGATGTATAGGGTAAGATAGGAGGAAGGTGTACTTGGGTTCCATGCCCACTTCAGGACGCCACCCTCCAGGAACCTCCGTGTGTTCAGCTATCAGGAAGCTCTCTGAACCCGGTCCTCTTGGGTTTTTATCGAGGCTTCATTGTGTAGGCATGATTGATTAAACCACTGGCTATTGGTGATCAACTTAGCCTTCAGGCCCTCTCCACTCCCTGGGGTTGGGGGATTGGGCTGAAAGTCCCAACCCTCTAATCCTGCCTCTGTCTTTCCAGTGAGCAACCCCATCCTGAAGCTGTCAGTTAACATTAGCATCATTAGCAAAAGGACTTTGGGGATTCCAAGGATTTTAGGAATTGTTTGCCAAAAAAAGAGGTCAAGACCAAATATTTCACAGTATCACAGGTACCTTATAAATGAGTATTCTCTGTTTCCTTCTTCCATTTCTTATGACATTGCTATCATTCATTGCATTTATCCATATGCTATAATCACTCAATAGATGTTGACTATTATTACCGTAAACCGAAAGGTATCTGAGACAGGTCTCAAGCAATTTAGAGGTTTATTTAACCAAGGTTAAGGATGCATCCGGGAAAAAGGAACACAAAACCACAGGAACAATCTGTGATCTTACTTTTTCCCAAGAGGATTTTGAGGTCTTCAGTATTTAAAGGGGAAAAGTGGGCAGGAAGGGAAGGAGGGTGGGTGTGGTCACATCACTGAATCCACGTGTTGCACGTGAAAAGGAGGAGACATAGAAATAATCGATTATATATTCATCTAGTGCTCAGCAAGTCGACACTTTACACAAGATAAAGTAAACACAGAGCAGCACTCGTGGAGACAGCTGGCCTCTGTCTGGCCTTTTATCTTTAGCTGTCTGCTGGGCAACAAAAGGAAAGGCAGCTTCTTGTGTGACTCAGCTTCCAACTTAATTTTTCCCTTTGCCATAGTGAATTAGGGTCCCGGGATTTATTTTTCTTTCATATTACTTTAAGCAAACAGTTATCTTTTAGATCAATTAAGAATAAGAAAATATATGAGTGGTTGAGGAGATGTTGGTCAGGGGATAAAAAATTTATCTTAGATAAAAGGGATAAGTTCAGGAGATCTACTGCACAATGTGGTGACTATAGGTAATAACAGTGTAGTGTATTCTTGAAAATTGCCAATAGAATATATTTTAAGTGTTCTTAACACAAAAAATAAGTATGTGAGGCAGTGCATGTGTTAATTAGCTCAGTTTAACCCCTCAACAATGTATGCGTATTTCAAAACAACATGATGTGCATAATACATATATATAAGTTTGTCAATTAAAAAATAAGTTTATATTCAAATTTTTAAAAAAATAAGAAAAATAAGACTTTATTTTACCTTCATTTATTCCTTCTTCAAAGCTCTTTTCTTTCCTTGTGTAGATCTGAGTTTCTGACCTATTTCATTTTCCTTTCTTCAAAGAACTCCTTTTTTTTAAATTTAAATTTTAATTTTTAGTTCTGGGGTACATGTGCAGGATGTGCAGGTTGGTTACATGGGTAAACGTGTGCCATAGTGGTTTGCTGCACCTATCAATCCATCACCTAGGTATTAAGCCCAGCATTCATTAGTGATGTTTCCTAATGCTCTCCCTCCCCGCCCACTCCCCCAAACAGGCCCCAGTGTGTGTTGTTCCCCTCCCTGTGTCCATATGTTCTCATTGCAAAGAACTACTTTTAACATTTTTTGCAGGTCACTTTGCTGGTGACACATTTCCTGCATTTTCCTTTCTCCGAAAAAGTCTTTATTTCTTTTTCACTTTTTTTTTTCTTTTTTTTTTTTTGAGACAGAGTCTCACTCTTGTCACCCAGGCTGGAGTACAGTGGCATCATCTCAGCTCACTGCAACCTCCACCTCCTGGGTTCAAGCAATTCTCCTGCCTCAGCCTCCCGAGTACCTGGGATTATAGGTGCCCGCCACCATGCCCAGCTAATTTTTTTGTTTGTTTGTTGAGATGGGATTCCACCATCTTGGCCAGGCTGGTCTCGAACTCCTGACCTTGTGATCCACCCGCCTTGGCCTCCCAAAGTGCTGGGATTACAGGCATGAGCCACCGCGCCCAGCCTCTTTTTCACTTTTATGGGATAATTTTGCTGGATATACATGTCTAGGTTGGTGGGATTTCTTCTTTCATCACTTTAAATACTCCACGCTCTTCATGCTTGCCTTTTGATGATAAATCGACTGTAATTCTTATATTTGTTCATCTATGGTAAGGTGTTATTTTTTTCTCTGGTTTCTTTCTAGATCTTCTCTTGGACTTTGGCTTTCTGCACTTTGAATGAGATGCCTCAGCGTAGAGTTTTTGGTAGTTATCCTGTTTGGGTTCTCCAAGCTTCTTTGATCTCTGGTTTGGGGTCTGTTTGGAAAGCTATCAGCTTATTTTATTAAATAAAATAAATGTAATTTAATTTATCATTATTAAATTACATTTGGAAAGTTTATCAGTTTATATTACTTTAGATGTGTCATCTATTCCATTCTCTTTTTGCCTTTTAATATTCCTGTTATACATATATTACACTTTCTGAAATTATACAACTGTTCTTGAGTGTTTTATGGTGGTTATTTTATTTTTATTTTTTCTCATTCTTTCTTGCACTTTAGTTTGGGACATTTGTGTTGACCTATCTTCAAGCTCACTGTTTCTTTCCTCAGCTGTGTCTGGTCTACTTAAGAGCCCATCAAAGGCAATTTTCATTTCTGTTACAGTGTTTTTGATTTCTAGCATTTTCTTTGATTTTTTCTCAGACGTTCCATCTCTGCTTATACCACCCATCTGTTCTTGCATATTTGTCCATTTTTCCCATTGCAGCCCTTAGCATATTCACCACAGTGGTTTTAAATACCCCATTTAGTCCTTCCAAATTCTCTGCTGTGTCTCAGTCTGGTTCTGTTGCTTGCTCTGTCTCCTCAGACTTTTTTCCTTGCCTTTTACCATGCCTTCTAATTTTTTGCTGAAAACCAAATATAGTGTATCAGATAATAAGAATTAAAGGAAACAGGCCTTACCTGTGAGGTTTTATATTAATATGGCTGTTATTAGGCTCTTAATATTTGCTGTAGCTGTAGGTGCCAGAGGGTTCAAATTCACCTATTTCTCTTGTTTTTGTCCTTTTCTTGTCTTTGGATTTCCCTAAGAATGCTTTCTTGTGTCTAGCAGCTCCTTCAACTGTAATTTGTGGTAGTTATACTGCAGCCCTGTTGCTGTGGTGGGAAGGTGTGTGTGTGGTGTGTTTTACTCTGATGATGAAATTTCAGTCTTTTAGTGGGCCTGTATCTCTGGGCTATCACCTTAACAAGCGTTTCTAGCCTTTTATTCCTGCCTTAGGTGAGACAGGAAGGCTGCACGGGCATGGGGTCAGGAAAACGCCTTCCCCCAGATGGAATACTGTGTTGGAGAGCAGGCCTTTGTTATGGAGAAGGTTCTGTTCATTTGTCACTAGGACTAGCCTTTCCCTCCCCTGCTACAGCCATCAGGGCTCTTAACCCTGAGAATCTGGTGATGTTCTCAGAGGCAAAACACACAAAAGTGTATGGTGTCCCCCTAAAACTGCAGCCCCAGCAGTCTCACTTGGAGGCTGGTCCACCCTCAGCCTCCAGCAATTTGTCAGAATTAACGTTTGGAGGCTCCAACTGGGGGCTGGCCCAGCAGCATCTCTAGGTGAGCAGATCTCAGCCGGGACCCTGTGCATTCCCATCTCTTCAGATTTCCCAGTGGCAGTTTGTTCTGCAACCTCAGCTCTCTGAGGGGTCCAAGAAAGGTTGCTGAGTTTCTGTTTGTTCAGCTTTTTTCTTATCATAAGGATGGGAGTGACAACTCCAAGCTTTTTACGTGTTGGAACTGAAACTGGATGTCCTTGTTTGGCTTTTTAAAGATAAATTTGTTATTCCAGATGAATTTCTCACCCAGTGGTTTATGTGTCAGAAATCTGGGCATCTCCGCTTCCCTAGTCCAGGGGCACAGATGCTCTGCCATTGGACTGATGGCAGCAGTGAATTTCAATAGGGAATTAGATGGCACTTGAACAACCCAGGACCTCTGTTCACTCAGCCTGCATTGACTTGTGCTACTTCAGAGGAAACTGGGGCTGTCTGAGCTTCTTGTTCCAAAAGAATGGTCAGTGCTTTAAAGCAGGGGTCTGGCTTGCACTTTCTCTTTCTCTCCACTGGTCTCTAATGTGAAAACCCAAGAGTTTATAGAACATGGAAGCCTTCAGATTTCCGTTCATCTGAAGTGAAGTAAGAAGTGGCCTGCCATTAACTATTTCTCGTGTCTTCAGTACCCATGGCGGTTGTGAGGGTCTCCCTGGCACTTCCTCTCAGGGCTCTGCCTTGGTTTGAGTATGCAGTGCAGATGGCAAAATGAGATGTTCTTACTTTTCATAGCTTTGTTTTGAATAGAGTAGGTACTTTAGGTGGTATACAGTTAATCGTTGCTTTTAATTTTACATATGACTGTAAACAAATTGGCTTCTCTTTGGTAACAGTTTTGTAGAGGAAATGGCTATGTGATGGTAGATGTTCCTGGAGAAAGGGAGCATTCAGTTTGCAGAAACTGGTTTCTACCTAATCTTTGCCAGTTTGGGTTCATCTTTTGCACTAAGCCAACCAATAGGAAAATGTATAAGCCTACCTTGGAGAGCTTGTGGGTTCTGTTGCAGACTATTGCAATAAGACGGTTATCACAATAAAGCAAGTCACACACATCCTTTGGTTTCCCAGAGCATATCAAAGTTACGATTACACTAAGCTGTAGTCTAGTAGGTGTGCAGTAGCATTGTATCTTTAAAAAGTGTACATACCTTAATTTGGCCGGGCGTGGTGGCTCACACCCTTAATCTCAGCACTTTGGGAGGCCGAGGTGGGCGGATCACGAGGTCAGGAGATCGAGACCATCCTGGCTAACACGGTGAAACCCCGTCTCTACTAAAAATACAAAAAATTAGCCAGGTGTGCTGGCAGGCGCCTGTAGTCCCAGCTACTCGGGAGGCTGAGGCAGGAGAATGGCGTGAACCCAGGAGGCGGAGCTTGCAGTGAGCTGAGATCGTGCCACTGCACTCCAGCCTGGGTGACTGAGCAAAACTCCGTCTCAAAAAACAAAAAACAAAAAAAAAGTGTACATACCTTAATTTAAAAATACTTCATTGCTAAAATATACCGACAGAGAGACATGAAGTGAGCACACGCTGTGAGAAAAATGATGCTGATAGACTTGCTCCTTGCAGGGTTGCCACAAACCTTCAATTTATCAACAACGCAGTATCTGTGCAGTGCAATGCAACGAAGTGCAATAAAACACGGCCTGCCTGCAATTACTCCTTCAAGTTTGTTGCTGGGAATTTTCCATCAACATATGAAGAGCTCTCTGGAAACGCGGAAAATTTACACCTCTAATCAGGAGTGTTTTGTTGCCTGTGAGAGCCATGTTTCGGTGGACATTCAGAAACACTGTCATGAGGTTTCAAAATCATCGACATTGCCACCGTGCAAAAGCCACACCCTCATCTCACCTTGAGAGCTAGCCAGAGTGGGCGCTAGTCTGTTCATCTCACCACAGCCTCCCGCCTCCTTCTGTGGGTCAGTGCTGAGAATTCTTCTCTTCATCCCACCCGGGTCGGATGAAGGCCTCTGGATCTTGCTGCTGTGACAGTTTTTGCCTCTTTGAGGTGGGTTGGCCTCAACAGCCATAAGTTCAATTCTGCATGAGCCTGTAGCAGCACTTTTTGCTTTAGGGCCATTCCCCATGTTTTCTAGATTAATATAGAAACATTATTGGAGTGATATTATATTGAATTTTTCTATGCTATGTCTAATGCACTCAAGCATTTTAATAAGCCAGCAGTTATGATAATTTTAATGGGAGATTCGTGTTCCGTTTTGCATATGTGATGAACTTGAATTTGATTGAGTCTTTGAATGCAACTCTCGAGAGTATAAAGATCTAGTTCTTTAATGCTTTGAGGTCTGTTCCTGACTATTTTGATTCAAATATTTCTTCATTTTAAAATTATTCTATTTACCAGGACATTTGAAAGGGAACAATGTTTTGCCTGTAGCTTTCTAATTGACCTAATCTGATTACTGTGTGTTTTTTATGAAACAGTAGGCAGAATATGTCAGCAAAGTTTTAGGTACAGCAGGCTTAGCAACTGCGGTCCCACAAATTAAATGTTATTTATGGTAATAGTTATATGTAGTTTTATGGGTGTTACTCAGAATAACATCATTATATCTGGTATTTGAATTGGGCACTAATTGAGGAATACATTTGGGCATAAATTTAGTTCTATTCTAGTATTGCTATTTTGTGTAATTATAAAACCAAAAGGCTTCATTCTTTATTTCCTCTTTAAAACTCCATGTGAAATCTTACTTTGATGTGATGTTTAGGAAAATATTTTTAGTAATTTGGCATAGTTAAATTCATACCAAAATAAAAAATAACTGGCCTTTGTTTAGTTCTGCTATATGACAGGCTTTGTAATATGTAATAAAACAAATTTGTAATATTTGTTTCCCCCAGTGATTTTAAGTGACCTCTTTATCATATACTAATTTGTCTTGTAACTTAGGTTTATGTGTCTTCTTTTTAAAAGGAAGGAATTCAGGTTCCCAAAACATAGGAAATTTTTACAAACTGGCTGTGTGACTAAGTAGCAGAGTTATTATCTGAACCCATATTTTCATATTTTTCGACATTTACATTGTGGATATCTCAACTATATACACAAGTAAAGAGAATGACATATTGAACCCTATGCATCCATTACTCAGCTATAGCTGCCAGCCACTCCTGGACAGTCTTGCGTCATCAGTACCCCACCACTTCTCCCTTGGATGAAGAAAGCAAGCCTGAGACATCACATTATTTTGTGTCAAAATACATACATGCCTACCTCTAAAAGAGAAGGTGGCCCTTATTTTTTATTTTTAAAATGATATAGTCACAATGCCATGATCACAACTAATAGATACCAATAATTTGGTTTATCATCAAATACCTCATGTTCAAATTTCTGTGTGCCTGTTTCTCTCTTTTTGCATTGGGTTGTTAGGTCTCTTAAGTCTCTCTGTCTCTCTTCTTTATTTTCCCTTGCTGGCCCCAGTGAGCAGAGGCCACCAGAGCTCCCATGTCTCTTGATTATCCTTCAGGAAATAAACCACTTGAGATATACAATTAAATGGTGATATGTTACAGTCAGTTTAAACCGCTCTCTGTGGTTAAGGCACCTGCTCGTTTTACTGGTTCACTTATTTCATTTTGCTTTTGATTTTAGGGATTTTAATTAATTTTTGATTTAATTTTGTTTCATAATTATATAAGACATTTACTGTTACAAAGTCAAATCTATGCAGTAAAGTGTTTTCCCCTGAAAATTCTAGTTATCATTTCTGTCCTGTTTGTATTCCTTGTCTCCCCACCCCCCGGCCCTATAGTAACTACTCGTAGATTTTCGCTTTGTCCTTTCATTTCTAAATTATAAGCAAGCACATGTGCTGTACACATACTGCATGTACGTGTGCCTACCTTGCACATTGTTCCAGCCTTTGGTTTTATAACTTAGTGATATCGCGTGGGGTCAGTCTGTAGCAGTGTATAAAGACATTTCTTATTCCTGTTTACTGCATAATGCGGTTTATCATTTGTCTTTCATTTGTCTTTTTTATTTGCTTCTGGTAGTATTCATATGTAAAGATTTGTATTTTATGTAGTTAAGTTCATCAGTTTTTCCCTTATTACTTTGGACTGTGAGTTATAGGAAATATTTCTCAACTTTCCGGTTAGAGAGGAATTCCATGTTTTTTTCTAATACTTAAAGTGGGGTCTCTCTGTCTCCATTTAAGTTTCTAATCTATTTGGAATCAGTTCTGATATAACTGGTGAGAAACAGATGTGTATTTTTCTTTTTCCATATGGCCATCCCATCTGGATTTATCAGTACTACTTATGAAAAGTGTATGTTTCCCTCAATTATTTTAAATGACCCCTTTGTCATATACTAAATTACCATAGACAAATGTGTTTGTTTCTGGATATTTCCGTTTTATTTTATTGGTCTGTCAATTCATCGGCCAAGAAGGGGGCTTTAAATACATTTTAATATCTGGAAGGGCTAGCCTTCCTTATTGATCTTTTATGGAGTTTCCTTTGTGATTCTTGCTTAGTTGTTCTTCCAAGAACTATATAATCAGTTTGCCTAGCTTCTAGGAGACAATGATGATTTTTTTTAATCAATATGGCATTAAATTTATAGATTAACTTTAGGAGAATTAACATCTCTTTGCTGTTGTATCTTCTTATCCAAGAATATATTTCTTTCCATTTATTCAAAATACTCTTTACTTTCACAAGCATGTCACCATTTTCTTTCTTTTTTGAGACAAAGTCTCGCTCTGTCACCAGGCTGGAGTGCAGTGGCACGATCTCGGCTCACTGCAACCTCCGCCTGCCAGGCTCAAACAATTCTCCTGCCTCAGCCTCCCAAGTAGCTGGGACTACAGGTGTGCACCACCACACCTGGCTAATTTTTGTATTTTTGGTAGAGGCGGGGTTTCACCATGTTGCCCAGGATCGTCTCAAACTCCTGAGCTCAAGCGATCCACCCGCCTCGGCCTCCCAAAGTGCTGGGATTACAGACATTAGCCACTGCACCTGGCCTTCTATTACATTTTCTAACTGTTTATCTATGTTATGGATAAACATTATTGATTTTTGTATACAGACATAACTCAGAGATATTGCAGGTTTAGTTCCAGACCAGTGCAATAAAGCGAATATCACAATAAAGCAAGTCACCAATTTTTTAGTTTCCCAGTACATATAAAACTATGATTACATTATACTGTTGCCTATTAAGTGTGCCACAGCATATGTCTAAAAAAATTATACATATACCTTGATTAAAAATACTTTATTGCTCAAAAATGCTAACAGTCATCTGAGCCTTCAGCAAGTTGTCATCTGTTTGCTGGTGGAGGGTCTTGCCTAGATGCTGATGGCTGCTGACTAATTGGTGGTGGTTGCTGAAGGTTGGGGTGGCTGTGGCAGTTTCTGAAAGTAAGACAGTGATGAAGTTTGCTGCATTGATTGGCTCTTCCTTTTACAAAAGATTTGTCCGTAGCATGCAATGCTGTTTGATAGCATTTTACCCACAGTAGAGCTTTTTTCAAAATTTGAGTCAGTCCTCTAACCCTGCTGCTGCTTTATCAACTAAGTTTATATCATATTCTAAACCCTTTGTTGTCATTTCAATAATGTCTGCAGTATCTTCACCAAGAGTAGATTCCATCTCAAGAAACAACTTTCTTTGCTCATCCATAAGAAGCAGCTGCTTGTCCATTAAAGTTTTCTCATGAGATTGCAACAATTTAGCCACATCTTTAGGCTCCACTTCTAATTCTAATTCTCCTGCTGTTCCTACCACATCTGTGATTACTTCCTCCACGGAAATTTTGAAAACCTCAAGGTCACCTGTGAGGATTGGAATCAACTTCTTCCAAACTCCTGTTAATGTAGCTATTTTGACCTCCTCCCATGAATCACAAATGTTCTTAATGGCACCTAGAATGGTGAATCCTTTCCAGAAGGTTGTCAATTTACTCCACCCAGATTTATTACAGGATCACTATGTATGGCATCTCTAGCTTTGTGAAATGCATTTCTTAAATAATAAGACTTGAAAGTGAGTTACTCCCTGACCCGTGGGCTGCAGAGTAGATGTATTGGCTGGCAGAAAAATGACATTAACCTTCTTGTACATCTCCATCAGGGCTCTTAGGTGTATTGTCAATAAACAGTAATACTTTGAAAGGCATATTTTTTTTCTGAGCGTTAGGTCTCAATAGTGGGCTTGAAATATTAAGTAAACCATGCTTTAAACAGATATGTTGTCATCCAGGCTTTGTTGGGCTATTTCTAGTGCACAGGTGAAATAGATTTAGCATAATTCTTAAGGGCCATGGGACTTTCAGAATGGTTGAGTATTGGCTTCAACTTTAAGTGACCAGCTGCATTAGCTCCTAGCAAGAGAGTCAGTCTGTCCTTTGAAGCTTTGAAGCCAGGCGTCATCTTTCCCTCTTTAGCTATGAAAGTCCTAGATGGCATCTTCTTCCAGTATAAGGCTGTTTTGTCTACACTGAAAATCTGTTGTTTCATGTATCCACCTTCATCAGTTATCTTAGCTGGATATTCTGGACTTGCAGGTTATCAGCATTTGCTGCCTCAGCTTCTTAAACTTCAGGAACCAACCTCTGTTAGCTTCAAATTCTCATCTGCAGCTTCCTCACCTCTCTCATCCTCATTGAATTGAACTGAAGAGAGTTCGGGCCTTGCTGTGGATCAGATTTTGGCTTAAGGGAATGTTGTGTCTGGTTTGATCTTCTATTAGACCACTCATAGTTTCTCCAAATCAGCGATAAGGCTGTTTTCTTGATCATTCGTGTGTTCACTGGAGTAGCACTTTTAATTTCCTTCGAGAACTTTTCCTTTGCATTCACAACTTGCTAACTGGTGCAAGAGGCCTAGCTTTTGGCTGGTCTTGTCTTTTAACATGCCTTCCTCACTAAGCTTAATCACTTCTAGCTTTGGATTTAAAATGAGAAACGTGTGACCCTTCCTTTCACTTGAACACTTAGAGACCATTGTAGAGTTATTAATTGGCTTAATTTCAATATTGTTGTGTCTCAGGGAACAGATAGGCAGGGGAACGGCCAGCCTATGAAGCAATCAGAACACATGCATTTCTCAGTTAAGTTCACTGCCTTATATGGGCACAGTTCATGGAGCCCCAAAACAATTATAATAGTATCTTCAAGGGTCACTGATCACAGGCCACTATATCAGATATAGTAATAATGAAAAAGTTTGAAATGTACTGAGAATTACCAAAATATGACTCAGAGACAAAGTAAGCACATGATGTTGGAAAAATGTTGCTCATAGACTTACTCAATATAGGGCTGCCACAAACCTTCAATCCGTAAAAAATCTCAACATCTGTGAAGCATGATAAAGTGAAGAACAATAAAACAAGGTATGCCTATATTTATTGTACAACCAGCTTTCTTATTAGATTTTCTTTCTTTTTTTTTTTGGTGCTTGTTTTGTGGGGATTCTTTTGTTTTTCCACATGTGAGTACATAAACATATGCTCTGCAAATAAAGATAATTTTAACTTCTTCTTTCATGAATGTTATTTCTACAGTTGATTTCTCTTGTCTAAGTACATGGGCTAATACTTCAGACCCAGTGTTAAAGAGTGAGTGCTTGTCTTGTTCCAGACTGTAGCAGGAAAAGTTAGTTTTTCTTTGTTAATTAAGATGCTGGCTTTTGAGGTTAGGTATGTGTTGCATAAATATGTATTTTCTATCTTGTTAGGCATGACTTTATCCTATCCCTCAGTTTCTGTTTTGTTGTTTCTCATAGGAATGAATGCTGATTTTTTCACATACCTTTGGTGCATCTGTAGAGATGATCATATAATTTTTCTCTTTAGCTCTGTTAACAGGATGGACTATATGCTAATGCTGAATCACTCTTGCATTTCTGGAATGAACTGTATTTGGAGTAATGTTTGTCTTCCTGAATCTATAACCTCCATGACTTTATCTGGAAGCTGGGCAAGGTCTTGGCCTAGCTCATAATCCCAGTGCCTACAATATAGTGTGTAATATCTACTTATTGAAAGAATGTTGAGTGGATTTTCTTCCCTTTAAAGATCATACTTTTTTTTTTGGGGGGGATGGAGTCTCACTCGGTCACCCAGGCTGGAGTGCAGTGGCACGATCTCAGCTCACTGCAACCTCTACCACCCAGGTTGTAGCGACTCTCCTGCCTCAGCCTCCTGAGTAGCTGGGATTACAGATGTGCACCACCACACCCTGCTAATTTTTGTATTTTTAGTAGAGACAGGGTTTCGCCATGTTGGCCAGGCTGGGCTGGAACTCCTGATCTCAAGTGATCCGCCCACCTCGCCCTCCCAAAATGTTGGGATTACCCGTGTGAGCCACCATATCTGGCCAAGATTATACTTTTAAAAATAAAAAACAATGCATGTCTCTCATAAATTATTTAAGCAAATACAGAAAAGTACAACAGCAAAGGCAATGAATTACCCAGAAGTATACCATCCAGAAACGATCAGACTGTTATGTGGTCATAAATTCAGAAATCTATCGATCATATAATGATACAAGACACAAGCTATGGAAGAATAATGTGTATGTTTTAAAAAATTGTCTTTGTTTGAAATTAACAGGAGAATTGAAATGAAACTGAAGAGAGAATACTAAATTTTAGATTACAGGTCTCTCATTACAAAGCACATTTGTTTCTAGAGTTAAAAAAAAAAATTCCCAATCTCCTTACGGGTCCTCTTCATTGTAATTTGTCTCTTCCTTCTTCTACAAAATTACTGTGGAGATCTCACACCTTCCCCCATGCCATTATCTTGAATTTTCACTCATGTCTACTCTGTTCCTTGCTGTTTCTAAATTATTTACTAGATTTGCAGTGATGGGGTTTTAATTCTCACGCTGTAATTGGTTTCCTTAGTTCTGTCTCTAGCTTTCTTTTCATCATAGTCTTGTTTTTCTCACTTTGAGTCCTTCCTTTGTTAAGTTTATGTGTGTATTAGGTTCCATGAAGTTCTTGTGGGGAGCTTTGGCGTCTGGGTTGATGTGTCTTTCCCCATTTTCAAGCTCTGTTTTCTGCTGACCTTCTGTTTGCCAAATAAGCTGTGGTGTGCTTCCATGCACCTTGATGTACCCACTCTCCTTGTGCTCCTGGGCTTGGCCCGGACAATTCTTCCCTGCCCCGACAGCCTTCAGACCCACCAGGGCCAGTTTCTCTTCTCCTGTCAGAGGCTCCATTTCAGACATGGATGTTGCCTTTGGCCTTGACTGTCTAACTTAGGACAGGGTGGGGAGATCCCCCAGGGGCTGAGCACATCCTTGCTAGGTCTTGGGTTCTTGCTCTTCCCTCTGAGGACCTCCCTAGAGATGTCCCCTTGACCGAGCCAGGGCAGTTCTGCTCCAGTGAGCGTCATCCGTCCCTCAGCCCTGGCCCTTTCTTTCTTGGTTGAGCTCCTGAGTTGCTGCGTAGGAGCTTCTGTTTTAAAGAGATTTTAAAAAATTGTCCTAGAACTACCTGCACCCAACTCAGACCCCATCATCCCAGACTTGAAGGTATTAGTGCGAATTCTCAGCTTCTGTCTGCTCACCTGTGCTCACATAGGTGAGGGCTGGGGAGGACATGGAACCTTCAGGATCTCCTTTTCTCCACTTATTTCTGTCCTGCCCCCCCTTTCTAGTTCATGACAGGACATGATGCCCCTTTCTTCCTGTCTTGATTGCTGCTGGTGACACTCATAAGATGTTTGTCTGGCTCATCTCATGAAGAATCAGGAGAGGGACCTTCAGTCCACGTCACATGGAAGCAGACCCTCGGAGCATGCAGGGTCTACTCCCAGGCCCCGTGTTTCCCTCTGACAGTCTCAGTCCTATGCCCAGGTCAGTGTACACATTTCCTGAGGGCCATGCATGCCAGACTTCAAGCACAGGCGTGACATATGTTATTGTTCAAAATCTCACAGTCGTCCTATGGGATAGGCATTACCACTGAGCACTTTTTTTTTTTTTTTGAGACAGAGTCTTACTCTGTCTCCCAGGCTGGAGTGCAGTGGCATGATCTCAGCTCACTGCAACCTCTGCCTCCCGGGTTCGAGTAATTCTCCTGCATCAGCCTCCCAAGTAGCTGAGATTACAGATGCCCAGCACCACACACGACTAATTTTTTGTATTTTTAGTAGAGACGGGGTTTTGCCATGTCGGCCGTGCTGGCCATGCTGGTCTCAAACTCCTGACCTCAAGTGATCCACCTGCCTTGTCCTCCCAAAGTGCTGGAATTACATGCGTGAGCCACCGTGCTTGGCTCACTGAGCACTTTCTATAGAGAAGAAAGCCAGGGTTCAGGGAAGGTCATCAACACACACTTGACTTGGACCCCGGGAGACCTGGTCTAGAGTCTGCTCTTTTAGCATATTGCTGCCTCTGTGGGAAAGCAAGTGAGGTGATTTTGTGTCATGGAAACTAATTACTGCGACAGTGGTAACAATACTACAACATGTGAGTGGGCCTTGGTATTACAGGAACTGAAACTATTTTAAAAGGGATTACTCTGATAGCTATCATTATCACTATACTCAAATTAATGACTTCTTTCTGAGTATATTTTTGTGTTATAATACATTCAATTATAGGGGAGACAGAATTTCACCTCTAATCTCCTAGGGTTTTCAGCTGGGCCTGTGAATTAAATTGACACAAGACAGATTAATAGGAAAAAGCACACCAATTTATATATGTTTTATGTGACTCAGGAGCCCTCATAAGGAAATGAAGACCCAGAGAAGTAGCAAAACACAAATGCTTTTATACCAAGATGGACAAAGAGAGGCAGCTGGGGACAGGTACACTGTGTGGGGAGGCTGAAGGAGTAAGAATCATTTCACAGGGTCTCTTGGCTCTTCCTCCCCATCGAAGAATGTTTCATTCTCCTGGTGAGGGAGGACATCTTTCACATGGCAATGTTTATCTCCTATTTTCAGGAAGAAAAGGGGTGATTAGAATGTTCTTCTTGCCTCTGCTGTTTTTCAAGGGTCTTTAACTGAAAACAGTATGCCAGAGCTCCATATGTTGGGGTTGGGTATTCTGAACATCTTCAACATCATTCTAAAAATAATTCCTGTTATGTGCAAGGTACCACTGCAGCTGCTTTATATATGTGGACCATTCACTGCCTCCAGTCACCTGCAAGGGAGCTCCTATCCCTGTGTTGCTGAGGAAGAAACTAGGGGTGGGAGGAAATGCAGTGAGCGCTAGGGCCGCGCCGCTGGTAAGGGGAGGCAGCTGACTCAGGGGCAGGTCCACTCGGCGCCCAGGACAGGGTCTCCCTGTGGCACTGTGCCGAGTCTCTGCTTTGCCTGGTCCTGTGAACTGTCATTATCAGTAGTGAAAGTGTCTAAAACAAGTCACCACGCTTTCCTTTTTTCTTTTTTTCAGACAGAGTCTCTGTCAGCCAGGCTGGAGTGCAGTGGCATGATCTCCACTTGCTGCAACCTCCGCCTCCCTGGCTTAAGCAATTCTCCTGCCTCAGCCTGCTGAGTAGCTGAGATTACAGGCGTGAGCCACCACACCCGGCTAATTTTTGTATTTTTAGTAGAGACGG
Source organism: Homo sapiens (assembly GCF_000001405.40). Taxonomy (NCBI): domain Eukaryota; kingdom Metazoa; phylum Chordata; class Mammalia; order Primates; family Hominidae; genus Homo; species Homo sapiens. Next base: position 1,471,202 of record NW_011332701.1, on the reverse strand, counting down.
GGTTTCACTGTGTTGGCCAGGCTGGTCAAGCATCAAGACAGTTCGAATTCCTGTTAGGAGTAATTGTTGAGGTCAGAGTTTATGGAAGAAGTAATCTGTAGACAGGCATCCTAGGGGGAGAAATTTACTCAATTTAAAATTTTTCTCTCTCAGAAAAATCATAGAAATATATAAGCACATTATTACTTATTTGTTGACATTACAACCCAACATATTGTTTCTCTTCTAAAATAATTTTTTAAAAACTCATTAATAGGTATTTTAGTCATCTTGGGGTGTCATAACAAAATAATGTAAACTGGGTGGATTAAACACAAAAATTTAGTTTTTCTCAGTTCTGGAGGCTGGAAAGTCCAAGATTAAAGTGGCAGCATGGTCTGGTTCTCGTGAGGACTTGCTTCCTATCTTGCAGACGGCCGCCTTCCCACTGTGTCTTTACATAGCCTTTTCTCCATGTGTGTGCAGGTAGAGAGAGAGAGGTCTCTGTCTCTTTCTTCTTTTCTAAGGCCACCAATCCTTGTGGGTCAGGACCCTACCCTTGTGATCTTAGTTAGCCTGGAGTACCTACTAAAGACCCTATCTCTAAATATAGTCACATTGGTGGTTAAGGCTTCAACATATGAATGGAGAGGGCACACTTTAGTCCATAGCAATAGGTAAGTTAGTTTTTTCTCTAAATCTAATTTCTCCTTTTTAAATGTTTTTCTATGTTCATATTTCATCCAATATCTCTTGCAGTTGGATAGTAAACACCAATGGGAAGGATCTGTATCCAATGCCTGATCTACCTTAAACCACTAGCAAGTTCTTCATCTTTCAGTGTTAAAGTGATGATTATGATAGAAAGCAATGTCAATTATCAGCATGTTCAGGTTATTTAAACGTTTATTTTGACTTCAGGTTTTTTTTTTTATGTTAGCTGAAGCATGACATGATCAGCTTTTAAAACATGGCTGTTCAAATTTTCCTATTTCGTCAGATAATTGTCAATTTTTTTTGTATAAAAGGAAGGATAGAACACCCTGTATGATTTTAGTAGAGAGATACATTTGAAATTAATGTTCTCATTTAGTTACAGAAAGCTAGAGAGAAATACCGCTATAAATAATTGAGTTCTTGGCAAATGAACTTGAAAATAAAAAAGAATATTTGCCAGCTGGGTGCAGTGGCTCACTCCTGTAATCCCAGCATTTTGGGAGGCCGAGGAGGGTGGATTGCCTGATCTCAGGAGATTGAGACCAGCCTGGGCAACATGGCGAAACCCTGTCTCTACTAAAATGTACAAAAAATTAGTCAGGCATGGTGGCATGCGCCTGTAGTCCCAGCTACTCAGGAGGCTGAGGCTGGAGAACCACTTGAACCAGGTAGGCGGAAGTTGCAGTGAGCTGAGATCGCGCCACTGCACTCCAGCCTGGGTAATCACGCCACTGCACTCCAGCCTGGGTGATCACACCACTGCACTGCAGCCTGGGTGGCAGAGCAAGACTCTATCTCCAAAAAAAAAAAAAAAAATTACCAATTATTTTTCAGTATATCTTAGATACACTACTATAACTTCCTCTTGAGAAAAAATATGAAACAAGTGTAAAAACCTGGCATAGCATTATCAGAAATACAAGTATGTGCTTTTAAAAATGTGCTGAATTATAAAAGTTAATTAAAACTAAGACATTGTCATGTGGTATCCTAAACTTGTTACATATAACCTTTTCCATGAGAAAAGCAAACCTTTTTCTTCTCTGTGAGTGTAACTCTCTTGGTGTCTTCAAGCTTCTGGAATTATAGGATGGCTATTTCCTTTCATATTCAGGTGCACCGCCTTGCACCCTAATGCCCCACATTTAGGAAATGCAGCATGCTCAATTCCTCTTCCTCATCCCCCCCAAGGATCCTTGTGCCCGATTCAGGAGATTTTCCTTGTCATCCTGACTCCAGGTTCCTGTCTATGCTGAATGCTCAGGTTTCCCTGAGCCCTGCGCCTCCCACAGTCAGCCTGTACCACCCTACTTGCCCCAGTGGGCACTGCTTCCCATCCTGAAGGATCACCAACAACCCACTGGGGTATCGCAGCGCTGCCTGGGGCCCCAAGGCCCTCATATGGCCAAATCCCGCAGTCAGTGATTAGACTCTTCTCACCTGACCCCACAGCAACATTTGAAACACATGCTCCATGTGGCTTCCAGTTCGGTAGAGCTGCTCAGCCCTTCCCTACCTCACTGGCTGCTTCTTTAGCCCCTCTTGCTGGCTTTTCTTCCTAAAGGGGAAGTGCTTCAGCACCAAGCCGTGAGTCTTCCTCTCTATCCAGCTTCTCTCTCTAATGGGATTTCAACCAGACCCATGGCTTTAAAAACTATCTTTAGTTCAGCTTCTTTTTTGGGCTCCAGACTCATGTATCCAACTGGCCAGTCAGCACCTCCATATGGATGTCTGGTAGGCATTTCCATTTTAACACATCCAAAGCAGAATTCTTGATTCCACTCCCAAGTCTGTTCTTCTCCCCTCTGTTCTGTCCCAGTAATGGATACTGCCATTTACTCAGTTTCTGAGGCCAAAACTTTAACAGTTACCCTTGACTCTCGCCACTCCCTCTCTTCCTCTCCCTCTCAGCAAAGTGCATCAACAAGACCTGTTAGCTCTGCCTTCGTAGTATATCCAGGGTCCAGCCACTTCTCATCACCTCCAGCACAGCTTCTCTGGTCTGAACCACTTTAATCTCTTGCTGGACCAAGGCAGCTGAAATACTCTCCCTGGCACTACTCCTGCCTTTGAATCCTGTGCACCACACAGAAGCCATGATGAACTTTTAAAAACCTGTAAGTCACCTCATGTCACTCCCCAGTTCAAAATTCTCATTTGTCTTCCAGTCTCACTCAGAATAGTCTTCTGAACTCATTGTGCCGTGCAAGCTCCAGTATGACTTGTCCTCTGCCCATCTTCTGGAACCAGAAACTCTGGCAGAGAATTTAAATGAAAAATTTATCTTTGCATTTGATAAGCCCTTTATTTGTTCATTCAACCAATATTTATTGAGTGCTTTTCAACTATTAACACTGTTTTGAGGATTTGAGATAGATCAGGGAACAAATCAGACCAAGATCTCAGCCCTCATGGAGCTCACATCCTAATGAAGGCATATAGTAATAGACTAAAAATGGTAACGTCTGTTAGAAAGTAGAATGTGGTACAGTTGGCTGAGGGAGTGATGGGGGCAGAAACTATCATTGTAAATAAGATGGGGACAGCAGAGCTGATTGAGCATGTGACTCTTGAGCCAAGTGAGGGAGTGAGGAGGTGAAGGAGTTTGCCTTGCAATGTCTGAGGCAGAGGGAATAGTCAGTACGGAGGCCCTGAGTGGGACTAACAGTTCTAAGAGCAACCAGGAGGCCCTGTGGCTAGAGGGAAGTGAGCAGTGGGGAGGAAAGAGAGGGGATCATAGAGGAAGGGAGAGGGAAGGAAACTGCAGGGCCTTGTAAGTCAATCTAAGTCCTCTGCCTTTTACTCTGTGTGCTGTAGGGAGCCACTGGGAGGTGTTAAGCAGAGAGTGTCATTGCCTGGCTTAATTTTTTAAAGGCCCACTCTGGTTGGTGAGTTGAGAGCAGGCTGCAAGGGAGGTCTTGAAGGAGGGAACAGGTAAGATGGCTGTAACAGTGTCATGGTTGTTTGCCACGTAGTCGTATGGTTTTGAGTGATTTTCTTAGTGTTAATTTCTATTTTTATTGCACTGTGGTCTGATAGTGTGGTGGCTATGATTTCAGTTTTTTTGCATTTGTTGAGAATTGTTTCATGGCTGATTGTGTGGTCAGTTTTAGAGTATGTGCCATGTGCAGATGAAAAGAATGTACATTCTCTTAATTTTGGGTGGAGAGTTCTGTAGATGTCTGTTAGGTCCATTTGGTCAAGTGTCAAGTTCAGGTCCCAAATATCTTTGTTAGTTTTCTGCCTCGATGATCTGTTCAATATTTTCAGTGGAGTGTTGATAAAGAAAATGTCATACAGCCGGGTGCGGTGGCTCACACCTGTAATCCCAGCACTTTGGGAGGCCAAAGCAGGCAGATCACCCGAGGTCAGAGGTTCAAGATGAGCCTAGCCAACATGGTGAAACCCCATCTCTACTAAAAATACACAAAAATTAGCAGGGCATGGTGGCAGCTGTCTGTAGTCCCAGCTACTTGGGAGGCTGAGGCAAGAGAATCGCCTGAACCTGGGAGGTGGAGGTTGCAGTGAGCCAAGATCACGCCACTGCATTCCGGCCTGGGTGACAGAGTGAGACTCCATCTCAAAAATAAAGAAAAAAGAAAGAAAATGTGGTACATATAAACCATGGAATACTATGCAGCCGTAAGAAAGAATGAGATCATGTCCTTTGCAGCAACATAGATGGAACTGGAGGCCATTATCCTAAGCAAATTAATGCAAGAACAGAAAACCAAATACCACATGTTCTCACTTATAAATGGGAGCTAAACATTGGGTACACATGGACACAAAGAAGGGAGTAATAGACACTGGGGCCTACTTCAGGGTGGAGGGTGGGGGAGGGGGGTTAGGATCAAAACACTACCTGTCGGGTACTGTGCTTAATCACCTGGCTGACAAAATAACCTGCACAACAACCCCCAACAACATGCCATTTAGCTCTATGACAGTGTACCCCTAAACCTAAAAAAAGTACCCCTATAACATGTGTCCCTAAACCTAAAAAAAAAATAAAAGTCTGAAAAAAAAACCAGTGTCATGGTTGGTTTTATGTGTCAGCATGGCCATGGGCTATCTGTCTGAAATCAAAGTCAGTTTGGTTGGAATCATCTGAGAAAAGCATTAAGCATTTCTGTGCAGCTGACTACATCAACTAAGAAAACAAATAGCAACTTGTTCAGAATGCATAATACAAATGTAAAAGGCTGAAATAGCTGCAAACAAATATGAACTAAGTGATGACATGAAAATAGACTCTTCCTGTCACCTTTTCAGCAGCTATGCCTGGGGCTGAGAAGGATACAGCAGGTGCCAGCAGCCCCATATTTCAAGTGGCAGGCCAGGCCACCCAGCCCCTGTGAAGGAGTGTCATGTGGGCTCCGAAGTATCTTAGAAGCTTAGGGTGGAGTGGATGCAAAGTGGCTCCGAGTAGAAGCGGCCCCTTGGAGTCTGCTCAGACTGGCCTGCTCCTCCCTGGGTAATGCAGAGTTGGTCAGGTCTGGGGTCGCTGGGATCAGCCTCAGCTCATGAACCGGATCAGGATCCTCAGCAGGCGGCTGTGCAGCATTAGAATCAATTCCAAATGTGATGCCAGTCTTCCATTATTGTGGCATTTGGAAATAAATGTTGTGTAATTGATTTGGAGAATAAACAATAGGTAAACAAATAAACATAAAAAAAGCGAATATTTCAAGACAGAGCGTTCCAAAATTGACACGCCTTGCAAATTGCTCAAGGGTTCCAAAACCGTTCTTCTTTCTTGCGGGAAACATCCCATTTGCACCAACCCTCTTTTTCCGTTTTCTATGAAATGAGTTTAAATGGTTGGCAGAAAAAAATGGGATGTAATTATTTTTGGCAAGCAGAATAGGGTTATAAATATGCCCATTTTGAAGCTATTGTGAGAGCTCTTTTCTCCATTAATTTCTCATTCATTTGCAAATCTAATATAAAGTACTCTCGCTGTTAATGGACTTAAACTTTATCAACTTTCAGTAGAACTGATTTTTATTTTGCTTCAGCCGGCAAAGGATATTGCTGCAGTGTGAGTGAGCTGCATCTTCCTTTAAAACATGGGACTCTATACCTCCTTAACTCACCAGCATCATTCTACTTTTTAAAAAGTCAGTGAATGGGGATTTTTTGTATCAAATACCAAGACGATAAGTTGAATGAACAGCTTGGACTCATGATAAATTTAACAGGAATTTTTTTAAAATCTTGGTATGCATTTTTTAAATGGCTTTTTTCAGAATAGTTTTGGTTTTCCATTTTTGTTACATGGTCTTATTGGAAGAGAAGCTTCCACTCGACTGTCATATCAGATATTTGCAATATGAAGATGAAGAGTGAAAATGGGCCACAAACTGAGCAAACATCAAAAATGAAAAAAACAGGGAAATGGGCATGGGTTTAGAGCTTCAATATGCATAGTTAACAAACAAAGACCCCGGGTGTCTTAGTTTGTTCAGGCTGCTATAACAAAATACCATAGGCTGGGTATCTTACAAACCATAGACATTTATTGCTCACAGTTCAGGAGGGTTAGAAGTCCAACATGAAGGCACAAGCAGATTTGGTGTCTGGCAAGGGCTCACCTTCTGCTTCATAGATGGTACCTCCTCGCTGTGTCCTCACATGGTGGAAGGGGCTGGGAAGTTCTCTGGAGCCTCTTTTATAAGGACACTAATTCCATTCATTAAGGTTACGCCCTCATGATTTAATCACTTTCCAAAGACCTCACCTCTTAATACTATCACACTGGGAATTAGGTTTCTATATGTTAATCTCATGGGCCACAACGTTCAGATTACAGAACCAGGGTTTCCAAAATGCTACTTCCATTGGGTCATTCCCAGGGAGCCATCATTGAACGTACAACCATGCCTCTACTTAGTCAAAGGTAGTATCTGGAGACACAGAATCAGACATAAAACTTAGTATAAAAAGTTTTAAACCATATTTATTTACTAAGTGTTTTTCTGTCAACTCTGTTATACTGCCTATTACCGTAAAATCACAGAAAAGCAGACGGTGTAGAGAACAAAGTGCTCTGATTATCTGAAATTTTTGTTACTGAAAACTCTAAGGACATGCATAAGTAAAAGTACTTCTGCCTTAGCAGATAGAAAATATTGAACATTATCTAATCCTTATGTGACAAAAGAAGACCTCTCAGTGATTCAAGGAAGTCCTTAAAAACTAGCATTGCTTTTCTCGATTCTGTTAAATAAAATTACCCTTATTTTTTATTTTATAACAAGTATTATTTTAGGTAGCAAGAATTGTAAAGAAAAACTGTTTTAAATAGTCCATGATCATACTGTCAAAAAACTCCTGTTGATATTTTAAAATAAAAATATGAGTAGCATGGTTAGAAAATTCAAACTTTGCAGAAAAGTGCTAAATGGAAAAGTAAGGCATCCTTCCCACCTGTATTTCAGTCCTTCTCCCTAGAACTTCCATTATGAATAGTATTTTTTACTTCTTTCAGAAAACACTGATGATGCATATCCACACATATTTACCTGTATAGAAATTATTTTTTAAATGGAAATAAAAGGAGCATATTAAGACTATGTTCTGTTCGGGCACAGTGGCTCATGCCTGTAATCCCAGCACTTTGGGAGGCCCAGGCAGGCGGATCACGAGGTCAAGAGATCGAGACTGTCTGGCTAACATGGTGAAACCCCGTCTCTACTAAAAGTACAAAAAATTAGCCGGGCATGGTGGCAGGTGCCTGTAGTCCCAGCTACTCGGGAGGCTGAGGCAGGAGAATGGTGTGAACCCGGGAGGTGGAGGTTGCAGTAAGCCGAGATCGCACCACTGCACTCCGGCCTGGCTGACAGAGCGAGACTCCATCTCAAAAGAAAAAAAAGACTATGTTCTGTACCTCGCTTCCTTCTCATAATAAATCTTGGTAATTGTTCATAACAACACATAGAGTTTTAATTCATTCTTCCTAATAGCAACATATATTCCATTTTAACCCAGTGATTATCTACCATTGGTGATGCCATGCCTCACATCCATCCATCCCATCCACTCATCCATCCATCCATCCATCCATCCATCCATCCATTTATCCATCTATCTATCCATCCATCCATCCATGCATTTACCCACCCTCCCACCCATCCATCCATCATGCATCCATCCATCCATCCATCTACCCACCTACCGATTCATCTGTCTACCCATTCATCCGTCCGTCCATCCATCCATCCATTTCTCCATCCACTTATCCATCTGTACACCCACCCACCCACCTACCTACCCATCCATCCATCCATCCATCCATTATCCATCCATTTACTCACCTACCCATTCATCCATTTATCCACTCACCCACTCATCCATTCATTTATCCATCCATCTGTCCACCCACCTACCCATTCATCTATCCATCTATCTACCCATTCACCCATACATCCATCCACGCATCCATCCACCCACCCACCTAGCCATCCATCCATCCATTCATCCACCCACCCATCCATCTACCCACCCACCCACCTCATCCATTCACCTACCCATCCACCCATCCGTTCATCCATCCATCCATCCCCCACCTACTCATCCACCTACCTACCCATCCATTTAATCAACAGCTAATGTTTGTGTGCTTTATTATATACTAGGCTCTGGGGATACAGCAATGAATAAAATTAGACAAAATATACCTGCCTCATGAAGCTTACATCCTCATGAGGGAAGACATAGAATAAAAGTATAGTTAAATAAGTTAACTATATTATATATTATAAAGTGATAATTACAGGCAGAAAGGGGGCCAGAGAGGGTCAGTGGGCACAGGATGGGGATTTTGATTTTTCATAGGGAGGCCAGAGAAATCCCACTGAGAAGTGACTTGAGAAAGAAGAGTGTCCAGCCAGGTGGATGTCTAGTTAAGAAGGCCCCAGACAGAAGGAAGAGCAAGTAAGGTCTGTGATGCTGGAGCCTGGCTGGTGAGTTGAAGGAACAGTCAAGAAGCCAGTGTGCTGCAGCCACGTGACCTGGGGCTGAGTGGTAGGTAAAAGGTGACGCTGAAGAGCCAGCAGGTCATCTCCACCACTGCGTCTTTCCAGCAGAGGCCCAGACATCATGGAGCAGACACAAGCCATCTCCACTGTGCCTGGAGAATTCCTGACCCACAGACCTCATGACCATAGGAAAGTGGTTTTCAGCTGCTGAGGCCGAAGGAGTTTGTTAAACACCAGTAAGCTGTAGCCAAAACTCCTAAACCAAGTATGCTAAGAGTTTTTTAACATGAATACTTGTTGAACACAGTTCTGTAATTTTCTTCATCTGTCACATAATCATAAAATATTTCTTCAACCTGTTATGGATAGACCAAGCTTCCTGGATCCAACCTTATGTGGTCATGGTGTGTTATCATTTTTATGTACTTCTAGTTTATTTCCATGGACATTACTCTTCTTTTTTCTTTTTTTCACTTTCAAGTCACGTTTGTTAAAGTTTTGTTTAGGATCTTTGCATTTATGTTCATGAGACAGATGGTTCATATCATTTTCCTTCATGAAAGGTCTATCAGAGGTTGGTACTAAGATTATGCTGCCTTTAGAAAACACAGTGAATAGTTCTTTTTCTATTTTCTGGAAGAGTTCATGTAAGACTGGTAGTATCTCTTCCTTAAATGGTCATTAGAATTCATTCACTGTTGAAGTCATCTGGCTGTGGGATTTTATTTCATGGAAGGTGCTGAATTATGATTCAGTTTCTTTAATAGTTACAATATATTCAAATTTAGTATTTCTTCTTCTTGTGTCAGTTTTGGTGGGTTGTATTTTTCTAAGCAATCCTCCATTTTATCTAAATTTTCAAATGTATTCCTATAAATTTGTTGATAATATCCTCTTATTAGCTTTCTAATGCCTGTAGGAGAAGTGATACCTCCTTTCCATTTCTGATAGTAGTTATCTATGCCTGCAGTTTGCTTTCTTCATCAATCTTACCTCAGATTTGCCAATTTTATTAATTATCAATGAATTGTTTTTCCCTTTTTATTGTATTTTGAAATTTTATTTCATTGCTTTCTGTCTTTATTATTCCTTTTTTTTCTGTTTTCTGAAGATTTAATTTGCAGTTCTTTTTCTAAATTCTTGAGATGAATGCTTAGGTCATTAATTTTCAACTTTACTTCTCTAATAAATGCTCTCAGGGCTATAAATTCCCTCTAAACACAGCTTGACTTGTATCCTGTTAGTTTTAATATCATTCTGTTCAAATTATTTTCTGATATTGATTATTTCTTCTTTGATTCATAGGTTACTTAGAAGGATATTAATTTGTGAACATAGGTTTTCTAGTATCTTTTTGTTATATAGTCCTAGCTTAATTATACTGTTGTCAGAAACCATACATTTTCTGTTTCAAACCTTTGACATTTGTTGAAGCTTGCTTTTCTGCCCCATGTGTGGTCAATTTTTGTCCATGTTCCACAAGTTTAAAAACCATGTGCATTCAGCTGCTAGATTCTTTTATTGTTTCAACACTAAATGTGCATCCTTCAGACACTGCAGTTTAGTTTTGTTTTGTTGGATTTTTTTAAAGTCTTTTTGTCTCCTTTTATCTTAATGGGTCATTTTTCCTTATAGTCTAGCTGTTCAAGAGCCGAAGCATTTCACCTGTAGACCCCGCATGGATTCACTGATTACCTACTTTTGCTGCAGTTCAAAATGTTCCTGTGTTCTGTATATTTCCTGTTAATAAGCAACAGGATTTAGAGGCCTGATCAGACTCCAGTTCTTTCTCTTTGGTAAGATGATAGGTGGGATTCTGTTCATTCATAAAGAGGCATGCCAAAGTCTGGTGTTCTCTGTGATGTTAGCAACTTTTAATGTGTGATGCCTGGATTCATTAATACACTGAAGGTTGCAAACTGATGATATTCTAATTCTACAATTTCCTCATCATTTATTAGTTTGATTATTTGATATAGAGATGGTACTAGTTATCTACTGTGCTTTGTTATTTCCCTTTATCTGTCATCAGGAGAATACATTGGTTTTTGAGCATCCTCTAGAAGTGGCCAAATGGTGTTTTTGTAAAGATCATTATGAACTTCATAGACATGTTTTACTCCCTGCAATTATTATTCCCTATGATGCGTACACTGTTCTAAGTTTGGCCAGTGCGAGCTTTCCATATGTCTCTTGTCAGTGTCTCTTTGGTCATTTTGGTTGTCTGAAACTTATTCTCTAGTGAATTAATCTATTAAGTTTTGAGCGTATGCTGGACATTGTAAATGTGATACGGCTGAGTATCTGGATTTTAGATTTTGTTCCCTTCAGAGAGTGTTGAATTTTGTTCTGGCAGGTAGTTAGTTCATTTATTTGTGGATTAACTTGGTGCTTTTGAGTTTGTTTTTAAGATTTTTTTATGGTAGGTTTCCAGCAGGGGTTGGTAAACTTACTGTAAAGGACCAGGGTTTATGGGTCACAGATGGTCTGTGACGTATATTTCTTCATTAAAATGTAAAAGTCATTCTTAGTTCACAGGCTATATGATAACAGGGCAATAGGCCACATTTGACCCATGCGCTACAGTTTGCCAACCAATGGCCTAGAGTAACCCTTACTCTAGAGCTGAGATAGACCTGCTCTTAAGGGATGGCCTTTCTAGAAAGCTCTGATTTGACCAATTCTCTCCCTGATGGATGCTCTGTTGTTTTAAACCACCCAATTTGTGGTACTTGATTACAGCAGCCCTAGAAAACTAATACATATCCCAATCCAGTTGTTACTGTAACTAGGATTACTGGATTTATATGTTATTTTAGTAGAACTGACATCTTTATAGTATTCAATATATGTAATGTTTAATTTAAAAAACATCAAGTTTTATGATTTTCTGTAGAGTTTCAGAGTTTTTACTTTGCTTTAGGTTCATAATATTTTCTGTCGATTTTGGGCCTAGTTATTTTGTAGTTTTGTAACAATTTTTTAAAGGATCTCTTTTTCCAATATTTGTTCTGAGGATTTCATGTGTTTTTTAAAATAGGTCTAATTCTGCCTTCTATAACATCTTACATTTGCCCTTCTGTAGATTCATTCTTAGCCCTTCTGTTTCTCTCAATCCTATAATCCAAACTTTCAGGAAATCCTACAAATCACCCTGAATGTAACTATTTCTCATCACCTCCACTGCTACCCCCTCATCCAAGCCACCATCATCTCTTTTCTACATTACTGTTTCTATTAATTGGGATTCTCTAGAGAAATAGAATCAGCAGGATGTGTATATATACATAGAGAGAGATTGTTTTCAGGAATTGGCTCATGGTGTTGTGGAAACCTGCAGGGTAGGCCAGCAGACTGGAGACCCAGGGAAGAGTTACAGTTCGATCCAAAGCCCTTCTGCTGGCAGAATTCCTCCTTGCTCAGGGGAGGTCAGTCTTGTTCCCTTGAGGCCTTCACGTGATTGGATGGAGCCCACACACATATGGAAAAGGTTTCAAAGTTTTTTATACAGCAGTCCCCTCTTCCCCAAGGTTTCACTTTCCACAGTTTCTGTTACCTTTGATCAACCATGGGCTGCAAATACTAAATGGAATATTCCAGAAACAGACAACTCACAAGTTTTAAATCCACTGTTCTGAGTCGCAGGATAAAAATCTCCTGCTGTCTTTCTTCATCCCTTTGTCCAGCGTCTCCAGGCTGTCCACACTCCCCACGTGGCCGTCACTTAGTAGCCAGGATGGTTATCAGACATACATCGCAGTGCTTCCGTTCAAGGAACCCTCATATTACTTAATGGTGGCAAAACACAAGAGTAGTTTTACTGGCATATTGTTATAATTGTTCTATTTTATCAATAGCTATTGTTATTCTCTTATTTGCTTAATTTATAAACTGTATCATATGTATGTAAGTATAGGAAAAACTGCTGCGTAGGGTTTGGTACCATCTGCAGTTTCACGTATCCACTGGGGGTCTTAGGATGTATCCCCCTAAGGATAAGGGATGAGTACTGTGCTGAGTTTTATGTCTGATTCTACATCTCCAGATGTCGCCCTTGACTCAGTAGAGGCCTGGCTGTCAATTCAGCAGTGGCTTCCTGGGAGTGACCAGGTGGGGGACACCAAGTGGGAAAGAGGTGCAGGGGGACCTGGCCCTCCCTGAGGCCATGCCACTCCTCTTCTCCCACTCCAGCTGCCCATCGTCATCAGTGCTGACTCCAGCTTCATGCTTTGAGGGAGGCAGCATTTCAGATGGAGCACAGGCAGGGGTTTTCAGTAGACAGTTCATTCATTATTTCCTCTGGAAGTTAGAATAAGCACATTCACGAAGTCCTGATTTACATGGGTTTTTCACTGTTCTTGGAATGAAATCCAATCCAAGGGTCTTCATGAACTGACCCCTGTCACCCTGTTTTCTCCCTCCCGATGGTCTGGCTCTAAGAAGCTTCTCTCAGTGCCTGGGCTCTGCACATCCCCCTCCATCCTTGCAGCACCGACAGCCTTCTCCCTACAGCAGGAGACTGGCGGCTTGGAGCCTGCAATGAAGAAGGCTCCCCACAGGGTCCCAGCCTCGGGACTTCACTTTCCAAGATGCCAAATTGTTCCTCAGACACCTTGACCTGTGCCTCTAGAATGCAGACTTAGCTACTTTCATCATTGTTTTCTGGGTAACTGTAAATAAGACACATTCAATCTCCTTGTGGAAAAGAAAGCACAATATTTTCTGTCAACCACGTTGCTGGAACCCTTTTCAGAAAGTCACGGCGTTTTAATATCATCCTGGAAATTATGGCACTTTCATTTCCAAGATTCTAAGATTTACCCTTGTTTATATATGGCTGTTTGGTTTCCCAGGTAACAAATAACAGTGAGTGGGTCTGCTGGAGGAAATGTGTGAATGTCTCCTTTTTTGTCAACTAAACCTTTCTAGGACAGTGGACTTGGTCCTGTAGCAAAAGAGACACGTTTGCCTCATTTCCCCACTGTGGAGGCCCAGGGCGGGCTGTCTCCCTACTCATCCCACTGCTGACCTGCAGAGACCCAGGACAAGTGCAATTCTATGCCTGGACCTCCTTCTGCCCCTCAGACTCGTCACCATCTTCCTCTGTTAGCAGGGAGTGGGCTGAGGTTGAAGGCAAAGTTGGTTCCTTCTGGGCTCTGGCCACTAACGGGAGTCTGCCCACACATTGCCTGCTTCTTTGAATTTCCAGAACCTTTCAATAACGCTGCTTCCAGGATTGGTCAATGTGCTTTCCCCTCCCTGTTTCCTCATTCCTGGGCCCTAATCCCAGCTCCTGGGGCTGGGGCTCTGGCTGCCCATACCCACCCTAAGTCTCCTTGTGTTGACTGTCCCCCCAGAGGGCCCTCTTTGCTTCTGAGCACCAGACCTAGTGGGCAGAGGCTCTTGCTGTCTGCCCTGGGCTGCAAGATTCCTTGGCAGTGACATGGGGGGTGGAGATTAGGCTGCAGGGAGCATCAGAATTGTAGGCCCAGCTCCTCTTCCCAGACAATCTCCCCCCACCCTCAGTTTCCCCACAGTTACTGCAGGATGCGCTGTGAGGACAGCATGAAGGCACTGTCTTGGGCATGGCAGCGAACCCCAAAGAATTCCATTCCCTAGAATACCTGGACTTGGCATGGTGTGCAGGCAGTGGAGCGGGGGTGGAGGGTGTGGACCCCACACTCCATCTCTCCATTAAGAGAGTTGCTCAGCATGGCCAACTTCCACGCTTCCCCGAGTGTGAAGTAAGCCATGCTGCAGGATTAGAGCCAAGCCAAGGACAGAGGGGACGGCCTGGACAGAGCGATGCCCACAGCAGCTCACACCTGCTTCTGGGCCTGCTTGCATCCCCACTCTCTGCCTGGGACCTGGGGGAACCCTTCCTGGTTCTAAGAGTCAATAAATTTGGCCGGGTGTGGTGGCTCATGCCTGTAATCCCAGCACTTTGGGAGGCCAAGGCGGGCGGATCACAAGGTCAGGAGATCGAGACCATCCTGGCTAAAACGGTGAAACCCTGTCTCTACTAAAAAAAAAAAAAAATACAAAAAATTAGCCAGGCATGGTGGCGGGCGCCTGTAGTCCCAGCTACTCAGGAGGCTGAGGGAGAATGGCGTGAACCCAGGAGGTGGAGCTTGCAGTGAGCCGAGATTGTGCCACTGCACTCCAGCCTGGGGACAGAGCGAGACTCCGTCTCAAAAAAAAAAAGAGTCAATAAATTCCCCTTTTTGTTTGAGGTAACGGGAGTTGAGTTTCTATCACTTACAACCCAAAAACCTCCCTACCTAGTGCATCTCTTCACTTTGGTTTTCTGTCCTCCTCCGGAGCCTTTGCCTGACTTGAAGATCTTAATCCAGAAAAAGCATCATGTTAAGCAGTGGATGTTGGGCCATGAGCCATATAGACCCAGCCTTTTTGTGCCGTTATCTTTGACACATGGCCACTCAAATAGATTCTTGTAACTACACAGCTGTAGTAGAGAATGCAGCATTGTGCTTTAATACTAAGCAGTATTGAGAAGCCATAAGTTTTGATTTTTATCTTTTTCTCATGGCAAATGTATTTGGCCTGCATCTGGTATTCTTTATGACCACGTATGTTAACAGTAGAAAAGAAGTGAGGAATGAAAGAAGCAACTGATTGGATTTATCCTCTCTCTAGCCCTCTCCTTTTAAAACCAAAGATGTACAGCTTCTAGATGGAGACCTTATAAATTTTCCAAGCCATATACATATACATGATCTTAGTACACACTTCTGTGTTTTATGGAATATATGAAAACGCATTGCTGGGCGCAGTGGCTCATGCTTGTAATCCCAGCACTTTGGGAGGCCGAGCAGGGCAGATCACCTGAGGTCAGGAGTTCAAGACCAGCCTGGACAACATGGTGAAACCCCATCTCTACTAAAAATACAAAAATTAGCCATGCATAGTGGCACGTGCCTGTAATCCTAGCTACTCGGGAGGCTGAGGCAGGAGAATTGCCTGAACCCAGGAGGCAGAGGTTGCAGTGAGCTAAGACCGTGCCATTGTACTCCATCCTGGGCAACAAGAGCAAAACTCCATGAAAAACAAGAAAGAAAGAAGGAAAGAAAGAAAGAAGGAAGGAAGGAAGGAAAGAAGGAAGGAGATTCATATATGAAATTATGTACTGAAGAAAGAGAAAAAGAAGGAAAGAAAGGAAGAGAGAAAGAAAAGAAAAGAAAAAGATGGATGAAGATTCATATATGAAATTATGTACTGAAGCCTGTCAGTGATGATCAGTAGTTAAACTGGTGAAATGCCTTGTTAAGAACATGAAAGTGCTGGCAAAGTTGCAGGAAGTGTCAGTCTCCAGCAGGTATTCTTTGGGTTATGCAGATAGAATTCCTATGAAAGGTGGGAAGATGGATATAAATGATAGCACTCAGGATAGTGTCCACTAGTAGAAAATCAGATCATGAGATGGGAGCCTGGATTGTGTCCCAGCATTGGCAGACATTGGGTGGTGGGGCAGTTTTTCAGACCTCACAGGGCTTTATCTGATTTAAAATGGTAATAATAATATTTTCCTTTTGTTCTTTGAACTGATATTTTAAATGTACTCTGAACTTCTTGGAAGAAAAAAAAAACCTATGCAAACCTAAAAGTTTTGCTGTTCTTAGCAGTGGTTACAATGAATATTCAAAATAAATAGGTATTCACGAAATAGTTATTGTTTATCACTATTTCTCCTGAAGCACCATTAAAATGACAATAAAAGAATAAAAGAAAAAAGATTCAAACTCACAAAGAGGAGATGAACAGATGGGAAATGTCAGCAGCATTTTGGAAGCACGAGAAGTGTATCATTGTGTGGTTGGCTTCGATTTCTTTCTGCTTATCCACCATGCTGAGAGCTGGGGGTCCAGGGTGGGGCAGGAAGAAACAAGCTGATTTGTGCCTCAGGGCCCTGCAAGGGCTCAGGAATTAGAGTCACCAGATGTCTCTGAAGGCAGGAATGTGGATGGGGCAAAAGGAGCACTGGTTTACAGTCTGTGATATGCAGGCAACCCCCTCAGAGCCCCAAATGGAGCCTGTGCAGCTTTGTAACTGTCCATCTGACCCCAGTAGCAGACAGAGGTTGAACCAGAGAGACATCAGAGTACAAGGATGTCTAGTACAGCTAAGGCAGGAGTGGGGGTGCCTGACAGAAGATCGTCAGGATGAGATAGTCTATGCTGCAGTAACAAAAAAACCCTTGAAATTTCAATGGCTTAACGTAGCAAAGGTTTGTTTCTTAGTCACAAATGCATAGTATGGACTGGATAGCTCTTCAGGGCAGCTTTCCTCTGTGTGGGAAGGGAGGTAATGAGACCCCTTCCATGGCCCCCAGAATTGCTGTCTAGGGGGAAGAAAGGGATGGGGGAGGCACCTGATGGTGAGCACCTCAGGCCAGAGGGGACACACCCCTTCTACTCACATGTCCATTCACCAGACTCAGGCACATGGCCCATCCCAGCTGCAAGGGAGGCAGGAACTGCAGGGGGGCACATGGATGTTCTGTGAACACTGGGATTAAGTCACTTGGGATTAAGTGAGAGCCTTTGAAGAGATGAGGCCGCATCTCCATCGGCCTCCTCAGCTTCGCTCCCTTTGGCTCCCACAGTGCTGGCTGCTAGTCTCAACAATGCCCTGGCAGGAGCTGCAAGAGTCCTTTCTATAGAAGTTCACGGCCTAGAGAAAGAAAATCACAGGCAGAGGAACCTACTGGTGAGGCCCACGGATAGACAAGCTCTGTCTAAGCACAGACAGCATCAGTCAGCATTTGTGTTTCTGTCTTCTTATGTGGCCATTCTTTTAACAGAATTGTACTGAGTGCCTTCTGTGTGTTAGAAGAGCTCTGGCTCCTACGGATATAACAGTGAACAAAAGAGGCAAAATTCTCATTCTCCCAAAGCTGCATTCTTGTGCAGGGAGATTGATCATACAGAATGGGCAGATAAATCATATACCAGATGCAGGTGAGTGTTATGGTGAAAAAGTAAAACTCGTTCAAAACCTCAGGAGTATGGACATGGGGTGATACCTGAATATAGAGTCATGGGAAAGGGCTCATGGTCCCCAAGACCTGCAGGAGGCAAGGGAGTGAGCCGCGTGATTCTGCAGGGGAAGAACTTTCCAGGCAGAGAGGACAACCCGTGCAGAGCCCTGAGGTGGAAGCACGCCTGGCACACTCAAGGAACAGACTGCGAGGAGAAGTTATGGCTCGGGAGAGTGCCCTCAGGGAAAGTAGGAGGTGAGGCTAGACAACAGGGGCTGCCCGGTGTGCAGACTGGTGGGGGATTTTAAAGAGTTTGACTTTTTTGAGGACCATTGTGGTGGTGAGGTGAGGAGGGACTTGCAGGAGGGTCCCTCTGGTACCTGTGCCCTGGGAGGCCAGGGCCAGATCCACAAAAGCAGTGAAGGAATGAGATCCATTCATGTTGCCGCATTTAGCCGTAGTTCCTCCTTCTTATTGCTGTACAGTGTTTCGTCGTATACATCCTGCATTTTATTTATGCATTTTGTTGTTGATGGACATTTAGATTATTTCAATTTGGTGACTATTACAAATAATGCTGCTGTGAACTTTCACTTATATATGTATATATATATTTTTTGAGATGGAGTCTCACTCTGTCACCCAGGCTGGAGTGCAGTGGTGCGATCTTGGCTCACTGAAACCTCCACCTCCCGGATTCCAGTGATTCTCCTGCCTCAGCCTCCTGAGTAGCTGGGTTTACAGGTGCGCACCACCATGCCTGGCTAATTTTTGTATTTTTAGTAGAGATGGGGTTTTGCCATGTTGATCAGGCTGGTCTCAAACTCCTGACCCCAGGTGATCCACCCACCTCGGCCTCCCAAAGTGCTGGGATTACAGACGTGAGCCACCACACCGTGCCTCATATCAAATCTTTTTGTGCACTCTCTAGGAGTGAAATTTCGGGGTGCATAGGTTCAACTTTAGTAGATAATGCCAGATCATTTTCCACAGTGGTTGGTCCAGCTTACATTACCCCACCAATGTTCCTGTTTTTCCCCATTATCACCCGCACTTGATGTTGTCAGTCATTTTCATCTTAGCCATAGGGTGGTGAGTCATGGTGTCTCATTACAGTTTTGTTCTGCATCTCCTTGATTGCTAATAAGGTAGAGTGCCTTTTCATGCTTACTTGACATTTAGATGCTCTTTTTCTTGAAGCCCTTATGTTCCATTGTGTTATGTGCATTTTTCTTTTCTTTTTCTTTTTTTTTTTTTTGAGACAGGGTCTCCCTCTGTCACCCAGGCTGGAGTGCAGTGGCGTGATCTTGGCTCGCTGCAACCTCTGCCTCCTAGGCTCAAGCAATCCTCCCACCTCAGCCTTCAGAGTAGCTGGGACTGCAGGCATACACCACCACACCCAGCTAATTTCTTCTAATTTTTTGTAGAGACAGGGTTTTGCCACGTTGCCCAGGCTGGTCTCGAACTCCTGAGCTTAAGCAATCTGCCCACAGCCTTCCAAAGTTCTGGAATTACAGGCGTGAGCCTCTGCACCCCGCCCATTTTTCTTATTTATTTTGTATGTTCTGGAAATGATCCCGTCATTGAGTTATTTGTGATTTGTTGGGCGGATATATACATATATGTATGTACATACATACACATGTACATATATAGTTATGTGTTATGTGCTTAATGACAAAGGTGTTCTGGGAAATGCATGTTGTGTAGACATCATAGAGAGTACTTACTCAAGCCTAGATGAGGGTACAGCTTACTACACACCTATAGGCTATAGGGTACAGCCCATTGCTCCTGGACCATAAACCTGTACAGCACGTTACTGTGCTGAATACTATAGGTGACTGTAACACAGTGGTGAGCATATGTGCTTCTAAACATACCTAAACACAGAAAAGGTACAGTAGAAATATTGTACCGTTAATTACTACACTTAATATAGAGTTATGAGGGAAGATCTCACCATTGCTGGGGACCTGAAGGAGGCAAGGGAGTGAGCCATGTGGGAAGAACTTTCCAGGCAGAGAGAACAGCCAGTGTAGAGGCCCTGACAACACCAGGTGTTGGTGATGATGGGGAAACAGGAGCAGGAGCACTGTGCTGGGCGTTACAGTCAAACGAGACCACTGTCACATACGTGGCCCAGACTTGCCTAAAACAGCATTGTGTGGCACATGACTGTATATGCACACACGCACGTATACAAATATGCATACAGAACAGTATGTGTTTCTTGCTTTCAGAGGCTTGCCTTTTCAGTGGTCTTTTTGGTGTCTTGATTTAAAAAATATTTTTCCTACCTCAGGGTCACAGAGTTTTTCTCCTGTTATCATCAAATAGCTTTATTTTCCCACCTATATTTAGAACTACAGTTTACCGAAAGTAAATTTTTGTTTAAAAAATGTAATTTCATTTTTCTGTATGAATATCCAATTGATCCTGGGCTATTTATTCAAAAGACAGTCCCTTCCCCACAGCTGTGCAGTGCCATCTCTGTGACGAATGAGTGTCCTCCTAACCATGGGTCACTTTCTGGATTCTCTGTTCGATCTTGTTGGTCTTTTTGTCTATACTTGCATTAATACCAGATTGTCTTAATAACTATAGATTTATAAATAAGACTTGGTATCTATAACATCAGCATTTTGTTGTTCAGACTTGTTTTGCTATTCAGGGCCATTTGCATTTTCACATGAGCTTTTTAGTAAATTGGTCAAATTGTATAAAGAAACCCTGCTGGAATTTTTAATGGGATTATATTGAAGCTTTTGATGAATATGGGGAATATTGATATCTTTACCGTAGCATGTCTGCTATGAACATGTATTTGGGTCTCACGTAATTTATCTCAATATTGTTTTATAATGTTCTGAGTAGAGGCACTGCATATCTCTCATTAGATATATTTCTACTTTAAACAAAATAAATGTGTGTGTGGTATTGTGATTGAGTATGGTGTTTTGGTTATCTATTGCTGTGCCACAAGCCACCTCAAAAGGTAATGGCTTAAAACAACAATAGTTTTATCATTCCTCAGGATTCCATGGGTTTTCTTTTTTTTTTTCTTTTTTTTTTTTTTTTGCTGGTCTTGCCTAAACTTTCTTCTGTGATTGCAGTGTAGCTGGAGCAATCCAATTGTAACCGAATGCAGGCACGGCTATTTGCTGCTTGCAAAGCCGAGAACAAGGATGCAATACAGTGAAAGGAAAGTGACTTTATCCCAAAAGCTTTCTTCCCCATTCCATGGGGAAATGGCCACGGATAGTGCCTGAAAGAAACCATTTCAGCTTTTTGGGTCAAGGTTAAGGGCTTAAAAAGGGTGTTTGGTATGAGGGGCATGCAGGAGTGATGAGGAGGTGCCAGTCTACATGACTTGTTCCTATGACTATCTTGCGTTATTGCCCCATCTGGTGAATGGGCTGGTGCCATCTTGGGTACAGCCCAGTTGCAAATTAACTGCAGCTTGGAAGTAATCTGCAGGTCAGGGAGAATCCCATAGTGGCCCGAATTGTTTCAAGATTTAGTCTCTGGAACTTCTAAACAAAAACATAATTAGATGAGGGAAACATTGTGCCAGGGAGTTCCTGGTAGAAGGAGGGAGAGCAAAGACTATTATCTCATGCTAAGGGCAAGACAAGGAACAGGCAGGAAGGAGAAAGAAGAAATACTTTTTAAAAACAGGACACTCAATTACATAATGGTCTAAACGGCCTCACTCTTCTATTTGGAACTTTGATGCTGGCTGCTGAGCCTTTCCTGTCATCCCTAGTCAGTGGCATGGGCTGAGCTCTGTCCGTGCAAGGAGAGCACTACAGTGGGGACCGTGGCCAGAGGACAGAAGTAGAGGTGTCAGCCTCCGAGGCCGGGGCTCCAGGACTCAGACAGTGTCACTACCGCCGCATTCCATTGTTCAAAGCAGGCCACAAAAGGAGTTCACATTTGAGAGGGTGGACAGATAGTCCCTGTCCCTTGATGGAAGGTTCAGCCACCCACATTTTGGTACAAAAGGGCATGTAGGGGGGAGATTGCGTTGCATCCATCTTTGGGAAAATGTACCACATATGCTGTTATTTTCATTCTATTTTGTTATTGGAAAATAGAAATAAAGCTGATGTATGTCTATTAACCTTATATCGAGCTACTTTGATAAATTCAGTGAGTCTATTAACTTATCTTTACATTCTTTTGAATTTTCTGCATGTAGAATCACATCATTTGAAAATAAGATAACTTGGGGTTTTTCCCCAATCTTGTAACTTTTATTTCTTTTTTCTGATTGCACTGACTGAGACTTCCAGTAAAATGATGAAGTGATGATGGCAGCTTTCTTTGTTATTTCTTATCTTTGAGGCAACATTCTCATTATTTTACATATGATGTTTAATGGAAGTTGTTGTAGTGATTGTTTAAGTTCCTTTCTATTTCTAGCCTGCTAAATTTTGTTTTGTTAGTTTAAAAAAAATCATGAATAAATGCTGAATTTTATCATATGACTTTTCTTTTTTGGGGGAAGACCATATGAGAGAACTCCCTTATTCTGTTAATATGGTGAATTATCTTGATTGGTTTTTGAATGTTGAACCAACCTTATTTCCTTGACTGAACTCAGCTTGCTCAAGCTGAATCTCTTGATTCTGTTTGTTAATGTTTTGTTTGGGATTTTTTTATCGTATATTCATGAGAGAGATTGGTCTTTCATCTTCATTTTTCAAAATGTCCTTGACAGATTTTATATGGAGGTTAAACTTCCTTCATAAGACACAATGGGGATTAGTCCCTCTTTTGCTTTTCTGGAAACATTTATTTAAGGCTGGTGTTATTTCTTCTTCAAATGTTCAGTGGAATTTACTAGTGAAGTCATCTTGGCCTGAAGTTTTCTGGGAAGGGAAGTTTGGAATTCCAGATTCAGAAGCTCCTAGAATTATTCAAACTTTGTGATTCTTCTTGCATCAGTTTTTCTTGGTTGTGTTTTTCTAGGAATTTGCCCACTTTCTCTGTTTTTCAAATGTTTTGGGAAAGGCTGTATATAGTATTCTCTTTCAGTCTTTTTCATATCTGCAGGGAAGTGCTTTGCTATTGTTCATACTTCTGAGAGAGCACAAGAAAGCTGGTTTGGAAGTCCTGAGAGAGGTTGAAGCCCAGGGCAGGGGTACTGCCAGGCTGGTACTGACATGGAGAGCAAGAGAAAAGGAAGAAGCAAGTTCATCTCCTCTCCCCACTTTCCAGGCTCCCTCCATTGCCTCTTACTGGAAGAACCCAATAGAACACCATCTAACAAAAGAAAACCACAGCTTAAAGAGCCCCCACTCCAGCGTCAGGGAGCAGTGGATTTGAAATTGAGAAAACGTAGCTTAATTACCAGCACACCCTTCTGCCTGAATATTTTCAGTGTCCTCTTCATCTCATCCCACCTGGAGGAGAAACCCTGGGAATCATGTTTCTTTTCACTCCTTCGCCCTTGTCTTCTCCTTATTCCTGGAGTATGCTGAGATTGGGGCTAGGATCTAACTAAAATTTTCATTATTTCATTTCAAGAATCCTCAAGAAAAATTGTGTTATAACTTGCATTGACGTTACCATTGTGCATGAAGATTTAAAAATAAATATTACGAGATTCACTCTCACTGTTGATCACTGCACTCTGTCTTCTCCCTTGGACCCTTGTTCTGATCTGGCTCTTTGGTAGCGTATCCTGGAGTATTCACAGAGAGTATGCAGAGAAGCTGTGTTTCCTGACTGCAGGTCCAATCATTGATTTCTCTGTAGTTGCCTGGTGGAGGATTCCTCATCAGTTCTTTCTTCTCCCTAGCCACTAAATGTTAGCCCATGATCTATTACTTTCCATGATTGCAGGTGAGAAATGTGATATTAGACTGGTTATTTATTTTTGGTTTTTTTTTTTTTGAGATGGAGTCTCTCTCTGTCACCCAGGCTGGAGTGCAGTGGTGCAATCTTTACTCATTGCAACCTCTGCCTCCTGGGTTCAAGCGATTCTCCTGCCTCATCCTCCTGAGTAGCTGGGATTACAGGCCTGCACCACCACACCTCACTAATTTTTGTATTTTTAGTAGAGATGGGTTTCACCATGTTGGCCAGGCTGGTCTGGAACTCCTGACCTCAAGTGATCTGCCCACCTCAGCCTCCCAAAGTGCTGGGATTACAGGCATGAGCCACCGCGCCCGGCCCCTAGACTGGTTATTTCTAAAAGCAACGTGTTCTTCCTGTCTGGAAGCTTATATGATTTTCCTCCCTATTCTGGAAATTCAGCAGCTTTGTAAGGATGTGTCTAAATTCAGCATTTTCAGAACCCTTTCAATCTTAAGACTCGATTGGTTTTGTTTCTTTGGCATTTCTTTTTTTATTCTCTCATACTTTTGTTTTCTCCCTCAACTCCTATTATTTACATAGGATGCATCCTCCTGCATCCACCCTCCATATCTTGATCCTTAACTCGTGATTCTTAGTTCATTAACTTTTTATCTTGTGCTGTGGGATACGTCTTTCATTTTATCTTCCTAAAATAGTAATTTGGTTTTTAGTGGGGACCGTTCTTTTATACAGTACCTCTACTAAATTTTTAAATGGAAAAAGTCGAGCATTTGGAGTTTCTCTTAGGATCCAGGAACAACAAAACAATAAAAAAAATCAAGCATTTTTCTGTTCTGGCAGCATTTTTTGTGCTCTAATAATATCTCCTTATGAATTCTCATTGTTTATATTATATAGTCTATTTCTGTATCTGTCATTAGTTCTGCTCTGTAGTAGCCATCTGTTCTAGAATTTGGCTGTCTCCTTCCTTCAAACCACTGTCCCTCTTAGGGGGCACATCAGTTTGCTGTGCTGCATTGTTTTGGTGGGTGTGGAGTTTCCCCAGCGCTGGTTTGGGCCCAGCTGCAGGCTATGATAGCTAAAATCCCCCCCAGGCCATGGTGGATTGATAGAGATGGGGCCAGGCATGATGGCTTATGCCTGTAATCCCAGCTACTGGAAAGGCTGAGACAGGAGAATCACTTGAGCCCAGAAGTTCAAGGTTACAGTGAGCTATGCTCACACCATTGCACTCTAGCCTGGGTGACAGAGCAAGACTCTGTCTCCAAAAAAAAAGAAGAAGAGATAGAGGCAGATAGGGTGGGATTGTTTTCCCTCCGCAGTTGCACTGGCAAACTACACTGTCTCTTCTCCTTATGGTGAGGGTGGGGATAGTCTTTTCAGAATCAAGTAGAGCTGAATTGTCCTTGGTACTACCTTGCAACTTCTCTTTCAAGTGTGCAGGACAGGCTCCCTCTCATCTGCTCCAGAGCCCCCAGATTGGCCAGCTGACCCCACTCTGGCCTGGGATAGCTGCTTCTCACCCTGGGGTCTGCCAGAGATGCAGACTGTCTCCAGACTGCCTGACCTTTGGTCCAGAGATTCTTGCTGGACTCTGGTCTTTGGTCCCAGCTCCCTGTGTGAGCATGGCCCTCTATCATAGGCCATGGGGAGCAACAGTGGGTCAACCTCTGGACACACCCCCATACCAGGCATCACCAGTGACCACTGGAGGCAAGAGAACATCTGGCTGGTTGGCCCGAGGCTTTCAAAGCTCATCTGTCCCCTGGCCATCACCATATTGAGACCAGTTGTAGCCAAGAAACGGTTAAAGGGCAGACTTGGATGTGCTGGAGGAGTCCAGGCAACAAGAACAGACCGGTATGCCTGAAGCCATCTACAGCCTCGGGTTAAAACTTCCTGTCTTCTTCCAAGCAAACAGGGGACCAAGACTGTAGCACATAGTGGGGTCTCAAGAGTCAGGGATCAGCGACAGGCAATGTGACAGGCATCTAAAATATTGAATTCATGAGGTGGGTGGAGAAGAGATGACTTGCTGGAAACGAGGAACAATTTGAAGAGTGCTAGGGAGCTTGTGGTAACTCCTGAGGTCCAGTGTGCAGTGGGAGAAAACTCCTTGATGGATACTCACAATGGACCACTCACTGAGGACAGGCATCATTCAAGTTAGGATGATGTATTAGTCTGTTTTTGTGCTGCTGATAAAGACATACCCAAGACTGGGTAATTTATAAAGAAAAAGAGGTTTAATGGACTCACAGTTTCACGTGGCTGGGGAGGCCTCACAGTCATGGCAGAAGGCAAAGGGCACGTCTTACATGGCAGCAGACAAGAGAGAATGAGAACCAGCTGAAAGGAGTTTCCCCTTATGAAACCATCAGATCTCGTGAGACTTATTCATCAGCATGAGAACAGTATGGGGGAAACCTTCCCCATGATTCAGTTATCTCCCGTGGGGTCCCTCCCACAACATGTGGGAATTATGGGAGCTAAGATGAGATTTGGGTGGGAACACAGCCAAACCATATCACATGATGTCCATGACATATGAGGATACATCTTTATAGCTTCCAAACAAATCCTGTCTTTCTAACCTACAGACTTTAGTTATCTGGGCAAACCATAGACCCTCCCCCTTTCTCAGGTCCCAGGTAACATTGAAATATCTCTTTGCCTTAGAGAGGGAGGCAGACTACCAACCTGTAGTCTCACATTCTTGAGCTGTAGTCTACCTGAACTTGAGCAGCATTTCACGCTCACATTCAAATGTCTATAGATCTCAGAGACAGGTGGAGTGGGTTGGCATGGCTTCACCAGGTGAAGTCTGTTCCTCTTGTTGGGACTCCCTAGTCTACAGCTGTCAGCTGGGAAGCTTTGGGGTGGCTTTTGGCTGCAAGTGATACAAACCAATTCACACAAGTTTCAATAACGAAGGAAGTTATTACGTCAAATGGCAAGTCCAGAGCGGGGTTGCCGCAGGGTTAGCTGGTTCAGCAGCCTCACAAATTCAAGGACCTAGAATCTTTCCAGCTTTCCCCTCTGCCAGTTTCGATGTATTGATGTGGTGGCTTAGCTCTACTCAGTCATGAGACAGTTGCCCCTGCTTGAGGCAGTACATGCAGATGTCTGGTATGGGAGTCCAGTAGAACAGGAAAGTTTTCCTTCTTTTTTTCCTACAATCTTCTTTTTTAAGAGCAAGTAAACATTTCTCAGATGCCCCCAAAAATACCCCTTGCAACTCATTGGCCAGAGCTCGGTCACATGTCCACTCCTAAACCCGTCACTTATTATATAACCTCCACTTTAATAGGCTGTATCATTTATTTATACATTTAGAAAATATCATCCTTAAGTAAGACTAATCAAGTAAAACCATAAATGGATAATAAATTACAATGAGTTCGGCAGAATTTCTATAAATTATATCTAATAATCACACCTAGGCACAAAGGATTAAGCGTAACAGGTGTATTCATATTACTATGTGAAATTTCCCAATACACAGCTTTTAAATATCCAGAATAATAACCATGTTGAATTAGGTAATTTGCTTAGAGGTAAATGTGGAAGGAAAATAAATGCATGAGAGTATGAACCACTTGGATAATGATAAACAATTGAACAGCTCAAGAAAATTTCACGGGTACATTTTTAATGACTGATTGAATCCTAGGAAGCAGTTAATTCATTAATACTTGCTTTCCCAACCACCTCTCTCAAACGTGTGGGATTAATAAAGTCTTAAAAAAAAAAGTACTGCTTCTCAAAAAGGATGCCCCGGTTTATCCATGCAGATGAAGGGATGGTGTTGCCAACTTCAAGGGGCAGCAAACCATCAGAAAACCAAGCTCCTCCGCCTTTCATGCATTTTGAGGAAACGCCTTCCCATGGCGGTTCCCCGGCTGCTGGAAGCAAAGCTGCAGCCACGCCAGCTGAGACATCACCAGGCAGCAGGGTCCTTCTGCTCTCTTTCTTCCTGATGAATGTGATTCTAACCTGTGTGGGGGGGCATTGGCTGGTCTTTCATAACCCAGGTGCTGACATGTGTCTGCCAGGGAACATCTTTGTATTTATAAGGTTGCTATTTTTTCCTGAGGTTACAGAGTCCATTCTGTCTTCCCTGTATCCTGCCTCTTCCTCTTCCTTCCCCAGGCCTTCTTTGTACCTCCTTCTGTCCAACTGAGATTAAGCTTGTTTATTTCCTGGAATGCCATTCTTCTTTATTTTGTCTGTTCAAGGCTTTTGACAGCTCCACATAGCAGCCAAAGCATATCATGCAAACTCAAGGAAAGCAGCTGGGGAGAAAACCGAAGTTTCCTTTCACATTAGGTTTCTGGGGGCTCCTCACTCAGGGGGCCAGAGACTTTGTAACAAATGAGTTGGTCGGCCTGTCCTAGTGGAGTTGTCACTATGCTGAGCATGATTTACACGTTTTCAGAGAATGCGAGTAGAGATACGTCTTTTAATGATCTAATAGAACTGAACATTGTAGATTGAAATATTTGTTTTTAATCATGGGTACTTCAGGATCACATATGTACATAACTGAGGGTTTTTTTTACTGTGAAATGCGGATACATCAAAACGGAAATGTGAGAATTCTAGTTGAGCACAGGCTTTACTCATTTTAACAGTTTTTCATACTAAGGAAAGCAATTATCACATTTTTGCAATACCTCATTTTTTTTTTTCCAGGCGAGCAAAAGAAAGTCTAGATAAGAAATTGGGTTGCCCATGTACAAAAGGCACACCACCTGACTTTCTTGCTCCCTCCAGGTAGAAAGATACAACATGATTTCTCATGTTGATATAAAGTTTGTGAAAATAGTTTTTTGGAGGAGTAATAAATTCACTTGTCCATATTAACTAGCATCCCACTTATGTGGATCGGTAGACTTAATTTTAAGATGTCAGTACTACCCAAATTGATCTGCAGACTCAAAACGAGCCCTGTGAAAATCCCAACTGAGGCCAGGCGCGGTGGCTCATGCCTGTAATCCCAGCACTTTGGGAGGCCAAGGTGGGCGGATCACGAGATCAAGAGATCAAGACCATCCTGGCCAACATGGTGAAACCCCGTCTCTACTAAAAATACAAAAATTAGCTGAGTGTGGTGGCGTGCGCATGTAGTCCCAGCTACTCAGGAGGCTGAGGCAGGAGAATCACTTGAACCCGGGAGGTGGAGGTTGCAGTGAGGCGAGATTGCACCACTGCACACCAGCCTGGTGACACAGCCAGGCTCCATCTCAAAAAAAAAAAAATCCCAACTAAATTTTAGCAGGAATAAACAAGCTGATTCTCAAATTCATATGGAGATGGAAGGGACCCAGAATAGCCCTAATAATCCTGAAAAATAACAGAACTGGAGCACTTATACTTTCTAATTTCAAAACTTACTAACACTCTGCAATAACCAGGCAGTGTGGCGGTGGCACACGTCAACATACGTGATGGGCTGCAGTGTCTCCCCCAGAATTCAAAAGACTCAACCTCAGACTTACTGTGTGTGGAAATAAGTTATTTAAGTGGATTAAGTTAAAATGAGGCCTTTACAGTGGGGCTCTGGTCCAACAGGACTGGTATCCTTATAGTCAACAAAAGGAGGAAGAGACACCAGGGATGTACATGCACAGAGAAGGGCCAGCTGAGAACACAGTGAGAACGTGGTCATCTGCAGGCCAAGGAGAGAAGCCTCAGGAGGAACCAAACATGCCGACTCCTTGATCTCAGACTTGGAGCCTCCAGAACTGTGAGGAATCACTTTGTTGTTTAAGCCCCCAAGTCTGTGGTATTCTGCTGTGGCAGCCCCAGGAAACCAGTGCACATGTAGAGCAATGGATTAGAATTGAGGCTCCAGAAATAAATTCTTACATCTGTGGTCAACAGATCTGCAGAAAAGAGGCCAAGGATATCCAGTGGGATAACTGGAATGGGGTCTGTGCTTCTCCCTTTCCTCTGTGAGTCATGTTGTTGGGAGTCACTGAAAAAGTATGAGGTGGCAAGTAGCAAGAGGCCCAGCAGGTTTTGCTTTTATGGTCACGATGCATCAGAGGGCACACTGTCTACATGCCTTTTGAAGTACTATGAAGGGCCTCTTGGAGCCCAGGCCTCACAGGGGGCAAACTGCTGGCTCTCCCAACCTTGAAGCCTGGCAGCAGTTAGCCTGCCTCTCCCAAAGAACAACAGCCTGGGACAGGGTCTTGGAGGACTATTCTCAGAAAGGGGACAGCTGTGGACTCTCTCAGAAGGGAGACACGGGCTTCTGCCAGCACAGACCCCACAAGTACCACACAGTCCTTGCTTTTCCCAGGACTTCCTTGGGAAGGGGCAAGCCCTCTTCTCCGCATGCAACTTCATTGCTAAGCTCTCACTTGTGTCTCAGGGAGGGAGGAACCCTGTACTGGATCTCTTCTGCAGATCTTGGGGAACCCATGGCCTCTGATTACCCTCCAGTCCTGGAAGCATGCTTGCTGTGGTTATTAGTCCAAGGGAGGGAGCTGCAGTGGGGTGGGGGTGGGATCAGAGAGGCGGGGCCTGTGTAAACCCAGCTCCCCAGGACTCCTACAGTCACCTGTTTCTCTCTTTATGGTTGTTATCTCCCTCAAGACCACCAGTTATGTATACATGGGGTCTTTCTTGTCTGCCTTGAATATTTTTATTTTTTCTCTAATTTATTTTTTTTCCATTTCAACGTGTTCAGTTTTCTCATAACCTATTCGCATTGTCCCTGTCTGGATATTAGCTTTGTCAGCTCTCTTTGTGGACATACCTCTGTCCTGTGCATATATCTCTACTTTAGGCTAAAGCGTAGTCTGGAAGAATGAGGTTTCTGTCATCTTGCGTGGTATAGCAAGTGGGGAAGTGCTCTGGGTTAAATATGGAGAACACAGCCACTTTAGAGTAGGAGATGCTTTAAGGCAGGGGTTCCCAAACCCCAGGCTGTGGACCAGTACCAGTTCGTGGCCTGTTAGGAACCTGGCCGCACAGCAGGAGGTGAGTGGCAGGCGAGTGAGCATTACTGCCCGAGCTCCACCTCCTGTCAGATAAGCGGCAGCATTAGATTCTCATAGGGATGTGAGCCCTACTGAGAACTGCAGGCGGGGATCCTCAAACCACCCTCCCACTCCCGCACCTTCCATAGAAACATTGTCTTCCCCAAAACTGGTCCCTAGTACCAAAAAGGTTGGGGACCGCTGCTTTAATTTATATTCCAAATTGTGTAAAACTCCTTTCTGCAAAGGTAAATCACCAGATTGATTAGCTCATTTGTACTTTTTTTTTTTTTTCTTTGAGACGGAGTCTTGCTCTGTGGCCCAGGCTAAAGTGCAGTGACACAATCTTGGCTCACTGTAAGCTCTGCCTCTTGGGTTCAAGCGATTCCTGCCTCAGCCTCCCGAGTAGCTGGGACTACAGGCACCCGCCACCAGGCCTGGCTAATTTTTGTATTTTTAGTAGAGATGGGGTTCCGCCATGTTGGCCAGGCTGGTCTGGAACTCCTGACCTCAAGTGATCTGCCTGCCCCGGCCTCCCAAAGTACTAGGATTACAGGCCTGAGCCACTGTGCCTGGCCCATATATACTTTCCATATGGAAAAGTACAGTTCTTCATAATTTGTCTCTCCCTTACCCCTGTTGCCACCAACTAAAATGATGAGCACATTCCCCAACCACAGAACACTGGGAAGAAACATAACAAAAATGTCATATTGTTTTCAATTCACCTCTCATTATATTCAAAACTCCTCATTGGTTTTAACCTTCCCTAGCTCCAAAGTCTCATTTCTTACTACCCTTTTTTCCCCTGAATAATAGGATTGGCTACTGATTTAGCCAGACCTTGTTCACTTTCAAGTGACAGGAACCAACTCAAAGCAGATTAAGCAAAAGGAGATGCTTTAGTAATTCATTATCTCCAGGAGTCTGATCTTGAACTCAGCATCCAGGGATTCAAATGGCAGCATTAAGATTGTTTCCCATCTCTTAGATCTCTTTTGAGTTGGCTTCGCCCTGAGGCAGGTTTTTCAGAAGCAAGGGCACAAGTGGCTAGGCTTACATCACCCCTCAGCTTGTGAGCTCAGAGGGGCGAGAATCTGTCTGAATGTCCTGGAAGGATGCTGACTGAACTTCTGAACCAGTCACTGTGTCTGGCCTGAATCCTGTGCACTCAGGAAAGGAAGGCAGCCCTATACTAAGGTCTTTTAAAGGTGGGAAGAGGCTGTTTCTAAAGGGAAAGGATACAGAACAAAGGGATTAGAAACCAAGCAAACGAAGAGAATCTTAGTGACCACTATCAAGACCTTGGATGTTTGTAATTTTATAACTTAATAGGCCCTAATGATTTTCATAAGTAAAGGGCCCTGGATAACTGGAAGATGCATTTCTTGAAAAGAGAGTCTAAGACCAGGCTTCTGGGCCAAATGGCTGCAATGCTTGGAAAGCACTATCTTGTCAAGGCTCACCTCTCCACCCGCTTCCACCAGCCAAGGAAAACTCTGTTGCTGCTTCATCAAAATATTCATTTATGAGGGACAAAGTGTTATTAGGTAGTCTACCATGTGACCTAGGCAGGAGGGATCTTTGCTATGAATGAATATATATAACTGTTGTAAATGTGTGGACACAAGGGACTTTATTGCAACCATTAAGATGTCTGGATTGCTTTTCCTGCTGTCTACCCACCAAAATAGTATTTGCCTCCCAACTCCCTTGCTCACATGCTGCACATTGGCCCACTTTCTTCCACTGGAAAAGGCAGAGAACAGCTCATATGTGGTGGCTGCATGCTTTGATCATTGCCTTTCTTCCTAAGAAGTCCTCACCTGCTTTTAGCACTGTGTTGCTGTCAGAAAAATTAAAGCCTTTTTCTGATTCACAAGAAATACCATGAATGAAGAGGAGAATCTAGTAGATAATAAAGATGATTAGAGTTTCTTGGCAGGCATTTGCTATCGAAAAGACAAAATAAAACATTTAATTACTATAAACATCTAAAGAGCAATTTGTAGTAGGCATTTCCTTGTTCTTTGCACTTGAAATCTTAGCTAGCTTAGCTTTTGCCTCAAAGACTTTTGATTTTTTCTTTTGGGTCTAGTAATTAAAGCATGAAGGTCATTAACATAAAGTGTTTGAAAATGTTTTTCTTTTTTAACCACTTGTCTTTGTGACTTCACTGCCTGAACAGAAAGTCACAAATGCCATATTCGAATCACACTGAATGTATTGAACATGTGAATGTGCATAGCTGCTATGGCATAGTGTCACTTTGAAGTTAAACTTCATTGAAAATATATTTTTTATTCATCTCCCAAGCAAGAAAATCAGGGTTGATTTTTATTTTTAAAAGCAAATTAACTTTAATAGTACCTTGATATATATATTTCTTTCCAGCCCTTTTGATTCTTGTGTACATGTGTTTTGCTGCAGTGAACATCTTTCTCATCGTTCTACTGAAGGATGGCAGAATATGCTGCCCGCCCAAAATATGCCACTTTGGCATAAGGATTACTTTGAGCTAAAGGCACTTGAAAAATAGCAGATGCAAGAAGGGCATTTGAATTTCCTCTTTTCTTCCTGAAAACAGGAGATAAAAACTCCCATGTGAAAAATAGCTTTACTGTACCAAGAGGAAAGAAACATTACTCAATGGGGATTCAAAGCCAAGTGAATTCTGTACAAACAACTTCGTTAAAATAATTATCTCCCTTTATCCTCCCCACATAATTTACTTTTCCCACAATTACCTCTCTTTGTTCAACCAAATATAAAAGCATTTAGGTTTTGCCACCTCTTTCGGTCTTCATTTCCCTAACAAGCGCTCCTGTGTCCTGTAAAACTTAAATGAAGTTTGAATGCTTTTCTCCTGTTAATCTATTTTATATTAGTTTAAGTCTCAGGTCCAGCTGGGGCCCTTCGAGGGTGGAGGGAAGGTTTTGCCTCCCCTGCAGTATATACAACTTTGTGTAGTCCTCAAATATTTTCCTTAACAGAAATCCCTGGAAAGAAGCAAATTGTTATCAAACTACCCTGCCAGGCACTGTGCTAGGTACTGGGTAAACCTATCTCACTTAATCCCCTGATGCCAGGTTTAGGCCTCATTTTGTTGACTTGGAGACTTAAACCGGGAGGAGTGTCAGTATCGTACAGGTTTCTAATGTTAGTTCATCTGATCCCAAAGCCCTTACTTTTCAAGGACACCATGTCTATGTTTGCTCTGAATCAGTATACAGTTAAAAGCCCACTCTCTGGAGGCAGATTGGCTGTGTTCAGATCTCACACCTACCACTTACTCGCTATAGAGCCTCAAAACTTAATAATCTTCTCCTGTGACAGTTTATTTGTGAGAAGAGAAACATAATAAATGCACATGCCTGATAGGTTTGTTGTGGGGATTAAATGAAGTCATACCTGTAAACCACCTGGAATAAGGTCTGACCCACCATTCACTTTGTATAGTAGTCCCCCCTTGTCTGTGGAGGATGTGTTCCAAGACCCTCAGTGGATACCTGAAATCGTGGACAGCACCAAACCCTAAATCCACAATGTTTTTCCCTATGCATAGATACATACTGTATTAGTCAGGGTTCTCTAGAGGGACAGAATTAATAGAATAGATGTATATATGAAAGGGAGTTTACTAGAGTATTGACTCACATGATCACAAGGTGAAGCCCCACAATAGGCCATCTGCAAGCTGAGGAGCAAGGAAGCCAGTCTGAGTTCCAAAACCTCAAAAGTAGGGAATCCAATAGTGCAGCCTTCAGTCTGTGGCTGAAGACCCTTGAACCCCTGGCAAACCACTAGTGTAAGTCCAAGAATCCAAAAGCTGAAGAACTTGGAGTCTGACTTTCAAGGGAAGGAGGCATCCAGCATGAGAGAAAGATGAAGACCAGAAGACTCAGCAAGTCAAGTCCTTCCACGTTCTTCTGCCTGCTTTTATTCTAGCCGCACTGGCAGCTGATTAGATGGTGCCCACCCAGATTGAACGTGGGTCTGCCTCTCCTAGTCCACTTACTGAAATGTTAATCTCCTTTGGCAACACCCTCACTGACACACCCAGGAACAATACTTTGCTTCCTTCAATCAAGTTGACACTCCACATGAATCATCACACGAACCTATGATAAAATTTAATTTACGCCAGGAGCGGTGGCTCACACCTGTAATCCTAACACTTTGGGAGGCTGAGGTGGATGGATCACTTGAGGTCAGGAGTTCGAGACCAGCCTGGCTAACATGGTGAAACCCCATCTCTATTAAAAATACAAAAAAAGCCAGACGTGGTGGTACACACCTGTAATCCTAGCTACTCGGGAGGCTGAGATGTGAGGATCTCTTGAACCCAGGAGGCGGAGGTTGCAGTGAGCCAAGATCGTGACACTGCACTCCAGCCTGGGCGACAGAGCGCAACTCCATCTCAAAAAAAAAAAAAAAAAGTTTAATTTATAAATTAGTCATAATAGAGATTAACAATAATTGATGAGAAAAATGAAATCTTAAGCCCTCCAGCTGACTGAACAGACCCCCTCTTGGCCAAGGGGACCCCGAATAACCTTGGAAACCCTCACCCGCTCTAAATGCCATTAGGCTTTCTTCCCTAAGAGCTAAACAGAAATCAGCCCTTTCAAAAGACTCCACTGCTGGTATAAACCAACCACCTGATGCTGCCCCTCCCTTTTGCAGTTTTGGCACAATTGACCAGCAGTTCTTCCTGGTAAAAGACCACCAACCATGGAGTAGTTCTGGCCAGTCTATGGAAGACATGCAGTCAGGGTTTTCATGTCCTCTACTTCACCTTTTGATGTCAGAGGGCTGAAAACTCCTACCCTGGATCATGCTAACACTGCCAATTTTGGAATATGGGTCCCAGGGAGAGACATGAAGTGCAATTGCGCATATGCACATTTCTCCTTGCATAAATGTTCATGACTCCTCCTATAGCTTATTAAATATGTATATTTGGCCACCCCATTCTGCATAGATTCCTGCTCCCTTTGCCCTCCCTTGAAGTGTCTGTTTCTGGCTTCTAGCATGAGGTTGTCTTCCTAGCCTGTTGGAATGGCCGCCCCGCAGACTGCAACCCTTTATGAGAAATAAAGCTCTTTCCAAATTTATGAACCTCGTCATCCTTCAGTTGACACTAACAATAAAGTAGAACAAATATAGTGTAATAAGTTATATTGTGGTTTCTCTTTGAAAATATCCTAATATTTTCGGACTGTGGTTGACTGCAGGTAACTGAAACCACAGAAAGTAAAACTGCAGACATGGAGATGGAGCAGCAACTACTATAATCATTGGCTGTTGTCGGTTATATTTATTGTTACTAATGTTAGTATTGTTATCACCACAGTTTCTCCCCAGACATCCATGGCTTCCAGTATCAATCCAAGGTGGAATGTGGGTCTGGATGACTTCTCCATGCAGGGCCTAAAACTTCATTCTAATACTCTTATTTTATGTCTGCATTTTCTCACCTGCATTCTTCTGGAAAGAGTGTAGAGAGATGTTTTGAGACTTAAAAACTGGTATCTCTTCTCCTCTATCTTGAGTAATGACAGTCTGCTATCTAGGTAAGCGTGCTGCTGGAGGACACTGCTGATTTTCACAGTGACAGGGGTAGTCTGACTGGTGGGCTGCTTGGTAACGTACATGAATACCTTAGCAAGAAAGAGCACTGAAAAACCAGCCCAACTGTTGACAATAGCTTTTATCTAATTTTCCACTTTCCCCTTATATCTCGGTCACTGAACTTTTTTGACTCAAGGCACTGTAGCAGGACGAGCCGCAGACAAAATCTCTCAGACACCGAGTTGCACAAGGAAGGGCTTTATTCAGCTGGGAGCATCGGCAAGCTACTGCCTTAAAATCCGAGCTCCCCAAATGCACAATTTCTGTCCCTTTAAAGAGCTCACAACACTAAAGATTTTACATGAAAGGGTCGTGATTGATCAGAGCAAGCAGGCGGTATGTGACAGGGGCTACATGCACCGGTGGTCAGAGAGAAACAGAACAGGGCAGTTCTGTTCTTTATACAATGTTCTTCTATACAATGTCTGGAATCTATGAATAACATCGGTTTCTAAGTTATGAGTTGATTTTTAACTACTGGGTTTAGGCCAGGCAGGCCCAGGCCTGGTTTTGGGCCTGGCGCTGGGCTGCCTGTATTTGGTTTTACTTCCTTGTTGTTTTTTCTTAAAACAGGTACTGAGTATAAAACAATATAAAACAATATGAGACGGTCTCTCTATTCCCTCAATACAACATCCACATCCTGCAGTAGGGACCTTTTGCAGAATTCTAGATGGCAGGAAGCTTCTATGAACCTAAGTCCAGATTTTAATTTGCAAGGAAACTGAAGCAGATGAATTTTCTCATTGTAAAAAAATGAATGCCTTGATAATATATTTGTTTTTCATAGTAGGCCTTTGTCATTAAAATTGATGCCTGAGGATATAGTTGCATCTTGTGTGGAACAGTAAGTTATTACTCATTGCATACCAGATTTTAGCATACTTGCATTAGTTCATGGAATATGATTTTACATTTACTATTGCAGTTCCAGTGCCATTATCAGATTGCATTTTCCTACTGAATTACAAACAAAAGTGTTATGCTACTAACAATTAACAAAATTTTAATAAGGTTGTGTTTGATGCTATTACTCAGATAATGTGTTCTAAATTGCTTTCCTTTGAATATATTTGCATTAAAGAGGAACTCAATTTGGTTCTTTGAAGAGTTTATCCACTTTCTGGGTAGCTTTAAAAAGACACAGGGAAATTCAGTTTCTTCTTTGCAAGTAAATAGAGAAGAAACAAATTTGCTAAGATCTGTAGAAGTCATGGCAGCAGACTGCTGATGGTTTGAGTTAATGAAATGACTCATTTTGGCTACTTGAGTTGCACAATTAAAATATACAGTAGAGACTGTATATCACATCATAGATGAGAGATAAATCCCCCAGTGTTCTCTTTTTTTTCCTCAAAGCTAATATATTATGAATTAAGAAATTTAAGAGCTCCACATTATTGCAATTCTTGATCAGTGATGCCCCAAATTAAGTAGTAATCTCTTGAGAGTGCACGTTTGTTTGCAGCATTCCTCTTACCCATTTCTGCTAAAATTGTGGTTGTGACGAAAGCAGTTGTTTTCCAAAAGATAAACCCATGTGACCAAGCTAAAACATTTACCTAATACTGACACGTTTTTTGTGGTCTTCTCATAGTTGTCTAGCTAAAGGAGTTTAATGCAGAGAATATAAATACGGAAATAGTGAAACTGAAGTCCTGCTTGCGCAGAAAGCCTGCAGCCGACTTTGGTTTTTAACAGACTCCACGGGGCATTAGAGAAAGTAACTGGGGGCAGTGGGATGGAGGGTATGAAATTGGGTGGAGGGACGAAAACTAAGAGCCCTCTGGGTCTTTTATGTCCTTCTACATTTTGTGTAGAAATAAATGTTTTTACTTTACTTCCACGGTCGGCCCTTCCTCTTCACCTTTTTTTTTTCTCACACGTTCATCCTCTGAATTCTTTCCGTTTACAAATGCTCCCGATTTAGAAACTCATAATACTGTCTGTAAAACTTGCCTGAGCCTGTGTGGTCTGAATTTAGCGACACACTTGTTTAGGAGTTTCGGTTCTCGCTCTCTGTTTGCATGGTTTGGTAACAACACTTCACTATACTAAAAATCATCGCCCGGACCTGCAGGGCTGCACGGAAAACGCTGTTCCTTTTGGTACCCGCCGCAGCCGCGCAGGCGCACCGCCCAGCCGCCCTGACGCAAGGCGCAGGCTTCATGACGCAGCACGCAGTCTCAGCCGACACTGCGCGCGCCTCCAGGCACCGGCGTTAGCGGGTCGCCGACCCGCAATCCCCGCCGCGGCTGCTTGCCTACCGGAGTGTGCGCCGGCACCTGCCGCCGGAGACATGTTGCAAAAACCGAGGAACCGGGGCCGCTCTGGCGGCCAGGCCGAGAGGGACAGAGACTGGAGCCATAGCGGAAACCCCGGGGCTTCGCGGGCCGGGGAAGACGCCCGGGTTCTCAGAGACGGCTTTGCCGAGGAGGCCCCGAGCACGTCCCGCGGGCCGGGCGGCTCGCAGGGGTCGCAGGGCCCCTCGCCTCAGGGCGCCCGCCGGGCCCAGGCCGCCCCCGCCGTGGGGCCCAGGAGCCAGAAGCAGCTGGAGCTGAAAGTGTCCGAGCTGGTGCAGTTCTTGCTGATTAAAGACCAGAAGAAGATTCCGATCAAGCGGGCCGACATACTGAAGCACGTCATCGGGGACTACAAGGACATCTTCCCCGACCTCTTCAAACGGGCCGCCGAGCGCCTCCAGTACGTCTTCGGGTATAAGCTGGTGGAACTTGAACCCAAGAGCAACACTTACATCCTCATCAACACCCTGGAGCCTGTGGAGGAGGATGCCGAGATGAGGGGTGACCAAGGCACGCCCACTACGGGCCTCCTGATGATCGTCTTAGGGCTCATCTTTATGAAGGGCAACACCATCAAGGAAACTGAAGCCTGGGACTTTCTGCGGCGCTTAGGGGTCTACCCCACCAAGAAGCATTTAATTTTCGGAGATCCAAAGAAACTCATTACTGAGGACTTTGTGCGACAGCGTTACCTGGAATACCGGCGGATACCCCACACCGACCCCGTCGACTACGAATTCCAGTGGGGCCCGCGAACCAACCTGGAAACCAGCAAGATGAAAGTTCTTAAGTTTGTGGCCAAGGTCCATAATCAAGACCCCAAGGACTGGCCAGCGCAGTACTGTGAGGCTTTGGCAGATGAGGAGAACAGGGCCAGACCTCAGCCTAGTGGCCCAGCTCCATCCTCTTGAAAGGTGGATTCAGAGGGACCCCCGGGACAAGGGTCTGAGACCCAAAGGCACAGTTTAGAGGATTGGGGGAAGGGAGAACGAACCCAGGGAGCATATTGCTGTAAACGCTTCAATGTGTGTAGCTTTAGGATGTGTTTGCAAAGTTTTGTTTTTTTAATGTTGTGTTATTTTGCTCCAGATTTTCATCTATAAACAAAGGAGCATTTGTTTTGATTTTACTCTTTTTGGTATAAAAAATTTTGCTAGCTTAGTAAAACGAATTGGAAAACTTGACTATGATCTGGAACAGATAATGCAAGAAGGAACACATAAGTAAGTTGCTTTGGTGCCAAGAAAATAAAAAAGCTATTATCAGGTCTCCTAACTACCCCAGTTTGTAAGGAAAAATAAAAGTTTTTATAAAATTAAAAAAAATAATTGCCTATATCCTTATTATGTTAACCTATTTTATTTTTCTATATTTCGTACATATATAAGTATTATTCATGGTTCCAAGCAATGAGTGTAATGTATTTTCTCCCAATAGTAATTGTTTATATTCATAATTATTCAGCTCTGCTGCTAAACACGTAGTTCCACTTCGTTTTTTTCTTCTTGCTACTGTAGTTATTACAATAAATACTGTATTTTTGAAGCACTTAAGCATTGTGTGTTTTTTAAATCGTGGGTCATGAGAGAATTTCATGACTGGAAATCAACATCTTAAAGTTTTTGCTACATATTAAGGTCAATGCTGTTTTGTAGAAGTTGTTTCACTTTTGTGTGAAACAAAATCAGGATCATGAGGTGAAATATATTTCTCACTGTGGATCTCAAAAAGGCTTATAAAACAATAGCGTAACCATTAACCATGCCTGTTTGGGAATCGGACTGTCTGGGTTGAGATCCTGGCCCCACCATAACTAGTATATGAATTTACATAGGTTCCTTAGTTTGTATGCAGATGTTTCTTGACCTGTAAAATGGTTTTAGTCCGTGATGTGGAGAATTTTATTTGTTATTCTTTAATGTTTTTATTTTTTATTCTCCTTGGTCTGGAGCTGCCACTTTTTAAATATAACTTTTCTTTATCTTTTTTTCCAAATCATTCCTAGGAGAGCAATTCCTGGTTCAAAAGATAGTCCTCTAGTCTCACTCTATTGTATGGGGAAATATAACGTGTATGGTGAGTGTGCCCCACATAGAACATAAGAGCAGGACATAAGATCTACCTCCTAGGGAGTTAGGTATAGGGAAAAGGGTATGGGTCTTGGGGCTGTCTGGCAAACTGAATTTGAATTACGGCTCATGCTAACTTGTCAGCATGGTGGTTGTGGGGGTAGGTTTTAAGCTCTCTGAATCTCAATTTATCTGTAAAATGAGAAAAATAATAGCTATATAATAGTTTTATGCACCAAATGAACTAGAAGAGTTCATAGTCCCATTGTGTTCCTCCATTACGTGTAGCAGATGCTGTTTTTAATGCAGAGATTCAACACGTTTTATTCAGTGGGCAAATAAGTTAATTGTTTTAGGGGGAGGTGCTGCAAATTAACCTTGAAATAAGGCAAATATTTTTCACTCGGGGAAAAAAGTGAACTTCATCAACACTGGACGGAATGTCATTTAAAAGAGTCTATAGTGAGTATGGAGGAATGTGATAGGTTACTGGGTTTTATTTCATTCTGTTGAATTGGGATTTGCATTTGTTTCATCAGTGGAATATGTTTGGCCCTTACAGGCATTTCTTCTTGATCTGCATTTTATTTCAGTGTATAAACTCCTTCCTGCCTCCTGGTCCCCTTACCTCCCTGACTCAGCTTTCTCCTCCTCATGCCCTCTGATACTCGCATTCTCACCTGTATAATAAAAATTATTACCCAGCAGTCACCACCAGTTATATCTGAGGCAAAATTCCCCCCGCTTTTCTCAGAGGTGTTAGCAATTTACCATCGATAATCTTGTTTCAAATTTTAAAATATGAAACATCAGAGGCCACATCAAGGCCTTATATCTTTTCCTTCTCACCCTCCCCAGAGGTAACAAAAGTCTGTGGCTATCGGGCTGTTGTATGACTTTATAATTTTACTATACATGTATATATACATAACCAATATAGAGTTTTATTTTGTGGGCTTTCATGATTTATATAAGCGGTGTTACGTGTGTCCTTATGCAACTTGCTGTACTCACTCACCATTATGTATTTGAGATTCAGCCATGTGGATATATGTAGACCTGATTCACTCATTTTAATTGTTCTTTTATGGGGGAAAAATAACTATCCATTCCTTAATGTCTGGACATTTAAGGTCTTTCCAGTTCTTTGAGATTTGCAGGCATTGTACAGTACTTCTTTAGGCACATGTGTGAGTTTCTCCAGCCAGAAACAAATGGAGCAATCAAGGACTATTGCCAAGCTGCTCTTGAGCTTGTGTCAAGTTACACTCCCATCAACATTTTATACAGTTTTGTTTTGTTTTTGTTTACCAATCCCTCCACCTTCACCCCCTGTGAACACTTGGCCTTTTCAGTATCTTTTCAGCCATTCTGGTACAGTGTGAAATGATAATTTATTACGGTATTAACTTATACCTGTTGCTTACTAGTAATGTTAAGTATCTGCCTATCTTTTGCTCTCACTCCTTTTTGAGTGTCAGATTTCATGTCTTAGACCTATTTCTATTGATTTGTAAGACATCTTTATATGTTCTACATGTTAATCCATGGTCTGCTCTATCTATCTAGTGCAAATACCTTCTCCCACATTTTCACTTCTTTTGGTCATACAGATCATTTGACCTAAATGTGTTACGATCATTAGTGTTTATAAGAGCTACATTTGTGTATAGTGCTTTAAAAAATTCCCCTAATCCTAAAATTGTAAATATGTTTTCTGCCTTTTTTCCCTAAGTGTTCAAAGTTTTGATCTTCACATTTTATGCTTTTAATCTGCTTTTGTGTATGATGTGAGGTATGGAAATAGTTTTTGTATTTTTCCTATATGGATAGCCTAGCACCAGTTTTTCATCATTTATACTTTCCACACTGATTTATGACACTCAGTATTTTGTAGCAATGTCCCATGTATAGATAAATTTATGGCTAGGACTGAATTGGTTTATTTGCTATCCATTTGCAAATACCATACTGTAATTCTTTTTTTCTTTTTGAGACGGAGTCTTGCTCTTGTCGCCCAGGCTGGAGTGCATTGGCACAATCTTGGCTCAGTGCAATCTCTGCCTCCTGGATTCAAGCGATTCTCCTGCCTCAGCCTCCTGAGTAGCTGGGATTACAGGTGCCCGCCACCACGTCCGGCTAATTTTTGTACTTTTAGTAGAGACGGGGTTTTGCCATGTTGGCCAGGGTGGTCTCAAACTCCTGACTTTAGGTAATCTGCCCGCCTCGGCCTCCTAAAGTGCTAGGATTACAGGCATGAGCCACCTCGCCCAGCCTATAATTCTTTAGCATCATATGCCTGTCTTCTTTTTCAATTCTTAAAGCCTTTTATTTTAGTCTTTTTTGCATTGGCTGAAAATGCAATATATTATTGAAAAGAAGCAGTTACAGCAGGCTCTAAGGATGTTTCTGATTCCTTATTCTTGATTTTAAAGGAAATAATTTTAAGTTTTGCCATAGAGTGTGATGTTTGCTGTTAAGAGTTTTTTTCCCCTATAAATACCTTTTATTGGGCTATTTAGTTACCCCTTCAGTCCTAGCTTGCTTAGAGATGTTCAGAAAAAAAACTATGAATGACTTTGGATGTATATATGCTCTTTATTTACCTGCTAATATGATTAAAATGTCTTATTTACTCTGTAAATTTGTTTTTTGGGGCATATAATTTGGTGTAATAACATACAGTTTTCTGATATCTAAACATTCTTGCATTTTGGAGACAAACAGTTGTTGATAAAATTT
This sequence comes from Homo sapiens, assembly GCF_000001405.40. NCBI lineage: Eukaryota > Metazoa > Chordata > Mammalia > Primates > Hominidae > Homo > Homo sapiens. The sequence goes on along the minus strand of NW_011332701.1, from coordinate 1,427,957 downwards.
TTAAATACATATAGCTCAAAATGTATAATTTTGCATCTTTTGACATAAGGGGGGGTTAGTCTTTAATTTTCCTATATTATCATTATTTTTGAGGTTATGCTAATTTACTTAGAGATAACCTCAAATTTACAGAAAAGTTGCAAGCCCAGTGCAAAATAATTTGTTCCCTGAACTATTTAGTTATGTTTCTTTAGTCTCCTTCCTATTGCCAGTAGTTCCTAAGTCTTTCCTTGACTATTATGACCTTCACTTGAAGAATACGGGCCTGTTTTCTGTAGAACATCCTTCAGCTGGGGTTTGTCTGCTGTTTCTTCATGATTGGATTTGAATTATGCATCTTTGGGAAGAATATCACAGAAGCAATGCTGTGTTATTTTTGGATCCTATCAGGTGGCACAAAATTTCAATTTGTCCTGTTATTTTGAAACCTTGATCACTTTGGTTAAGGTGGATTTCTGTCATGTGCCTCCACTGCAGAGTTTTCTCCTTTAAGGTAAACAAATAACTTGTGTGGAGACACTTTGAGACTTTGTATAGACCCATGGGTCTCTTATTATCATTAACTTATTATCTAATCTTTTATTATCATTACATATTTCAATACTCAAATTGTCCCTGATTTGGCCAGTGGGAGCCCCTTAAAGCTGGCTTTTGCATCTTTAACATGCCCCCAACATCATTTATTGAGCATTTCCTTGCTTGTTGGCACAAAAAGAGAGGGAGTTCTTTTTTTTTTTTTTTTTTTTTTTTTTTGAGACGGAGTCTCGCTCTGTCGCCCAGGCTGCCAGGCTGTAGTGGATTGGTGCAATCTCAGCTCACTGCAATCTCCGCCTCCTGGGTTCAAGCGATTCTCCTGCCTCAGCCTCCCGAGTAGCTGGGACTACAGGCACCCGCCACCATGCCCAGCTAATTTTTTGTGTTTTTAGTAGAGACGGGGATTTCACCGTGTTAGCCAGGATGGTCTCAATCTCCTGACCTCGTGATCCACTTTGGCCTCCCAAAGTGCTGGGATTGTAGGCGTGAGCCACCGCGCCCACCCAGGAGTTCAGACTTTAACTCTCCCTGCCCTAGGCCTGGAATTAATCCTTTTCCTAAAGAGCTCCGGTTTCTTTTGGTGGAGAATGGAATTCAGAAACAAGGTTGCTAGGTTTGCTCATGCCTATGGGAAATATCATTGCTTCCAGCCCTCTAGGTGATGAAGTTATAGGATATTTATCTATCAGTCATCTACACAGCACTGAAGACTATGAGATTACACTGATACTGCCATTTGCAATACAGCACCGCTGTGTGTATTCTGGTTTGAGAAACTTAGCACCTATTATCTTTACCATATTTACTTATTTGATTAATTCCTCTTATAAATAACCAATCCACTATCCCCTCTGCCACACCATCCACATGGGTGCGCTTAGCTTCCCACGTGGGCTCCAATGTCCCACATAACTGGCTTTTCTGTGCAGTCACCCTCCACCCATTGCTAGAGCTCTAACCCCACTCAGGTGACCTTGGCCTCTCCCAGGACATGGAACTTGTTCTGTCCCACTTAACAGCTATTGCACTGAATTGTTCAGGAAATAGAAAACCTTTTGGTCTTATAAATGCACTGGGAAGCTTGCCTTTTGCCCTGTTATCAGAAGATTAGATGTTTTCGAAAGTTTGGAACAAATCTACATGTGAAAGGCTGTGGGCCTGGTGTTTTTTGTGGGTAGATTTTTACTGATATTTTTCTCAAGATTATGTTCAGGTTTTCTCTTCTTTTGAAATTGGTTTTGGTCACTTGTATTTTCTAGAAGATGTTTTCATATATTTTCTGATATAATTAGTAGAAAGCATTTCTTAGTATTGTCCTTTGATTTAAAAATAATTCTTTTACATCTTTTTTAGAGAAAAAACTCTCAAACTTCGTTTTTCCTCTGCTCTCACACCACAACAATCATCAACACAGAAGAAGACTTCTGTGATCAAATGTGTAGGGGGTTTCCCCTACGGAGGAAGCAGCAGATACCAGCTGGGTGTCCTCCAATTCAGTTCCAACACTATCTACCTGGAGATAGTGTCAGATCCCACAGGATGAGGGCTTAGTCCCCAAGACTGCCCACCCTCAGGACACTAGTCACAAGTCCAGGCCTCTGGAACTTTTGACCAATGGTCTTCAAGTTGGGGTTCTGATGATGTCCTCTTTGGGTTCAAATAATTTGCAAGAGCAGTCCACACAACTCAGGGAAACACTTACGTTTACTGGTTTATTATAAAGGGTATTGCAAAAGACACAGATGAAGAGATGCATAGGGCAAGGTATGGGGAAGGTGTGTGGAGCTTCCATGCCTTCCCTGGGCACGCCACCCTACCGGAACCACCGCATGTTCAGCAGTCTGGAAGCTCTCTGAACCCTGTCCTTTTGGGTTTTTATGGAAGCTTCATTACATAGGCATGATTGACAACTGTGCAGAAATGTGATTGGACAAAAACGCACACGAGCTAAAGCCAGCAAGGCCTGTCTGCTCAGAGTTTTCTTGGCCTCTCTGTGTAGCATTCCTTCCTCTAGGGTTTGGGGCAGGACTCTTTTCTGAAATGAGGGTCTTTTGACCCACAATCAGAGGCCTGACTGGGGCAGATGAAAGAAAGACAGGAGAAGGTCAGAGAGAGAGATTCTGTTGCCTGAGGCCTAAAGAACCCCAACAGTATAACGAAGATTATGGGAGTTAGGAAACAGGAACCATGGAAGGAAACCAATATGTATATATCATAACACCATGCATCTTTACTTATAGATTCTCTTTCTTTTTGTACTCCCAGAATTATTTTTTGCCTTCGCCCCTTTTTTTTTTTTTTTCTGGAGCCATTTGTGCTGGGAGTTTATTTATTTTATCAGTATTTTCAAGAAACTTTTGTTGTATTGATCTTTTTTATTGTTTCCCTTTTTGATTTAATTACTTTATGTTTCCTTTCTTTTTACTTTCCTTGGGTTTACTTAGTGGTTCTTTTTTTTTTTATTTCTGGAGTAGATACTTAGTCAATTGATTTTCATTTCTAATTCATTTAAGGCAATATATTTATCTTTACAATATTGCTCATATTTGATAAATTCTCAGATGTATTTTTGTTATATTCAATGCTAAATATTTCCTAATATCTGTTTTGATTTGTCTTTGATTCTAATTGCAAGTGAGTGATCTTTTTAAATTTTCAAATATTTGGATTTGAACTATGCTTTTTGTTGTTGGTCTTTGATTTTTTAAAAAATTGCTTTGAGTGAGATAAAATGTTGCGTATAAAATCAGTTTTTAAAATATTTTAACATGGTCTTTGGCCTAATATGTGGTTAGCTTTTGGTATGTTCCAAGTGTCCTTTAAAAAAGAAGTGAATTCAGTATGTTTTCTTTTTGTCTTTTCCTTTTTAGAGATAGAAGTTTGCTTGTTGCCCAGGCTAGAGTGCAGTAGAAGCAGGCTCAAGTGAGCCTCCTGCTACAGCCTCCTAATTAGCTCAGACTACAGTCAAGCGCCACCATGCCTGGCTAATTTTTAAAAAACTTTTTAGAGATAGGATCTTGCTTGTTGCCCAGGCTAGAATGCAGTGGCACAATCATAGCTCACGGCAGCCTCCAACTCTTGGGCTCAAGCGATCCTCCTTCCTCAGCCTCCTGATCAGCTGGGATTACAGGCGAGCACCACCATGCCTAGCTAATTTTTAAAACTATTTTTTTAGAGATGGGATCTTGCCATGTATCTCAGGCTGGTCTTGAGCTCCTTACCACAAGCAGTCCTCCCCCGCTAGCCTCCCAAGCAGCTGTGTACGTGTTTTTGATATGTTCACAGTATGTTTATTACCTAAAGCTTGTTAATTGTGTTGTTCAAGTATTATATAGTCTATTTTTATTGCGTAATCTATTTCTAAGCAATGGGAAAGATCTCTCATTATGATTTTGTTAAGTCTTGTTTTTTATTTTATATATTTTCAGGCTGTATTTGTAAAGGCGAAACAGGTTTAGCATCATTATCTCCTCCTGGAGAATTGTTGCTTTTAGACTCTCTTTATTCCTAATAATGCTTTTTAGTATTATATTAACATATTTCCAGTTTCCTTCCTGCCTTATTTTAAAAGTATTCTCTTAAAATGTCTTTTCATCTGTTTTTAAATTTTTTATTTTAGAAAATTTCAAACATGTGAAAGTAGAAAGATGAGGTACAAGATTCAATATGTGGATAATCTTATTTCGTCTGTATCCCCACCCAGTTCAACTACTTTGTATTCCTCCCTAGTCCAGATTACTTAGAAACAAATGCCATATATGATTTTACCTGTAAATATTTTGGCACGTGTCTCTGAAAGATAAGAATTCTCAAATTGGGTCAAATGGTTTTTCTGTGTTGAGATGATGATGTGCTTTTTTTTCTTCTTCAATGTATTGATGTTGTGTATTACATTGATCGACTTTCTTGCATTCCTGAAGTAAATCCCACTTGGTCACGGAGTAGAATCCAATTTCCTTTTGTTTCCTTCCAGTTTTCTTTCTGTTACTGATTTTTAACTTCACTTTATTTTGGTCAGAGTAGGTACTTTGTGTGATTTAATCTTCTGAAATGTATTGAGGATTTTCTGTGTATATTCATAAGTGATGTTAGTCTATGGTTTACTTTTCTTGTAGTGTCTTTGTCTGACTTCGGTACCAGGGTAATCCTGCCTCATGAAATGAGTTAGGAAGTGCTCCCTCTCCTTCAGTTTTTGAGAGAGTTTGCATAAGACTGGTGTTAATTCCTTAGATGTTTGAGAGTATTCACCAGAGACCCCAAATAGGCCCAGACGTTTCTTTGTTGGGAGGATTTTTGATTCCTGATTCAGTCTCCTTCCTTGTTATACAGATATTGAGAATTTCTATTTTGTCTTGAATCACTTTTGTTAATTCATGTGTTTCTGCCAGAGATACACAAAGCTGGACACCAGTTAAAACGGAAAGGGCAGATTTTAATGAGTAATAAACTATTACACTATGGAAAAGAGCCCGGTGTTAACTGAACTCAACTTCAATTTGTACAGAGGTTTCTGGGCTTTTGTTTTGTTTTGATTTTTTAATAATTGCATTTTTTTCTTCATATATATATATATGTAAATGGGATTTCACCATGTTGCTCAGGCTGGTATCTAACTCCTGGGCTCAAGTGATCTGCCTGCCTTGGCCTCCTGAAGTGCTGGGATTGTAGGTGTGAGCCACTGTGCCAGGCTTCACTAGGTGTTTTAAAGGAAGAATGAAGAATCAGGAGGGAGGGTGAGCAGGGTGTAGGGGGTGGTTAGTAAAGTCAAGGAAGTGAAAAATTACCAAAAGTGGAAAGTAGGGATTGGCCTGTGTGAAACCCATCTGGGATTGTTAGCTAGTGCTTATCAAAGTTAGGCTCCTACCCTCCCACAGATGCTGGGACACAGGGTGTCTTCAAGTGTCAGCTGGAACTAACAGTAAACTCTTTTGGCAGCCTTGAATTTTCTCAGGCAGGCACTTTAGGGGGAGCTAGAGCCATCCTAGGGATGTGGCCTTGAGCTGTTAGAATCTATGTTAATATTTTGTTCAAGTGCTAGAGATTGGTCAAGAAGGAAATATTTGAGAATTGGACATTTTGAATATTGTAATGTGGTGACTCTGAAATCAGATTATCTTCCCTCCTCAATGATGCCTGATAACTGCTTTTTGAGAGCTGTAGCCATCCATTTCTTTAGTGACTTTTCCAAACTAATTTTGAGCAGATTTTATTCCTTATTGTGTGTGATCACTAAAGTCTCTATTCCATTATATCCATGGTCAGCCAAAGACCTGATGGAGATTTCCTTGAATGCCAACCTCTTTCTTTATCAGATTATCCCTCTGGATGCTACAAGTGTTCAGCCAGCTTCCAGAGTTATGAAATAGTTGATTCAAAGTTCTTGCCCACTCAGAAAAGTTGTTTCATTGGCAGGACCAATTTCTGGAACAATGGAATATTATTCAAATAGCCTTGAAAAGGAAGGAAATTCTGACACATACTACAATATGGATGAACCTTGAAGACATTATGCTATAAGTGAAATCAGCCAGTCACCAAAGGAAGAGTACTGTATGATTTCCCGTATGTAACATATCTAGAGTAATCAAATTTCAAGGGACAGAAAGTAGAATGGTGGTGATTGCTAGGGGCTAGGAGGAGGGAGGATAAGGAATGATTGTTTAATGGGTATGGAGTTTCAGTTTGAGAAGACAAAACATTCTCTGGAAATGGATAGTGATGATCATTCCACAACAGTGTGAACATACTTAATGTCATTAAACTGCACACGTAAAAATGGGAATAAAGGTAAACTTCATGTTATGAATATTTTACCACAGTTTAAAAAACAAATTAGAAAATGCAAGTACGTTTTTATTATGGATATTTTACCACAATTAAAAAAAAAACAATAAACAGGCAAAAAGATCTTATTGTCTCTTACCTCCTTGACTTTCGTAGCATCTGTGTTGTTCAGCACTTACTAAGTCTCAGGGTAGTCTCTTGTTGGCTTCTGTGTAGGTTTGCTTTCGTGATGTTTTCAGCAACTATTTTTTGACCTCAATTTCAAAGCTGTGCAGGCCAGTTTATTTACACATCATTTGAATGATATGGGACTGCCGTAACTTCTAATATGAAAAATTTAAGTTGGCCCTTTCTTTTTTCTTTCTTTCTTTCTTTCTTTTTTTTTTTTTTGAGACTGAGCCTTGCTCTGTCACCCAGGCTAGAGTGCAGTGGTGCAATCTCGGCTCCCTGCAACCTCCATCTCCCGAGTTCAAGCGATTCTTCTGCCTCAGCCTCCTGAGTAGCTGGGATTACAGGCGCGTGCCAGCACGCCCGGCTAATTTTTTTGTATTTTTAGTAGAGACAGGGGTTTCACCGTGTTAGCCAGGATGGTCTCGATCTCCTGACCTCATGATTCACCCGCCTCAGCCTCCCAAAGTGCTGGGATTACAGGTGTGAGCCACCGCGCCCAGCAAAGTTGGCCCTTTCTATGTGACCTAACTTTCCCAAGGGATGCTGTCAGACTCTGCAGTTATTAAAACCATTGCTGAGATACTGCTAACATTATGAACTTGAAATAGTTCCTAAATGAACAAAATATCCTCTTATGAATTCTGTCTCCCATGTACATTTTTAAGGAAAATAAATTTAACTACAGCTGAGGGGTATACATTATAGTTACGGTAGAGAATGGTAATACCAGTTATTTTCCTAAATTTAATTTAGCTTACATTTTTAAGGTATTAACAGAAAAAGTAAGATCTTATCCTTCTCATACATTGTTAGTGGGAATGAAAAATAGTACCAGTCGTATGATGAGGAATGTGGTAATGTCTAGCACATTAAACAAACATTTATCCGTTGATCCAGCAATGCCACTTCTAAGAATATATCCCAAAGCCATGCTGGGAAACCTATAAAAAGATATATGAACAAGGCAGTTCGTTGCAACACTACTTATAATAAATAGCAAAGGACTAAAAATAACCCAAATGTTCATCAGTAGGGATCTGGCTTAATAAATTGTGATTTGGCCTGGCGCGGTGGCTCACGCCTGTAATCCCAGCACTTTGGGAGGCCGAGGCGGGTGGACCACCTGAGGTCAGGTGTTCCAGACCAGCCTGACCAACATGGAGAAACCCCGTCTCTACTAAAAATACAAAATTACCCCGGTGTGGTGGCGCATGCCTGTAATCCCAGCTACTTGAGAGGCTGAGGCAGGAGAATCGCTTGAACCTGGGAGGTGGAGACTGCGGTGAGTCGAGATCGCTGCATTGCACTCCAGCCTGCACAACAAGAGTGAAACTCCATCTCAAGATAAATAAATAAATAAATAAATAAATAAATAAATAAATAAATAATAAAAAAATAAATTGTGATTCATCTGTGCCATGAAGTATTAGGCAGTTGTAGAAGGGAATAGGGTTATTTGTGTGTTCTTATTTCGAGTGATCTTCACCATATTAAGTGCAAAAAAAGTAAGTAAAGAAAATGTGTGTATTATGCTACTATTATATACTTGTACTAAAAAATGATGGGAGGATAAAATATAAAATTAAAAAATAAATGCTTGCCTATTAATAAATGGGAGGAAATAGAGTGGAGGAACAGAATAAATGCCAGACTTATGTGAAACTTCATTTATGGACCTGACTTTGGAATCATTTTATGTAATTAGAAATGAAACTCAGTTTTAGAAACAATTCTTAAACAAGAAAAAATGAAATAAAAGGAATGAACCTGGGTTCCTGATCAGTAGCGTAACCACATATAAAGGAACCATGTGAGTTTAAAACACCATAATTTGACTATTTCTGGTAGAATGTAATGTAAGAATAAAAAGAAATATAAATGTTAAACTATTTTCAGTCATTTTTTTCGGCAGTTGTATTGGTGTTATTTTGAGACTGTTGTGTGGATATTGTGAAATTAAATCCAACAGATTAATTATGTTGAGAAATAGTTTTTGGCATGGTTGAAAGGAGATACAGATGTAAAATTAATATGGTTACATAAAAACCTTATAGTTTTGTTTGCGGTTTTTTTGTTATGTATGACTATATTTATTTTAAATTTTAGATTCAGGAGGTACATGTGCAGGTTTGTTACCTGGGTGTGTTGCATGATGCTGAAGTTTAGGCTTCTCATAATCCCATCACCCAGTTAGTGAGCACAGTACCCCAATAGGTGGTTTTTCAGCTCTTCCCCCCAACCTCCGGTTGGAGTCCTCAGTGCCTGTTGTCCCCATCTTTGTGTCTGTGTGTACCCAAAGTTTAGCTCCTACCCTATAAGTGAGAATATATAGTATTTGGTTTTGTTTGTGTTAATTCATATAATATGGACTCCAGCTACATCCATGTTGCTACAAAGAACATGATTGTGTTCCTTTTTTTTTTTTTTTTGAGACGGACTCTCGCTCTGTCGCTCAGGCTGGAGTGCAGTAGCGTGATCTTGGCTCACTGCAAGCTCCACCTCCCGGGTTCATGCTATTCTCCTGCCTCAGCATCCCGAGTAGCTGGTACTACAGGCGCCCACCACCATGCCTGGCTAACTTTTTGTATTTTTAGTAGAGACAGGGTTTCACTGTGTTAGCCAGGATGGTCTCAATCTCCTGACCTTTTGATCCGCCCGCCTCGACCCCCCAAAGTGCTGGGATTACAGGCATGAGCCACCGCGCCTGGCCATGATTGTGTTCTTTTTTATGGTTGCGTAGTATTCCATGGTGTATATGTACCATGGAATTTTCCTTATCCAAGCCACTATTGATGGGCACCTGGGTTGGTTCTATGACTTTGCTATTGTGAATAATGCTGTGGTGAACATATGGGTGAAGGTGGGGTTTTTTATTTTTTGGCAAAACAATGTATTTTCCTTTGGGTATATACCTAGTAATGGGATTGCTGGGTCGAATGGTCGTTCTGCTTTTAGTTATTTGAGAAATCTCCACATTGCTTTCCACAGTGGCTGAACTAATTTACATTTCCACCAACAGTGTATAAGTGTTCCCTTTTCTCCACATCCTTGCTAACATGTTATTTTTTACTTTTTAGTAATAGCCTGGTGTGAGATGGTATCTCATTGTGAAAACTTAGTAGTGTTGAATTTAAATCAGAAACATAATTGTGAACTCATGATATGTCTGACAACTGAAAACAATGAAGCTCCAAGTAGCAAACAGCACCTGTAGCACAAAAATTATGGTATCTGAATACCATTCTCATTGAATGGAACCTGGACTTACTGGAGAAATGGCTGATTATAGGTCTCTTGGGTAGAAAACTGTAAGATGATCCTGTGCTATCTTCTCATACAGAAAGCCAGATAGCTGTCAAGGTCTACTGGAGTTGTGTTGAAAGGACCCAGGTGTCAACTTGAGTGGACTCTGTCTAATGATGCAGATGATTAAAACTATCAAATGTGTTTAAGTTCTTGGCTCATAATGACTCAAACTCACTCCCCTCTCCACCAAACAGACAAAATACTATTTCATGATATTGTTAATTTTGGAGGATGCTAGGGAACCAGGTTTTTGTTTGTTGGTTTGTTTGTTTGTTTGTTTTGACGGAGTCTCGCTTTGTTACCCAGGCTGGAGATCTCGGCTCACTGCAGCCTCCACCTCCTGGGTTCAAGCAATTCTCCTGCCTCAGGCTCCTGAGTAGCTGGGATTACAGGCGCGCAGCACCATGCCCGGCTAATTTTTATATTTTTAGTAGAGATGGGCTTTCACCATGTTGGTCAGGCTGGTCTCGAACTCCTGATCTCATGATCCACCCACCTTGGCCTCCCAAAGTGCTGGGATTACAGGCATGAGCCACTGCGCCTGGCCGGGAATCAGCTTTTTAAAAAAATAGACATGTGTCAAAGACTATGTCTAACTCATTATTTAATGAGGAAATCAGTAAGATGTTACAAGCAGTTCAAAGGTTAATTCAAACACTGCACACATATAAGCAATCAGGAATGCTGAAATAAATTTACAAATAAATGTAAAAGTGGCCAATATCAGTGGGGCAATAATCAGTTACGTTCTACTGGACAAAATTCCTTTACATTTGTATCGTCAAGAATCATTTGCACTACTATCAGTTTTATACAACTATCAGTTGATAAACTATCAGTTTTATCAGTTTTATGCAGAGTTTTGAAATAGCATAAAGACATTGAAAGGCAGAAATAACCCTGAAGTGTGCATTAGACAGAATATCCAGTGAATTTTTTTTTTTTTTTTTGCTCTTTAACAAGTTTTAATGCCAGTCTCCCCGCCTCTTGATCAGATTAATCTTAAAGGTTATTCTCCATCACAAAAAGGGTCTTTCTTCATTAGATTTGGCCTAATTATTTACATAGGTGCAGAAAGAGTGCTAATTAAGCATACAGACTTCCTTGAGTTCATTTTGCAAAATTTAAAATTATTTTAAAGCCTGGAAAATGAACAGAAAGAGTCAAGTATATATCCTGCTTTTCATATATGAACTATACCTCAGGGTAACAAAACAGTTGATGAGGAAAAGTCTGTGTCTCTATATGTATTCTTATTCATAAAGAAAAAATGACAGAGTGAGACTAGCACTATTTTGGAAACCCTAATAAATTAATGAGTCTGTCATCATTAAAAATGGCCGCTAACATCACAAAAAGAGAGACAATATTGGCCGGGCGTGGTGGCTCATGCCTGTAATCCCAGCACTTTGGGAGGCCAAGGAGGGCAGATCATGAGGTCAAGAGATCGAGACCGTCCTGGCCAACATGGTGAAACCCTGTCTCTACTAAAAATACAAAAATTAGCTGGGTGTGGTTGTGCGCACCTGTAGTCCCAGCTACTCAGGAGGCTGAGGCAAGATAATCGCTTGAACCCGGGAGGCAGAGGTTGCAATGAGCCGAGATTGTGCCACTGCACTCCAGCGACAGAGTGAGACTCCATCACAAAAAAAAAAAAAAAGAGAGAGAGACAATATTTGCCTTTTATTGATCTGAATTTGGCCAAACCTCTGTATTTAATCACCAAATTACAAGAAATACAGAGGCTAGAGAAATGTTTAATGATAGAGGACTACAATCAGAAAGTTTAGACTGTAAGAAACTCTTTAGGACAAATGAACTGGTTTCTTCAGTAAATTTCACAGAGGAAAAAGTGGATGGGAAACCCATAGACTGTCTAAGATTCCTAACAGCCAGTTGTACCACATGGACCTGCTTTGTATCCTGTGTGGCCTGATTCAAAGTGTGAAAAAATTTAGACAATTAGGGAAATGTGAACTCAGTATCTGATGATATTAATGAATTTTTATTTATTATAGATATGATGACTATTTTGGCTATGTTTTCAGAAAGCTTCTCAATTCCTTTAGAAAGATTTAAGGGTAAAATTATATGATGCCTGGTATTGGTTGCACAATAATTCAGATGGTAGGGGCTGTAAATGAAACACAGTTGGCCGTAAGTGGATTAATTATTGATGTTGGGTGATAGACACATGTGCCTTCATTATGCTGTTTTCTTTGGTTTTGCATGTGTATGAAATTTTCTGTAATAAAAATTAAACCTAAAGGCCTTCTAATAAATATACTTCTTTCACTTGATTTCCTTTAATAATGTGTAACTTGTCACTGTTAAGAGTATATAATGCACAGTCTTTCAAGTTTAACTCCTTAAATATTTTATCATCATAGGTTTTAAACAAAATCATGGTAGCTTGCTATGGCTTCCTACAGATCTTACTTTTTCTATTTCAGATCATATGAATTTGGAAGTTTGAGAAATAACCTACCACTTTCCTTTAAAACACATACATGTTATTCATGTAATTATGTGATCAACTGTTGTATAATAAATGAAAGCTGTTGTAAAGCCATGTCATTTTTCCTTTGAGCCTCTCCAAGTGAATAATCAATTTTATGTTTGGTTTGTTTCCAGATAACCTTTTTCATGCTGCTTTCTGCGGTGTGTGTAATGCTGAATTTGGCTGGTTCAATTCTCTCTTGTCAGAATGCTCAGCTAGTCAACTCCCTAGAAGGCTGCCAGTTGGTAAGTAATGAAATGCAAACCCTTTCATAAAGGTCATAGGATTTGATTGTGTACAAGAGCAATTTTAAAAATAATTTTACTGTATTCTTAGGTTCTCATGTACACTTTCAATTCATTCTGATGTTTTCTAGTTTAGGGTATTTAGGTTAAGCTGATTTATTTCTATAAGTTAGATAACAATTCACTTACTGATTTATAAGTAGAACAATTAAAACTTTTTCTTCTTGTAAATCAGCTACTAGTAGTATATTTTTAAGGATCACAACGTAGTGCTATTTTGGAATAAATATCCTTAGTAACTATTATATTTTAGCATTTGTTGCATTGATTCTTATTTGTATTGAATTTTTAAAAATCAGTTTGCAAGTCAGTTTTAAGTGCTGATGTACATATTATGCTGGATGACGAATATATCAAAACAATATAGTTAGCATTTCTCAATTAAAAAGAATTTTCTTTCAGATCCAGGAAAATTGTAGACAGTGTGCTATGTACATTGTAGAACAGAGGTATTCAATCTTTTGGCTTCCTTGGGCCACGTTAGAAGAAGCATTGTCTTGGGCCACACATAAAATACACTAAAACTAGCGATAGCTGATGAGCTAAAAAAAAAAAAAAAAAAAAAGTCACAAAAAAAACTCATAATGTTTTAAGAAAGTTTACGAATTTGTGTTGGGCCACATTCAGAAAATTGTAGACAGTGTGCTGTGTACATTGTAGAACAGAGGTATTCAGTCTTTTGGCTTCCTCGGGCCACGTTAGAAGAATTGTCTTGGGCCACATATAAAATACACTAATATTAGCGACAGCTGATGAGCTAAAAAAAAATAAGTCACAAAAAATATCTCATAATGTTTTAAGGAAGTTTACGAATTTGTGTTGGGCCTCATTCGAAGCCATCCTGGGCTGCATGCAGCGTGGTGGGTTGGACGAGCTTGTTGTAGAAGATCAACAACTTGTTTGTTGGATAGAACGATCATTTCAAAATAACTTAGCTCATGGTACTGTAATAGGTACATCTGGCTGTGACAGAAATTGCAGTGTGTTTGGTTGCATTCTGGTATGAATATACTTAAACTCCTGATAGGACTGTGGTTCCCTGGGTATGGGGACATGGGCCTTCGTTTCTTTGTCTTGGAAGCAACAGCAGGCTACCTTTCAGAGCCATGTCCCTCCACAGTTGCCCTCTGCCTGCTCTACCTGTGGCTATGATTCTGAGAAGTGATTGCTGAATTACCAGAAGCTTTTCTGCTGTGGGACCATGCCTGCTTGGCTTGGGACCATGTTGTTTGGATTCACAGGGGCAGCCACTGGAAAGCCTGCTGCTCTCTGCATTCTTATCTACGAAGGCCAGCAGGACCAGTGTCGCTGGCACAGTTTCAATGCTGAAGCTGCCCACTGAGTTACAAAAATGAATTGTTGGGGCTTCATCTTGTTATTGTCTGTTGAATGTGGCCTAGAAAACATTGATCAGATTTCATCCCTATATGATGTGCACAGAAGTATTCTCGGTATGGTGTAGACCCCCTTAAGATTGACAATTGACACAACCTGGATCCCCATCTCCATCTGAAAGGATAACTTGCCATCTTGTATCCATAACTTGGCCAGCCTTTTTGTTCCTAAATACTAGGTGCTATGAGTATAGCAAAATCTGGTGACCTACAAGGAACTGGCCATTTTTTTCTTAGACTCTCATTTTCCAGTGCAGGGCTCTGTGTGGGGGAGACAGAGTGATTGGGTGAAGGGAAACTCAGTGTCTGGAGGTTCACACCAAAAAGAAAGCCCACACACATTGCCCAAGCTTGAAGGGCTGACCCCTCCTGGTCTTAATCTCAGACCGTTTTCCCACATCGCAGACTGCATGGAAGTATAGGAAAGGGAGATTTGGTCTCCTCTATTTCTTACCGCTTTCTATACCTCCACGGATACATAAAAAGAACATCATGTACCACAGATATGTACTCTCACATACATCTGTTTGGTTGATGGTACCACAGAATCATCAATATTTCCCTCACTTTAGAACTTGATCCTAGGTCTCCCTCTGCCTTGGCTCATACAAGGCCAGAAATCTCAGAGCTACAAACCAGTGTGTTCATTTGCTTGGGGGCAATGTGTGCAGCACAAACAGTACTGGATTTGGAGTCAGCAATCCAGGATCAAAGCCATGCTTCACCACCTCCTGGTTATGTGACTTAGGACAAGTCACTCACTGTTTCTCGGCCTTGCTTCCCTTTCCTATTGATATGGTTTGGATTTGTGTCCCTGCCCAAATCTCATGTTCAGTTGCAATCCCGAGCGTTGGAGGTGGAGACTGCTGGGAGGTGATTGGATCATGGGGGCAGATTCTCATGAGTGGTTAGCACCATTCCCTCGGTGCTGCCCTCATGATAGTGAGGGAGTGAGTTCTCACGAGAACTGGTTGTTTAAAGTGTGTGGCACCTCCCTTCCTTGCTTTCTCTCTGGCTCCTGCTCTGGCCACGTGACTTTCTGGCTCCCCCTTCACTTTCCACCATGATTGTAAGTTTCCTGAAGCCTCCCCAGAAGTCAAGCAGATGCTGGCATCATGCTTCCTGTACAGCCTGCATGAGCCAGTTAAACCTCTTTATAAATTACCCAGTCTCAGATATTTCATTCTAGCAATGCAAGAATGGACTAATACACCTGTTCAGTGTGGACATGACCTACCCTGAGTTCTTCATAGAATATTGCAAAACCTATACAACACATAAAAGGTATGCTCCTTTCATATATAAAATTTCATATATAAAAATTATACATTTACTATAGAAATTCAAAAAACAAAATTTCATATATAAAAATTATACATTTACTATAGAAATTCAAAAAACAAAACACTTCACAGTCCTACCACCCAGTTGATTATGTCCTTCCAGTCTTTTCTGTGCATAATGTGTGTGTATATGGATGTATGGGTATGCATGCATGTATGTATACATATATATTTAATGTATTTAAATGTGCTATCCACTTCATGCTGCCTTGTGATTTCTTTTTTAACTGATCACATTGTTCCATGTTTTATTTATTTATTTTTTGAGATGAAGTCTTGCTCAGTCACCCAGGCTGGTGTGCAGTGGCACAATCTCAGCTCACTGCAACCTCTACCTCCTGGGTTCAAGCGATTCTTCTGCCTCAGCCTCCCAAGTAGCTGGGACTATAGGCATGGGCCACCACGCCCAGCTAACTTTTATACTGTAGTAGAGACAAGGTTTCACTATGTTGGCCAGACTGGTCTCGAACTCCTGACCTCAGGTGATCCGCCTGCCTTGGTGGGATTACAGGCATGAGCCACCACGCCCGGCCTGTTCCATGTTTTAAAATATTCTACAACTTTATTGGTAGTGACTACTCTATATGTATGAATGTAACATTGTTTATTTAACCATATCTCTGCTTTTTGCAATTAGAGAGATGGCCATTATTCTTATACAAATTAAATCCTTTTTACAGCTCCTAAAATTAGATATACATGATAAAAATGAATGTATCTTTAGAGTATTTGGTGCATATTGACATAGTGCCTTTTAGGGAAGTTTACCCATTTATATTCCCAATATATGATAATGCTCTTCCCCTACACCTTTGCCAGCACTGAAAGTTGTTATTCTTTTTAATCCATGCTAATTTGAAAGATATAAGATGATTTCATTGTTTAATTTGAATTTCTTTGAGTACTAGTAAGATTAAACTTTTTAGTCATTTATAATTGCATATACATAAGCTTATATGTATTTATACATATATGTGTAATTATGTCATATATTCATGTTTATGCACCATTTATATTTTATTTTCTTCTCTGTTTTGTCTGTATGTGTTCTGTACTCAGTTATAGATTTAAATATTTATCAATGATTTATAAGAGCTCTTTATATATTATAGTTTTGAATCCTTTGACTTATATTGGGCAAATATATTCCCTGGATTGTTATTTGCCTTTTAATTTTTGTCAGAAAAGTAGAAAACTTTTTAATTTTTATATATTCAAATTTACCAATGTTTCTCTTTGTAATCTTACCTTAGAATCATGCTTAAAAAGATTGTCTCCTTTCCAAGATTATGCTACCCCAATAACTTCCTGGTTATGGTGTGCTTTTTTTTAATATAGTTAACTCTTTAGTATTTTACAATCTACTCGATGAATTGAACTTTTTCTCTCTAAACAGTTTAGTAGTTTACCTGAAACCATTTTCTGAATACTCTAGTATTTCCCTGCTGATTTGAAATGTCACCCAGATCATTAAAAATCATTTGCAGCAAGTTACAATTACTAAGAAAGCCACAGGCCATTTATTGTGAGGATAGTGGGGCCTATTGAATCATCAAGGAGGCTAGAGATCAGGCTTGAAAACTGGCTGGTTCTAAGGAAGCTTCTTCTGTTGGCTCAGAAATCTGACTGAGACTGGGGCCTACAGTGGGAACCCTGAACTTGCCAGGGTGCAGTTCTGCAGGAGTGGACAATTCCTATGGTTCTTTACCTCTGGGTCTGTTTGCATTAGAGTCAAAGAGCTGGGAGGGAGTGTTTAATTGGATACAGGAGGATGATAATTTGCTTACCTGTCCTACCAGACTGAATTCAGTCACACATGGGCTACTTTTTTTTTTACAGACATACCGGAAACAAAGTTGGCTGCTATTAAGCAGGGTTGGGGGAGGGAAGCTGGACATGTATGCTGGGTGGTGAAGAAACAACCAATATCAACTCTGCCAGTGTTATCATTGCATGCACACATGCGCACACAGATAGTAGTGCCCATTTGTCTATTTCTGGACTTTTTATTCATATTCATTCAACATTCATATGTCTGTTTATTCATATTCCAGAGCAATACCACTTAAATTACCTTGACTTTATAATCTATTTTTATACATGGTAGGACAAGTTCTACCCCTTACCCCATCCCGGACTTTTAATCTATTTCTTTAAAATGTTCTTGCCTGGTTTTAAATGTTTAGTCTTCTAGATGCACTTTGATTTTCTTTTGCCAAGACTTGGAAAGAATGGATTTGAGATTTGAATTGGCATCATATTAAATTTGTAGATTACTTTGAGGGAAAATTAAAACATCTAAACAATACCATGTCTTTCCATTCCAGAACATACAGTGTATGCTTTGATTTATCCAAATTCTTTTCAACTTCTTCACTCCAGTTTTTGTTTTTCTTTAGGATACCTACTACATTTCCATATGTTTGTGTGGTGATTGTGTTTTTTTCTCTGCATAATTTAAGACTAGCTAGTGTTCTCTGCATAAAAAGGATATCTAAACTAAAGTCAATCTTTTATTCTGGGCTCCTAGCACCTCCCCTTCCTGCTACAGGGTTTTGCGTGTGTGTGTGTGTGTGTGTGTGTGTGTGTGTGTGTGTGTGTGCCTTTCCAGTCATCATCTGCACATATTTTTGTTTATGGATTTTTTTTTACACACGTGGGCTACTCAACATGGATTTTGTAGTCAACCATGTAGCCTGGTGACATTTTCACATCAGCACTTGGAGGTCTTCTCTGCTGTTAAACAGGGAGTAGCGGATAATTCCACTGGATGGATGTGTGATAATTCATATAACCACCCCTTAATGAAGGATAAGTTAAAAGATGTTTCTAGTCTTTTGCTAAAATGAACATGCAAATAATTTTTTTTTTTTGAGATGGAGTTTTGCTCTTGTTGCCCAGGCTGGAGGAGTGCAATGGCGCAATCTCAGCTCACTGCAACCTCCACCTCCTGGGTTCAAGCGATTCTCCTGCCTCAGCCTCCTGAGTAGCTGGGATTACAGGCGCCCGCCACCATGCCCAGATACATTTTTTTGGTATTTTTTTGTAGAGATGGAGTTTCACTATGTTGGCCAGGCTGGTCTCAAACTCCTGACCTCAGGCGATCCACCTGCCTCAGCCTCCCAGAGTGCTGGTATTACAGGCATGAGCCACTGCGCCCAGCCTTTTTTTTTTTTTTTTTTTGGAAACAGGGTTTCACTCTGTTGCTTAGGCTGGAGTGCAGTGGTGCCATCACGGCTCACTGCAGCCTCAACCTCCCTGGGCTCAGGTGATCCTCCCGTCACAGCCTCCCAATTAGCTGGGACTACAGGCATGTGCCACCACAACCAGCTAACTTTTTTTGTATTTTTTGTAGAGAGTTTCACCGTGTTGGCCAGGCTGGTCTCAAACTCCTGAACTCAAACTATCTACCTGCCTTGGCCTCCCAAAGTGCTGGGTTTACAGGCGTAAGCCACTGTGCCCGATTGAATAGTATTCTTTGTACATATTCATTACTCAACAGATACTGAGTGGCTATTGCTGCTGCTTGGGGAACTGGCCTAGGTGCTGGGGGTGTAGCAGTGAACAAGGAAGGAATGCAAACAGATCTAGAGAAAAAAATCACTAAGACCGTCCCTGCAGTCAGAGCATGAGTGCACTTTAAATTTAGAATCTTATTCCTAAATTGCTCTCCAAACACAAGGCACCCCTTCACACCTTTGCCAGCAGTCTGAGCCTGTGCCTGGTTACCCAGATCCAAACTTGTGTGTTGTCAGAATTGTTTTTGTCTTCACCAATCTGACAAAATTGTACAATTTTATTATGTAATTTTCATTTCTTTAATTAAAAGTGAAGTTGAGCATCTTTATATTTGTTTATAAGTTGCTTATATTTCTTTATCTGTTAACTGCCACTTCACGTTTGTTACCTATTTTACTGTTATATTGTTGTTTTTATAATTTACATATTATATATATTATATACATATATATACTTCCTTATGTTAAGGAAACTGGCTATTGTTATATTGGTTGCAAACATATATTTTTAATAGTTTGTTATGCATCTTTTGACTTTTTGAATGGCATTCTTTGGGTATTTTCTGTACTCACATTGGTTTTATTCATTTACGTATTTTAACCCTTTTGATTGCTGGGTTATGTGTTTTTCCTAGAAAAGCCTTTCCCACTCCAAGATTATAAATAATTTTCTACTATCCCCTCAGTATTTTCGGGTTTTATTTTTTAAATATTTATGTGTTTTATCGATCTAGGATTTATTTTGTTATAAATGTTACTACACTTTTATAGTTTTCTAAAATATACATATGAACTTTCCATGTTTCAAATTTAGTCCTAGGTATTGTAAATATTTTCTTGCTCTGGTGGATGCCTGTTTTAGTTATTATTTTATACTGAAGAGGCTACTCGCCGCATGTAAGACTTTTTGCAGTTTTTTATTACTTGCATTGAACTGTACAAGCAGTTGAATGTACACCTGAATCTTTGATCCCATAGTTTGTCAGAGGAAATGATTACATTTTCTTCTGCTTTCCAGTATCTGTACATCTTGTTTTGCTTTTCTGTGTAGTTGCTGTGGCTAAAACTGTTAAAATAACATTGGATAATGATGTTTTGTTAAAATAACATTAGATGATGGTATTTCATCATCCACCTCTTGCTCCTGAATTTAATGAGAAGCTCTTAGTGACCCACCACCAAGCATGCTGCTGAGAGATGGTTTCTATTAGCAAATCTCCCCATTTGCTGAGCTTCATAGGACACAGGACAGGAGACACAGCAGGGACAGCATCTTCACATCACTGGGAGGTCCCGCAGCTCCATTTCCCTCACACCCACATGCGGTGTTCACTGCCTGCGTGGGGGAGACTCTCACTGAGAAGCCACAGTTCACTTTTCCATCAGTTGTTTTTATAACACTTTTGTCTTCACGGAGGCCCAAGGCCTGCAGGCCACCACGCTGCTTCCCTGATCCAGGCGTCCTTCCCAGCACATGAGATGACCACAGCCTTCCATATCCATCTCAACGCTGCAGTGTCCGAGAAAAGGAAGCAGTGACCTGAGAGGACAGAACTTTTGGGTCATTTTTCCTGGCGCACATGCGTCAGCCCAGACCCGATGTGACCCTTCACTCACAGTGAGGATTTACAGGGAAAAAGGTTGACTAACACTGGAATTTTTTAACACCCTTGTTTTATTCCTGGCTTTCACAGGATTGCTCCTAATGGGTTACCATGTAGAGTAATGTCTGCCATCAGCTTCTGAGAGATGCCTTTATTAATGGGAGGTATTCGCTTCCATCCTGGCTTTCTAAGATTTTTTTAAATCAAGATGCATGTAAATTTTATCACCATCCTTTTAACATCTCTGAAGATGATCATATGGCTTTCCTCCTTTAGTTTATTAATGTAGTGATTTGCATTAATGGATTTCCTAATGCAGAATCACTTTTGCATTGCAGAAATAGGCAATGGTCCTGGTGCTGAGAAGGTATACATTAGGCTGCATTCACTTTGTTAATATATTATTTAAGAGTTTTGCATCAACATTCAGAAATGAGATAACCTACAGTTTACCTTGAGGTGCCCTCCTTGTCCAGTTTCGTCTTAGAATTATGCATACTTTAAAATGAAAGTGGAAGAATTTGATTTGACTTATGCTCTGAAACAGTTTATATAACCTGGGAATTATCTAGGTTTATTTTAATTTGGGGGAGGTAATTTGACTACTTTTAACGTATTTTCCCATGTTCATTATGTTATTCGTGTTTTCTTTCTTTTTGGGGATCATTTTTGTTAATGTCTTTCGAACATTGTATATTTCATCTGTTTTTTCCAATTTATTGTTATAAAGCTACAGATAATATTCTTTTACAGTTCAAAAATAAACATTTTAGCAAATCTTTAGAGATTCAAAGTAGATTAATAGTTCCCTAGAGCCGGGGGTCTCGGGAGGAAATGGGGAATTTGAGGGAAGGGTTGACTATGTATGTTTTTATTTTATTAACCCCTTCTACTTTCTTAATTCACATATTGTTAATTTTCCCCCTTTTATAGTTGAGTAACAGTAATAATACTGTATAGATTGGCATTGTTGATACACAGTGCTCTTGTGGACTTAGTTCCACTTGGTTTGTAATTTTCATTTTTGCTTTTCTCTTTAACCTAATCATCGCTCAGATTGATGTCCTTAACTTTTTAGGTAGTTAGACTTTTTGGTTTTTTGCTTTCCTTTTACTGTTAATTTCTAACGTCATTGCATGAGAACATGTGGCCCCTAATTTCTACTTTTTACAATCCACTAAAATTTTCTGTAACTTTGTATAGGAATAGTTTTTGGATGTATTTTGTGGGTTTTTGTTAAATACAACAAAACATGGATTCCCAGCTTGTTGTGATCAAAATGTATTCACATATTTGTGTGTCTGTGTGTGTGTGTTCATGGCGAGAGAGCTTCTTACAACATAAACTCAGCCACGTGCTTCCCACTGGACTCGGAGCGCTGTCCAGCATCCTCGCCGTGGCGTGTGAGTGCCTGCTTTCATCTGGCTCCTCCAGCTTCGCTAGCCTGCAGTGGTACTCCTGGGCACCACGTCCCTGCCTTGCCAGCTGTGCTAGAATCTCAGGGTCTTTCTACTTCAGGCTGCCCCTGCACGCTGCACCACAGCTGTTCTTCCTCCCAGCTGGTCTCTAGGTGGCTCCTTCTGGACCTCTAGATTCCAGAGTCGGTGGGACATCGATGCAAGGGCCTTCCCTCAGCCCTCGTCCAAGGGGCTCCCCAGCTCTGCGGTTCTCTGAGCATTCTGTCTCTTTTTCTCCAAGCCCTGACATTTCCCCATCATTCGCTACATGGCAAAGCAGCACAAGGGAGAAGGCCATGTCTGTGCTGCGCCTTGTCCCACATCCAGGGCCTGGCACCATTCCTGGAGGGGAGCATGTGAGTGAACCACTGAGTGCCTCCCAACTGTTCCTGTCTGAAGAGCCCCTTAGGAAATTAAAAAGGCATTTTGGGATTTCAAGCAAACATGCTGTTTCACTTAAATTAATTAGAAAAGAGCATTATTGATTTTCAAATGCCCCTTAAAATGCCTCATTATATTTTAATTTGAGGCTCCATGCACATTAAAATATGACAGCAACAAAACTTTATTTAAAAAATGGATTTTTAAAAAATATACACGTTTTTTAATTTAAAAAATTCTTTTGGCCAGGTGCAGTGGCTCACGCCTGTAATCCCAGCACTTCGGGAGGCCAAGGCAGACAGATTACTTGAGGTCAAGAGTTCGAGACCAGCCTGGACAACCTGGTGAAATCCCATCTCTACCAAAAAATACAAAAATTAAGTGTGAATGGTGGCATGCACCTGTAATCCCAGCTACTTGAACCGGGGGCAGGGGGACGCAGGGGGTGCAGTGGAGGTTGCAGTGAGCCAAGATCGTGCCACTGCACTCCAGCCTGGGTGTCAAAGTGAGAACATGTCTTCAAATAAATAAATCATAAAAATACAAATAAAACAATTTTTTAGAGACAGGGTCCAGGGTCTCACCTATTGCCCAGGCTGGAGTGCAGTGGTGCAATCATAGCTCACTGTAGCTTCATACTCCTGGGCTCAAGTGATCCTCCCACCTCACTCTTCCAGGCAGCTGGCACTACAGGTATGCACCACCACACCCAGCTAATTTTTTAATTTTTTGTAAGGGTGGTGGTGGGGGGGGTCTCACTGTATTGCATAGGCTAGTCTTGAACTCCTGGCCTCAACTGATCCTCCGGCCTTAGCCTCCCAAAGCACTGGGAAATAAACTGATTTTTAATGACTCAGTTATTTCAATTCATTCTGCAGAAGTTTGGGATTTCCCATCATACTTTTCTTACTGTATTTTTAAATGAAAGCATAACAGAGGATGCTTTTGAAATGCAATTTAATGTAATATAATGCATTATATGGCTTGATGAATATTTGGTTTTAAATGAATAGAACTATTTTCCCTTTCTTTTTAAATATGAAATGAAATAGTAATAGATTCTCATTGTAAAAGATGCAAGAAGTACACAAACTGGAGCAAAACAAAGTCTCCCTCCTCTCTCTGCCTCCTACTCCCTACCACACAGGCAATTGCTTTATGATGTATCCATTTTTTGTGTATGCACATATATATTTATGTACATGTATATGTACACAGTCATCCAACTGTATAGTTTTATTTTTAAGCAAATATGCTTATACTGTATGCATTTGTCTGCAATGTTTTCCCTACTCAAAGTTCCATTTCATACATTGCTGTATATCTAGGGGGCTGCTTCATCTTTGAAAGGCAGCAGAGAGTACTTTACCCCTGCTGAGAAGCGGTTAGCCCATCCCCTCTGTTTTGCTATCGCAGGCCTGACCTCAGTGAATATACATTCTTTTTCTTCTGTAAATTTAGATATAGTCAGGCACTAATTTCATTATAAAGAAAACAAACAAAATCTTCATTATGATAGCATTGAATGAATTAAAATATTTTTCCTACTTAGCATTGTCACAGAAACTAGAAATTTAGGTGGAAAATTACATAAAAGATACGTATTTAACACATTTTAGTATATGTTTGGACATAAGCTTAAAATGTGCTCTTTGATATTTTTATACAAACCTAATACTGACTGCATGATGATCATGATGATGATGATGATATGATGGTCGCTAACTTTCCTGAGCCCTTGCTGTGTGCAGGGCACTGCTTGAGCACATTCTGTACGTTCATTCATTTACTTCTGACAACTATGCATGGGAGACAGGTAGGGAATCTGAGACCTTGGGAGTTAGCTGGCATCAGATTCCAACCTGTGCTGTTAGCCGTTCACAAATCATTATATTTTGGCTTGACAGTGCATCTTAGTCTGTTGTGTGCTGCTATAGCAGAATACCACAGACTGGGTAATTTATTTCTCACATTTTGGGAGGCTGGGAAGTCCAAGATTGAGGGGCCAGCATCTAGCCCGGGCCTTTTTGCTGCAATATCCCATGGCAGAAGGTGAAAGGGCAAGAGAGGGCCAAAGAAAGAGCAAGATATTGAACTCACAGCCTCAAGCCCTTTTATAATCAGCATTAATCCATTCCTGATGGTGGAGCCCTGCTGACCAAAGCACCTCCCATAGGCCCCCGCCTCCCAACGCTGTTGCATTGAGGATTAAGTTTTCCTTTTCTTTCTTTCTTTTTTTTTTTTTTTCTGAGACGGAGTCTCGCTCTGTCGCTCAGGCTGGAGTGAATGGTGCAATCTCTGCTCACTGCAACCTCCGCCTCCCGGGTTCAAGCAGTTCTCCTGCCTCGGCCTCCTGAGTAGCTGGGATTACAGGCATGTGCCTCCACGCCCAGCTAATTTTTTGTATTTTTAGTAGAGACAGGGTTTCTACATGTTGGTCAGGCTGGTCTCGAACTCCCGACCTCAGGTGATCCGCCCGCCTCGGCCTCCCAAAGTGTTGGGATTACAGGCGTGAGCCACCATGTCCAGCCAAACATTAAGTTTTCAACACATGCTTTTTGGGGAGCTTATTCAAACCATAGCACATAGGACTTTTACTCTAGAATTATACTGACAATTAAAAGAGGAGAGCATGAGAAACACCCGACAGCGGAGGGAAGGAATATATCTTATTTATTTTGGGGAAAAGTCATTCTTTGAATAATGAGAGAAACTGTCCCATACAGATAATTTTAAAGAATCTAAACCAGAGGTTGTGTGTCACAACAAAGAGATGCAAAACTAGTGTGTAGTTTTGTACGAAGTGTGAGCTCTTCCTTGCTGGCCACGTCAAGCATGTAAACGGGAAAAGTATTGTTTCCTGTAAGTAAACAATAAAATGATTTCTGTTGTGCTTACCCATTATTACACCAGTGTTTTTCTGACCCTAAGTCCTTTTTAATTAGATTCAACACACTGCAGGGACAACATGACATATCCTTGTCAGCTGTTTATCCTTGAAAGTCTGGTTAGCCCTGATCCCAGCTGTGCCTGTGATCTGCATACTAATCAAATGCCTCTCTCGACTTGCTCCAGGCTTTCTGGATACACATATTTACCTATGTCCCCCCCAAATTAAAGAGGGGTGTCCCTGGGAGATCTGACACCTGGCTGAGGGCTTTGATGGAAACTGATTGCTGCCTTCTTTTTCCTTGTCTGTTTGTGTTTCTGATTGGTGAACTTGACCTCAGCCTCTTCCCTGGTGTGTGCCTCAAGTATGATGCGTGGTTTCTGGGAGGTGAAGGCCAGAATGTCGCCCTTTTCCTAAAAGTAATTAGCAAAGGACTTTTTATACAACCCGGGGAACAGGTGTTAAAAAGAAATACAAGCATTTGGTGGCAAGGGAAGGAGGCATGATGAGCTTGGTTTTTGTAATTTTCACCTTATCCTTATTTCCACGTCTACCTGAGGGATGTGGAAAGGATTATGGTTTCCTCCCTTCACGTGGCATAAACATCTCCTGAAGCAGGGGTGTGCTGGAGCTGCCTTGTATTGGCTTGAGAGAGTGGCTTATTAAAATATTAGATTTTTTTCAAAAAACAAAACAATTTTATATCTCTTTATTGACATGTAAGTCATTGATGTGGTTTGGATATATGTCCCCACCCGAATCTCATATTCAATTGTAATCCCCAGTGTTGGAGATGGGGCCTGGTGGGAGGTGATTGGATCATGGGGTGGTTTCTCATGGTTTAACACCATGCTTCTTGGAGCTGTCATCATGATAGTGAATTCTCATGAGATCTAGTTGTTTAAAAGTGTGTAGCACCTCGCTCCTCTCTGTCTGGCTCCTGCTCTGGCCACGTAAGACGTGCCTGCTTCCCTTCACCTTCTGCCATGATTGGAAGCTCCCTGAGGCCTCCCCGGCAGCAGATGCTGCCATGCTTCTTGTATAGCCTGTGGAACTGTGAGCCAATTAAACCTCTTTTTTTTTTTCTGAGATGGAGTCTCACTCTGTCACCCAGGCTGGACTGCAGTGGCATGATCTTGGCTCATTGCAACCTCCGCCTTCCAGGTTCAAGCGATTCTCCTGCCTCAGCCTCCCGAGTAGCTGGGACTACAGGCACGTCCCACCAAGCTGAATAATTTTTTGTATTTTTTTTTAGTAGAGATGGGATTTCACTGTGTTAGCCAGGATGGTCTCAATCTTCTGACCTTGTGATCTGCCCACCTCGGCCTCCCAAAGTGCTGGGATTACAGGCGTGAGCTACCGCGCCTAGCTCCAGACTAATACACTCATGTATCATATAATTCACCCATTTAAGGTATAATATTCAGTGGTTTCTAATATATTCACAGATGTATGTAAACATCATTGAAGTCAATTTCACCTTAAAAAGCAACCCTGTACCTTTAGCTCTCACTCTCCTTCCTTGCCCCCATCCCTGGGCTACCACTAGTCTACTTTCTGTCTTTATAAATTTCCCTGTTCTGGACTTTCATATGAATGGAATCACATAATATGTAGTCTTTTATGACTGGCTTCTTTCTTAGCGTAATGTTTTCAAGGTTCATACATATTGCAGCATGTATCAGTACTTCATTCTTTTTTATGTCTGAATAATATTCCATAGTGTGGATTAAGCACATTTTGTTTATCCGCTCATCCATCAGTGGACATTTGGGTTGTTTCCACCTTTTGGCTATTATGAACAGTGCTGCTATAAACATTTATATACAAGTTTTTATGTGCATATATTTTCATTTCTCTTGGGTATATCACTTTTAATGGCAAAAACCACAATTGCTTTTGCGTCAACCTAATACCTCGGAATAGAATTGCCAGGTTACTTGGTAACTCTAGTTGAATCATTGAAGAAAGTGCCAGACCATTTTACGGAGCAGCTGCACCATTGTACATTTCCACCAGCAACGCGTGAGGGTTCCATTTTCTCTACATCCTTGCCAACGTTTCTTTTCTGACTTTGTTTTAAGCCATCCTAGTGGGTACAAAGTAGTATCTCATGATGGTTTTGAATTGCATTTCCCTGATTACTAATGATTCCAAGCATCTTTTCATGTGCTCATCAATCATAGGCAAAACAGTGAACCTCAACCTAAACCTCATCCCTTTTATAAAAACCAACCTAATGGGATTAAATATAAAATGCAAAACTACAAAACTTTTAGAAAAAACATAGGAGAAAAAATGTTGGTATCTAGTGCTAGGCAAAGAATTCTGAGACTTGACTCCAAAATCATCACCTATAAAAGGAAAATGTTAAGAAAAATTAAAAACCAGGTCTCCGAAAATCCACCTGAAGAGGTTGAAAAGACAAGCTACAGACAGGGAGAAAATATTAGTGAGCCACATGTATGCCAAAGGACTAGTATCTAAAATATATGAAGAACTTTCAAAATTCAACAGTGAAAAACAAGCCAATTAGAAAATGGGCAAAACACATTTCATTTTGTCAAAAGCTTCTTCCTTGTCAATTAATATAATCATGTAATTTTTCTTCTTTGGCTTGTTGATCTGGTGGATTTCATTGATTTTCAAATGTTAATCAGTTTTATATACCTAAAACAAATATCACTTGGCCATGGCATGTAGTAATCTTTACACATTGTTGGATTTGGTTTGTACATATTTTATTGTGGATTTTTTGCTCTAAGTTCACGAGAGGTATTGGTTTATGGTTGTTTTTCTTTTCTTTTTTCCTCCCTTCTTTCCTTCCTTCCTTCCTTCTTTTTTTTCTTTCAACTGTCTTTGTCTGGTTTCAGTATCAGAGTAATACTAGCTTCAGAAAATGTGTTGCGAAGTCTTCACTTCTAGTTTCTGGAAGGGATTATGTAGAATTGATGTTAATTATTCTTTAGGCATTTGGTAGAATTCTCCAGTGAAACTCTCTAGGCCTGGAGGTTTTATTTTGGAGAATTTTAATGCTATGAATTCAATTTCTCTTTTTTGATTTTAAATTTTTGAGACAGGATCTTGCTCTGTCACCCAGAGTAGAGTGCAGTGGCACAATCATAGCTCAATGCAACCTTGAACTCCTGAGCTCAAGCAATCCTCCTGCCTCAGCCTCCTGAGTAGGTAGGACTACAGGTGCATGCCATAATGCCTGGCTACTTTTTTTTTTTATGTTTTATAGAGAGAAGTCTCACTATGTTGCCCAGGCTGGTCTTGAACTCCTGGAATCCAGCGATCCTCCCATCTCAGCCTCCAAAAGTGCTAGGATTACAGGAATGAGCCATTGTGCCTGGCTTCCCAATTTCCTTAATGGTTACAGGGCTATTCAAATTATCTGTTTCATATTATGTGAATTATGGTAGTTTGTGTTTTTCAAGGAATTGATGCATTTTATCTAAGTTGTGAAATTTACTTGTGAAGAGTTGTTCATATTACTCCTTTATTATCCTTTGGATGTCTGCAGGGTCTGTAGTTATATTTTTGTTTCATTCCAGATATTGATAATTTTTGTTTTCTAGCATTTTTCTTGCTAAACTTCTGTCAGTGTTGTTGATCTTATTAAAGTACCAACTCCTGTTAAAAGTTTTCATATCAATTGTTTTTCTGTTTTTTATTTCATTGATTTGTACTTTTATCTTTATGATTTCTTTTCTTCTGTTTCCTTCGGGTTTTTGTTTTGTTTTGTTTTGTTTTTTTGAGATGGAGTCTCACTCTGTCGCCCAGGCTGGAGTGCAGTGGCTCAATCTCGGCTCACTGCAACCTCTGCCTCACGGGTTCAAGCAGTTTTTTGCCTCAGCCTCCCAAGTAGCTGGTATTACAGGCACCCGCCACCATGCCCAGCTAATGTTTGTATTTTTGGTAGAGACAGGGTTTCACCATCTTGGCCATGCTGGTCTTGAATTCCTGACCTCGTGATCCACCCACCTTGGCCTCCCAAAGTGCTGGGTTTACAGGCGTGAGCTAACACGCCCAGCCGCTCTTCTTTATCTAGTTTCCTGAGGTAGGAATTAGCTTACTGTTTTAAGAGCTTTCCTTGTTTCTTATGTAAGCATCTAGTGCTATAAATTTCCCTCTCAGTATTGCTTTAGCTGCACTCCACATATTTTGATATGTTTTGTGTCCATTCAGTTCTCTTGATTTTTTCTTTGAGGCTTTCTCTTTGATCCATGAATTATTTAGAACTGTGGTGTTTAATTTTCACATGTTTAGAGACTCTCTTTAAGGTAGCAAAGAAAAGCTAAGGTGTGGCCAGGACTTTCATGTTAAGGACAAGCAAGATGAAAAGACAATAGAAGGCAACCACGCAGATATCTTACAGCAAAAAAAGGTAAAAGAAGGAGTATACAAAATATCACAACCTGTAAACAGGACCAATCATTATTAAGTGCTTTTGGAAAACAGAAGCTTTCCTTATTTTTTTAAATGTTCTATAATGATATCAAGACTATAGAACTATCTGTTTTATGACACTTTGAAAAGATTCAGGTAGGGTCTCCCCTCCCACCTCGCTCAGGCAGAGCCATGTCTCGGGGTGGCTCCTGCCCACATCTGTTGTGGGACATGAGGAAAAGGTCCCTCGGGCTGGAGGACCTGTCCTGGCTGTGGGGCCACTACCTGGGAAGAAGAGAATTTATCTAAAGATTGAAACTTGAAGCAACCCTAAATGTGCATGATGGCTGTGTTAATACAATCTGTTGGAATGACACTGGAGAATATATTTTATCTGGCTCAGATGACACCAAATTAGTAATTAGTAATCCCTACAGCAGAAAGGTTTTGACAACAATTCGTTCGGGGCACCAAGCAAACATATCTAATGCAAAGTTCTTACCTTGCACAAATGATAAACAGATTGTATCCTGCTCTGGAGATGGAGTAATATTTTATACCAATGTTGAGCAAGATGCAGAAACCAACAGACAATGCCAATTTACTTGCCACTATGGAACTACTTATGAGATTATGACTGTACCCAATGACCCTTACACTTTTCTCTCTTGTGGTGAAGATAGAACTGGTAGGTGGTTTGATACACGCATCAAAACTAGCTGCACAAAAGAAGATTGTGAAGATGATATTTTAATTAGCTGTCGACGTGCTGCCACATCTGTTGCTATTTGCCCACCAATACCATATTACCTTGCCGTTGGTTGTTCTTATAGCTCAGTACAAATATATGATAGGCGAATGCTGGGCACAAGAGCTACAGGGAATTATGCAGGTCGAGGGACTACTGGAATGGTTGCCCATTTTATTGCTTCCCATCTTAATAATAAGTCCTGCAGAGTGACATTTCTGTGTTACAGTGAAGATGGTCAAGAGATTCTCATTAGTTACTCTTCAGATTACATATATCTTTTTGACCCGAAAGATGATACAGCACGAGAACTTAAAACTCCTTCTGCGGAAGAGAGAAGAGAAGAGTTACGACAACCACCAGTTAAGCGTTTGAGACTTCGTGGTGATTGGTCAGATACTGGACCCAGATCAAGGCCTGAGAGTGAACGAGAATGACATGGAGAGCAGAGTCCCAATGTGTCATTGATGCAGAGAATGTCTGATATGTTATCAAGACGGTTCGAAAAAGCAAGTGAGGTTGCACAAAGCAATAGAGGATGAGGAAGATCTTGACCCAGAGGTGGAACAAGTCAATCAGATATTTCAACTCTTCCTATGGTCCCATCAAGTCCTGATTTGGAAGTGAGTGAAACTGCAATGGAAGTAGATACTCCAGCTGAACAGTTTCTTCAGCCATCTACATCCTCTACAATGTCAGCTCAGGCTCATTTGACATCATCTCCCACAGAAAGCCCTCATTCTACTCCTTTTTAATCTTCGCCAGACAGTGAACAAAGGCAGTCTGTTGAGGCATCTGGACACCACACACATCATCAGACTGATTCACCTTCTTCTGTGGTTAACAAACAGCTCAGATCCATGTAACTTGATGAGCAACAGAGTGCGTGCAACAGGAGATGCGCTATGCCCATCCATCCATAGCTTTATTGCAGTGCATAAACTAAGCTCTCGCACACCTTTCATAGCATTTCATTTTGATTATGGTCTTATAGTCAGTATTTTGTGGACTAAATTACAGTAGGTGGTATTGTATACAAAAGGTCTGTTTGGCCTATACAAATTATTTTCTATGTAAGCTAATTTCTACCTTTGACCCTTGATGCCAACTTTGAACTCTCTCAGTATAACAAAATTATAATGGATATAAGCTATATCCATTTTTTAAATCCTAGATATCTGTCATAAAATCATGTAGAATTGTGAGTGTGAGGTTAACACTACCTTGTTGTTTATGTAGGATAAGTTATTTAAACACAGTAATATTCTGTATCACTAGATTGCTTTAGTAATGATACTTGGTTTTATGTCTCACTTATCTGGTAGCCAAATTCCTGATAGCTTTAACTAAAGAATACAGTTACAAACCCGGAGGTAAGCTCAAAAGCTATCAATCAGAAGCTCCCACTTCCACTTGCACTTTTCAATGTGGGAAAGTTATAGAGTCAATCTCCAAGCCTTGAATAGAGCCTGATGAAATAAACAGATTACTTGTTTATCAAGCTTTATTACTAGCAGATCAAATACAGCACAGAGAAGGATTAGCAGAGGAAGACATTCTGACATGAAGGGACATCTGAAAAGGTTGGAGATAGGAAGACTATTCAAAAACTAAAAAGGCTATTTAGGGTTAGCACAAATGGTTTACTATCTCACCTCAGAATTTAATGAAGTATTTTAAATATATTGTGACAAAGTATGATAAGTAATCTTAGTTAAGTCTTTAAGAATAACTTAACATGATATTCACTTCCTCTATTTAAAAAAGCAGATAGCTGGACGTGGTGGCACACCGCCTGTAATCCCAGCTACTTGGGAAGCTGGGGCAGGAGGATCGCTTGAGCCCAGACGTTTGAGACCAGCCTGGTCAATATAGCGAGACCCTGTCTCTTAAACAAACAAACAAACAAACAAACAAACAATTTAATTAGCCGGGTGTGGTGGTGCATACCTGTAGTCCCAGCTACTAAGAAGGCTGAGGCAGGAGGATTGCTTGAGCCCAGGAGTTCAAGGCTCCAGTGAGCTATGATTGTACCACTGCACTCCAGTGTGGGTGACAGAGTGAGACCCCCCATCTCTTTAAAAAAAATGAGACCCCCCATCTCTTTAAAAAAAAAAAGAAGGCAGATGAATGCCTTTATATATTTTACAAATGTTCCTTTCAAAAACTTTTTTTTAAATTAGCACTAAAGCCATAATATTTGGTTGGCTGAAAGTTTACATGTTAGATGACTCATATGTCAATAGTAACGCAGAAATTAAATATTGCTGTAGTACTTATTTGGTGTGAAATAGATCGAATTTAAACTATAGTCTTAGAGAAATATGCAGAAACTAATTTTAAAATCAATTAGAAAACTTTCTTTGTACTTCTGATCTTAAATTATTCCTTATGGGGCCAGGAGCGGTGGCTCACACCTGTAATCCCAGCACTTTTGGAGACTGAGGCAGGCAGATCACCTGAGGTCAGGGGTTCGAGACCAGCCTGGCCAACATGGCGAAACCCCATCTCTACTAGTAAACACAAAAATTAGCCAGACGTGGTGGCCCACGCCTGTAATCCCAGCTACTCAGGAG
Source organism: Homo sapiens (assembly GCF_000001405.40). NCBI lineage: Eukaryota > Metazoa > Chordata > Mammalia > Primates > Hominidae > Homo > Homo sapiens. The sequence goes on along the minus strand of NW_011332701.1, from coordinate 1,395,054 downwards.
GCTGAAGCGGGAGAATCGCTTGAACCTGGGAGGCGGAGGTTACTGTGAGCCAAGATTGCGCCACTCACTCCGGCCTGGGCAGCACAGTGAGACTCCGTCTCAAAAAAAAAAAAAAAAAAAAAAAAAAAAAAGAAAAGAAAACTTATTCCTCATGGACCTGACATGAATTTCTGATCTTAAATTACTCTTTATGGACCTGAGATGACCTGTATTGCTATAAGGTTTTCCGTTCTTGACAAAGAAAGAATGAACGAATTGGTAAATTAATTTGCAAACTAAGAAATTAAGCGTTTTATTTTATATGTTTATTATAGAGGTATTAACAATGAAGAATAATTAAGGCAAAACACAACTATAGCATACTATATTAGACTACTGTTTATAACTACTCTATAATTAAAGGGAATTTTTTCCTAAGGATATATGGATATAAATACTATATCACTATCAGAGATTTTATAGCCAGATTTATATTCTCATTAATCACATACAATAATTTTCATAGCATTACATTGAATATTATATTCAATTTAAGTTGATACTTAATTTACATATGATATGGGATATGAGAGGAAGAGAAAAATTATGATTAACTCTCAGATTTTTTACATCAGTGCCTGGGTAGGGTAAATGGTAAGGCCATTTACTAGGGAGTTGAGTAGCTTGGAAGTAGAAATCAAGTGGTTCTTTATCTTTTGACTATGTCAAGTATGATATGCATTTTAATCATGTAAGTAGAGATGCTATGTAAGAGGTTAGTACTGAGTGGCTTTGGCAGAAGCTGCATCGTAGTAGACTATCAGAAATGTAGCTTTGTAATAAGATCTCTGAGCAGAAATGTTCTAATGGTGGAAAATGTATCTAATTAGATTAAATCCTGAGTTTTTACATACCTTTTTGTTCATCAGCATTATAACTTTTAAAGTACTAGGAACTTCACGTTGCAGGCTCACATTACCTAAAGATAACTTCTAAAAGTTAATAGAGACTGCCCACCACCATTTTTCTCTCCTAGACTAATGGAATAATCCCTTTACTAGTCTTCTCACATCCACTCAGGCTATAATCTATTCTCTACCAGCAGCCAGAGTGAAACTTTAAGATGTAAATATAACCATGTGATTCATCTGCCTAAAACTTTTTAATTGCTTCCCATAGCCTTTCAAAAGAACCCAAATCCATACCTTGGCTTACAAACCCTACATGACTTGGTTTCTATGTCAATAATCTTGTCTCAGGCCACTATCCCATCCTTCACTAAGCTCTTGCCAAATAGGCTTACCTTCATTTCTTTTAACACTCTAATCTCCTTTCCCTTTCAGATCCCTTGTACGTGCTGTTCCCTCTACCAAAACTACTTCTTTGTTGAGCGACTTCTACTCATTTTTTAAACTTACCGAGATATTATTCTCTCAAAAATAATATAACTTCACAATCTCTAGTAGGTCTCCTCTTTTTCTTCCTTTGTGACTTATTATTTTTCTTCATTGCATTTGTCAAATTTGTAATCATACATTTATTTAGGGGATTGTTTAATATCTACCTTTCTGCATATTCTCTAAATATTTTCATTTACTATAATTTCCTCTCTGCCTAAAATCATACGTTATGTGGTAAATAATATTTGTTAAATGAGTGAGTAAATGAATTCTTTAAGCAACTAATTATTTAAGAGCTGTAGGGATTACTTCAGCTTGGGAGAAATGTGATCAGATTTACGTATTGGAAAGATCATTTTGGCAACATTATAAATGATTGATTGGAAGAAATAAGATTGGAAACGCCAAGAACATCTAAGAGGCCATTGCTATAGTCCACCTAAGAGATTATGAAGGATCCAACCTAAGGCAATAGTGGTGAGAAGTGGGAATGGACAGATTTTAAAAATAGTTGAAAGGTTGAATTCATGGGACTTTGAGACTAAGTTAGAAATGAATGAGAGTATGATATCCAGGTGTCTTGACAGGGTGATAATGAACCATCAGCCAAGGTAGAGATTTTAGGAGGAACAGCTGATTTGAGGGGAGAAGAAGGTATGTGAGATTTTTTTTTTTAATGTTAAGTTTGAAGTGTCTTTGGATATCCACATGGAGAAATGTCACAGATGGTTGGATGGCTGTATGATGCTGGAAGTCACCAAAGTGGTCTGAGATAGAGATAAAGATAGTTTATAGATAGCAACTGAAACCATGGGAGTGGATGAGATTGTCTAGAAAAAGAGGATAAAATGAGAAGAGCAGAGTCTGCACTACAGGAGCAAGTAGAGAAAAGGATCTAGCTAATGAGACCAAACAGGAATGATAGAGAAGTATGCAGGGCAGAAAGAATGCCATATCCAAAGCCAGGAGAAAACAAGTACAAGGAGGGACAGGTTAGTAATGCCATGTGAAGCAATGATACCAACTCCCAAAAGGTCTGGGAAATCCTTTTTCACATTTGGCAACGTGATTGCTTTGACATTTTAGTTTCAGATATGATGTAGTGGAAGCAGAAACCAGATAGTAGTGGTTTGAGGAGAAAGGTTTGGGGAAAAAAAGGTAGAGACATTGGTATGTCTCTTTCCATAAGCTCAATTAAGAATTGAAAGATAGAGCAAAGATAATGTCAGGTATAGGGGGTGGTAGGTTCAAAACTGAGCATGTTTACAGAGTAAATAGAAAGATTGTGTGTTCAAGATGTAAGGAATAGTTGATGTCCCCAGATACGCTATTATTTCAAAATTTTAACCTTTACCAAGATTCTCATTCTCAGTTTTACCATGGAGAATGAAAAAAGTAGTACATTTAATAAGTTTCCTTTCTGAATATATCTCTGACTAACGATTATTTAAGCATATTTTAAATTTCTTTTTCATACTTTTAACGAAACACTAAAGCTTTTTAAAAATTGATAGTTCAGTTTTAAATTTATGTCACAAAATATTTCTTCACCATCTTCCAGGTGCCCAGGTGATTTTATATGTTGTTTAATTTAATTTTCCATAGCATTTTCATAGATTTCTTTATTCGGAAGGATTACCAAGGACAAAAATGTTACTAATAAAAATTTTTTAATTTAGAAAAGAAAAGAAAAGATTCACCAATTAAACTGTCAGACTGATGATAGCTAAGGATATAGTTATTTGGCAATTTTTGCATTTTTTTACATTTGTGATCTATTTGGGCTTTGAATCATCATTTAAGTCATGAGCATAAAATAGTTCATAGTATTATTTAGTAAATATTTTACAATATTTTTGTACATTTCTAATATGTTAAGTTCCTCTGTGTGCAAGGTCTGTTATCTCACTGATAATTTGTACCTTTTGACTTTTTTTCCTTTTTTGATTGGGCTTCTAAATTAATAATTAAACAGTATATTATTCTACTTATGAAAGTGAGAGTCCTTTTTCTTTTTGGTTATGGTAAAATATACACAGTATAAAGTTTACTAAATTAACCATGTTAAGTGTGCAATTCAGTGGCATTAAGTACATTCACATTGTGTGAAACCATGACCAACATCCATTTCCAGAACTTTTTCATCATCCCTAATAGAAACTTTATACCCATCAAACAATAACTTTTCATTTCTCTGCTTCCCCAGCCCCTGATAACCAATATTCTACTTTCTGTCTCTATGAATTTATCCCATTCTAGGTCACTCATGTAAGTGGAAGCATACAGTATTTTGTTTTGTTTTGTTTTTGTTTTTGTTTGAGACGGAGTCTTGCTGTGTTGCCCAGGCTAGAGTGCAGTGGCGTGATCTTGGCTCACTGCAACCTCCACCTCTCTAGTTCAAGCGATTCTCCTGCCTCAGCCTCCTGAGTAGCTGGGATTACAGGCGCCCGCCACCATGCCCAGCTAATTTTTGTATTTTTAGTAGAGATGGGGTTTCACAATGTTGGCCAGGCTGGTCTCAAACTGATCCACCCGCCTCAGTCTCCCAAAGTGTTGGGATTACAGGTGTGAGCCACCGTGCCCGGCACAGTGTTTGTCCTTTTGTGTCTGGCATCTTTCACTTAGCATCATGTTTTCAAGTTTCTTTTTTTTTCTCATCGGCAAGTTTTGTCTACTTATGTTTATGAGAGATGTTTAGTCTCAATCCTGTTGACTTCTGTTATATGTGGTGTGATTAAAATTCTCATATCTTGGCTCAGAACTGCAGAAATGTGTTCTTCATTTTCTGTAACTGATTTCTACTTGGCATGTAGAAGTGAGTTACTTCTGTGGCCACTGATTTAGAAAAATTGAATTCAACTCTTACCACTGCAGAGTGGTTCCCCCTTTACCAGTTTAAAACAGTCTCCCCAGGATTAACTTTGTCTCTTTCCAGAAGGTATTCAGCCCCTCCTATCCTCTTTCCTTCCGTCTTCTCCTTCTCTCCCTGGTGGCGGCTGGGTGTGGGGGAAGCAGATTTAGCCTCACGACAGCAGGAGGGGTGGGCATCCCTGTTCTGTGCTTTGTCCTCCCAGCCCTTTCTGGCCTGCAGCGACCACCCAGCTGATGAGCCTGATGACCCTTATGGACTGTGGGTGTAGGTGTGAGGGTGACATCGCAGACCCTTGCACCCTAAATATGCAGGCCGCTCCTCCGCTTTTCCTGCCTTGCTCACCGCCCCCTGTAAACTCCAGGCGCCTTTAAGACCAGCCTGCAAACACAGGGCACAGATCCCCAGATGCTCAAAAACGTGTTTCAGATTTCTGGGACCCGATCACCTTTGTTTGCTATTCTCAGCCTGGTGGCAGAGCCATGAGGGTTCTGGGTGCCTGAGAAGGGCCCCTGGCTGAATTCCATTTTAATGAACTATATTCCAGTCCTATCTCCCTCTTCCTGCCTGTTCTCTGTATTACTGTCCCTTTCTCTTTGGAAAATCTGTTTCTTGGGCCACATCCCATGTCATTCCCCCTCCAGCCAGTCCTCCAAGCCGCTATCCCCAGAGTTCTTCCTCCTCTGAGTGTCCAGCACGGGGCTGTGGCAGTAACTCGGGAAATGTCTGCCGAAGGGTGATCTGAGCAGGATATTCACAGCAGACGCTGCTCTCTCTGTGTGTGACAACCTAGTTCAGTTAGCTGAGATCATCTGGTTAAGCGTTTCATGATTCTGTTTGTTACTATTTTTAAAAGGCAATTATTATTTGAATGAGCCAATTATGTATTGTTGCTGAATCTGTCAGGACCACAGGTTAAGACAGTCAGTGGCACATTTTGGAGGAGGACCTTAATTTTGAGACTATCTCATTTTTTCCAAAGCCTGTTTGAATTTCTTCTTGAGGGGGTAGCCACCTCTATTACCAACACTCTAATCTCAGAATTGAAAGCCTCAGTCTCCAAGCCAACACCAATTATGTCACCAGGGTCCTCGGAAGAGCCCCATAGTAACCAGGGCAACCCTGATTTAGCTTCCTCATCCTGAGTAATAAATTACAGGAGAACATAGCCTTAGGCTGGGGCTGCTGGACTGTCTGGCTTGAAGTCTTCATCTCTGTTCCCATTGTTGCCCAAAGGCACAGCCTTTATTGTACTAATCACAGGTCAGGGATAGTTTTGGCCTCTCTTGGCTTCATGAGAAATTTAGCATTTGACAGCTATTTGTGCGTTGTCATGATGGCCCAGAATTTTTCCGTTTGTAGGAACATCATTCTGTTTTCATTCTTCTTCATGTGAATTTGCTATTATTATAGATAAAGAGATTCCATGCAAAAGCTGCAATTTGAAAGTTGATTCCAAACCCCCAAAGTTTCCTAGCAAAGTAAACTTTCCTAGCAAAGTAAACATTCCCAGCAAAATAAAAATTGGTATGTTTTAAGGTAACAGTGGTTCCATAGAAATATCTATCTGTCCATGGTGTACATTCAGTCATTCTTTGATTCAGTGGATTAATACATTTTACAGAGGGAGCGCCCCGTGTCCGGCATGTTCTGAGTGCTAGGAACACGGCAGTGTCAAGACAAGTCCTGGAGACAAGCCAAATCCTGGCTCCGCTCCCTTCTGGTGAGCAGCTCGGGCTCCAAAGAAAGACGTGGGGGGCTGTGGTGGACAGTGTCAGACAACAGGAAGTGCTCCAAGGAAAGACACGGGGAGCTGCGGTGGACAGTTTCAGACAACAGGAAGTCCTCCGAGGAAAGACGTGGGGAGGTGTGGTGGACGTGGCCAATACCTCTCTGAGCACCTGGCCTGCAAGCCGAGGCCTAAAGGATGCAGGGAAGTGGTTGGGGACAAGGCCCGGAGGCTCATTTCAGTTTGGAGAACAGGAAGGTGGGGGTGAGGCGCAGGGGCTGACGTGCTCAGAACTTGCAGCTTCAGCCCTTGCCATGTGTCCCCCGGTTCCGTGGGCGTTGTTCTCACCGCATGCTCGACCGTGATACTACTTCTCTCCACTGACTTTGCACCTGCCAGGCAGGGAGAGCAATGCACTGGCCTCTGGTAGTTTTTTTCTGTGATTTCATGACTGGGGCACTTGGTGAGCCTCAGGTCTCCAGCCACCTGTTAGGGGATGCTTTTGTCATCCCTGTAGATAGGTCCTGGTAAGCTGCGGGTGAAAGTGATTCCCTGCCCGATTCCCACAGTTCCCCACCAAAATGCAACAAGATCTTCAAGGTTCATCATCTGTCACAGCTACATGGACTCGGGTGGATCATCTAATCATCTAGCATTTCTTGGGAGATCCCCGAAAGTCAGTGTGTATAGTTTTTGTTTTCTCTTGGGCGGGACTTCTCCTGCTTCTGAGAGGTGACAGCGTGCTGGCAGCCCTCACAGCCCTCTCTGGCTCTGGGCGCCTCCTCGGCCTTGGTGCCCACTCTGGCTGTGCTTGAGGAGCCCTTCAGCCCGCTGCTGCACTGTGGGAGCCCCTTTCTGGGCTGGCCAAGGCCGGAGCCTGTTCCCTTAGCTTGCAGGGAGGTGTGGAGGGAGAGGCGTGAGCGGGAACCGGGGCTGTGCCTGGTGCTTGCGGGCCAGCGTGAGTTCTGGGTGGGCATGGGCTCAGCGGCCCCGCACTCAGAGCGGCCGGCCAGCCCGCCGGCCCGGGCAGTGAGGGGCTTAGCACGTGGGCCAGTAGCTGCTGTGCTCAGTTTCTCACCAGGCCTTAGCTGCCTTCCCGCGGGGCAGGGCTCAGGACCTGCAGCCCGCCATGCCTGAGCCTCCCCAACCTCCGTGGGCTCCTGTGCTGCGGGAGCCTCCCCAGTGTGCACCGCCCCCTGCTCCACGGTGCCCAGTCCCATGGACCACCCAAGGGCTAAGGAGTGTGGGTGCCCGGCAGGGGACTGGCAGGCAGCTCCACCTGCGGCCCGGTGCCGGATCCACTGGGTGAAGCCAGCTGGGCTCCTGAGTCTGGTGGGGACTTGGAGAACCTTTATGTCTAGCTAAGGGATTGTAAATACACCAATCAACACCCTGTGTCTAGCTCAGGGTTTGTAAATACACCAGTGGACACTCTGTATCTAGCTAATCTAGTGAGGAGGTGGAGAACTTTTGTGTCTAGCTCAGGGATTGTAAATGCACCAATCAGCACCCTGTCAAAGCGGACCAATCAGCTCTCTGTAAAACAGACCAATCGGCTCTCTGTAAAATGGACCAATCAGCAGGATGTGGGTGGGGCCAAATAAGAATAAAAGCGGGCTGCCCGAGCCAGCAGTGGCAACCCGGCGCAGTTCCCTTCCACAAGTGTGGAAGCTTTGTTCTTTCAATGTTTGCAATAAGTTGCTGCTGCTCACTCTTTGGGTCCAAGCTGCCTTTATCACCTGTAACACTCACTGCAAAGGTCTGCAGCTTCACTCCTGAAGCCAGTGAGACCACAAACCCACCGGGAGGAACGAACAACTCCAGACGCGCCGACTTGAGAGCTGTAACACTCACCACGAAGGTCTGTAGCTTCACTGCTGAGCCAGCGAGACGACGAACCCACCAGAAGGAAGAAACTGTGAACACATCCGAACACCAGAAGGAACAAAGTCTGGACACGGTGTCTTTAAGAACTGTAACACTCAGTGTGAGGGTCCACGGCTTCGTTCGGGAAGTCAGTGCGACCAAGAACCCATCAATTCTGGACACACTTCTGAGTACAGAGGTGGAGCTATCTGTGTTCACAGGCAGAGCTGGGCGCGAGCTGGGGGCGGGCAAGCTTCAGACTTTACTTCATGTGCACTGGGACGTCTGTCAGTCCTCTGTCAGCTGAGCCCTCTCCAGAGAGTGCCTGCTTTTCGTCTGCTGGGATACCTGCAGTGTAGAAGGATGAGGCCTTCCTGTTGCAGGGACTGGGGAAAGGGCTGCAGGCGCAGGGGCTCCAGAACCAGCCTCTCTGGCTACCTTTCCATTCCCTCCACCCCCACCCTGGCCAGGAGCGCCACTACAGGAGTTCTACTGGGCCCGCATTGTGTTTAGCAGGGCTTTAGTGTCTGCAAGAAGTGTGGTCTCCAGTGGGAAAAAAGACCATCCGAACTGTTTCTCGGATTTATAGCTCATTTTTAGGGGGTATTAGTGGCTAAACTGATATCCAGTTACACGTAGCTGAGTCAACCCATGTATGTGTGTCTGTGTCCACTGGACTCCCCGCTAGCATGTCTACGAAGGAACAGGCTCACAGGTGCAGATATGACAGCAGAAGAGGTGTCCCCACATGGAAGATAGAGAGCCATTGGAGCTGGGCACCTTTCTTTGCAGAGAGGAAGAAACAGAATCCCAGAGGCTGCCGGGAGCCAAGCCAGACAAACTCTCTCCAGCCCAGAACCAGGAGGACTTGTCTGGAGGGAGCGGCTGCCACCCACGGCCTAGTGAACCTGGAACTCGAAACTTTTCAAGAGAAGCTAAGAATTGCGATTTTTTAATGTGGTGTTCCCCAACTATACCCTCAAATACTATATGATCTCCCCCAAGAATAAAAGAAAGTAAACTTTAAAAGTCACTGTCCATTGGCCGTCAGGTGACCAGTCAGCAGCAGCCCTGCCCAGCTTCTTTGTTTGATTTGTTCTTGTCATTGAAGTTGAGCAACGGAGAGTAATTTGTTAAGGACTGACCAGGTGTCCAGTGCTGTATTCATGTTTTCAGTTTTGCCTGGAAACACACGACACTGCTATGAGCAGTTTTCTCCTGTATAGCTCTGAAAGTCATGAGATTGTATCACATGCTATTCTGCTGGATTAGAGACCAGACAAAAACTTAAACTCATAAAAACGTTATTCTTTATTGCTTTGTATTTATGGTATGTTCTAGGAAAGGACAAATACCAACTGGCAGGCATTTTTGTCTGTAAATAGAGTAATTCCTAGTGGGGTGAGCGTGAGGGAGCTGGTGGCCCTGCAGGGCCCCCTCGGAAGCTGGAATGTCTGGAGACTGAAGCAGGCCCCTGAACCTCTCCTGAACATCTCATTCTGCACTTCTCACAGCACATTCTCCTGAGCATGAGTGACGGGAGATGCAAATGGGTGTTATTTTAAATGTAAGAAGGAAGAGGAGGAGGAAAACGTGGTCCACTCAGCATGCTCAGCCTCTCTTCTTGGAGGGTGACAGTGTTACCGAAAAGGGGTCCCAATCCAGACCCCAAGAGAGGGCTATTGGATCTTGCGCAAGAAAGAATTAGAGGCGAGCCCATAGAGTAAAGTGAAAGTTTATTAAGTAAAGGAATAAAGAATGGCTCTCCATAGGCAGAGCAGCCCTAAGGGATGCTGGTTGCCCATTTTCATGGTAATTTCGTGATGATATGCTAAACAAGGGGAGGATTATTCATGCCTTTTCTTTTTGACCATATAGGGTAACTTCCTGACATTGTCATGGGATTTGTAAACTCATGGCGCTGATGGGAGTGTAGCAGTGAGGATGACCCAGAGATCACTCTTGTCACCATCTTGGTTTTGATGGGATTTGGCCAGCTTCTTTACTGCAAACTGTTTTATCAGCAAGGTCTTTATGACCTGTATCTTGTGCTGACCTCCTACCTCATTAGAATGCCTAACCATCTGGGAATGCAGCCCAGTAGGTCTCAGCCTTATTTTACCCAGCCCCTATCCAAGATGGAGTTACTCTGGTTCAAACACCTCTGACAACAACACACACTGAAATGTTACAAGTTGGAGAAGTCATGCAGGAGAGCTCCTAATTTAATGTTTTTGAAACACTGTTTTCCCAAGTTAACTTGACAGAACCTCATGTCGATTCTTTCCAATCTTTTGTTATTCCAAGCACTGCTGCTGCGAACATTCTTGCTTGGGTCTCTGTGGTGGAAAATCGTGCAGTGTTCCTTATTTTCCTGTTACCCAGCACGATTCTCTTTAGCCCTTTCTCCCTTTCTGTCAGCAAAGTGGAGCTCTACTTTGATGACCGTGCTAATTAATGAAATTTCTGAGTCGGGCCTAAAAGTGCAAGTCTACATTATTAACAGAAGAGCCTCAGAAGGAGACGAAGGCAAGACAGGGAGGAGGAATCTCTAACTTATTCCATGTCTCTCGTGTGATAAGAGTGCCTCAGGAGTGCCAGTCTTATTTTCCTGTTCAAGAGGAGGCTTGTGTGAACGTTACTAACTCAGCAAGCTAAGCTGTCCTTGAAAGTGTCGGTCGTGGTGGCTCACACTTGTAATCCCAGCACTTTGAGAGGCCGAGGTGGGCAGATCATGAGGTCAGGAGTTCGAGACCAGCCTGGCCAACACAGTGAAACCCTGTCTCTACTAAAAATACAAAAATTAGCTGGGCGTGGTGGTGGGCACCTATAATCCCAGCTACTTGGGAGGCTGAGGCAGGAGAATCACTTGAACCCAGGAGGCAGAGGTTGCAGTGAGCCAAGATTGTGCCACTGCACTGCAGCCTGGGCGACAGAGCTAGACTCCGTCTCAAAAAAAAAAAAAAAGTGTCATTTGCATTAAAAGGTGGTGTAAAAATTCCCAGGGCTGTAGGAACGGTTGCTGTGTCCTAGGAAGACATGCTTTCAAAGAGAACTCCAGATTCTGGCTTGGTGCTCTCACTTGACAATTTCCTTCTTGGCAGGAGTTCCAACTGGCATCGCAGATTCCCACAGTCCTCAGATTTATTCTCATCCTGTCTCTCTCTCCCTCTTCACGATGGCACACATGAAATGAAAAATTAAAAGCCTGTGACTCAGATCTACTATTTCACAAATAATTTGAACATCTGTTGCAGAGCAAGAGATGAATTAGCAAACGGAATATGACGAAATGAAGACCAAAATAAAGGTGAAATATCTGATGCTAGAAATGAAAAGCAGGTAGTTTTTTTTTTTCCCTAAAAGGTCAACGAATGTTATAAGACTTAATTGTATAATTTATATAATAAAGGTTCTATTTTCTGGAATTAAATAACTTTTTCCTAAATGTTTTGTGTATACACGTTCATGCACCAAAGAAAACCCTAGATTCTCATCAGATTTGAGATTTTAAAGGAGTTCTAAATTCCTTTAGATATATATTTTTCGATGTAAGTTTCCCACCGTTCCTGTGGAGCAGGTAGAAACGCAATTAGCAGATAAAGCACAATTAGAAACAAAGAATGCGGCAGCTCCTCTCCTTCCTCAGCCACATGAGTGCATTTCCTGTGCCACGTGGCTGTGTTCTAATGGGCTTTAATTGCATGAAAAGTGAAAAATCACAAATACTGATCGGTCATAAAGGCCAGGCTTCTTTGCATAAAATATAATAATAAATGCAATGCAGAGCCAAAAATAACGTGCGTTTAAAGGTAAAAATTTAAATTCTAATGAGCTTGGACAGAATCATAACAGACCTAATAGGAACCTTTCTGATCCTGGTTTCTCTGAATTCACATGCGCTAAATGAAAACTAGTAGGCCAGGCTTTGCGTAGGCCAAGTCCCTGAAGGTTCTAGGCTGGGCACTGGAGCCAGCCCACGCAGACCCCTGAGCCAGCCCAGCGGGTCTCCCCAGCCCACAGCCTCAAATAAGCCCTAGAAATCAGGCAGGTGGCCAGGGCTGCTGCCATTAAGCACAGCGACTTCTGGCCTACTGTCTCGCCTCTCTACTTAAAGCTTTAATTTCCAATTTTCTTTTTTATTTTTATTTTTTATTTTTCCATAAGTTATTGGCGAACAGGTGGTATTTGGTTGCATGCGTAGGATCTTTAGTGGTGACTTGTGAGATTTTGGTGCACCCATCACCAGAGCAGCATAACTGCATCCTATTTGTAGTCCTTTATCCCTCACCCCCTTCCTACTTTTCCCCTCAAGTACCCACAGTCCATTGTATTACTCTTACACCTTTGCATCCTCATAGCTTAGCTCCCACATATTAGTGAGAACATACGATGTTTGGTTTTCCATTCTTGATTTACTTCACTTAGAATAGTAGTCTCCAATCTCATCCAGGTCACTGCAAATGCCATTAATTCATTCCTTTTTATGGCTGAGTAGTATTCCATCATATATATATATTTATGCACCACAGTTCCTTTGTACACTCATTGACTGATGGGCATTTGGATTGTTTCCACAGTTTTGCAATTGCGAACTGTGCTGCTATAAACATGCGTGTGAAGTATCCTTTTCATATAATCACTTCTTTTCCTCTGCATAGATAACCAGTAGTGGGATTGCTGGATCAAATGGTAGTTCTATTTTACTTCTTTAAGGAAGCTCCACACTGTTTTCCATAGTGATTGCATTAGTTTACATTCCCACCAGCAGCATAGAAGTGTTCCCTGTTTACTGCATCCACGGCAACATCTACTATTTTTTGATTTTTTGATTTTTTGATTATGGCCATTCTTGCAGGAGTAAGATGGTATTGCATTATGGTTTTGATTTGCCTTTTCCTGATGACTAATGATGTTGAGCATTTTTTCATATGTTTCTTGGCCATTTGTATATCTTCTTTTGAGAATTCTCTATTCATGTCCTTAGCCCACTTTTTGATGGGATTGTTTGTTTTTTTTTTCTTACTGATTTGTTTGAGTTCATTGTAGATTCTGGAAATTAGTTCTTTGTCAGATGTATAGATTGTGAAGATGTTCTGCCACCCTGTGGGTTGTCTGTTTACTCTGATAACTGTTCCTTTGGCCATGCAAAAGCTCTTTAGTTGAAGTCCCGACTATCTTTGTTTTTATTGCATTTGTTTTTGGGTTCCTGGTCATGAAATCCTTGCCTAAGCCAACATCTAGAAGGGTTTCTCCAAAGTTATCTTCTATAATTTTTATAGTTTCAGGTCTTAGATTTAAGTCTTTAATCCATCTTGAGTTGACTTTTGTGTAAGTTGAGAGATGAGGATCCAGTTTCATTCTCCTACATGTGGCTAGCCAGTTATCCCAACACCATTTATTGAAGAGGGTGTCCTTTCCCCACTTTATGTTTTTGTTTGCTTTGTCGAAGATCAGTTGGCTGTAAATATTTGGGCTTATTTCTGGGTTCTCTATTCTATTCCATTGGTCTGTGTGCCTATTTTTATACCAGTATTATGCTGTTTTGGTGACTGTGGCTTTATAGTATAGTTTGAAAACAGGTAATGTGATGACTCCAGATTTGTTCTTTTTGCTTAGTCTTGCTTTGGCTACCTGGGCTCTTTTTTGGTTTTGTATGAATTTTAGAATTGTTTTTTCTAATCCTATGAAGAATGGTGGTGGTATTTTGATGGGGATTGCATTGAATTTGTAGATTGCTTTTGGCCGTATGATCGTTTTCACAATATTGATTCTACCCATCCATGAGCGTGGGGTATGAAGACAAAGGGCATATACTCTTAGGAGTTCTAGGGCCCTGCCCACCGTAGGTTCCTCTCCACACCCACCACAGCCAATGCTTTCTGGAAAGTGCCACCTCCCGTCAGGAGGCCAACCAGCACAAAAATAGAGCATTAAACCACCAAAGCTAAGAACCCTCACATAGTCCATTGCACCCCGCTGCCACCTCTACCGGAACAGGCACTGATATCCACGCTGAGAGACCCATTGACGGTTCACATCACAGGACTCTGTGCAGACCACCCTGAGTACCAGCCTGGAGCCTGATAGAACTTGCTGGGTGGCCAGACCCAGAAGACAGACAACAATCACTGCAGTTCCGCTCATAGGAAGCCACATCCATAGGCAAAGAGGGAGATTACCACACCAAGGGAACACCCCATGGGAAAAAAAGAATCTGAACAACAGCCTTCAGCCCTAGACCTTCCCTCTGACAGAGCCTACCCAAATGAGAAGGAATCAGAAAACCAACCCTGGTAATATGACAAAACTTTAACACCCCCAAAAAATCACACTAGTTTACCAACAATGGATCCAAACCAAGAAGTCCCTGATCTACCTGAAAAAGAATTCAGGAGGTTAGTTATTAAACAAATCAGGGAGGCACCAGAGAAAGGCAAAGCCCAATGCAAGGAAATCCAAAAATGATACAAGAAGTGAAGGGAGAAATATTCATGGAAATAGACAGCATAAGGAAAAAACAATAAAAAATTCAGGAAACACTGGACACACTTATAGAAATGCAAAGTGCTCTGGAAAGTCTCAGGAATAGAATTCAACAAGTAGAAGAAAGAAATTCAGAGCTTGAAGACAAGGTCTTCAAATTAACCCAATCCAACAAAGATAAAGAAAAAAGAAAAAATATGAACGAAGCCTCCAAGAAGTCTGGGACTATGTTAAATTGTAATGCCCAACCTCGTTTTTACTAACCATGTTTTTAGACTCTCCCTTTTTCCTTTAATCACCTAGCCTTGTTTCCATCTGAATGGACTCTTCCTTAGCTAAGAGAACCAGACAGATTCTATCTTGGCTCTTTCACTGGCAGCCCCTTCCTCAAGGACTTAACTTCTGCAAGCTGACTCCCAGCACATCCAAGAATGCAATTAACTGATAAGATACTGTGGCAAGCTGTATCCACAATTCCTAGGAATTCCTCTGATTGATAACGCCCCAAGCCCCGGGCCTATCACCTTGTAATTGTCTTAAAGCCCCTGCACCTAGAACTGTTTACTTGCCTGTAACCATTTATCCTTTTAACTTTTGCCTACTTTACTTCTGTAAAATTGTTTTAACTAGACCCCCCCTTCCTAAACCAAGATATAAAAGTTAAATCGAGCCCCTTCTTTGGGGCTGAGAGAATTTTGGAGCGTCAATCCCTCTCTTGGCCGCCGGCTTAAATAAAGGACTCTTAATTTGTCTCAAAGTGTGGTGTTTTTCTTTTCTTTTCTTTTCTTTTTTTTAAACAATGGTTCACAGTATTAAGCCATTTTTATTATGGATGATTTTAATTTACATCTTTTTACTTTTGTATGTTTTATAAAATGTCTACATTGAGTATTTGTTACTTTTATAATCAGGAAAAAACAAATATTGCTAATGAGTCAATAGGAAGAAGAAAGCTACAGAATGTTTAGAAACATAAGTTCATTTTTAAATGTTTGCAAACCATGGAACTCGCTCGGGTGTAACAAAATGACCAACCCTAAGAATGATCAGTGTCCCTGAGAAAGAAGAGAATTCTAAAAGCTTGGAAAACATATTTGGGGGAGTAATAGAGAAAATTTTCCCCAGCCTTGCTAGAGACCTAGATATCCAAGTACAAGAAACACAAAGAACACCTGGGAAATCCATCACAAAAAGATCATCACCTAGGTACATTGTCATCAGGTTATCCAAAGTTAGACAAAGGAAAGAATCTTAAGAGCTGTGACACAGAAGCACTAGGTAACCTATAAATGAAAACCTATCAGATTAACAGCAGATTTCTCAGCAGAAACCCTACAAGCTAAAACGGATCAGGGCCCTATCTTCAGCCTCTTGAAACAAAACAATTATCAGCCAAGAATTTTGTATCCAGTGAAACTAAGCAGCATATATGAAGGAAAGATACCATCTTTTTCAGACAAACAAATGCTGAGAGAATTCGCCACTGCCAAGCCACCATTACAAGAACTGCTAAAAGGAGCTCTAAATCTTGAAACAAATCTTGGAAACACATCAAAACAGAACCTCTTTAAAGCATAAATCACACAGGACCTATAAAACAAAAATACAAGTTAAAAAGCAAAAACAAAAAAACCAAAGTACTCAGGCAACAAATAGCACAATGAATGCAATGGTACCTCACATCTCAATACTAACATTGAATGTAAATAGCCTAAATGCTCCCCTTAAAAGATACAGAACCACAGAATAGATAAGAACTCACCAACCCACTGCTGCCCTCAGGAAACTCAGAACTCCATGCTTCAGGAGCATCAGAACTCAACAACCATCTGCTGCCTTCAGGAGACTCACCCAACACATAAGGACTCACATAAACTTAAAGAGGTGGAAAAAGGCATTTCACGCAAATTGACACCAAAAGGGAGCAGGGGTAGCTATTCTTATATCAGACAAAACAAACTTTAAAGCAGCAGCAGTTAAAAGAGACAAAGTGGGACATTTGTATAATGGTGTGTTAGTCTAGGTTCTCTAGAGGGACAGAACTAATGGAATATATATATATATATATATTATATATATTTGAGTTTATTATTAATTCACATTATTACAAGGTCTCACAATAGGCTGTCTGCAGGCTGAGGAGCAAGGAGAGCCAGTCCAAGTTCCAAAACTGAAGAACTTGGAGTCCAATGTTTGAGGGCAGGAAGCATCCAGCATGGGAGAAAGATGTAGGCTGGGAGGCTAGGCCAGTCTCTCCTTTTCACATTTTTCTGCCTGCTTATAGTCTTATCTGCACTAGCAGCTGATTAGAGTGTTCCCACCCAGGTTGAGGGTGGGTCTGCCTTTCCCAGCCCACTGACTCAAATGCTAATCTCCTTTGGCAACACCCTCACAGACACACTCAGGATCAATACTTTGTATCCTTCAATTCAATCAAGTTGACACTTGGTATTAATCATCACAAATGATAAAAGGCCTTGTCCAACCGGAAAATATCACAGTCCTAAACATATATGCACCTAACACTGGAGCTCCAAAATTCATAAAACAATTACTAACAGACCAAAGAAATGAGATAGACAGCAACACAGTAATCGTGAGGGACTTCAGTACTCTACTGACAGCACAAGACAAGGTCATCAAGACAAAAAGTCAGCAAAGAAACAATGGATTTGAACTATACCTTGGAACAAATGGACTTAACAAATATATGCAGAACATTTCATCCAAGAACCACAGAATACACATTCTATTCAACAGCAAGTGGAACTTTCTCCAAGATAGCCCGATAGGCCATAAAACGAGCCTCAATAAATTTAAGAAAATTAAAATTGTATCAAGCACTTAGACCACAGTACAATAAAACTGGAAATCAACTCCAAAAGGAACCTTCAAAACCATGCAAATACATGGAAATTAAATAACTTGCTCCTTTTTTTTTTACATTTTTTTTTTTTATTATTATACTTTAAGTTCTAGGGTACATGTGCACAACGTGCTGGTTTGTTACATATGTATACATGTGCCATGTTGGTGTGCTGCACCCATTAACTCGTCATTTACATTAGGTATATCTCCTAATGCTATCCCTCCCACCTCCTCCCACCCCACAACAGGCCCTGGTGTGTGATATTCCCCTTCCTGTGTCCAAGTGTTCTCATTGTTCAGTTCCTACCTATATGTGAGAACATGCGGTGTTTGTTTTTTTGTCCTTGCGATAGTTTGCTGAGATGATGGTTTCCAGCTTCATCCATGTCCCTACAAAGGACATGAATTCATCCTTTTTTATGGCTGCATAGTATTGCATGGTGTATATGTGCCACATTTTCTTAATCCAGTCTGTCATTGTTGGACATTGGGGTTGGTTCCAAGCCTTTGCTATTGTGAATAGTGCCGCAGTAAACATATGTGTGCATGTGTCTTTATAGCAGCATGATTTATAATCCTTTGGGTATATACCCAGTAATGGGATGGCTGGGTCAAATGGTATTTCTAGTTCTAGATCCTTGAGGAATTGCCACACTGTCTTCCACAATGGTTGAACTGGTTTACAGTCCCACCAACAGTGTAAAAGTGTTCCTATTTCTCCACATCCTCTCCAGCACCTATTGTTTCCTGAATTTTTAATGATCGCCATTCTAACTGGCATGAGATGGTATCTCATTGTGGTTTTGATTTGCATTTCTCTGATGGCCAGTGATGTTGAGCATTTTTTCATGTGTCTGTTGGCTGCATAAATGTCTTCTTTTGAGAAGTGTCTGTTCATATCCTCACCCACTTTTAGATAGGGTTGTTTTTTTCTTGTAAATTTGTTGGAGTTCTTTGTAGATTCTGGATATTAGCCCTTTGTCAGATGAGTAGATTGCAAAAATTTTCTCCCATTCTGTAGGTTGCCTGTTCACTCTGATGGTAGTTTCTTTTGCTGTGATAGTATATCTAGAAAACCCCATCATCTCAGCCCAAAATCTCCTTAAGCTGATAAGCAAATTCAGCAAAGTCTCAGGATACAAAATCAATGTGCAAAAATACAAGCATTCTTATACACCAATAACAGACAAGCAGAGAGCCAAATCATGAGTGAACTCCCATTCACAATTGCTTCAAAGAGAATAAAATACCTAGGAATCCAACTTACAAGGGATGTGAAGGACCTCTTCAAGGACAACTACAAACCACTGCTCAAAGAAATAAAAGAGATACAAACAAATGGAAGAACATTCCATGCTCATGGATAAGAAGAATCAATATCGTGAAAATGGCCATACTGCCCAAGGTAATTTATAGATTCAATGCCATCCCCATCAAGCTACCAATGACTTTCTTCACAGAATTGGAAAAAACTACTTTAAAGTTCATATGGAACCAAAAAAGAGCCCGCATTGCCAAGTCAATCCTAAGCCAAAAGAACAAAGCTGGAGGCATCACGCTACCTGACTTCAAACTATACTACAAGGCTACAGTAACCAAAACAGCATGGTACTGGTACCAAAACAGAGATGTAGACCAACGGAACAGAACAGAGCCCTCAGAAATAATACCACACGTCTACAACCATCTGATCTTTGACAAACCTGACAAAAACAAGAAATGGGGAAAGGATTCCCTATTTAATAAATGGTGCAGGGTAAACTGGCTAGCCATATGTAGAAAGCTGAAACTGGATCCCTTCCTTACACCTTATACAAAATCTAATTCAAGATGGATTAAAGACTTAAATGTTAGACCTAAAACCATAAAAACCCTAGAAGAAAACCTAGACAATACTATTCAGGACATAGGCATGGGCCAGGACTTCACATCTAAAACACCAAAAGTAATGGCAACAGAAGCCAAAACTGACAAATGGGATCTAATTAAACTAAAGAGCTTCTGCACAGAATAACTTGCTCCTGAATGAGCATTGGGTCAAAAATGAAATCAAGATGGAAATTAAAAAATTCTTCGAACTGAAAGACAATAATGACACAAACTGTCAAAACCTCTGGGATACAGCAAAGGCGGTGCTAAGAGGCAAGTTCATAGCCCTAAACGCCTGCATCAAAAAGACTGAAAGAGCACAAACTGACACTCTAGGGTCACATCTCAAGGAACTAGAGAAACAAGAACCAGCAAAAGAAAGGAAATAACAAACCCAGAAAAAGAAAGGAAATAACCAAGATGAGAGCAGAACTAAATGAAATTGAAACAAAAAAATACAAAAGATAAATGAAACAAAAAGCCGGTTCTTTGAAAAGATAAGTAAAATTGATAGACCATTAGCAAGATTAACCAAGAAAACAAGAGAGAAAACCCAAATAAGCTCAATAAGAAATGAAACGGGGGAGGTATTACAACTGACACCACTGAAACACAAAAGATCATTCAAGGCTACTGTGAATAACTTTACACACATAAACTAGAAAACCTAGAAGAGACGGATAAATTCCTGGAAAAATACAACCCTCCTAGCGTAAGGCAGGAAGAATTAGATACCCTGAACAGAACAGTAACCAGCAGTAAGATTGAAATGACAATTTAAAAATTACCAACAAAAAAAAGTCCAGGACCAGACGGATTCACAGCAGAATTCTACCAGATATTCAAAAAGGAATTGGTACCAATCCTTTTGAAACTGTTCCACAAGATAGAGAAAGAAGAGACCCTCCCTAATTCATTCTGTGAAGCCAGCATCACCCTAATACCAAAACCAGGAAAGGACATAACCAAAAAAGAAAACTACAGACCTATATTCTTGATGAACATAGATGCTAAATCCTTAACAAAATATTAGCTAACCAAATCCAACAACATATCAAAAGATAATCCACCATGACCAAGTGGGTTTCATACCAGGGATGCAGAAATGGTTTAACATATGCAAGTCAATAAATGTGATACACCACATAAACAGAATTAAATACAAAAATCACATGATCATCTCAACAGATGCAGAAAAAGCATTCAACAAAATCCAGCATCCCTTTATGATTAAAACTCTCGGCAAAATCGGGATACAAAGGACATATCTCACTGTAATAAAAGCCATCTATGACAAACCCGCAGCCAATATAATACCGAATGGGGAAAAGTTGAAAGCATCCCCTCTGAGAACTGGAACAAGACAAGGATGCCCACTCTGACCACTCCTCTTCAACACACTACTGAAGTCCTAGCCAGGGCAATCAGACAAGGGAAAGTAATTTCCCATATTCTGAAAACGATTTGTCCTAAAGAATTCTGAAGTGAAGTGAGACATAGATCTGAAGTCACTGGAACAGGGGCTGGGTCATGCTGGGAGGGGCTTGTGGAGCAGCCTCAGGGCTGCAGGGCACACATCGAGTGTGTCTGAGAGGTGGTTGAGTGCACTCTGCCACACAGCACCACGGTCACAGAACACCATGACTCTCCACTGGCTTCATCGTAGAGGGGATGATGGGCAGATTTTCATCATTTTACTATAGGACAAATGAGGCCTCCCTCATTTATAGCAGTAGCAAAAACAAAATGCAGAAATCTTCGTAGTAAAAGACTGAAGAAATAATTTGATTTTTTACTCTTTCCATTATTATGTAGTAACCTGAATAACTGCATATTTTACAGACAATCCCCTTCTATTAATCATCTGATCCTAAGTGTTAGGAGTAACATGTGGTACCTGCACAGTTCATACCCATGGATTGCATTCTGGGACGTATCTTAATGCATTTGAAGCACAGGTGTCTATTGAAAATATACATAGGAAAGAGATGAATTGGGATAAGAGATAGTTAGAGAAGGCTGTATCATCTTTAAGTTGCAAGCCTATCTTAAAAGGTACCTGGGATTTGTTGTAGTCCATTACGGTGGGATGCCAGACACAGAGACCACTGCTTTGAAAGAAGAGTTTATTACTCGCAGTTTCCAAGAGGAAGGGCCATGCTACCCAGGCAAGACCACACAGAGAAGCTCAGAGGGATCTAGGGCAGCAGTCCCCAACCATATTGGCACCATGGACCAGTTTTGTGGAAGACAATTTTTCCATGAACTGGGGGAGGGTCCAGGTCAGGGATGGTTTCAGATGAAACTGTTCCACCTCAGATCATCAGGCATTAGATTCTTATAAGGAGCGTGCAACCTAGATCCCTTGCATGCACAGTTCACAATAGGAATCGCGCTCCTATGAGAATATAATGCTGCTGATGATCTGACAGGAGGCGGAGCTCAGGCAATAATGCTCACCCACTGCTTGCCTCCTGCTGTGAGACCCAGTTCCTAACAGGTCAAGGACCAGTACTGGTCTGTGGCCCAGGGCTTGGGGACCCCTGATCTAGGGGACAGCATGGGCCAGATCCTTTATTGTGGTTTTTGTGGGGAAGAATGTGCAGGCACGTTTGACCCAGGTGAGAATTGGCTGGTTTGACCTGTTGGCTGTAGGAGTAGCCCCCAGTTGTCTAGTACCTTACCTGGCCCTGGGATGATTTAGGGCAGGGGAAATAGTGGCTTAGTTGTGAGAGTTAAATGAAGGGTGTAGTTCGAGGTGTGGGCTGTGGATTGGTTGGTCTGCATAGGAAAAGTGGGCTTGCAGGTGAGTTTCTTATTATCTGAAGGAATTAGCTAGCCCTGGGAGGGCAGTCTCTCCTGGATTAGTAGACCCCAAGATGTCAAAGCATCTTAAAATGCAGAAAGTAAAAAGCATTATACAAAACCTTCTTGAAACCTTTACAATCCAGTTGAATTAACCCAGGTGACACTTTTGCATCCAACTTTTTACTTTTACATCCTTCCACTAATTTCAGAGTCAGTTGTGAGCAGCCACCCGATGCCAGGGAGCAGTTTGTGCTCTGAGGGGGTGACAGCTGGGTAGAGTGACCCTGCAGGGGTACCAGGGCACAGAGAGACTCACAGGAAGAGGGAAACTCAGTCCCCGAGAGCAGAGGGAGATGCTCAGGCTGAGTCTTGGAAGAAGCCCACCTTTTCCCTGTGTGAGACCCGCACTTTCCAGGCGGAGGAACCAAAATCAAAATGCAACTTTCTCTTTTGCTTCCACCATCCCTGGAAGGTCTCCTCATGACCATGGTCCTTCTCTCTCTGTGGGAAACTGAGGCAGGCCTTGAGGTCCACTCAGTCATAAGCAACAGACTCTCCCCTGGACTACTGTGTATTTTTTATTTGTTTTTGTTTTTGTTTTGAGACGGAGTCTCTCCCTGTTGCCCAGGCTGGAGTGCAGTGGGGTGATACCGGCCCACAGCAACCTCTCACTCCTGGGTTGAAGTGATATCCCTGCCTTAGCCTCCCAAGTAGCTGGGATTACAGGTGCCCACCACCACGCCCAGCTAATCTTTGTATTTTTAGTAGAGACGGGGTTTCACGATGTTAGCCAGGCTGGTCTCCAACTCCTGACCTCAGGCAGTCTGCCCACCTTGGCCTCCCAAAGTGCTGGGATTACAGGCATGAGCCACCACGACCAGACAGATTTGTGTATTTTTTAAAAATTAATCCTCTGTGTTAGCTCAGACATAGCCAGAGAAGAAAGCACACATTGTAAGTACTGAACCTAGTAACTCTTGACAGGTGAACAAACCCATGGAACCAACACTTAGATCAGAAGTAAAACATCTCCAGCATCCCCGGGAGCCCCGCCCCTCCTTCTCCCAGTCACTCATACCACACTCCTCATGGGCACCTGCTATCCTAACTTGTAATGTCACAAAAGAATTCTTCCTGGCTTTCAGCTTTATAAATAGAATCATATGTAATTGACCCTTTTATTTCTTGCTTTTTTCATTCAACATGTCGGTTAGATTCACTCATCTTGTTGCAAGTAGCTCTGGTTTCCAATTTTCCATTGTGTGAGTACCTCGCAGTTTTGTTTTCCCCACTCTCCTCCCAGTGTGAGGCTATTGTGGATACACAGGCATGGCTATTCTCGTGTATTGCTTTGGATGAACATCCATCTGTTGGTTACACCAGAGGGGAAGTCTGTAGGTTATAGGATGTAGGGTATACCTATAGGTATATAGGTATAGGTATGTTTAGCTTTGGTAGATACTGCCAAACTGTGTGTTTTCCGAAGTTGTTCGTATTAATTTTCACTCCCACCAGGGGTGTATGTGAGTTCTGTTTACTGAGGAATCTGATATCTGTGGTGTGCTGGCGCCTCCCTCAAACCTCAGCTGTCGCTTCCTGCAGAAGCACAGAGAGAATTGCTTCCCCTGCCACTGGGCAGAGGCTTGAGAGCACTCTGAGGCTGCCCTATTTGCCAGCATTTCTCGATCATTTCAAAGTAGATGACACATGTTTTTAAGGAGTCAGCTAATTCCCTCCTAGCAAGCATCAACATTTTACAATGTCTTTATGTATTTGGTCATAAACATTTTATTTTCTCCTATTTTTGGCCCTATCTACTTATAGGTAGGACAGGGATGGCAAGTAGGTTTCACGTTGTGTGCCAGCTTCCTCTGCCTGGCATTAAGTGCCCAGAACAGTGTGTTGAGTAGGATTCTAAGGCTGTTATCTGGACTCAGGGTGGGGGGAGGGGAGGGTGAAAGCAAAAGAGGGAAATGGTGGGATGTGTGGTCTGTGTTTGCCATCCCTGCTGTAGGGGACACAAAAGGCAGTCTCAGTTCTCAGAAGTCCCGGCATTTGTAAGCCCCCCAGGGGACAGGGGGGCTACAGGCTAGGAGGGGCCAGCGTGGGGGTTTGTGTCCCTAGCTTGGCAGGGAAGGTGGGGTGACCCCCACTGATGGCTGCATTCCCAACCTAGTGGGGAGGCTGGGGGGATCCCTCAGTGACACGCCCATCCACATGATTCCACGCCCATTGTGCAGAACAGGGAAACCCTCCAGTGATGAGCTGGCTTTGTCCCCAGGCCTGGCAGGGACTGGATTTAGCACCTCTCCAGGAACAAACAGGTGCCCAGTCCCTCGTGCTCTGGAGTAAGGAAGAGAGAGGTGAAGCCAGCTGGACTTCCTGGGTGGAGTGGGGACTTGGAGAACTTTTCTGACTTACCAGGGGATTGTAAAACGCACCAATCAGCACCCTATAGCTAGGTTTGTAAAATGCACCAATCAGCGCTCTGTAAAATGCACTAATCAGCGCTCTGTAAAATGCACCAATCAGCAGGATTCTAAAAGTAGCCAATCGTGGGGGAGGATTGAGAAAAGGGCATTCTGATAGGACAGAAACAGAACATGGGCGGGGACAAATAAGGGAATAAAAGCTGGCCACCCCCCCGCCCCCCAACCGGCAGCGGCACACCGCTCGTAGGAGGTGGAAGATCTGTTCTCTTGCTCTTCGTAATAAACTTTGTTATCACTCACTCTTTGGGTTCGTGCAATCTTTAAGAGCTGTAACACTCGCTGGGAACGTCTGCGGCCTCATTCTTGAAGTCGGTGAGACCAGGAAGCCACGGGCGGGAACCAATTCTGGACACAATGCCAGTCCAAATGCTTCCACGCCTAGTGTGTAGCACAGGGGAAACACCCCAATAATGGGCCGGCTTTGTCCTCAGGTCTGGCAGGGACTGCATTCAGCATCTCTCCAGGAACAAAAAGGTGCCCAGTCCTTGATGCTCTGGAGTAAGGAAGAGCTGGAGGGGCTGGCTGAGGGCACTGCTGCAGGAGCTGCTTGGCGAGTAGCTTTGAGCCACTCGCGGGAAAGTGGCTCCGTGTCATCCAACCTACGGAGCATGTCTATGTTGGCCCTGAGTTTATGCCGGGGAGACAGTGGTGAAGGTAGTTTTGATTGGTCCCAAACTGTCGATGTTGGTGACACGTGTGTGAATATAAAACGTTTAGGCAGAACACGGAAGGGATTAAAACCAAACTAAATGAGTTAGTAATTACGTGTGGTGGTAATTTTTTTCTGAAACACCTTTATTGTGATATAATTCACGTATCATACAATTCACCCACTTAAAGTGTAAAATTCAGTGTTTTCTTAGTATATTTACCGTATGTGCGTCACCACCCCAGTCAATTTTAGAGCATTTTCATCACCTCAAAAAAACATACCATACCCTTTATGTCGCACCCCGGATTGGCCCCTGTCCCCGACTGAGTCCCAGACAACTGCTAAGCTGGTTTCTGTCCCTGTGGGTTTTTCTGTTCTGGATGTTGAATGGAATCATGCGGGGTGTGATCTGTGGTATCTGGCCTCTTTGACTTAGCATAATGTCATCAGGGTCCACCCATGTTGCACTGTGATTACTGGAGTTTTTGGGGTCTTACCAGTGCCTTTAAGTGCCTTGAGCATCACCAGCATAAGGGTTTTTGCTGTGGTCTGAATGTTTGTGTCCCCCACCCCCGAATTTCTATGTTGAAATTCTAACCTCCATGGTGATGGTATTAGGAGGTGGGGTCCTTGGGAGGTGATTAGGTCATGTGGGTGGAGCCCGCATGAGTGGGTTAGTGC
Organism: Homo sapiens; assembly: GCF_000001405.40. NCBI lineage: Eukaryota > Metazoa > Chordata > Mammalia > Primates > Hominidae > Homo > Homo sapiens. The sequence goes on along the minus strand of NW_011332701.1, from coordinate 1,369,355 downwards.
CTTTATAATAGAAGTCCCAGAAAACTGCCTTGTCTCTTCTGCCAGGTGAGGACACAGTGATCCATCTGTGAACCAGGATGTCACCATACACCAAATCTGCTGGTGTTTTAATCCTGGGCTTCCCAGCCTCCAGAACTCTGAGAAATAAATTTCTACTGTTTATAAGCCACCCCGTCTGTGGTATTTGTTAATAGTAGTCCAGAGAAAGGCAGTTATGTCGTCCTGTGTCATTGGGGCTGGTGTTGTGGGGACCCTCTCCCACCACCAGCAGGGATGCTGCAGGACAGTGGCATTGCTCAGAAAGCAGGACAAGGACTGAGTGAGGCAAGTGAGATGCTTACCTCTGCAGCAAGACTTAAGGTGGCTCATTCTTGAGACAAAGGAAGCAAAAATTACTGGGTTAGGGAGAAATCAACAGGTTACTGACAGTTTTTGTGAAAGTGATGGAAACCTACAAGTATTCAAAAAGTTGAATTGACTTCTGTTCATCACAGAACACAATCAACAGAAGAGGCTCCGTGGGTGAAAATATTTACCAATTGTATAGTTGATAAGAGGTTACTATCCGGAATGTATAAAGAACTCCTACAGCTCAACAAGAACACAAACAACCCAATTTGAAAACAGGCAAAGGATTTGAATAGATATTTCTCCAAATAATATATACAAATGGCCAGTAAGCACATGAAAAGGTGCACAACATCACTAATGGTTAGGGAAATGCAACTCGAAACCAGAGTGAGATACCACCTGACACCCACTGCAATGACTATGATTTTTTGAAAACCCAGAAAATAAGTGTTGGTGAGGATGTAGAGAAGTTGGAAGCCTTGTACACTCTTGGTGGAACGTAAAATGGCACAGCTGCTGTGGAAAACATTATGACATTTTCTTAAATCATTAAACAGAGAATTGCCACATGATCCAGCAATTCCCCTTCTGGGAATTTACCCAAATAATTGAAAGCAGGGACTCAAATAGATATGTGCACACCCATGTTCATAGCAGCATTATTCACAGCAGCCAAGAGCTGAAAACATCCCAGGTGTCCATCTACAGATGAATTATCAAGAAAATATGGTAGATGCATCTGATAGAACATTCTTCAGCCTTAAAAAGGAAGGAAATCTCGACACGTGCTACCACATGGATGAACCTTGAAGACATGCTGAGTGAAATAGGCCAGCCACAAAAGGACAAATACTGCCTGATTCCACTTGCAGGAGGTACCTGGAGTAGTGAATCCACAGAGAGAGAAAGTAGAATGGGAGTTGTTGGGGGCCTGTGGGAGAGGGAATGGGGATTTGTTTAGTGGTGACAGAGTTTCAGTTTGGAAAGATGAAAAAGTTGTGGAGGTGGATGGTGGTGATGGTAGCACAACGAGGTGAATATGTTTAATGCCACTGAACTGTATGCCGACAAATGGTGAAGATGGTAAATTTTATGTTGTGTGTATTTTACCACAATTTAAAAATTAGGGTCTAGTTTTTGTAGCTTTGTTTGAACCTTTGGGAAGAAAACTTAGGGTCTAGTTTCTACAAATTTTTTCTTTAATGTAAATAATAGCAACATCAATAACACCGGCAAATAGCGTTGGCACTCTGCATTTTTACCTGTCTAATCTCATTTGATCCTCACTGGGGTCCGGGAACCTGAAGCCCAGAGAGGTCACATGGCTTGTCCTGGGTCACTCCATGGCAGTTAGGACTGTGAGTAGTCTGACTCTGTCACCCGTGCTGCGCCTCCTTCCTCCTCGAAACAGGCTCCTCACATCCAAGGATACTGGCCTTGGTGTGCCCACTGTAAGTTCTCGGGCTTGACACATGCCAGCCTCTTCCCAGCCCTCTGCCCTGCTCTGCCTACATGCTCAGCCTTCCCACACTGCCTTCCCTTTGAGAATATCTGAAGGTCACATACCCATCCCATTTGTACTTCTGTAAGAGAATCGTGGGGGCATCCCCCTCTTTTTGTTGTATAAGCCCTTTCTACTCCCAGACAGGCTGATAGACCATAAATAAGGGGGGCAGGCTAGCTGTTAAGTGCCCCAAAGAGATTTGTGAAAAATTACTGTGGCCTCATTTGCAAAGCTCTGCGGTGTCGTTCCCAATGACCCGAACACTGAGGGGTACTCTTAAAATAAATCTGTCAGCCGCCTGCACACCCAGATGTCGAGGTCAGGGAACTAACCAGGAGGTTTTCAGAATTTTCCTAAGAATTAATCACAAACTCAGTGAAATAACTGATGGAAAAGATTTATTTGGATGTCTATTCCCTGGGGTCATTGAAGGGTTATTTTATTTGATAAATCATGCTTTCCAGACAAGCTGATCTCCCCTCCCTTTCCCCGGATGATCCTTCAGACTGAGGAAAATGTCTTGCCATTTATGATAGCTACTTCAATCTTAATGCCTAGCCTAGAGATGTGATCATATGAGATAATTCCTTGAATGTTTTTGAGACGTGGGAGAGTGAACTGTTTCAGGAGAGCTGGACTCCTGTCCAGTTGATCACAGCAAAGGGAAACAGTTGAAGCCAAAGAGGATATAGATCAAAGGGTACAAAATTTCAGTTAGATTGGAGTAAGTTTTAGTGATCTATTTCACAAAATGATGACTAAAATAAATAATGCCTCGTATATTTCAAAATTGCTTAAGAGTAGATTTTAAATGTTTTCACCACAAAAAGATAAATATATCAGCCAACAAACATGAAAAAAAGCTCATCATCACTGATCATTAGAGAAATGCAAATCAAAAACCACAATGAGATACCATCTCATGCCAGTTAGAATGGCAATTATTAAAAAGGCAGGAAACAACAGATGCTGGTGAGGCTGTGGAGAAACAGGAACAATTTTGTTGTTGTTGTTGTTTTCAAGACAGAGTCTCGCTCTGTCACACAGGCTGGAGTGCAGTGGCGCGATCTCAGCTCACTGCAAGCTCTGCCTCCCGGGTTCACGCCATTCTCCTGCCTCAGCCTCCCCAGTAGCTGGAACTGCAGGCACCTGCCAAAACGCCTGGCTAATTTTTTGTATTTTTAGTAGAGACGGGGTTTCGCCATGTTAGCCAGGATGGTCTCGATCTCCTGTCCTCGTGATCCGCCTGCCTCGGCCTCCCAAAGTACCGGGATTATAGGCGTGAGCCACCGTGCCCGGCCTAGGAACGGTTTTATACTGTTGTGGGAGTGTAAATTAGTTCAACCATTGTGGAAGACAGTGTGGCAATTCCTCAAGGATCTAGAACCAGAAATACCATTTGACCCAGCAATCCCATTACTGGGTGTATACCCAAAGGATTATAAATCATTCTGCCACAAAGACACATGCACATGTATGTTTATTGCAGCACTATTTACAATAGCAAAGACTTGGAACCAACCCAAATGCCCATCAATGATAGACTGGATAAAGAAAATGTAGCACATATACACCATGGAATACTATGCAGCCATAAAAGAGAATAAGTTCATGCCTTTTGCAGGGATGTAGATGAAGCTGGAAGCCATCTTTCTCAGAAAACTAACACAGGAACAGAAAACCAAACACTGCATGTTCTCACTCATAAGTAGGAGTAGAACAGTGAGAACACATGGACACAGGGAGGGGAATATCACATACCAGGGCCTGTCAGGGGTTGGGGGCAAGGGGAGGGAGAACATTAGGACAAATACCTAATGCATGCAGGGCTTAAAACCTAGATGATGGGTTGACGGGTGCAGCAGACCACTATGGCACATATATACCTATGTAACAAACCTGTACATTCTGCACCTGTATCCCAGAACTTAAAGTAAAATAAAAAAAATTTTTAAAATGGGAGGTGATTTGTGAATTAGCTTGATTCAATCATTCTGCAATGTAAACATTACTAAGACATCACACTGTACCCCATAAATATGTAATATAGAATTATTTCTCAACTAAAAATAAAATTAAAAAAAGAAACTAGATAAAGAGCAGCATAATCAACCCAAAGCAAATAGGTGTCAGGAAATCATAAATGAAAGAGCAGAAATCAATGAAATGGACAACAGAAAACCAATGGAGAAAAACCAATGAAAAAGGAGCTGATACTTTGACAACATCAACAACATTGACAAAACTCTAGCAAGAAAAAAAGTTAGAAGACACAAATTCCCAATGTCTGGGAAGAAACCGGGATATAACTACAGACCCAGCAGACATCAAAAGGATAATAAGGGAATAATAGGAATGGCTTTACACAAATGAACTTCACAACTTAGATGAAATAGATCAATTTCTTGGAAAACACGAACTAACACAACTCGTACACTATGAAGTAGAGAATTTGAATAGCCCTATAATTATTAAGGAAATTGAATTTATAATTCTAAAACTTCCAAAAACAAAATCTCCAGGTCCAGATGGTTTCACTGGAGAATTCTATTAAGCATTTATAGAATTAATACCATTTCTACACAATTTCTCTGAAAAAATAGAAGGAACATTTCCAAATTGATTTTTGTGAAAGTAATATTGCCATGCTACCAAAATCCAGACAAAGACAGTATAGAAAAATAAAATTACAGGCCAATATCCCTTATTAATGTAATATAGATACAAAAATCCTTAACAAAATAATAACGAATAAAATTCAACATATCTGAAAGGAGTTATATACATCATTGCCAAGAGGGATTATTCCAGGGATTCAAAACTGGTTTGATATTCAAAAATCAGTCAATTTATTCTATCATATCAACAGGCTAAAGAAGAGAAACTGCATGGCTGTATCAATTGTTGGAGAAAAAGCATTTGACAAACTCAAGCACCTTTTCATAACTAAAAAGGAAACTTAGAAAAATAGGCATAGAGAACGTCCTCAACTTGAAAAAGAGCATCTACAAAAGACCTACAGCTAACACACTTAATGGAGACTGAATGCTTTTCCCCTAAGATCAGGAACAAGGCAAGCATGCTCATTCGTACCATTTTTTTCAATATAGAACATAATGCTGTAATTTCAAGCCAATGTAGTATGGCAAGAAAATAAAATAAAAGGCATAAAGATTAGAAAAGAACAAATATAACTAACTCTGTTTGTGGATGACATGAGTATCTATGTAGAAAATCCCAAAGAATCTTTAAAAAACAAACAGAACAAACAAGCCTCTTAGAATTAATAAGTGAGTTCAGCAAAGTTGTAGGATACAAGATAAACATACAAAATTCAATTGTATTTCTTGTGTATTAATAGTGAACTGTATAGTAACAGTAATACTGCATATTAATAGCATATGGACACTGAAATTAAAAATCGCTTAAAAAGATACATAAGTGTAAATCTAACAAAACATACACTGAAAACTGCGTTAACAATGAGGAAATAAATAAATTGGAAAATTCAATGTAGTAAATATGTCCATTTCCCCCCAGTTAATATGTGGGTTTGGGCTGGGCACAGTGGCTCACACCTGTAATCAATCCCAGCACTTCAGGAGGCCAAGGCAGGCAGATCACCTGAGGTCAGGAGTCCAAGACCAGCCTGGCCAATATGGCGAAACCCCATCTCTACTAAAAATACAAAAAAAATTAGCTGGGCCTGGTGGCGGGCACCTGTAATCCCAGCTACTCAGGAGGCTGAGGCAGGAGAATTGCTTGAATCCAGAAGGCAGAAGTTTCAGTGAGGTGAGATCACGCAATTGCACACCAGCCTGGGCAACAAGAGCAAAAATTCCATCTCAAAAAAAAAAAAGAAACTGGGTTTGATTCAATCCCTATCAAAATCCCAGCAACACTTTTTTTGGAGACAATGACAGTCTTATTCTAAAATGTATATGGAGACGAGGTGTGGTGGCTCACGCCTGTACACCCAGCACTTTGGAAGTCTGAGGTGAGAGGATCACTTGAGGCCAGGAATTCGAGACCAGCCTGGCCAACATGGCAAAACCTTGTCTCTACTAAAAATACAAAAATTAGCTAGGCATGGTGGCGTGCTCCTGTAATTCCAACTATCTGGGAGGCTGAGCCATGAGAATCGCTTGAACCCGGGAGGCGGAGGTTGCAGTGAGCTGAGATGGTGCCACTGCACTCCAGCCTGGGTGACAGAGCAAGACCTGTCTCAAAAAAAAAATGTATATGGAGAGACAAATAATTTTGAAAAATAAGAATTAAATGGGAGGAATTAATTTTTTGATTTCCAGACTTATAGCCACAGTAATCAAGACTTGGTGGTTGGTGGAAAGATAGATCAATGGAACAAAGAGAGAATCCAGATAGAGACACACAAATATGCCCGACTAATTTTTGACAAAAGTCAAAAGGAATTAAGCAAAGAAAAGATAGATTTTTCAACAAATGTTGGAACAATTGGACATCTATAGGCAAAAATAGTCAACCTCATCCCAAGTCTCATATCTTTCACTAAAAGTGACTGAAAATGGGTCATGCAATCAAATGTAAAAATAAAATTATAAAACATTTAGAAAAAACATAGGAGAAAGATCTAGGGCTAGGCAGAGTTCTTAGATCAACACCAAAAGTGTAGGAGCAAAAATATGTAAGTTGGCCTTCATCAAAATTTAAAACGTTTACTCAATGAATGATCCTTTTGAGAGGATAAAAAGATAAACTATAGACTGAGAAAATATTTACAAGCCGCATATATAACAAAACCATGTACTATATATGATTTGTCTTTTATGCTGAGTTAAAATTGTTTTATTATTTGTTTAGTGTCTCTGTTCCTAATTTACTCTCAAACTTCCCAGGAGAACTGAAAATCTCCTCTGAATACAGTCCTACCCATCAGGCATTCTGTCAGCTTCATTTTCTTAGAGACGTTTCCATTGAGCCTGTTTCCTGCTTCAGTCTGAACAAGTCAGCCTATAGGCAGTCTATATATTTACCATGCTAGGACATCCTTTTCCCATTCTCTTAGAACTTCCTCTATCTCTTTTCTGTGTTAGATCCCATCTTCCCTTTTTTTCTTGGCTTAGTCCCTCATTTCAAGGAAGAAGTACCTCTTCCAGTACTTTCTTATCTAAAATTAAAAAGACTAAAACAAGCACAAGCCAGGATGTGGAGTAATGGGGACCCTCGAACAGTGCTGGTGAGTGTGTAAATTGGTACAGCCACTTTGGAAAGTGGCTTTGTATTCTCTGCTAAAGCTGAAAATCCCCAGGGACCCAGCAGCTCTGATCAATAGGTATTTTGTACCCAAAAGAAATATGCACATGTATGTACCAGCAGACTAGTACAGAATATCAAACAGCATTAATCTTATTGCAAAAAAATTAGCAACAATCCAAACGTCCCGTGACAAGAGAATAGATATATAAATGGCAGCATATTCACACAATGTAATATACAACAGTGAACATGATCAACTATATTTATATGCAGTAAGGTAGATGAATCTTGTAATTTTGAATGAAAGATGCCAAATACTAAAAATATTGTATGATTCTATTTGTATCAAGTTAGAAAACCAGGTGAAACTAAACTATAGTGGTAAATGTATAAAGGTGGAAGCCTAGAAGTGATTATTTAAAAAGTAAGGAATGTGGTGAGCTTTTGGTGCAGCAAGTGGGAGGAATGACAGGGAATGAGGCATGGAAGGCCTTTTAGGAACATGGCCATGGGCCGGTGGGTGCTTGCTTAATGATAAATCATTGAACTGAATATGTTTGCTTTGTGCACTTTTTGTGTATGTGTGTTAGGTTTCACAATATGAACGGTTAAGAAAATGAGGAAAGATGAAAACAAACCCACCCACCCCCAAATTAGATACTATTATATTAGTTACTGCATGGACAAAAATGTCTAAGTCCAACATTAGCAAGCATTGGTGAGGATGTGGATTAGCCTGAATTCACACCCTATTGGTGGGAGTATAATTTGTTTGAATTATTTGAAAAATGGTTTGATCTTACCTAGTAATGTTGTGTGTGCATGTACCATAGGGCAGAACAGTTCTGCAGGGGTGCTCCACGGGTTTCCTGCTGGGACTGGAGAGCTGGCAGCTCCCTGGAATCTGTTCTTTTCCTGCTGTATATTGGAAGTTCCAGGGAGAGGGTGCAGAAACATGAAGCCTGTGGAGGTCTTAAGTTCAGAAGCTGCAAGCTGACACCTCTACCCATATTCTCCTGCTGAAAGCCACTCGCAAAGCCCACCTGACATGGAGCAGGGGGTGGCAGGGGCTAAGTCTTAAGCTAAGCTGAGTTCCTCTGGTGAATATCAGCACATTTCTTGGCTCTGAGGATGCTCCATTACCCCTCCCCCAGTATTTAGGAGAGGCGGACATGTTGATACCTGGAGGTTTTATAAGTATGGCCTCAGTCTCAGCAATATTCATGCAATGAAAAATTATTTGTTATGGTTATAAATGGCCAATATTTGTCTGAAAAGTATTTGTACTTCGAGTTGGCTGCTGTAAACATATTATCTATTGGAAAGCAGGGCACTTCTTAGTCTAAGGAAAATAACTTGTTTCATGTTCAGTGTTATTTTGAATAAAATTGCATAGATTTTACTGATTTTTTTTTTTTTTTGAGATGGAGTCTTGCTCTGTCATCCAGGCTGGAGTGCAATGGCATGATCTCAGCTCACTGCAACCTCCGCATCCTGGGTTCAAGCGATTCTCCTGCCTCAGCCTCTTGAGTAGCTGGGATTACAGGTGCATAGCACCACGCCGAGCTAATTTTTGTATTTTTAGTAGAGACGGGGTTTCACTGTGTTGGTCAGACTGGTCTTGAACTCCTAACCTTGTGATCTGCCCGCCTCAGCCTCCCAAAGTGCTGGGATTACAGGTGTGAGCCACCGCGCCTGGCCTGATTTTCTTTTTTAGTAGTTTTACATCTAGGACTTTATTATTTTTTATTTACGTATTTTTGAGACAGAGTCTCAGTATGTTACCCAGCCAGGCTGGTCTCAAACTCCTAGGCTCAAGCAATCCTCCTGCCCTGGCCTGCCGAGTAGCTGCAAATGCAGGTGGTGTACCACCACACCTGGCTAGGACTTTACTTTTTTAAAGCTGCTTTTCTCCTAGGCACTGGTAACTCTGTTCTCTTCCCTCTCACTGAGACTCTCATACTCTCTCTTCGTCTAACACTGCTTTTTAAAATACTTGAAATGCATTTTTTTCTTCCATGGTTTTCCATTTTCCAAGCCGTTTTTATTCATTCAGCATTTATTGAACACCTACAACTTGTTGCCATTGTCAATACTGTGGTGATAAGATGCACCTGTAGCTGGATAAAGTCAGTCTTCAGTAGCAGTGAGGCAGGAAAACCAGACAAGGCCTCGAGGGTGGCGCTGGAGTTGGGTCTTGATGGATGAGCAGGAGTTTGATAGGCCATGAAGTGAGGCAGGAAATTTCTGACTGTGGAAGGAGAATGAGCCAAGGCACAGAGCTAGGATAGCACATCTCCGTGCATACATCAGCATGAGTGACTTTCAATCTATTTACCTTTATCTCATTTTGTAATCCACCTGCCATTTTCTCTAATGTATAGCTTAAGTTTCTTCAAATGTACTTTTGCTTTTTCTATACATTGCTGTTAAGATAGGAATTTGAAGTCCTCCTGATGGCCTGGGTCAATAGAAATTGTTTTTGCTGTACTACTTAAACACACTGAAACAGGCTCCTTTGAACTGAGCCATTTTCCTGTGTTCTGAACTGTGTCACTCACGCGTACCCTCGGGGGTCGAATGCCTGTTAACGGTGAGGTCTGTCTGTGTTCCTCTGTCTAGATTAAGTTTGACAGTGTGGAGGTGTGTGTCTGCTGTGAGCTGCAGCACCAGTCGTCCGGCTGCAGCAACCTCGGGGAGACGCTGAAGCTGAACCCGCTGCAGGAGAACTGCAACGCTGTGAGGCTGACCTTGAAGGTGACCCCGCTGGGCGCTGCTTGTGCATGCATTTCATTCCATGCCTTACAGACAGTTTAGGAAGCCTTATTAACATATAGATTCCTTTCAGCTCTTAACTTCCCGGGGTAGGTTCAGTGCAAGAGGGAATATCTTTCCAGAGAACATTTGAAAGGATTATATATTTTGATTTTGAAAGTGTTGCTTTCTGGATCTCACTTTGCATTTTTGCCATTTCATTGTCCTACCTCTGACATCTGCAAATTCGGATGCAAATGGTTGAAAGAGGTCTTTACAAATGATGATGGGATCATTCTACGGCTTTTCTGACATTTTTGGCTGTTATACCATCAGGGAACAAATGGGGATTTATTTTGCTTTTTAAAAGATATTTGGAGGAAAAAAATCAGACAGTCTCCCCTGGGAGTCTATTCTTATGTGTAGCATTTGATGTTTAAAAAAAAAGTGATTTGGAAAAATTGTTTATATTATTTTATTTTTTCTTCCGAGTGTTTTATTCTGAAAAGCAAAATTGGCTACTTAAAAATACATAAGAAGAGTGAACCCAATTCTTCTGTTTCCCCTGAATAAAACTGTGCCAAAACTTTTTAAAAAGATGTGGCACAAGCCGGGCGCAGTGGCTCACGCCTGTAATCCCAGCACTTTGGGAGGCTGAGGCAGCCGGACCACTTGAGGTCAGGAGTTCGAGACCAGTCTGGCCAACATGGTGAAACCCCCTCTCTACTAAAAATACAAAAATTAGCCAGGTGTGGTGGTGGGCGCCTGTAGTCCCAGCTACTTGGGAGGCTGAGGCAGGAGAATCATTGGAACCTGGGAGACAGAGGTTGCAGTGAGCCGAGATTGTGCCACTGCACTCCAGCCTGGTGACAGAGCAAGGCTTCATCTCAAAAGAAAAAAATGGATAAATAAATATAAAAAGATGTGGCACAGTCCAAGGAACTCTTAGTTGGTGGTAAAATTGTGTTTGCAGTATGGAGGGGGTTCTAGCATGTGTGTAGGGAATGCAGTATGCAGGGGATGGGAAACTGCAGAGAGCCACCTCGGATCTGGGGAGAGGAGGAAAGCGTTGACCTTGAGTGCTTGTGATTAGTCCTCCATGGGTGGTCTCCGGCTGGTAGACAAGCAAAGATGTACAGAGAGAGAGGATGCGGCTCATCTCCATGGTAGGACTACGCCTGGCTCACAGCGCCTGTCATGTTTTGCACGGAGGAATGGTCCAAGTTGGATGGTCCCAGCAGCTCACCAGAGTGACAGATGCAGCGGGGTTGGAGGAATCAAGAACTGCAGCACTCCAGGGCCCATCCCATCATGGGACCAGGTATTTCATGCTGCCCACATTACCTACGCCCACATTCTACCTCACTGCATCCTGGAGCCTGCCTGGGTCAGTGCCTGAGGTCTGCTGTGGCCTTTCACAGCCCTCCTGGGAGGGGACACGGGCAGCCGTTGCTCACTCTGCGATCTCATTCTGACAACTGCTAAGTCACTTCTTCAACCTGGGAATGTTTTCTTGAGTATGGGGATGCATTTGGGCCTCACGTTACCTCCCGTTCCTCAGTTGGCTGGTTGGGGTGTTCAACAGGCTCCTCTAAGGTCCTGGCGTCCCCCTTGAACGCCTTCACTCATGGGATGCAGGACCCGGTTTTCATGACTCTCCAGCCCCTGCAGCAGTGACTGTGGCTTGAAAGGTAATGCTGGTGAAAAAACAACACTGTCTCTAAGAATGCAGTCTCAGGTCTAGGGGGAGCTGGTGACCTTGCAGTCTCACTCTTATTCACTGTTCTGGTACATTGGTGAGAAAAGCCCTTGGTATGAGGTGGCAAAAACGGCATAGAGTAAAGGCCACTGAAGTCAAGAAGTTCCAGGGAAGGCTGGGAGCCTAGCTGAATGCATGGCACATCCCCATGGGTATTCAGATTGCCCAGGACACTGGTAAGAGTTGAAAGCAAAGGAAAGACTACACTATTTTAAACTCCCTCATGAATTTGTGTACAAAGCCTACTTAGAGATAGGAACTATCAAAACTGGTGGCAGGAGGCTCAAAGGAGGCAGGAGTTGTGATTAAGGTGTGAGGCCAATGGTCTGGAAGTGGCAGCAGTGGCTTAGGTGCTAGGAGAAGAGGCAGCCTGCCCCTGTCCCCCACCTGAGGGCCTATGCAAGGAGCAACAGCCTTGGCAGGGACTGACTTTCATCTGAGATCAAGAGGACCAGGGACTATTGGAAGCGAGTATCTGTTTATTGCTGTCGTCCAATTTTGTTGCTTTTCAGAATTGTCTTAGCTATCATTTCCTTTGTAATTCCATATAAATTTTAGAATCCACTTGTGCATTTTCTACTAGAATCCTGCTGGGATTTTAATTGAGATTGCATGGAGTCCACATGTCACTTTGAAGAGACTTGACATATTCATGATCTAGTTCTTCATTTATTTAAGTCATACTTCATTTCTTCAGTGTTTCTTTTTTTCATCAGTCTTGTGTAAATTTCAGTATATAGATCTTAACATATTTTGTAATAGTTATGCTTAAAGTATTCCACATTTATTGGTGCTATCCTAATGGTATTTTTTAATGGTCTCTTATTCACTGCTAGCACATAGAAATTTGATTTTTGTTACCAATCTTGTATCCTGTGGTCTTGACTAAACTCAGTTCTGGTAGCTCTTTTGCAGATTCTTTGGGTTTTCTTATGTAGACAGTCATGTGCTATGCAAAGAGAGGCAATTTTACGTCTTCCATTCTCCAGACAGAGCCAATAGGACAGATACAGATAGGTGAGAGGGAATTTATTGAAAGAATTGCTCACATTACCATGGAGACTAAGAAGTCCTATGACAGTCCCATCTGCAAGCTGGAGACCCTGGAAAGCTGGGAGTTTGGCTCAGTCGAAGTCAAAAGGCCTCAGAACCAGGGAAACCAATGGTGGAACTCTCAGTCCAAGGCCAAGAACCTGCGGGGAGTGGTTGCACCAGTGTGAGTCCCAGGGTCCAAAGGCCAGAGAGCCTGAAGTTCTGATGTCCAAGGGCAGGAAAGGGTGTCTCAGCTCCAGAAGAGCAAAAGAAAATAATTCGCTTTTCCTCTGCCTTTTTGTTCTATCCAGGTCCCCAGACGATCAGATGTTGCCCCCCAACATTGAGGGTGGATCTTCCCCACTCAGTTCACAGACTCACACACCAATCTCCTCTGGAAACACCCTCACAGACACACCCAGAAACAATGCTTTGCCAGTTCTCGAGTATCCTTCATCCAGTCAAGTTGACACCTAAAATAAATCAGCACACATTGCAATCTGGATGCCCCTTACTTCTTTTCCCTGTTTTATTACACTGACTAGACCGCCCCGTAGAGTGTTGAATAGATATGGTGAGAACAGATGTCCTTCTCTTGTTCCTGCTTTTAGGGATTAAGTATAATGTTAGCGCTAAGTTTTTCATAGATGTTTATTATCAGGTTGTAGAAGTACCCTCCTATTCCTAGTTTGCTGAGAGTGGTTTTTGTTTTGTTTTTAATACCACGAATGGCTGTTGAATTTTATCAGTCTTTTACTACGTCTGCTTAGATGTTGCTATACATTATCTTCTTCAGTCCACTCAAATGGTGAATAACACTGACTTTTGAGTGGTAAGCCAGCCTTGCATTCCCAAGATAAACCCCACTTGGTCATTTTTTCCTCAACTGTGTCCAGTCCACTGCCGACCCTGTCTATCAAAGGCATTCTTCATCTCTGTGCCTGTTTTTAATTCCTAGTATTTGCATTTGACTCTTCCTCATTGCTTCCACCTCTCTGCTACCTTACCTCAGTGATCTTCCATCTTGTCCACCTTTTCCACTAGAGCTGGTATCTGACTGCATACGCCCCAGGTAAGTGCTCATGTCTCTCCTTGGAGACTCTGTCTTTTCCTTAGAATTTGCTGTCCTGTGACCTCAGCTGTCTGATGGGTTCACCTTAAGTTGGGAATTTGCAGAACCCAATGTCTTCTTCTTGTTGTTGTAATGGTGGGGCAATGTTCTTTCCAGCTTTCTCCATCCTCAGCAGAATCTGGAATAATGTTCTGGAATAATGTTCTACATCATTTTTCCCCCTGGGTGCAGAATTCTTGAGGAAACTTTCTCTTAGGGGTTTATAGATGATATGTTATTCTCTTTTGCATTGAATATCTGTATAGGGAAAAATCTGAAAGTCAGCCAAATGCTTTCTCCCCTTTAGGTATGTGATGGTCATTAATGCTGTTTTAAAACATGTCTAGCTCTCCAACTTCCTTTTACATGGTAAGATTGTACTTCCCTGTCCCCTCATGATTGCTGGGGGCCATGTAAGCAAAGCTTATATGTACCACTTTCAAGTCAGAATGTTTAAATGTGGTTTGAGGTCTTCCAGAGCTCTCTTTCCCACTGGCACAGTAATTGGCAGAGTAGAGGTGATGGCAGTGCCATCAGCCTGGGTCACTACAATGAACAGAGCGTCCTGCACCCTACCCACATTGGAAATGTAGCATGAATGACTTAACAAACTCTTTTGAGACAGGGTCTCACTCTGTTGCCCAGGTTGAGTGCAGTGGCGTGATCACGGCTCACTGCAGCCTCAAACTCCCGGGCCCAAGAGATCCTCCCACCTTAGCCTCCCAAGTAGCTGGGACTGTAGGCATATGCCACCATGCCCAGCTAATTTTTTATTGTTTGTAGAGATAGGATCTCACTGGCCCAGGCTGGTCTCGAACTCCTGGGCTCAAGTGATCCTGCTGCCTTGACCTCCCAAAGTGCTGGGATTATGGGCATGAGCCACTGCCCCTATCCCTGTTCGGTTTTTGTAAAGCTTCTCTTCCTGGCTGTTTTCTGCAGCAGGCATTACCTTTTTCCTCTGCTTGCGATGTGATCTTGAGTCTTGGCAACTCCCTCCTCGGCTCCTTCTGTCTTTGTCTTTTTTTTCCATGAGCCCTTGTGTCTTCGTTTTTATCCCTGAGATTGCAGCAGCCTTCTCTCCTTGGTTACGGTTTGCACCCATGGATGTCTCTAGCTAGTTAATTACAGTGGAGTTTTCAGTGTATTTTATATCTTTTTCAGATCCCTTTTCTGAAGTATATGGATACTTCAAAGCACTAAGGCAGATTCCTAACCCTTAAATTCTATCTCAAGCCTTATGCTCTATTTAAATAGTTAGCATAATTAAGATTTTGTACTTCCTTCCCATAATTATAGATACTTCTTCCTCTGAGAGTCATGTGCCACATTATCTAGTTTTCTCATAATTAGTGGTGCAGTCATTTTTAATATAATCCTTACTCTTGAAAAGTCATCCAAGCCAAGCTGTGCCTGATGACTTTGACTGCAGTGAAAGGATCTTCTGCAGGGATCCGGTGTTGCTTTATTAAAACTCTTGGGCAGCAGAACAAATATGGGCCATTGGAAATGGAGCCACTCTGGGAAGAGGCTGCTCTACTCTTTTGCACGGATATCCAGGACAGCCCCTTCCTATCACCTGCAAAATGTTCTTGACGCTTAGCTAAAGAAGGAGCAAAGGAGAATGTTCCTTTGATTAATTTCCCTTTTGCTTGCTTCTTTTTGGTTGGCAATTAGAGCAGGTCCATTGATCTTTTCCATAGTCTAATTTGAGGCTCTGTTTATCTGATTAGTAACACTCCATGTCTGAATTTTCCATATTAAATTATGGATTATCTATACTTACTATGTAATGAACTCAATTTATGTGGGGGAAATCCTATATAATTGGCTTGGGAATCAAAGCACTTTGATTTTAGTTGTGTTTGAATTAACTGATACTGACTTAATGAGATTTGTCCAACTACTTGCTTCCTGTCAGGCACCCTCCCCTCCTTCCTCCCCTCCCATACCTGGAAGGCTGTACAGGCACAGCCCATCCTCAGGGAAAAAAGCAGAAACCAACTTTCTTCATGGCCGAGGAGGAATAAATTTGGAATCCAGAAGAGCATGCAGATGTTGCTTCACTCATCCCTCGGATTGTCTTTTGTTGGTTTGGAGGCCCCGAAACCCCTGGATCTCTGTTCTGCCCTTCCTGACTGGCCCTGCTCCTAGATTCTCTGTTTTTTTTTTTTAGCAGAGAACCCCTGGGGGCCAACAAGCCTCTCTCTTGAGGATATTGATGGTTTCTTACCTCCTTATGGGGCTGAGCGAGGAGCAGGGCAGAGGGCACAGAGGGGACCTGGAACTCCACCACACCACACAGGGATTCACAGAATTGTAGAGCCAGAGGGAGGGTGCATCCTGGGGTCCATTGACCGATGGTGCAGGTGTGAAGGCTGCAGCCCAGAGAGAGGGCAGGTGGCTCCTCCTGGGTTCCTGAGCAGGTCCTGGTGGAGGGCAGGGACCATCTGAGTGTCTCAGCCCTCCAGGACCCATGTCCCTGCTTCCCGATGACAGGGCCTGCCTCTGGGCATCTCATTATGAATAGTCAGGAAATAGGGTCTAAAAATTAGGATTTCAGTATCTGCCTTCTCAAAGCCTTTGACAGTGATGGACAAGTGCTACTGAAAAAGCAAGGCTACAGACCCCCGTTCCTGATGAAACAGTGTCTCGGCTTTTGTAACAAAAAATGACATAATAAATGCTTAAACAATAAAAAGATGTTTAGGTAGATTGATGGCCATTTTTGCCAAGTCAAACCCAGCGCAAGACTGTGACATATTTTTGGACCAGTATTCACAGTATTTTTTTTTAAGTTACAAAAATCAGAACTGTTAACTGGTGAAATATGCTTCGTAACATGTTGACACTGCATCTAGCCACCTTTAGTGCTTTGCTGTATTCAACAATGTCCTTATGCTTTTATTATAGTGACCTAATTCAAATCAAAGTTAAAGATCTTATTCTTCTTTCATGTACCTGGTTTAATTTACTGAGCCACAATAAACCAAATTACCCAGAGAAACCTTATCAATGGACAAGGAGATAAAAGTTTCCCAAGAAATCAATCAGTTATTGAGTTTATGTGCTTTCTTATCTTTGTCTCTAAGAAAGTTAAAAAAAAAAAAAAAGCAAGACAATTTCCAGCCTCCAGTGCTCTACTCTCACACACCACTCAGCACGAGACTTCTGACACCAGATGTATTCATTTCCCCCATACACCAAACCATTCTCCAGCAGACACCAGCTGGGTGTGCTCAGTTCAACTCAATTCTGACACTCTTTACCTGGAGACAGCGTTGGATCCCACATGTTAAGGGCTCAGCCCCACAAGACCACACTCACTTCTCATGCCAGTCACAAGCCCCAGGTTGTGACCTGTACTTCTGGCCAATGGGGTATAAACTGGGGCTTCCACAACCCCCTACTTGGGTTTGATTGAATTGCTAGAGTGGCTCACAGAACCCACGGAAAGGCTTTACTTCCATGCCCTTGTTGATTATAAAGGATATGAGGCAGGATGCAGGTGCACAGCCAGGTGGAGAGATGCATGTGGCGAGGTTGGGGGAGTCCTGAGCACAAGAGCCCCTGTCCCCGAGGAGCGAGGGTACGCCACCCTCCTGGCATGGGGATGTGTTCGCTGACGCAGAAGCTCTCTGAACCCCTCCGTTCAGGGACTTTTATTTAAGCTGCATCATGTAGGCAGGATCGATTTTTAACTCCGTTTCCAGCCTCTGTCCCTTCTCTGGAGAATGGGGAGTGGGGCTGAAAGCCCCAAGCTCGTCATCATGGCTTGGTCATTCTGGTGACCCAGCACCCATCTAGAATTCCATCAAGAGTCGCTTCATTAGAACAAAAGACACTCCTATCACCCAGGAAATTCCAAAGGATTTAGGAGCTGGGGTCAAACACCAAATACTAAAACAGAAGATTCTCTACTATGCAGCCATAAAAAAAGAATGAGTTCATGTCCTTTGCAGGGACATGGATGAAGCTGGAAACCATCATTCTCAGAAAACTAACACAGGAACAGAAAACCCAACACCATATGTTCTTACTCATAAGTGGGAGTTGAACAGTGAGAACACATGGACACAGAGGGGAACATCACACACCAGGACCTGTCAGGGGGTGGGGGCAAGGGGAGGGAGAGCATTAGGACAAATACCTAATGCATGCAGGGCTTAAAACCTAGATGATGTGTTGATGGGTGCAGCAAACCACCATGGCACATGTATACACATGTAACAAACCTGCATGTTCTGCACATGTATCCCAAAACTTAAAGTATAATTAAAAAAAGAAAGAAAAACTAACTATAAACAACAACAAAAAGATTACCTAGTGCCCCTGTCACTCAGGAAGTGACAAGGATTTTAGCAGCTCTTTAGCAGGGACTGAGGAGCAGAGACCAAAGACACATAATACATATCTTATTATTAATATTTCACACAGCCCCATGGTGAGTGCTGTCCAGCTTCAGCCAGACTCCACTGTGCGATACCGCCCCTCTCTCTATGCATGAGCCATGTCCACCTGTTCAGCCATCCCTGGACCAGTATGTGAGAGCTCCTTCTCATACTGCTTTTCTGTGGTGCCTCCCTGGCTAGCAGGCATCCCTGGATGAGCCCAAATATCTGCTATCTCTTTGTTTGCATCCTGAGCAACAAGACCAGTGGAGCATACCGCACAGCCTGTGGGTGAGCAGCTTATATGTCTGTGGTCACCAGCCTGACCTGGCCTCCTCACTGCCCGGCATTTCTCCTGTCTTTTTCTGGCTTACAGCGAGGGGCGTGGCACAAATTATACCCAGTAACTGTTTTTGAAATCAATAAGAGTTTTTAATTTATTCATTCAGAGAAAATTTTTGAGCACCTCTTCTGTGTCTGGGTTGGCCACTGGATGTACAGAGATAAGAGACACTGACTCTGCCCTCCAAGTCTACTGGGGGAAACAGACAAGAAAAACAGACAGTTGGCCAGGAGCAGTGGTTTCCATCTGTAATCCCAGCACTTTGGGAGGCTGAAGCGGGTGGATCACCTGAGGTCAAGAGTTCGAGACCAGCCTGGCCAAAATGATGAAACTTCATCTCTACTAAAAATACAAAAATTAGCCTGGCGTGGTGGCACACGCCTGTAATCCCAGCTACTCGGGAGGCTGAGGCAGGAGAATTGCTTGAACTCTGGAGGAGGAGGCTGAAGTGAGCAGAGATCGCACCACTGCACTCCAGCCTGGATGACAGAGTGAGACTCTGTCCCAAAAAGAAAAAAAAAGAAGAAAAGAAAGAAAGAAAAACAGACAGTGACAGTGTAATATGTTGTGTTTTCACTATGACAGGAAATTAAAATATTAACTTAGAAATTTTTTCAATCCTTCCCTCTGTCCTGAAAGAGAGCCATTATTTTGTTGAGTAGGATGACGGATGCAGTTTTCAGTGTGTATGGGTGATATACGGGTAGGTTAGCTATAGGAAAAGAACGGTAGCATCTAAGAAGCTGAGGAAGTGGGAATATATGAAAAAAATCTGGGATTCTATTGCTGAATGATACCAAACACAGCTCTAGGTATGTGGTAATGGGAACACAGATGGTTGGCCATGTATACACATACCTCACCTCTAATCCTAGCTGAAATGACAGAAAACCTACACAAAAATGGCTGAAGACCTGTACCCTTCCTTAATGGCCAATGCATCACTTGCATTTTTCTAGAATGTTCTAGAATTTTCTGCCAGACATATTGCATATAAGACCAGAACAAAGAAAGAGAAAGAACAACTTTCAACTCAGCTTTATGAGGCCTTCTGGGAGGTTACTGGAAGCCATACTAGGTCTCAAATATGCCCTCATTTTGAAGAACAAGGACTGATAGGTGTTTGATGGGTCAGATGTGGAATCACCTATGGTGCCGGTGGTAATTTATGGGGAGGGTGGGTTCTAAAGGCCTTTATAATTTTTATAAGTAGTGCTCCCACTGTTTGAAATGGATGGTGGACATTTTTAAGGTCTAATGCAATGTGCTGTGCAAACACAGCTTTAAGATACCACTCCTTCCCCTGCACACACAGCCTCCTTCCAGATTGCAGTCCCAGAGTTGAAATTCTGGAGCCACCACTAAGGGAGGTGCTGCCTTTGGAGTTTTTTGGCAGCTGTGATGTGGCAGGATTTAGGGCAGCTTCTTGGGAGACTCTGGGACCCAGATGGCTATGCCATACAGACTCCCTCCTTCCCCCAATGCAGGGACCCACAGTTCGGAGCACATTCAGATAAAAGGAACTACAGAGAGACAGTCCCTCCTTCCTTCCAGCTGTGTGGTCTCTGCCATGCCAGCACAGGCTGGGTGTCAGGATCTCAGGAGAGGGTTCTGTTTAGGGTTAGCACACACCACATGGTCGAAGATGGTCCAGCATAGATATTAGTAGACCCATTTTCACACTCTAAAGTACCCCAGTCACTCTAGTGTCCAAACAGAAAGTACGGGAGGAGCTCCACCGCCCCATTCGGGGGCCAAACACCAGACTGGAGAAAGTGCTGCAGATGGATGAGTAAACAAACGGGAGAGGACAGCATGGAGCCTACCTGGAGATCAGAGGTTATTTTTAAAGCATTTGGTAACTTCAGGGCTCTAAATGAGTATCAGAATGAGAGAGAGGAGAAGGCAATATTGAACCATATGAGATGTTCTAGAATAAAGAGACCGTGGTGGCTCACACCTGTAATCCCTGCATTTTGGGAGGCCGAGGTGGGCAGATCACCTGAGGTCAGGAGTTCGAGACCAGCCTGGCCAACACGGCAAAACCCTGTCTCTACTAAAAATACAAAAATTAGCCAGGTGTGGTGGCGGGCGCCTGTAATCCCAGCTACTCAGGAGGCTGAGGCAGGAGAATCGCTTGAACCTGGGAGGCAGAGGTTGCAGTGAGCTGAAATCACACCACTGCACTCCAGCCTGGGGAACAGAGCGAAACTCTGTCTCTAAATAAATAAAAAGGGACCATGGGAAGAAGGGGCCGTGGAAAAGAATACCTAAAAATGGCAGCAGGGCAAATGAAAGCACAGAATGTGTACTGTGTGAAAACTCATCAGACTCATGCTTCAAATGGGTGCCCTTCGTTGTGTGCCAGTTTTACCTCAGTGAAGCTGTTGGAAGTTTTCATGACAGGTAAGTGAGCAGGGGAAGAACAAAGGACAAAAGCAAAGGCAGGAAAGATAGGACTGGAATAATGCATGAATTCAGAGATGCATGGAGGGCATTGGGTGTGATTCCGAAACCGATAGGCACTGGTTCCAGGAAGCTGAGCAGGGAATCCTATAATCACAGGGGAGTGGAGCACAATTGTTCTGAGCAATTTGATATTCTGAGGTCGGGAGTTCAAGACCAGCCTGGCCAACATGCTGGGACAATATCTGGAAGGTATTATATTATTCTCATATTTTCTGTATGTTGAACTAGCTAATAACTTTTTTTTTTTTTTTGAGACAGAGTCTTGTTCTGTTGCCCAGGCTGGAGTGCAGTGGCATCATCTTGGCTTACTGCATGCAGCCTCAACCTCTCAGGCTCAAGTGATTCTCCTGCCTCAGCCTCCTGAGTAGCTGGAACTACGGCCACACACCACCACACCCATGGTCTCATACCGTTCAATACTGCCTTCTCCTCTCTCTCATTCTGATACTCATTTAGAGCCCTGAAATAACCAAATGCTTTAAAAATAACCTCTGATCTCCAGGTAGGCTCCATGTCCCATGGTCCCCAAAGTGAGAGGGGCCACAGGACAGGGCACTGGACAAAGGAGCAGAGCATCCATGGGAGACATAAAACCTACTAGTATTATTTTGCGCTGGTCCCGGGCTGGTTTCGCTGCATAGGCATCCTTTGGGAACTGGTTTATGCAGCCCTTTCAAATCCCATGAGCTGTCTTCTCCACCACCACCCCAACCGCAGTGAAGTCCATGAGGCGGACTTCATGATTTCCATGAGGAGATGGGAAAATGGAGGCCCCAGGATGTGCAGGGGCTGAGCTGCAGACTCAACTGGTGGTAGATCCAGATTTCCATCTTTAATGCCAGATCCATTGCTTCCTCCACTTCCAACCTGATCCGCTTAGTAGGAGACGGAGACTAGGTGGTGCCTGAAGAATCGCAGCAGAGCAGGGGACAGCCAATGGGTCATTTCCGTGCAAATGACCAGCGGTGCCCTCAGCAGGTCCTTGTTCTGTGCATCTCCTGGCACATCTGAAAGTTGAGCACTGCACCCTTAAAAAAGTTGTCAGTGGCTGGGTGCAGTGGCCCACACCTGTAATCCCAGCACTTTGGGAGGCCGAGGCCGGCGGATCGCTTGAGCTCAGGAGTTTCAGACGAGCCTGGCCAATATGGCAAAACCCCGTGTCTACTAAAAATACAAAAATTAGCTGGATGTGGTGGTGCGTGGCTGTAGTTCCAGCTACTCAGGAGGCTGAGGCAGGAGAATCACTTGAGCCTGAGAGGTTGAGGCTGCATGCAGTAAGCCAAGATGATGCCACTGCACTCCAGCCTGGGCAACAGAACAAGACTCTGTCTCAAAAAAAAAAGTTACTAGCTAGTTCAACGTGCAGAAAAGTATGAGAATAATATAATACCTTCCAGATTTATTCAATCTTACTATGTTTACAATATTTGCTTCTATTCTTTTTCTTTAAATAAGAAATATATTATCATACATTGTTGCAGACCCATCTGAGTCCCCTCCACTGCCACGGCTCTCTGTCCCTCCCTCTGTCTGAAATTAGAGATTGTCCAGAAGCAGCCACTATCCTGAGGCATCAGGGAATTTTTCATTCCCCTGCAGAGTTGTCTGCTTCACTGAAACTTTACATCAAAGTTGACGCATTTGGTACCGTAAGCCAGTTTCTATTCTCACCCCCATCAGGTTTGTGATACTGATCCATGTAGATAAGGGTTGCCTTAGTCATCTTCGTGGGGCTTCTGCATGGTCTTGCATTGAGCGAGTATTCCACAGGTTGCTTCTCCATCTCCTGTTCATGGACACTGGGTTGTTCCCAGTTTCTCATTATTCTAACAGTGCTAGAATGCGGAGTGATGTGCACTCGGCAGCGTGTGTGCACCTGCTGCATTTTCTCCAGCCTGCAGACTTGCTGGCTCACAGGGGAAGTGCATCTGCAGGACTTTAGTCACCGCACTCCACAGCGATGGCAGGGATCCCCGCTCTCCTGGCCAGTGGAAAAGGCAGCCTTGCTTCTCGATGTCCTCAGGCTTTCTGTGTGACTGATGGCTATTTGTTTTGATCTGCTAACTCCCTGGTTTTTTCTCTTTTCCTGCTGAGTTATTTGCTCTTTACTCTAAACGATTTCCCTTTGTCATAAAAGTCTTCTCACGATCAGTGACTCATCACTCAAAGTTGTTTTGGGCATCATTTGTGATAGAGAAGTTTTCAGTTTTAATGCAGGCAAATTCATTTCCTGGATGATGTGTCCTTTTAGTGTTGCATTTTAAGAACTATTTTTCCATCCCCAAGTGATAAAAATTTTCTGTATTTTCATGGAAGTTTTAAAACTTTGCCTCTCACACTGAGCTCAGTAATCCCCCTGGGGTTTAATTTTGTGTGTTGTGAGATACGGATCTAGTTGTATTTATTTTTGTGTATGGATAGTCATCAATTATTACAGCACCAATCTGTTTCTATATTTGAAGATGTCTATTTCTGAGGGCTCTTTTTTTTTATTGGTCTATGGCTTGTCTCTCTTGTTACCACATTACGGGAAATACTGGTTCTGTATTTGTCTTGTAGTTAATAGGGTAAATCCCCACTCTTCCCCTCTTTAGAACTGTCTTGGCCATTCTCATTCCTCCAAGAGAGATGGAGAGAGAGCTCTCTTCTCTCTCCCTTCTCTCTCTCTCTCTCTTTCTTTCTCATATATACACACACACCATCATTGTAACTGTATTGTATTTTTAGGTTAATCTGGGGAGAATTATCATTTTTGGTACAGCTTTTCATTTAGCCTTCTGTTTTTCAATAAAAATGTTACCATTTTTAATATACAGTCTCGATCAACTTACGTTAAATATATA
Source organism: Homo sapiens (assembly GCF_000001405.40). Lineage (NCBI taxonomy): Eukaryota > Metazoa > Chordata > Mammalia > Primates > Hominidae > Homo > Homo sapiens. The sequence goes on along the minus strand of NW_011332701.1, from coordinate 1,345,566 downwards.
TTCCTAGGTGTCATATCATTTTGTCCTTATTGGAAAAGTAGGGAGTTTAAAATTTTTTTAGTTTGGCCGGGCGCAGTGGCCATGCCTGTAATCCCAGCACTTTCGGAGGCCGAGGCAGGCGGATCACGAGGTCAGGAGATCGAGACCATCCTGGCTAACACGGTGAAACCCCCGTCTCTACTAAAAATACAAAAAATTAGCCGGGTGCGGTGGCGGGCGCCTGTAGTCCCAGATACTTGGGAGGCTGAGGCAGGAGAATGGCATGAACCCAGGAGGCGGAGCTTGCAGTGAGCTGAGATAGCGCCACTGCAGTCTGGCCTGGGTGAAAAAGTGAGACTCCATCTCAAAAAAAAAAAAAAATTCTTTTTTTTACTTTAAATTTTTTATTCTCTAACAGTTTGCCTGTAGATTGTTTAGGACTTTTTATTTAGAGGGTTCCATCATCTGGGAATAACGACAGTTTTGTTTCTTCTTTTCCAGTCTTCACATTGATTCTTAATTTTTCCCATCTTCCTGCACTGGTTAGGACTTTCAACACAATGGAATGGAAGTTGAGCCAGTAGCCATCCTTGTCTTGTTCCCGATTTTAAAGGAAAGAGTTTAATAATTAAGAATAATGTTTGCTGAAAATTTCTAATACTAAATATTATTTGCCAGATGAAGGGAATCCCATTTTGTTACCAGTCTGCTAAGAGTTTGCCATGAGTTTTAAATTTTAGCAAATGCTGCATCTATTGAGATAAGTATATATGCATGTGTGTATTTGTATGTGTATATGTGTGTGTATATATGTATATACACATTCATACACATATAACTGTATTCTGTTAATATAGTGAATATACATGAAACTACATGAATATATATTCATGTAGAATGGATTTCTAATGTGGAACCGTTCTTGCATTTCTGGGATAAAACTTAGGCACAATATTTTCATATAATTATGAAAATCTACTTTGCTTTTCTTTTATTAAAGATTTTTCATCATTATTCATAAATTATATGAATCAAGCTTTCCCTTGTTCATACTGCAATTGCCTAATTTTATTTTATTTTTTAGTTTACACTAGCCTAGAAAGATGAGCTGGGAGGTGTTCCCCTCTTTTTCCCTCTGAAAACAAAGTTTGCAGAAGATTAAACTTACCTATTTCTTGAATTGAATGTTTGGTAAAAGTTACAAAATCACCAGGGCTTGGTAATTTCTTTTGCAGTCAGTAGATAGTTAAGTACTGATTCAGTGGATTATAGGTTACTTGGATTTCCTCCTTCTTCTTGAGACTATGTTAGAATGTTTTGCTTTTCTGGAATAAATTGTCCATTTTGTTTAGGTTTTCAAATTCATGTATATGCTATGCCTAGTTATGTCTTTTTTAATTTTTAATATTTTAATTTATTCCTTTTCTTTCTTTGTTAATCAGCCTCTGCCAGAGACTTGCCTATTTTTGTCAGTTTTTTTTCAAAGAACCAGCTTAATATTTATTGATCTTGTCATTGCTTTGTTTCTTATTTCATTAGTTTCTGCTCTCTTCTCCATTTTTTCCTTCCTTCCAAATTCCTTTTTCTTTTTCTCACTTCTCTCGATGTATGCTGTTACTAAATTCAGTCTTTCTTCCTCATATAAGCAGGCAAACTGCATACGCTAAGTTTTGATGTCTAGTAACTTTTTTATTCAGTTCTGAGACTTCTTTAATTTTCCTTATGATTTATTTTTCAGTCCCTGGGTTATTTAGCAGTATTTTTTAAATTTTGCAGATATATGGAGGGTTTTTCCGTTACTTTTTTATTTTTATTTTATTTTATTTTGTTTATTTATTTATTTTTGAGACGGAGTCTTGCTCTGTCACCCAGGCTGGAATGCAGTGGCGTGATCTCGGCTCACTGCAACCTCCGTCTCCTGGGTTCAAGCGATTCTCCTACCTCAGCCTCCCGAGTAGCTGGGATCACAGCCGTGTGCCACCACACCCAGCTAATTTTTGTATTTTAGTAGAGACAGGGTTTCACCATGTTGGTCAGGCTGGTCTTGAACTCCTGACCTCAGGTGATCCGCCTGCCTCGACTCCCAAAGTGCTGGGATTACAGGCGTGAGCCAGTGCGCCTGGCCTACTTTTTATTATTTATAGCAAATTTAATTGTACTGTAGTCAGGTAACCTGATTACAATGTGTCTAATAACAAGTCTTTGGTGTTAGTTGAGATTTTGCTTTGTGCACGACTTTGTGGTGAATTTTTGTAGTAAGTCATACATATCTTTTTGAGGACAGGTAAATGTATATATGGTACATGTCCATTAGATCTGGCACGTTCAGCTCTTCTATGTCCTTACTAACTAGTTGTCTGCTGGACACATTGAGACAAATGTGTTCCTCCACTCCTATGGTGGGTTTGTCCATGTGTCCTCCTGTTCTTGGTTTCCGTCTTTCTCTCTGGTCATTCTCATCATGATCGTCTCTGTAGACTCTTCTTCCTGCTCCTGATTCTGGGTCCTTATCCAAACTCCCTTCTCTCTGTATTGAGCACACCATCCTTGGGCAAATTCATCTGCTTCCATAGCATCAGTCCCATCTCTGCACTGGCCACTCCCAAGTTTAAGACTCCAGCCCTGGCTGGGCGCGGTGGCTCACGCCTGTAATCGCAGCGCTTTGGGAGGCCGAGGTGGGCAGCTCACGAGATCAGGAGATCGAGACCATCCTGGCTAACACGGTGAAACCCCGTCTGTACTAAAAATACAAAAAAAAAAATTAGCCGGGCGTGATGGCGGGCGCCTGTAGTCCCAGCTACTCGGGAGGCTGAGGCAGGAGAATGGCGTGAACCCGGGAGGCGGAGCTTGCAGTGAGCTGAGATCGCACCACTGCACTCCAGCCTGGGCAACAGAGCGAGACTCCGTCTCAAAAAAAAAAAAAAAAGACGACTCCGGCCCTGATCCACGCAGTTACTGTGGAACACCACGCAGACTCCGATGACTCAAACTAAGCTCATCCTCAGTATCCCTTTAGCTCCTGGCAATTCCATGCCCCTTCAGCCATCCCACTCAGAGAATGGCTTCCCATTGCTCAGACCATGGAATGGCTCTTTCCTCTCCTTTGCTCCCAAGTGCCATTATTCACTAAGTCTTCCTAAATATCTATCATATTCATCCTCTTCTCTTGCAGAAAAAAAGGAATTTGCATTGTGCATTTGCACATGGCTCCTATACTCACCACATTTAGTGTTCTTGCACTGTCCAGGAGGAAAATGAAATTGAGCGGAGAGCAGTTCCAAACCAGCAAGAATATTCATACTATTTACTTAGAGACTGGTTAGACCAAAGTAAAGCCATTACCATCCTAGCCTGAAGAGTATTTATTACAAAGTTTGTGGGTAAATTCAATGTCCTAATGGCAAATTTAGCCTGTTATTTCGAGAGAAGAATGGTTCCCATAAACATATAACAAATACAACATCCTGCAGAAAACCTGCCTGTAGGCCACATAAATAGTTCAGTTCTGCAAAGATGATAGCAAAACCTTTCTAGTTTATAGCTCAGTATCACCAGACTGCTTCTTGCCCTTCTCAAGACACAAGATAGGAAGTCTCAAATACAAGATGATCTGATACTGATTAAGTATAGATTTAATTTCAACAAGACCTTTCCCTTTTAAAAAATGTTCTTAGTTCTCTGTGTCCCTCTGGTCATTTGCATTGTCAAGCAAAACTAATCTTGTCTTAGATAAGGAGAAGATTTATTCAAAAAGACTCTTGCAACTAACAGGGGAGAATCCTTGGAACTCAAGAACTGTAAACATCTCAAAATCAATCAGAAAAGGGCTTTTCTTTTATAGGGCAGGGAGGTCAGCAAATCTTAGCAGAAACTTAAGGGGAAGTTGGGTGAGCAAAGGAAGATGACCAGGATATGTGTCTCACTGTGGGACGAGCTGATTACTGGCCCATTCTCCTTTCTAGCGCTCGCCCAGGCCCCAGGGACAAGCAGAATTCAGGGGACTGCAGAGAGGAGAACAGTCTGACTAGCAATTAGTCCAGACAAAAAACAAAAAACAGAGAGAAGGTAAGAAAGGTGCATTGTGAAAACGGAGAGATGCATTGTGAACACTTGGGCAGGATATAAATATTCTTTAGTTCTGTCTTCTCTAATTCATTGAGATGGTAACCGGTTCTTTTTCCTTTTCTTTCTTTCTTTCTTTTTTTTTTTTTTTTTAAGACAGGTTCTTGCTCTGTTGCCCAGGCTGGAGTGCGGTGGTACAATCACAGCTCACGGCAGCCTTGACCTCCCAGGCTCCAGCCATCCTCCTGCCTCAGTCTCTGGAGTAGCTGGGACCATAGACACGTACCACCATATGCAGCTAATTTTATTTTTATATTTGTAGAAACAGGCATGACTATGTTGCCCAGGCTGGTCCCCAACTCCTGGACTCAAGTGATCCTCCTGCCTCAACCTCCCTAAGTGTTGGGATTACAGGCACGTTACATTCTTAAAGAAACTGTGTTAACAAAGTTCATTTCTCCTTGAGTATTTTTAGGCACTTTAATTTTGTCACCACCCGGGTGTCCCTGCAGCACATCCACCCTTCTCCCTGTATCCCTCCCGCCCTGCCTCCCCTCGCCCACCCTCTTCCACTAAGCTCCCTTCACAGTGCTTTCTGCCCCTGCCCATCCCTACCCTCCACCTCTGCACTCAGCCTTCCCTCTCCCAGTAACACTGTCCCCACCAACCTCCGCCACCCTTGACTTGCCTCACTGCCCGGTGCCGCCTGGATGTCCCTTCCTCTGGCCCCTGAGAGTGCTCCCTATGCACCTTTCCCAGGCAGCTCTGCCGTGGCTTGATGCATCAGCCTCACGAGTCCAGATGCTGGCCAGGGCACCCCTGTGTCCCTCTAGACTGAGTTTCGTGGGTGCAGACCCCGCGTCTATCTTCCTCTTTTCATCTCTGTGCTTGCTGCGTTGTGGGCTCGATCTGTGTGCACTGGAGGAAGGAAAGGAAGCAAGGAGGGCAGGAAGAAGATACATATTGAGCAAAGAATATATTCCTGAAAACTGATAGTCACACCTGTGAGAGCGCAAAATAAAGCAAGAAAACAACCACCAATATATTTTCTGACTTTGATTCATAGATGCATTTATGTTCTATTCCAGAAAGCATGTGCAGTCTTGCTGTTCAGTGTATTTTAAAATAGAAGCCCTGTCCTTCCCGTGGATGAGGATCCTGCCATACAGTTGCTTTTTTGCCAGCCATCACATGTGTACTCACATGACAGAGTCCCATACACGAGAGCGGGACCCCTCGGATCACTCCCTGCCATCCTCCCCCAGCCGCTCCCAGAGGGAATCCATTGGCTCAGCTTCTGCTTCTCTTTCCAACCTTGTCGATGTTATCACCACCACCCCTAGCTGCTCAGCTCCCAGGTGGAGAGCTGGGCGTCCCTCCAACTCTTCCTTCTCCCACCCTTGGCTCTACCTCTTGAAAGTCCTGGGCCCTGCAGTATCAGAGCTGCAGGCAACGTGGAGACACTGAATTGGGGTGTTTGGGGTAGCAGGGAAGAGAGGGCAGTGGCCAGATGCATTACAGAAATAGATCATCCAGCAGCAGCAGGGGACAGGACTGAGAGCCAGGCCCAGAGAGGGCACAGACACCAACCTGGGCAGAGATAATGGGACCAAAACTGCAGAGGCACATCAGAGTAGGAGGAGAAGGGCATTAACTTGGTAAATATTTGGAAGATGAAATTAGCAAAGCCTGGCGACCTGGAGGGAAGGAGGGAAAGAGATCTAACCCCTCCTGGGGCCCGGCCTCAGCCTTCAGGTGCACGGTGCTGCCCCGTCCAACAGGGTCTGCGGGCCATGGGCTTGGCAAGGACCTCAGCATGAAGTGGGGCCCGTGGCTCCTGCCCTGCATGTGCCACACTTCCTGGGGGCTTCTCTGGCAAAGGGTCCTGTGACTTCCTCCATTTTATCCTTTGTCTGGTGAGCTGAGGAGGGATGCTTCTCTGCTCTTCCACCCTCTTCTCTCCTCTGGCCTCTTCCCACTTCCAACTACTGACCTCCCCTCTCTTAAAATTATTGTCACCATCCAGGAGAGCCTGCCCCTCATGGCCCCCAAACTGACTGTTCTGGAGGCCCACCCAGCTGCACACACTGAGAACTACCAGCTGCATTAATCAGGAAAGGTGGGGGCTCCTCCCACACTCCAGGCAAATGAGTGTGCCCCCCCACCACTCATCCCCTATGTGCCACGGCTCTCAGGACATTTAAGGAGAATTGTCTAGCCTATGAAGCCTGAGGAAAAGAGGTCTGTATCTTTAAGGAAGAGTTAGAATATCAGTTAAATGCAGATTAGAGACATTACTTCTGGTTATGAACATTAACCAAGTACTCAAGAGGCGAAAGGCTAATAAGATCGTTGAAATTACTTCTGCATGTCAGCCAGTATTTCCTACCAGTGTCTCTTCATTCTTTTTAGCTTCGTCCTTAATCTGCCTGGGCTTTAATCAAACTACTTTCACTCACACTTTACCTTGATGGGAGTAAAAGAAGTAGTCATGAGAGAGGACGATCAAGACCCAGAAAGTAGAGCAATGAAAGATGGACAGTCTGGGTACAGTGGCTCACGCCTGTTATCCCAGCACTTTGGGAGGCCAAGGCGGGTGGATCACGAGGTCAGGGGTTCGAGACCAGCCTGACCAACATGGTGAAACCCCGTCTCTACTAAAAATACAAAAGAAATTAGCCGGGCATGGTGGCGGGCACCTGTAATCTCAGCTACTCAGCAGGCTGAGGCAGGAGAATCACTTGAACCTGGGAGGTGGAGGTTGCTGTGAGCCGAGATCGTGCCACTGCACTCCAGCCTGGGTGACAGAGTGAGACTCCGTCTCAAAAAGGAAGAAAAAGAGAGATGGACAAACATCAGCGTTCCTGTCCCATCAGTTGAACACAAGGAGCACCCTGGAGAATCAGTTCAGACTGCAAAACGCATTCTTGGATGTTCTTGGATGGGCGTCTCATAATCTTTAGGGCTCTTTTCCTTAAGCATTCATGCATGAGGCCTGAAAGTCCTCTGCTGAATTTGTCTGCAGGAGCCTGTGTTTTCAATCCGATCAGACACTCAGATGATTAATCGTGTATGATAGTCATAGCTAATGTTGATTGAGCCTTGCTGTGTGCTAAGCGTTACCGGCAGCACATTTGTGAAACTAATCTTACCCTTACAAGAACCCGGTGAGGTACACGTATCATTTATTCTCATTTTACAGGTGAGGATACTGAGGCACAGTGAAATTTAGTAACTCCCCAAGGTCATGCAGATTGTAAAGGTGGAGCCAGAATCCCAGGCCGGCAGTCTGGCTTTGGAGCCCTGGCTCTCACCGCCATATGCAGTGATACATACACCAGGCTGCTACCCGGGACACTAGCTTAGCTTCAGGACTGTGGACCTGAATGCTCAGAACAAGCTGAGGCCCAGCGAGAAACTGATTACTGTCTGAACTACCAAAAATCACAACATGTTTACTCTCATATATATTCAGTGTCTTTGTAAAAGGTTCTTTGAAAATTGATAAACCACAAATTCATGCATTACCTATGTGCTTATACTCTGAGCAGAATATTTTGTGATGCATAAGTTTTCTATACCAAGCAGGCCAAGTCAAAGGTTTTAGTGTGTTATGAATTCTACCTATGAAATAGATACCTTAGGCAGGGAAAAGTTCTTGTTTTACAAAGCAGTGGCAGTGGCAAAGCTTTATAGTTCCCAGTATGAGGTGTTTCTAGTTTTCTTTTTTTTTTTTGTTGTTTTGTTTTGTTTTGTTTAGTTGGAGTCTCACTCTGTCGCCCAGGCTAGAGCGCAGTGGCGCGATCTCAGCTCACTGCAAGACCCCGCCTCCCAGGTTCAGGCCATTCTCCTGCCTCAGCCTCCCAAGTAGCTGGGAATACAGGCGCCCGCCACCATGCCCGGCTAATTTTTTTGTATTTTTAGTAGAGACGAGGTTTCACCGTGTTAGCCAGGATGGTCTCAATCTCCTGATCTCATGATCTGCCCGCCTCGGCCTCCCAAAGTGCTGGGATTACAGGCGTGAGCCACCGTGCCTGGCCGTGTTTCTAGTTTTCACAGACTCCTGGGACAAGGCAGTTTGTCTCTTCCTTGTCAGCTGAATAAAATGTCATTGAGGTCTCCCTGCATTTCCACTCCATTGTCATGCAAGGAATGAGTTGTCGTTCTGATACATGGAGAAAAAAATGACATGACATCTGCCATGAAAGAAACCTTGATGTACAAGGGATGCAGTGACCCAGGGGGTCTCCCATCAAGGGAAGAGACATGTCCCCAAAATCAAGAGTAATACCTGGAAACAAGTCACATCTGTAGATGGCTTTTACTTAGGAATTTGCAATCATAACAAGTACTCTTTGGAGTTTTTTCCACCTACGATTAAGATTGTGTTATATTTCCTTTAAAATGATGCTTAAAATAGAGCCTGCTATTTCCCCGACTCTTCAATATTCCCCAGTCATCTAAATGAAAGAGTGGGATTTTTTGGCTTTTTTTTTTTTTTTGGCTATCCAGATATTAGTTTTCACTTACAGATAGTTACAATCAATTGCTTATATAATTGCTAATAAAAAGATTATAAGACATATTATAAAGCAATTAAAATTTAGTTACCCTTCAAATATGACTTAGATATAGGTAATTATTACATCTGTTAAATGCCTGAAAATGCTTCATAATGTTTATAGATGAATAACTTACTTATTTTAGTCATTTTGGTCCTCTGGGGTGACTGAAATCAAACCAAATATGATAACCAATCAGAAGATGAATGGTGCCCCAACCCTCCGAGGTGCTGGTGACCATCTCCCCCCGATTCAGAACCTTCCAGTAATGAGATCACTTGCTATCACGGGTGGCTCTGCACACCCTGGCGGAATCCTCCCAGGAGGGCTTCCCTTTACCAAGTGCCCCGGGGTTCACCTACTTGAGTTTAAAGTCTAAGCCAGTCATCCCCTCACAGATGAGATCAAGGCTCAGAGCGATGAGGAAACCCTCAAAGCCACATCCCCAGAAATAAGAGAGCTGAGGCTTCCGTCCAGGGGATCTTTTGTGGGGTGTGAGCCAGAAGTGACCAAAAGAAGATCTGAGAACTTTCTCAGAGGGAAGGCTTCAGTGCCGTCTTCTATCATAGTCACGTAGAAGCAGAGGGGCTAGGCAGCGGCCCCATGGTGAGTTGGCTCCCCAATCACCCAGGTTGGCTTAGAAAGCAGGCCCAGCTTACAGCACCCTCCTGTGCACCCTGCCCCGCCCATTCCTGCAGTGGACTGTCCTGGGAGTGGACACGTGCCCAGGCTGGTTCAGTGAGCCCCTTCCCTGGGCGGGGGACTGGGAAGCGGAGAGAGCTAGACCAGTGTGGAACTATGGTAGCACGATGTGTACTTGGGGGCTGGTCTGCAGAGAAAATGGGAGACAGCCTCCGTGGAAATGAGGCAGAAATAGGCTGCAGAGGGTGCCAGCCAGGGACGGGGGAAGGCGCGGAGATTTTATCACTGGTGGGCCTCCCGCCACAGACTGTAACCTGGGAGGGACAGGAGCCGACTTAGGCTAAAACAGGTGTCCTGACAGGGAAGAGTAGACCTGAGGTACTGGGAGGCCACCTCAGAGTCCAGGTGAGAGGGGGAGGTTCAGCCAGGGCAGGTGGAGCTGGAGCCCAGGGAGGATTGCAGGTGAGGTTGGTAGCCGGGTCAACACGCCAGGGAGAATTTGGATGTGGGGTGTGTGGGATGATCAAGGATGAGGCAGAGATGTTGGCTCCACCAACCACATCCGTGGCATTTCCCTTTAACAAGAATCAAGGGCATTATGAAGGGCAAGGGACCCTGTGTTCCTATTGTCCTCTCTGTCATCCCTCCCTCTCCCTTCTCCCCCAGGCCTCTCATCACCCCGGGCTCTACTTATTGCACTCCAGCAATGGGCACCTGCTGAAATTTTTCTCTGTCCATCCCCACTGGCCTGCTCCAAGTCAGACATCATTCCCCCTCCCCAGGAGTTTGGAGCCCCGTACAATTACTGGGCAAGACACTAGAAGACACTCTTCCCTTCCTGTCTGACACTTCCAACCATCTAGGACTCCTGCTCCTTGGAATTGAATGAGAGAAGTGCTGATTGGATACTGGATTAATATGGTGGTTAGCAAGATAAATTACTCAATAAATTACTGTCCTTCACAATCAAAGTTAAATCAGTACATCACGATGGAACTGGAATTGGCTTTTTTGATCCTATTCCTGAAGTCCAGTTGGTCCCTGGCCTTAAGACTGTGTGGATTTTGGAGGGCCCACTAATGGATTCTTCAGTGATGAGATTTTCTTTCAAGCAGGCTCAAATCTAGTTGGCTTCCAATTCCTAAGCAAAAGAGGTGCATTACGGGCTGTTTCATGAGTGAAAACACTCTAATACTCTTTGTTTCTTTGGGGAATTATTTTGCCATGGGAGATGAAGCACAGTAATTGAAGTCAATTAAGGTTAAAAGAAATGTGCCCCACAGCACTGCAAGAGGAGCTGTTTGGACACCTCTGTCAGTATTGGTTTCTAGACCTTACCGTTCAGGATTATAGATGACAGTAGTGTTTTAACTCATGAAAAAAGATTCTAGGTGGCTTTTTGATAGCACATCACATAGTGGCTAAAGCTGCAAAGTTGCTGATCTTTTTCTTTTTTCTTTTTTCATGTATGGTTTTCCTTGCCAATTATTCCACATGAAAACCAGGAAAACAGCTCGTGGATCATTGTTATTAACCAGTGACTGATTTAGTTGGAGTACTTGAGACCTTTTATGAGTACCTAATCGCCTTTACATGAAATTGCTAATCGGGTATTGCTAATATAAATACAATATTTTCATTGTGTCAAAATTAGAAACTTGAAGGAAAAAAACTATACCTTAAAAAAAAATACCTTACTTGGGTTTTCTTGCTGGGGGCAGGAGGGAGACAGGACCTCCTGCAGCTGTAGACACTGCAGCTGTGCCTGAGTTGGGATCATCTTGCCTGTTACATCCTGGAATGCACAGGGGTGAACAGACAGTAGAGTGTCCAGGATGTGAGTGAGGGTGGCTCTGTCACAGGTGTTGTTTATGAGTGAACCTGCATTCCTCGAAATATGAAATGTTGAACTGCTCAGGACAGCTGGACCTGCAGTCAGAGGACTAATGGTGTTTCGGATGGTTTAATGATAGAAGATAGAAAAGCCCACTGTCTTAATCAGTTCAGGCTGTGCTGTGGTTTGAATAGTCCCCCAAAAGTTCATATGTTGGAAACATAATCCTCAATGCCACAGTCAGTGTTGGAGGTCGAATTTAATAATAGGTGATTGGGTCGTGAGAGTGGAGCACTCATGTATGGATTGTCATTAGCATGGGAGAGGTTAGTTATGGTGAGAGTGGGTTGTTATAAAGGAAATCTGGCTTCTCTCTCTGTCTCACACACTCACTTCAGCTTTCTGCCTTTCACCTTCCACCACAGGAGGACCCCCACCAGATGCTGGCCCCATGCTCTAGGACTTCCCAGCCTCCAGAACTGTGGGCCAAATAGACTTACATTCTTTGTAAATTACCCAGTCTGTTATTCCGTTACAGCAGCAGAAAATAGACTAAGACAGGTTGCTGTAACAGAATGCTTTAGATGGGGTGGTATAAACAGCAGACATTTATTTCTCACAGTCAGGAGGCTAGAAGTCTGAGATCAAAGTGCCAGCATGGTCGAGTTCTGGCAAGCGCCCTCTTCCTGTTTTACAAAGGCAAGCCTTGTCACTGTGTCCTCACATGGTGTGGGGCAGCAGGGGTGGGAGAGAGAAGGGAGATGAGGAATTTAAAATGATCCTGTCACAGACTATGCACACACACACACTCACACACACACACACACAGTCTTGTTGTGGTCTTTGTTGGAATTCCATTGGATTTATAAGTTGATTTGGAAAGAATTAATGTATTTATAGTATTGAATCTTCCTATTCATGACTACAAGATCTCATTATTTATTTGTTCTCAACACATTTTTCCACCTTTTTCTATATTTATTCTTGGCTACTTTACATTTTTTGCTATTGTAAATCGTATCTTTAAAAAACTTATACTTGCTGTTTGTTGCTAGTGAATGAATTTTGCATATTGATTTTTTTTTTTTTTTTTTTTTTTTTGAGATGGAGTCTCGCTCTGTCACCCAGGCTGGAGGGCAGTGGCACGATCTCAGCTCACTGCAAGCTCCGCCTCCCGGGTTCACGCCATTCTTCTGCCTCAGCCTCCTGAGTAGCTGGGACTACAAGCACCCGCCACCACGCCTGGCTAATTTTTTTTATTTTTAGTAGAGATGGGGGTTTCACCATGTTAGCCAGGATGGTCTCAATCTTCTGACCTCATGATCCCCCTGCCTCGGCCCTCCAAAGTGCTGGGATTACAGGCATGAGCCACCGCACCCGGCCTGCATATTGATTTTATATGCAGCAACATTGCACAACTATTATATTTAGTTCTAAATATTTGGAAATGTTATTGAGTTTTCTGTATGAATAATTGTATCATCTTGGACAGTTTTTCTTCCTTCCCAGTTTGAACACACTTTACTTCTTTTGCCTGTCTTCTTCCAATGACTGGGACCTGTGTAGAACAGAAGTGATATTGGCAGCAATCCCCATCTCCTTCCAGATGTTTGCTGTAGGGTTTCTTGAGTTTAGGGAGCTCCTGTCTATTTCAAGTTTATTAGAGGCTTTTACACTAGTGTTGAAATACCAACTGCTATTTTGCATCTATTGAGATTGTCATATAGTTTTTCTCATTTAATGTAGTGAATTCCATTAATAAATTACATTATGTTAAAACATCCTTGTAATATAGGAATAAACCACATTTGGTCATAATATGTTTTTTAAAATGCTACTGTATTTAATTTTTCAATATTTTATTTAGGACTTTTGCATCTAGGTTCACGAGGAAGAATTTTCCTCTCTTCTTTTCACATCTAGATCTGTCTTACTTGTTTTTTAAAGACAGCCAATTATCCCAACACAAGTAATGTGGTGTACTTCTTTTATTATAATAGGATCTCTATTCTGTCCCTTATTGATGCCACCCTATACTATTATTGTAGATTTAGGGTACATTTTGATGTGTGCAAAGCCTTTTTTTTCCCAAAATGTTCTTGACAATGCTTGTTTATTTTCTTCATTCCCATAAATTTAGGTTAAAGCCAAATATTTAAAAATGGTGTTTTGTTCAACATTGTTTTAAAGCTAGAGGCTCATTAGGATCACAGTGAGTCTTCAGAAATCCAGAATTTATAGGAAAGATTTCTGTATGTATATATGCATGTATGTGTATAATCTATCTCATATATACACACACAAAGATACAAAAGTGTGTATACACACAGAAACTTTTTTTGCCTCATTACTTTGCCTTGAATATCAGAAAAATGGCAAATAGTTTTCTTCTTAAAACTTCGTAGAACTGTAAGAAAATAATTAGTCTACGATTATTTACACAGATGATCATGTAGGCAATTTACAGCCATCCACTAAAGAGTAAAAGCTATTGTTTCAGATGACAAAAGCCAGGTTTTCAATTATCAAATAGGGTGCAGTTCTGAACCCTTGCGGAGAGTGTGTGAACTCCCTCCTGGGTCCTTGCCCAGAGTTAAAAGTGCCATTGAGCAAACAGCAGGCACCATGTGGGGAGCAATCCTGCCTTCTTAGAGCAGCACATGTGTTACTGGTGGTGCCTGAGTGGCCAAAGCAAGGCCAAAATCCATCGACATTTTTAGGGATTGTAAATGGATGTTTGCCTCTTGAAATTATAGCTTCACAGATTTCTCTATGAATCACTTACCTTCTCCATATGACAGCCTAATTTTAGCTCCTTTTGTAGGATCAGTATTTAAGCCCGCCACAAAGACCTCTGTAGACTATAACTGCTTTCTACAGAGACAAATTAAACAGTCCTAGATCTGCCCCAGGATGTGTCTCATCACTCTAGAAATTTCGTGGAAAATTTAAATTACAGATTTTACACACACACGCTGATTGTGCTACCAACAAGAGTCTTTGTACAGAGTCTTTCTCTGCATTACTTTCTTTCTTTATTGGGTTTGTAACTATGTGTAGTAGGTTTTTTTAAATTCTTTTTTTCCATAAGTTATTGGGGTACAGGTGGTATTTGGTTACATGAGTAAGTTCTTTAGTGGTGATTTGTGAGATTTTGGTGCACTCAACACCCGAGCAGTATACACTGCACCCTATTTGTAGTCTTTTATCCCTTTCCCGCCTCCCACTATTCTCCCCATTGTATCATTCTTATGCTTTTGTATCATTCTTATGCCCTTGCATCCTCATAGCTTAGCTCCCACATATCAATGAGAACGTACGATGTTTGGTTTTCCATTCCTGAGTTACTTCACTTAGAATAAGAGTCTCCAATCTTATCCAGGTCACTGCAAATGCTGTTACTTCATTCCTTTTTATGGCTAAGTAGTATTCCATCATATATATATACCACCGTTCCTTTATCCACTCATTGATTGATGGGCATTTGGGTTGGTTCCACAATTTTGCAAGTGTGAATTGAATTGTGTTGCTATAAACATGCGTGTGCAAGTATCTTCCTCATATAATGAATTCTTTTCCTCTGGGTAGATACCCAGTAGTGGGATTACTGGATCAAATGGTAGCTCTACTTTTAGTTCTTTAAGGAGTCTCCACACTGTTTTCCATAGTGGCTGCACGAGTTTACATTCCCACCAGCAGTGTAGAAGTGCTCCCTGTTCACCACATCCATGTCAACATCTACTGTTTGTTGATTTTTTGATTATGGCCATTCTTGCAGGAGTAACGTGGTATCACACTGTGGTTTTGATTTGCATTTCCCTGATCATTAGTGATGTTGAGCATTTTTTCATATGTTTGTTGGCCATTTGTATATCTTCTTTTGAGAATTGTCTGTTCATGTCAGCCCACTCTTTGATGGGATTCTTTGTTTTTTTCTTATTGATTTGTTTCAGTTTGTTGTAGATTCTGGATATTAGTCCTTTGTCAGATGTATAGATTGTGAAGATTTTCTCCCACTCTGTGGATTGTCTGTTTACTCTACTGACTGTTTCTTTTGCCATGCAAAACCTCTTTAGTTTAATTTGATCCCAGCTATTGATCTTTGTTTTTATTGTATTTGCTTTTGGGTTCTCGGTCATGAAATCCTTGCCTAAGCCAATGCCTAGAAGGGTTTTTCCGATGTTATCTTCTAGAATTTTTATAGTTTCAGGTCTTAGATTTAAGTCTTTAATCCATCTTGAGTTGATTTTTGTATAAGGTGACAGATGAGGATCCAGTTTCATTCTCCTACATGTGGCTAGCCGATTATCCCAACACCATTTGTTGAAAAGAGTGTCCTTTCCCCACTTTATGTTAATGTTTGCTTTGTCAAAGATCGGTTGGCTTTAAGTACTTGGTTTATTTCTGGGTTCTGTATTCTGTTCCATTGGTCCATGTGCTTATTTTTATACTAGTACCATGCTGTTTTGCAACTTTGGCCTTATAGTATAGTTTGAAATCAGGTAGTGCGATGCCTCCAGATTTTTTCTTTTTGCTTCGTCTTGCTTTGGCTATGTGGGCTCTTTTTTGGTTCCATATGAATTTTAGAATTGTTTTTTCTAATTCTGTGAAGAATGATGGTGGTATTTTGATGGGGATTGCAATGAATTTGTAGATTGCTTTTGCTGGTATGGTCATTTTCACAGTATTGATTCTACCCATTCACGAGCCTGGGATGTGTTTCAATTTATTTGTGTTGTTTATGATTACTTTCAGCAGTGTTTTGTAGTTTTTCTTGTAGATGTCTTTTGACTCCTTGGTTAGGTATATTTCTAAGTATTTTATTTTTTTGCAGCTATTGTAAAAGGGGTTGAGTTCTTGATTTGATTCTTGGCTTGGTCACTGTTGGTGTATAGAAGAGCTACTGACTTCTGTACATTCATCTTGTATCTGGAAATTTTGCTGAATTCTTTTATCAGTTATAGAAGCTTTCTGGAGGAGTCTTCAGGGTTTTCAAGGTAAATGATCATATCGTCAGCAAACAGTGACAGTTTGACTTCCTTTTTACCAACTTGGATGCCCTGTATTTCTTTCTCTTGTCTGATTACTCTGGCTAGGACTTCAGTAGTATGTTGAAGAGGAGTGGTCAGAGTGGGCATCCTTGTCTTGTTTCAGTTCTCAGAGGGAACGCTTTCAGTTTTTCCCCATTCAGTATTATGTTGCCTGTGGTTTTGTCATAGATGGCTTTTATTACATTGAGGTATGTCCCTTGTATGCTAATTTTGCTGAGAATTGTAACCATAAAGCAATGCTGGATTTTATCAAATGCTTTTTCTGCATCTGTTGAGATGATCATGTGATTTTTGGTTTTAATTCTGTTTATGTGATGTGTCACATTTATTGACTTGCATATGTTAAACCATCCCTGCATCCCTGGTATGAAACTCACTTGATCATGATGTATTGTCTTTTTGATATGTTGTTGGATTCAGTTAGCTAATATTTTGTTAAGGATTTTGGCATCTATGTTCATCAAGGATATCGGTCTGTAGTTTTCTTTTTTGGTTAGGTCCTTTCCTGGTTTTGGTATTAGGGTGATGCTGGCTTCATAGAATGAATTAGAGAGAGTTCCTTCTTTCTCTTATCTTGTGGAATAGTGTCAAAAGGATTGGTACCAATTCTTCTTAGAAAGTCTTCTTAGAATCTGTCTGGTCGTGGACATTTTTTGTTGTTGGTAATTTTGTAATTACCATTTCAGTCTTGCAGCTTGTTACTGGTCTGTTCAAGGTATCTAATTCTTCCTGATTTAAGCTAGGAGGGTTATATCTTTCCAGAATTTATCCAACTCTTCTAGGTTTTCTAGTTGATGTGTGTAAAGGTGTTCATAGTAGCCTTGAATGATCTTTTGTATTTCAGTGGTGTCAACTGTAATATCTCCTGTTTCATTTCTTAATGAGGTTATTTGGATTTTCTCTCTTCTTTTCTTGGTTAATCTTACTAATGGTCTATCAGTTTTACTTACCTTTTCAAAGAACCATCTTTTTGTTTCATTTATCTTTTGTATTTTTGTTTGTTTGTTTGTTTCAATTTCATTTAGTTCTGCTCTGATCTTGGTTATTTCCTTTCTTCTGCTGGGTTTGGGTTTGGTTTTTCTTGTTTCTCTAGTTCCTTGAGGTGTGACCTTAGAATGTCAGTGTGTGCCCTTTCAGTCTTTTTGATGTAGGCGTTTAGGGCTATGAACTTTCCTCTTGGCACCACCTCTGCTTATATCCCAGAGGTTTTGGTAGGTTGTGTCATTATTGTCGTTCAGTTCGAAGAATTTTTTAATTTCCACCTTGATTTCGTTTTTGACCCAATGCTCATTCAGGAGTAGGTTATTTAATTTCCATGTATCAGCATGGTTTTGAAGGTTCCTTTTGGAGTTGATTTCCAGTTTGATTCCACTGAGAGAGTGCTTGATATAATTTCAATTTTCTTAAATTTATTGAGTCTTGTTTTATGGCCTATCATATAGTCTATCTTGGAGAAATTTCCACGTGCTGTTGAATAGAATGTGTATTCTGAGGTTGTTGGATGAAATGTTCTGTATATATCTTTTAAGTCCATTTGTTCCAAGGTATAGTTTAAATCCATTGTTTCTTTGTTGACTTTCTGTCTTGATGACTTGCCTAGTGCTGTCAGTGGAGTATTGAAGTCCCCCACTATTATTGTGTTGCTGTCTATCTCATTTCTTAGGTCTATTAGTAATTGTTGTATAAATTTTGGCGCTCCAGTGTTAGATGCATATATTTTTAGGATTATGATATTTTCCTGTTGGACAAGGCCTTTTACTATTATATAATGTCCCACTTTGTCTCTTTTAACTGATATTGCTTTAAAGTTTGTTTTGTCTGATATAAGAATAGCTACCCCTACTCTCTTGTCCATTTGTGTGAAATGCCTTTTTCCACCTCTTTACTTTATGTGAGTCCTTATGTGTTAGGTGAGTCTCCTGAAGGCAGCAGATAGTTGGTTGGCGAGTTCTTATCCATTCTGCAGTTCTGTATCCTTAAAGTAGAGCATTTAGGCCATTTACATTCAATGTTGGAATTGAGATGTGAGGTACCATTGCATTCATTGTGCTATTTGTTGCCTGTGGACTTTGGTTTTTTGTTTTTTGTTTTTGCCTTTTAACTTGTATTTTTGTTTTATAGGTCCTGTGTGATTTATGCTTTAAAGAGGTTCTGTTTTGATGTGTTTCCAGGATTTGTTTCAAGATTTAGAGCTCCTTTTAGCAGTTCTTTTAATGGTGGCTTGTTAGTGACGAATTCTCTCAGCATTTGTTTGTCTGAAAAAGACTGTATCTTCTTTCATATATGATGCTTAGTTTTGCTGAATACAAAATTCTTAGCTGATAATCGTTTTGTTTGAGGAGGCTGAAGATAGAGCCCCAATCCCTTCTAGCTTGTAGGGTTTCTGCTGAGAAATCTGCTGTTAATCTGATAGGTTTTCTTTTATAGGTTACCTGGTGCTTCTGTCTCACAGCTCTTAAAATTCTTTACTTTGTCTTAACTTTGGATAACCTGATGACAATATGCCTAGGCAATGATCTTTTTGCAATGAATTTCCCAGGTGTTCTTTGTTCTTCTTGCACTTGGATAGCTAGGTCTCTAGCAAGGCCAGGGAAGTTTTCCTCTATTATTCCTAAAGATATGTTTTCCAAGCTTTTATAATTCTCTTCTTCCTCGGGAAAACTGGTTATTCTTAGGTTTGGTCATTTAACATAATCCCAGACTTCTTGGAGGCTTTGTTCATATTTTCTTATTCTTTTTTCTTTGTCTTTGTGGGATTGGGTTAATTCAAAGACCTTGTCTTTGAGCTCTGAATTTCTTCTACTTTTTCAATTCTATTCCTGAGACTTTCCAGAGCATTTTGCATTACTATAAGTGTGTCCAATTTTTCCTGGATTTTTTATTTATTTTTTTTTCTTTAAGCTATCTATTTTCTTGGCTATTTCTCCCGTCACTTCTTGTATCGTTTTTTGGATTTCCTTGCATTGAGCTTCACCTTTCTCTGGTGCCTCCCTGATTAGCTTAATAACTAACCTCCTGAATTCTTTTTCAGGTAAATCAGGGATTTCTTCTTGGGTTGGATCCATTGCTGGTAAACTAGTGTGATTTTGGGGGGTGCTGTTCAAGAGCCTTATTTTGTCATATTACCAGCATTGGTTTTGTGGTTCCTTCTCATTAGGGTAAGCTCTGTCAGAGGGAAGGTCTAGGGCTGAAGGCTGTTGTTCAGATTCTTTTGTCCCATGGAGTGCTCCCTTCATGGAGTAATCTCCCCCTTTTCCTATGGAGGTGGCTTCCTGTGAGCCCAACTGCAGTGATTGTTGTCTCTCTTCTGGGTCTGGCCACGCAGTAAGTCTGCCCAGCTCCGGGCTGGTTCTGAGGGTTGTCTGCACAGAGTCCTGTGATGTGAACCGTCTATGGGTCTCTCAGCCATGGATACCAGCACCTGTTCCAGTGGAGGTGGTGGGGGGTGTGCAGTGGACTTCGTGAGGGCTCTTAGCTTTGGTGGTTTAATGCTCTATTTTTGTGCGGGTTGGCCTCCTGCTGTGAGGTGGCGCTTTCCAGAAAGCATCAGCTGTAGTAGTTTGAGAGGGACTGGCTGTGGGCTGGGCTGTAGAACTCCCAAGATTATATGTCCTTTGTTTTCTGCTACCAGAGTGGGTAGGGAAGGACGATCAGGTGGGGGTGGGGCCAGGCGTATCTGAGCTCAGACTCTCTTTGGACCGGTCTTGCTGCAGCTCCTGTGGGGGATGGGTGTGAGATTCCCAGGTCACTGGAGTTATGTACCTAGGAGGATTATGGCTGCCTCTGCTGAGTCATGCAGGTTTTCAGAGAAGTGGTGGAAAGCTGGCAGTCACAGGCCTCACCCAGCTCCCATGCAAACTGAAAGTCCAGTCTCACTCCCACCATGCCCCCATCCAACCGCCCCAAGTCTGTTTTCGGGCAGTGGGTGAGACAGGCTTGAGAACTTGCCTCAGGCTACCCACCTCCCAGCTGCAAAAGAAAGGGCTTGTTCTTCCCACCTGTGGAGAATCTGCACACCAGATTTGCGCCCTCCCCCGAGTTCTGGCCAGGAGGCTTCTAACCCTGTTCAAATTGTTACAAATTTCAGCTAGAGATTTCCTTCTCCCTGTTGAGTTTTACCCTCGCTCCTCTGGCTGCCCTCCTGGTGGATCCCTGTGGTGCCAGGCAGGAATGACCTGCTTGGGGACCCAGGGAGCTCCCAGGGCCTTTCCCGCTGCTTCCTCTACTTCTGTATTTCGCTCGACTCTCTAAATTGACTCAGCTCCAGGTAAGGTCGGAAACTTCTCCTGCAAACAGACCTTCCTTTTCTCCAGTGGGCGTGTGTGTTTGGGAGAGGATGCTCTCCCTTTCCCACTTCCGCAGTTTGGGCACTCACAGTATTTGGGGTGTCTTCCAGGTCCTGCAAGAGCAGTCTGCTTCCTTCAGAGGTCTGTCGGTCCTCTCGGGGTTGCTGGTTTGTTCTTGCAGTCGATCTGGAGCTAAAATTCACAATGCAAGCCTCTGCACATTGCTCTGTTCAGAGCTGCAATCTAGTCCTGCCTCCCGTCCACCATGATCCTATGTGTGCTGCATTACTTTACTTAAAGGTGAAGGTGAATTTTCTGTGTGTGGTTAGAAGCTTGGAAATTATGCATTTCCTTCTAGTCTGAACTTACAATTCAGAAGAGAACAGTGAGCCTGTAAAATTTCAAATATTTAGCAACCACCTATTTTGAATAAGATATTCTACCATACAGAGTAGCAAAAGACTTGGTCTCTGCTCTTGATGTTCTTACAAGATGGAGATGGAAATAAACTGCCAGGAACTGCAGGGTCTGAGCTTTTAACCTACTTTCAAGCTAACAAACTAGTCTGTTACTGTTTACTGTTACTTTCCTGGCAAAAAGACATGAGATTCCTGGTTCAGAGACAAGGGACTTTATTATTCATGGCAAAAGCAGTAGCCAGAGCTCTAGGCTAGTGTGTGTCAGTTCCCCATGCCCTGGGGTCTCAGGGTGATGCTAAGGGCCCACCACGGATGCCTGCACATGTGTGGTGAGCTGCGTTATGGGGCAGAAACACTGAGCTTGGGGAATCCCTGTCTTTGTAGAGAACCTACACTTTGTCTAGGGGAGACGTTACCTCCTTCCTCAAGGTTTCTTGGTGCAAACACAGCCCTGGGAAATGGGTCAGGTAAAGAGCAGTCAAGGCCTTACATTCTTGGCATACCCAGCAGGAACTTCAGGGCATGCTCAGGGCCCATGGCAGACTGCCTCTCCCAACATAGATCTGCACGGAACGTCAGGTCCATGACCAATGTCTACCATCACAAGGCAACAAAGAATAAATGGTGTGGGCATTTAAGATAATAATTCAGATAAAGCCCAACACCCATCCCTTATAATTATTACCACATATACAGCTATTGCTGGATATTTCTTCCGCTTGTGTTTTATGCTGTGGAACTCTCCTTATCATCATACCTTCTATCATTATATCTTGACTGATAATAGGTTCCCATGAGACCTCTCTCCTATTCAAAGAGAGAAGACATAGGAAAAAAACTACTGAATGAACTAGCGGAAATAAATGTAAGATAGTTTGTCCTCATTTTGTCCAGCAAGCAAAGGTATCAACGTCCTGATTTTTTTTTTTTTTTTTTTTTTTTTGAGACAGAGTCTCACTCTGTCACCCAGGCTGGAGTGCGGTGGTGTGATCTTGGCTCACTGCAACCTCTGCCTCCCAGGTTTGAGTGATTCTCCTGCCTCAGCCTCCTGAGTAGCTGGGATTACAGGTGCCTGCCACCACGCCTGGCTAATTTTTGTATTTTTAGTAGAGGCAGGGTTTCATCATGTTGGCCAGGCTGGTTTCAAACTCCTGACCTCAGATGATCTGACCTTAGCCTCCAAAAGTGCTGAGATTACAGGTGTGAGCTACTGAGAGGTGACAGCGTGCTGGCAGTCCTCGCAGCCTTCCCTGGCTCTCGGTGCCTCCTCTGCCTGGGCTCCCACTTTGGCGGCACTTGAGGAGCCCTTCAGCCCACGCTGCACTGTGGGAGCCCCTTTCTGGGTTTGCCAAGGCCAGAGTCGGTTCCCTCACCTTGCAGGGAGGTGTGGAGGGAGACGCGTGGGCGGGAACCGGGGCTGCGCGTGGTACTTGCAGGCCAGCAGGAGTTCCAAGTGGGCGTGGGCTCCGCGGCCCCGCACTGGGAGTGGCCAGCTGGCCCTGCCTGCTGGAGCAGTGAGGGGCTTAGCACCTGGGCCAGCAGCTGCTGTGCTCAATTTCTCACCGGGCCTTAGCTGCCTTCCCTCTGGGCAAGGCTCAGGACCTGCAGCCTACCATGCCTGAGCCTCCCCCGTCTCCGTGGGCTCCTGTGCGGCCCGAGCCTCCCGGGCGAGCGCCGCCTCCTGCTCCATGGCACCCAATCCCATACACCACCCAAGGGCTGAGGAGTGCAGGCGCACAGCGCGGTACTGGCAGGCAGCTCCACCTGCGGGATCCACCGGGTGAAGCCAGCTGGGCTCCTGAGTCTGGTGGGGACTTGGAGAACCTTTATGTCTAGCTAAGGGATTATAAATACACCAGTCGGCACTCTGTGTCTAGCTCAAGGTTTGTAAACACACCAATCAGCACCCTGTGTCTAACTCAGGGTTTGTGAATGCACCAATCGACACTCTGTATCTAGCTACTCTGGTGGGGACTTGGAGAGCCTTTGTGTGGACACTGTATCTAGCTAATCTAGTTGTGACATGGAGAACTTTTGTGTCTAGCTCAGGAATTATAAACGCACCAATCAGCACCCTGTCAAAACGGACCAATCAGCTCTCTGTAAAATGGACCAATCGGCTCTCTGTAAAATGGACCAATCAGCAGGATGTGGGTGGGGCCAGATAAGAATAAAAGCAGGCTGCCCAAGCTAGCAGTAGCAACCCGGCCCTGTCCTTTTCTATGCTGTGGAAGCTTTGTTATTATGCTGTTTGCAATAAATCTTGCTGCTGCTCACTCTCTCGGTCCACCTTGCCTTTATGAGCTGTAACACCGTGAAGGTCTGCAGCTTCACTCCTGGAGCCAGCGAGACCACGAACCTATCGGGAGGAATGAGCAACTTCAGACACGCCGCCTTAAGAGCTGTAACACTCACCGCGGAGGTCTGTGGTTTCACTCCTAGGCCAGCGAGACCACAAACCCACCAGAAAAAACTCCAAACACATCAGAACGAACAGACTCCAGACACGCCACCTTTAAGAGCTGTAACACTCAGCGCGAGGGTCCACAGCTTCGTTCTTGAAGTCAGTGAGACCAATAACCCACCAATTCCAGATACACTACCACGACCCGCTCAATGTCCTGAACTGTTTAATGTTTTTAACGTGTAGGCTATATGTATGTACATTGTCATTGCTGTCGCTTTTCTCTGTTAATCTTATTATTAATATCCATAACTTACGTAGACTGGAGAGATTTTCAAAATAATTTATCAACTGTAGCTTTGCCCAAGTATCTAAAACTTTTTTCTCTTGTTTTTGTTCTATACATCATTTATTAGATACATAACTTCCTTAACTTTATAACATTAATAACATCAAAAAGCTAATAACATCAGAATATCCAGTAGCAAAACTCAGTATCAGCAATGAAAGACCCGCCTCTCTCTCATATTCGCCGTTTTGAATCACCTTGTAAAAGAATTTTATAGAATGTGGATTTCAGTATTTGTAAAGGACTCTGATAAAACTTTCAAAAAGCAGAGATAGCCTAGCCAACATGGTGAAACCCTATCTCTACTTAAAAAAATATACATCAAAATTAGATGGGAGTGATGGCGTGCTCCTGTAGTCCAGATACTTGGGAGGCTGAGGCAGGAGAATCCCTTGAACCCGGGAGGTGGAGGTTGCAGTGAGCCGAGATCACGCCACTGCACTCCAGCCTGGGCGAAAGAGTGAGACTACATCTCAAAAAAAAAAAAAAAAAAGGCAGAGATAATGTCATTTAAGCCAAAAAAGAATTCTGAAGAAACACATAAACGCAATACCAGGTGGTTTGCGGTTACTTAGAAAAACATCAAGTATTTAAACAGCTGGAGGGGAAAAGTCTTTCTGGCATGTATTTCAAATGAATACCTTTCATGAGACGTAAAGCAGGCTGCCTCATGATGCGTATGCAAACAGAGGTCAGAGTTGGTGTTTCTGTCTGTGAGTAGTTTCATTTGGTAGCATATGCGAAATTAATATTATTTGTAGAAAGGCATTCATTTAAATGACAGTGGATTATGTGGTCAATAAAGTTGAAATTTCTAGATTGAGGACAAAGTAAAGGTATTGCTTATATTTTAGCAATGGTACATTAAGAGATGTCGCTATTGGCCGGGAGCAGTGGCTCACGTCTATAATCCCAGCACTTTGGGAGGCCAAGGCGGCTGGATCACCTCAGGTCATCCTGGCCAACATGGTGAAACCCCGTCTCTACTAAAAATAACAAAAATCAGCTGGGCGTGGTGGCGTATGCCTGTAATCCCAGCTACTCGGGAGGCTGAGGCAGGAGAATCACTTGAAGTTGGGAGGTGGAAGTTGCAGTGAGCCGATATCGCGCCACTGCATTCCAGCCTGGGCGACACAGCGAGACTCCATCTCAAAAAAAAAAAAAAAAGATGTCGCTATTTTAGTTATAACTTTGAATTGTTCTCCTGAGATATATAAAATACATACTTAAGAGTTCTAATTATGACTTCATTCACCAGCAGGATTGTTTTAAGACTACAGTGAGTCCAACTTCCTGCTCAAAAATGTGCTAAAGCTTCTGGCTGAGCCTTAAGACATTTTAGAAGCTCTTCCTCACAGGAGAGAAAAGGCACCCAGCCAGCTACTGCGCACATGGATAAATCTGTCAGTTTTCTAGAATCCAGCACAAAATTCATGTCACTTAGAGGAAAACTATGCTGAGGTGTATCTTTGAGGTGAGAATGGTAATTTCATCAAAGAAATGCCCTCTTCTGTAGGGAGCCTGCGGAGGCCCCCAGGCCCCTGAAGTCTGATGGATCTGGAGAGGGGAATGAGGACACACAGGGGCCCGCAGATACATCAAGGACATCCGCAAGGTGAAGGCACATTTGAACTCTGTAGGGATGACTCCTGGTCCACACCTCCAGTTCTGATCTCCATCGTCAGCCCCAGCCCCAAATTTCCAACCATTTGCCAACATCTCAGTGGGTCAGGCCCACTGGTAACTCAGCCTCCACATGTCCCAGACCACTTCAGGTGTTTTATTTTTTATTTTTTTTCTTCCAGACAGAGTCTCGCTTTGTCGCCCAGGCTGGAATACAATGGCATGATCTCGGCTCACGGCTACCTCCACCTCCCAGGTTCAACCGATTCTCCTGCCTCAGCCTCCTGAGTAGCTGGGATTACAGGCATGTGCCACCTCTCCCGGCTAATTTTTTTATATTTTTAGTGGAGACGGGGTTTCACCATGTTGGTCAGACTGGTCTCGAACTCCTGACCTCAAGTGATCCTCCCGCCTCGCATGAGCCACTGCGCCTGGCCTGCTGAGGTGTTCGTTAAGACTGCTTCTCTCCCACAGTCCCTGGCCCACGCGCAGGCATCTCATGTTTCCACTCACCAGAATCATCTTTCTACTATATCTGCACCCTCATCCCGGTCTCCCCTACTCCAGTAAACAGCCACGCCCTTTTGTTCTGAACTTCAGAGTCACCCTCAGACCGGCATCTGCATGCCTCCTCCTGGGCTCTGCTTGACTCCTCTCCGGTACCGCCTCACGGGTCACTGCCCTGTGTCCAGTCTCACTTCAACCGATGTTTACTCCATCTATAGTTCTGTGCTAGGCCCTCCCTGCAAAGGTGTCTTTCTCAATCAATTCTCAAAACAGGTTGCATGGGCTAGGCACCGTGGCTTGCACTTGTAATCCCAGCACTTTGGGAGGCCGAGGAGGGTGGATCACCTGAGGTCAGGAGTTCGAGACCAGCCTGGCCAACATGGTGAAACCCCATCTCTACTAAAAATACAAAAAAAATTAGCCAGCCATGGTGGCGGGCACCTGTAGACCCAGCTACTCAGGAGGCTGAGGCAGGAGAATCGCTTGAACCTGGGAGATGGAAGTTGCAGTGAGCCAAGATCACGCTACTGCACTCCAGCATGGACTGGAGCAAGACTCCATCTCAAAAACAAAACAAAACAAAACAAAAACGCCACCACCACCACAAACAACAACAACAACAAAAAACAGGTTGTATGACCTCTTTCCCAGCATCACACATCTTCAGTGGCATTCCATTACCTGCAAAATACAATCTAGGCTCCTCAGCCTCCCTCCAGCCCCACCTGTGCCTGCTGTTTGCCACAACTAAGCCCCCATCCTGCTCCATGTCTAGCAGCTGTAGGAGCAGGGAGGGCAGTGGAGATGCCTATAGTAGGATCCCTAAGGCAGTCCGCCTAGTCCTGCTACAAACATTAGAAAACGCAAACAAAAAAGCCACCAAGAGCTTCTGGCCAAGATGGAGTAGCAGGACATTGGATTTAACCTCCTGCCTGAAACAGCCCCCCAAAATGAACACAGTGTAGGAAGACACTATCAGGCAATGAAGAACCCTGATCCCTGAGGGGTGGGTGATAAATGAGGTGAGCCCTACGATTGCCCCAGCTTACTGCCTTGAGACAGTTTCCAGGTTCAGTGCTGGAAAGGGAACACAGCAGGGTCCCTGCAGACTCCCTGGGGTGGGCGTAGAGGGCTGAGAGTCTGAGGGGGATCAAGGCCTGGAGACAAGAGTTCTTAGGACAGAGCACCATCGAGGGCAGAGCTGCACCAGGAGAGAAACATGGGGGTCTTCAGAGGGTCTGCCTGGAGTTGTCAGTTGGATGCTGGTTAGCACGTGCATATGAAGAAACGACCTGAGTCTGGGAAAAGAACTGCCTGAAAGGATTAGTGATAACAGTGCCTGGTGCTCACACAGGAACAGTGCCTGTTCCCACATCATTCAGGGACTCGGATAGGCCTTACCTCCAAAGTGGGGAATAGTTAGCCCTAAACTGAGCCTTGCCTTGGTTCTGCCTAACGCTTCTTCTTTTTTTTTTTTTCTTTTTATGAGATGGAGTCTCGTTCTGTTGCCCAGGCTGGAGTGCAGTGGCGCGATCTTGGCTCACTGCAAGCTCCACCTCCTGGGTTCACGCCATTCTCCTGCCTCAGCCTCCCAAGTAGCTGGGACTACAGGCGCCGGCCACCATGCCCGACTAATTTTTGTATTTTTAGTAGAGACGGGGTTTCACGGTGCTAGCCAGGATGGTCTTGATCTCCTGACCTCGTGATCCGCCCACCTTGGCCTCCCAAAGTGCTGGGATTACAGGCATGAGCCACCACGCCCGGCCGGTTCTGCCTAACGCTTCTTAAGTTCAGGACTCATTTTTCTGCCTTCACATGTGCATGGGGTTCTATAAACTTGGGAAAGTGTTTAAACACTGTATGTTAACCACCTTCCATGATATTATCCTAATCACACTTCTTTACTGTTTCACAGTGTGGGCTTGAGAACTGATGAGCAGCTTCTGAGGAAGGGGATTGGGCAGTGATGTTTGTAGGAGAACAGGGAATTGTCCAGAGGATGTTACAGATTGGAACACATGGGCTCATGTATACATGAACGAGCCCTGAGGATGCTGCTAGACTCTGTGTGCCCACATCCTAGCACACGCACAGAGCATGTCAGTGAGGGTGGCATTCCCCGTCTCCTCTTGAGCACTTGCCAACCCCTTGATTAGATAACTGAAACTAATCTGATTAATGCCATAGCCTTTGTGGTGAAAGATTCATGTTTTCTGATAGCTTTTTGAGTGTGTCCAGTATTTTGTACACTTGTATATGAAAAGATTTAATTGAAGGACATACTATCATTCTAGATCTTTTTTTTTTCTATTTCTGACATGGATTTGAGAGTAAGCTTCTCAATGAAGGCTATATTGCACTTCGACTGTTAAAACTCCATCAAGTTTACCCTCTAAGAGCACAAGATGGAGATGTCTGCTTTCATGATCTTAGTCATCTTATATTTTTATTTATAATGCTCAAGGTTCTAGCTAGCACCACGAGGCAAAAAAAAAGAACAATAATAATAATAAAAGGTAATAAAATGGAAGGAAATCAATAAAACACTTGCAGATGGCCTGATTGTCTACACAGAAAATCCCCTGGCATCTTCAAAAAATTGTTAGAACTAATAATTTCAGCAAAGTCCCAAGATATCAATTTCAGCAAAGTCTCAAGATATCACATAGACATACAAAAATCAATCACATTTCTATGTACTAACAACATTTGGAAAATGAAATTAAAAACATAAAAAGGAACCTAAACCTAAAACTCACATCTTATTCAAAATTTAACTTAAAATGGATGATATTAGCTGGGCACAGTGGTATGCATGTGTGGTCTCAGTTACTGAGGAGGCTGAGGTGGGAGGATCACTTGAGCCCAGAAGGTCGAGGCTGCAGTGAGCCATGACTGTGCCACTGCACTCCAGCCTGGGCAACAGAGCAAGACCCTGTCTCAGAACAAAAATGGAGCATAGACTTAAATGCAAACTATGAAACTATAAAAACTTTCAGAAAAAAATGGGAGAAACTGTTCACAATCTGGGGCTTGACAAAGTTTTAGACTTGACACCAAAAGTATGGAACAAAAGTTGATCAGTTGGATCTCAAGAACATTAAAATTTTTTGTTCTTTAAAAACTCAGATATAATGGACTTAATGCTTGTGTCCCTCCAAAATTCATATGTTGAAATTCTAATTCCCAATATGTTATTATTTAATAGGAGGCAGGGCCTTTGGGAGGTTGTTAGGTCATGAGGGTAGATTCCACATGATGGGATTAATACACTTTTAAAAGAGGCACCAGAGAGCTCCCCTGCCCTCTTTTCACTAAGCAAGGACACAGTGAGACATTAGCCATCTTCAACCAGGAAGCAGGCCCTTACCAGAATCCAACAGGCTGGCACCCTGATCTCAGACTTCCAGACTTCAGGACTGTGAGAAGTGACTGTTGTTAGAGCTACCTGGTCTATGGTATTTTTGTAATAGCAGCCTGAGCTGACTAAGACTCTATGTGAAACATGAAAAGACAAGCTACAGTCTGGGGGAAAATATTTGCAAACCACCTATCTGACAAAGAACTAGTACCTAGAATACATAAAGAACTCTCATAACTCAACACTACAAAAAAAAAAAGTAAACATTACAATCAATTAGAAAATGGGCAAAAAACATGAACAGACATTTTACCAAAGAGGATCTCTAGATGGCAAATAAGCACATGAAAAGATGTTCGACATCATTAGCATCAGGGAAATGCAAAATAAAACATTTTATAAAGGAGTATCATTATGCACCTATGAGAATAGCTAAAACACAAACAGTGACACCAAATGTTGGCAATCATGCAGAGAAACCCAATCACTCATACACTGCTGGTGGGAATTAAAAATTGTTCAGCCACTCTGGAAGGCATTTTTTCAGTTTTTAAAATAAAACTAAACATGCAATTACTGTACAAATCAGCAATTGTGCTCCTGGACATTTATCTCGGAGAAACAAAAACTTATGTTCACACAAAAACCTATAAACAAAGGCTCACAACAGCTTTATTTGTAATAGCCCACAACTGGAAAACTGGAATACCAAAAAACCAGATATTCTTCAGTTGTTGAGGATTAAACCAATGTGGTACATCCATATGGTGGAATACCACTCAGCAATAAAAAGAAGTCAACTACTGATACATGCAACAACCTGGATGAGTCTAAAGGGAATTATGCTGAGTGGAAAAAGCCAATTCTGAAAGGTTACATGCTGTGCAATCCACTTATGCAACATTCTTGAAATGACAAAATTATAAAAAATGGAGAACAGACTAGCGATTGACAGGGGATCAGAACTGGGGGTTAAATGGGGAGCAGGGAAAGGGAGGTGAGTGTGTCTATAAAAGGTCAACACTGGGGGGACCCGTGTGGTGATGGGACTATTCTGCATCCTGACTATACCAATGTCAGTATCTGGCTGTGATATTGTACTATAGATTTGCCAAATGTTACCATTAAGGGAGAATGAGTAAAGGGTACCCAAGATCTCTCTGTAGGATTTCTTACAATTGCATGTGAATATACAATTATCTCAAGATAAAAAGTTTCACTTGAGTTATAGGTTGTGTTTGATAAAAATGGCCCACCTCCTTAAATGTTGGCCACCTTATGATTTCCTTAGACATGTTACTGACTACCTAATAATTATCAAAATTGTAAAACACATTGTTGAGTATTATGAATACTTTGCTCATCATTGTAACGGAATAAACGAATGTGTTTCTATGAAAGGCCAATTTTGATTATGAGGAAAACACAGACACACACAAAACAAAACCTCCATGAAGTGGATGGTCATCGACCTCGCTCATTCTGGGCCCTGGCAGGAGGGCTAAGGATTCTGCTATCTATTTCGGGATGAGGCTGACATTCTCCTGCACCTTTCCTCGCAGGATCTCCTCTTCAGCGTGTGTGCCCTCAACGTCCTGTCCACTATCGTGTGTGCGCTGGCCACAGCCATGTGCTGTATGCAGATGGTCTCCTCCGATGTCCTGCAGATGGTGAGTGGCCTGATCCCCTCCTCCTCTGCGCGGTTTGAAACCAGTGTAGGAGTGGACGCTTCTGGCTTCAGCCAGATGCTGTGAGGACAGCGGCCCCTGACAGTCCATGGCACCTGGAGGCCACCTTGTGTTGCCCTCTGGAAGACCAAGCATCTGCACACGTGGCGCCGCTGATGTATTTATTTTAGGTGTTGTTGGAGCTCCATATTGACAGGGTTCTGCCACTGTCGTGTTCTCTAGGATGGCCCCTGGCATGTGCCCTTGAGTCATGTAGTGAAATTCCTGCAGCCCTGGACATCCCCTGGACCCAGCACCTCCAAAGCAAGGTGCCTTCCTCGGGCTTCAGAATTCTCTTTTAATCCGGGAAGTTTAGAGGTGTTAGAAGATCAGTTCTTTTCCAGTTGGAAAATTGCTAACCTGTGCATTTTTGATTTGCTAATGAACCCTGAGCTCATACTCCAGCGGCCAGTCACTGGCCATCATTTGACCCTTTGCCCAGGGTCATACACAAGAAGACCTGTCACTCCCAGGGGCAGCGAGGAGGCCCGGAGCATGGTTCACTAACACATGTTATAATATGTGGGTTATTAATACACATTTCTAAATACACATCTCATAAATAATGAACGCTCTTCCTGTTTCAATGTGAATGGAACACAGCCTACTGATCAGAATGCTACTGAGTACAACAAAGAGAAATTGATGAAAAAATATTGTTCTTCCATGGTAAGGGTAGGAATATCTATGCGCACGCGTGTGTGTGTGTATGAGTGTGTGTCTGTCTCTCTCTGTCTCTGTGTGTGTCTTTCTGCCTCGGTCTCTTTCTGTCTCTCTGTCTCTCAATTTGCCCCTTTGAGACCTACGCTGCTTCCCACGCAATGATTTATGCATCTTATGCAAGAAAAGGCAGCTGGTTCTTATAGTGGGTTTTTTTAATGTGCTCTTCTTTGTCATTCACCCTGTGGCAGTCAACATCCAGTTAATCAAGATACAGGGCCAGAGAGCATCATTACCAAGACGTTAAAAATTCTTTGGTCCTAATTGCATGCCATGGGAGTCTCTCCCTCCCGGTGTATATCCACACAGCTGTCACAGCCAGGCTGCCCTTTCTGAAAGGTATCTAATTAAGCAGTTCTAAGGTAGCCATGAACTTCTGCCCTTGTTCATCGGGGCCTCATGTTGGCAATTTTCTCCAACGTGTTCTGTAAAGGAAAGGTTAAGTACCAGGGGCTTCTCCTCACCTCAGCAGATTTTACTATTGATCTGTAAATATCACATCCATTTGACCAAACTTACAGAACTAAAGGCATGTAAATGCTAAAAGTTTGCATTCTCCTGGTTTTATGCTTTAAAATGAAAATTGCCAACTAAATAAGAATAAAGTAAATTCTCTTTATAAGAGCATATACGATTATAACAGCAGTGTGCAGAGTCGCTCTGTAGTTGTGATGGGTGGGGCATGAGCAGGCGTGGAGCCGTGCTTCTCAAGCCAGGCGCTCCAGGGTCTGAGTCCCACCTCTTCTGCATTCGAGGCAGGTGACTCTGGGTGTGTCACTGAACCTTCCTGTGCCTCAGTTTCCTCACCTGTGAAGTGGAATGAATGGGATGCCTGGAGATCCCTAATACGTGTGATGTGTTGGATTTGAAATGTGTAGGGAATATCAGTCTGTCACTGGGACGTCGCAGCAATGTCTGCAGACGCGGTGGGCTGAGGCTCTTTACCAGCAGAAAACACTGTGCAAGGGAAAGGCAGGCTGCGGCGACAGCGGCTGCCGTCAGAAGCCCTGTTGTTTCCTCGCTGAGTACTTTGTGGGTGAGTTTGCCTCACACCCTGGCTTGGAAGCAGAAATATCCGGCTTCCTGCCAGCACATCCTTTCCGGTCTGTGACGGGTACCGCGGGAGCCCAAGGCTCTGCTCTCGTGATGAGACCCCCGGCTCTGCTGCCGGGCTTGAGAGTCATGGGCGAGGCAAAAGAGAGCTGGTGGTGGGTGAATCCACACTTCCCTGTGGATTCAGAGGGTGGCCATGGCGCCCTATGGGACTGGCACAATCTTGGGCACATCACTGCCTGTGGGACCCCGTTTCCTCGGCTCTAAAGATGAAGCGTGTGCCCTGCTGTCCTCACAGAGCTGCTGATGGGATGAGTCCGCTCATCTGTGGGAATGGGATTTGAAGGAACGTGGTGGCCACATGGAGGTCGGCTCTTGCCATGTGGGCCGAGGCTTGAGCCAGGCTGGCTGTGCGAACCATTCCCTACCAGTAGCTTCCGCAGTTCACCCCTGCGCCATTTCTGCTCCAGGAAGCTGGGCCATGAGCTTTCCAAGGGACAGTTGTAGCTATTCCTAACTAGTTTATGCCAGTGATATTTGTTGTAATTACATATTCTAGTACTATGTAAAGCCATGAAATATGAGTGCAGAAAGATAATTGTTTCTGGTACAGCACAGTCGAGTTCTTTGGAAAGGTTCGGTGAAAGGGGGTGCTGCTGAATGTATTGCTGTCCATTAGATGCAAGTGAGACAACTATGGCGGTTGCGATAAATGCTGATAAAAATCTAGAGGAGCCGGGCCTGGTGGCTCACGCTTGTAATCCCAGCACTTTGGGAGGCCGGCAGATCACCTGAGGTCAGGAGTTCAAGACCACCCTGGTCAACATGGTGAAACCCCGTCTCTACTAAAAATACAAAAATTAGCAGGGCATGGTGGCACATGCCGATAATCCCAGCTACTCGGGAGGCTGAGGCAGGAAATTGGCTTGAACCTGGGAGGCGGAGGTTGCAGTGAGCCAAGACTGTGCCATTGCACTACAGCCTGGGCGACAGAGCGAGATTGAGACTTAAAAAAAAAAAAAAATTAAAAAAAAATCTGGAGGGAGTCCACATACACATTGCTTGACAAGTGCCTTTCAGCTCTAGCCCCACTTTAAAAACACAGAAAAGGGTTGTTAGATTCATGTCTTATGGATGCAGCTTATGCAGGAAAGACCACGAGGCACTCCACACAGCAGACTGACTCTCAGAAAAGGCTTTACTCAGGCAGAAAAAGGTCAGTCCATGTATGTACAGTCAGCCCCCACTGAGCCAACCGTGGATCGACACTATTCAAGGAAAAAACACAATAAAAATAACAAAACAACAACAAAAATATAAATAAAAAACAATACAGTATAACAACTATTTCCATAGCATTTATATTGTATTAGGTGTTAGAAGTATTCTAGAGATGATTCAAAGTATACAGGAGGATGTGTGTAGGTTATGTCCACATACAACATTATTTTATGTAAAAGACTTCACCCTCCACCGATTTTAGTATCCAGTGGCAGAGGAGGTTCTGGAAGCAATTCCTTGTGGATTCAGAGGGACACTTTATAAATGGTTTTTTTCTTTTACCAGGGATCTGTGAGATGGGGGATCGGGTAACAGCTGTCTTGAGATACAATTCACCTATCATACAATTCCTCCATTTAAAATTCAGCGGTTTTAATATCTTCACAGAGTTGTACAACCTTCACCACAATCCATTTTAGAACATTTTTATTATCCCCAAGAGAGACCCTATAGCCTTTAGCAGTCACCCTATTTCCTTCCCACCTCTCAGCCCTAGGAAACCACTAATCTACTTTCTGTATCCATGGATTTGCCTGTTCTGCATGTTCCATATAAATTGAATGATACAACATGTGGCCGTTTGTGTCTGGCTTCTTTCATTTAGCATGATGTTTTCAAGGTTCATTCATGTTTCTACATGTACCAACATTTCATTCTTTTTTACGGCTCAACAGTATATCCTGTTGTATCAGTATACTACATTTTGCTTATTCATCAGTTGATGTTCATATGGGCTGTTTGCCTTCTTGGCTGTTATTAATAATGCTGTTATGAACATCCTTGTACAAGTTTTTGTGTCAACATATGTTTTAATTTATCTTGAGTATATACCTTGGAGGGGAATTGCTGGGTCATAAGGATGATTCTGTTTTTGAGGAACTGCAAGATTGTTTTCCAAAGCAGCTGTGCCATTTTACATTCCCACCGTGAGACCATGAGGGTTCCAGTTTCTTCACATCCACTCCAACATTTATGATCTTTCTTTTAATTGTAACCATCTTAGTGGTGGTGAAGTGGTATTTCATTGTGGTTCCAGTTTCTTCACATCCACGCCAACACTTATGATCTTTCTTTTAATTATAACCATCATGGTGGTGAAGTGGTATTTCATTTTGGTTCCAGTTTCTTCACATCCACGCCAACACTTATGATCTTTCTTTTAATTATAACCATCATGGTGGTGAAGTGGTATTTCATTTTGGTTCCAGTTTCTTCACATCCACGCCAACACTTATGATCTTTCTTTTAATTATAACCATCGTAGTGGTGGTGAAGTGGTATTTCATTGTGGTTTGGATTTGCATTTCCCTGATAATTAATGATGGTGAACATACTTTCATGCACTTGTGGCTATTTGTATATTTTCCCTACAGAAATGTTTTTCAGACCTTTTGCCTATTTTTAAAATTGGGTTATTTGTCTTTTTATTACTGAGTTGTAAAAGTTATTTCTGTATTTCAGGCACAACCCCCTTATCAGATATATAATTTGTAAATTTCTCTCCCACCCTGTGGGTTATCTTTTCACTTGATGCACAAAAGTTTCAATTTGGATGAAGTTCAGTTTCTCTGCTTTTTTCTTTAGTTGTTTGTGCTTCTGGTGTCACATCTAAGAAAGCAATGCCTAAGAGCTTTATAGTGTTACTGTTAGCTCTTACACTTAGGGTTTTTTGGTTTTTTTTTTTCCCCAAGATGGAGTCTTGCTCTGTCACCCAGGCTGGAGTGCAGTGGTGTGATCTCGGCTCACCACAACCTCTGCCTCCCAGGTTCAAGCAATTCTCCTGCCTCAGCCTCCCGAGTAGCAGAGATTACAAGCGTGTGCCACCACCCCAGGTAATTTTTGTATTTTTAGTAGAGACGGGGTTTCACCACGTTGGCCAGGCTGGTCTCAAACTCCTGACCTTGTGATCAGCCTGCCTTAGCCTCCCAAAGTGCTGGGATTACAGGCGTGAGCCACCACACCCGGCCTGCACATAGGTGTTTAGACCATTTTGAGTTCATTGTTATACACTGTGTGAGGTAGGGGTCCAGCTTTGTTCTGTTTCCAACACCATTTGTTGAAAAAATGAATCTTTCCCCGTTGAATGGTCTTGGTAACATTAGTCAGACTCAATTGACCATAGATATACGTGTTTATTTCTGGACTCTCAATTCTATTCCATTGACCTATGTCTGTCCTGATGCCAGTGCCACATGGTTTCGATTGCTGTAGCCTCATAGTAAGTTTTGACGTGTGGACGTGTGAGCCCTCCAGTTCTGTAGTTTTTGAACATTGTTTTGGATATTCTGTGCCCTTTGATTTCATATGAACTTTAGGTTGAGTTTGTCAACTTCTGCAAACAATCCACCTGGGATTTTGATGAGGATTGTGGTTAATCTGTGGATCAGTTTCAGGAATATTGTCATCTTAACAATAGTAAGTCCTCCAACCTATGGACATGAGGTACCCTTCCATTCATTTAGATGTTCTTTAATTTCTTTCAGTTATATTCACGGTTTTCAGTGTGCAAGTTTTGCTTTTTTGTTAAATTTATTCCTGAGTATCTTATTCTTCTTGATGCTATCATAAATGGAATTACTATCTTAATTAAATTTTCAGATCATTCATTGCTAATATATAGAAATACAAATGATTTTTTATATTGATCTCATATCCTGAAACCATGCTGAACTCATTTTGAGCTTTATTGTTGTTGGGCTTTTCTCTGGATTCTTTCTATATGCAAAATCATGTCACCTGCAAATAGAAATCAGTTTACTTCACTCTGGATGTCTTTCATCTTGTCTTCTTTCCTGATTGCCCTGGCTGGAACCTCCACTACGATGTTGAATAGAAGCAGTGAGAGTGGACTTTCTTAGCTTGTATCTAGGGGAAGCATCCAGTCTGTCACCATTAAGTAGTATGTTAGCTGTGGGTTTTTCATAGATGCTGTTGATCAGATTCAGGAAGTTCCCTTCTATTCCTAGTTTGTTGGTTGTTTTTTTTTTTTTTTTTTTTTTTTGAGATGGAGTCTCGCTCTGTCGCCCAGGCTGGAGTGCAGTGGTATAATCTCGGCTCACTGCAAGCTCTGCCTCCCGGGTTCACGCCATTCTCCTGCCTTAGCCTCCTGAATAGTTGGGACTACAGGCGCCCGCCACCACACCTGGCTAATTTTTTTGTATTTTTAGTAGAGACGGGGTTTCACCGTGTTAGCCAGGATGGTCTCAATCTCCTGACCTCGTGATCTGCCCACCTCGGCCTCCCAAAGTGCTGGGATTACAGGCATGAGCCACCGTGTCCAGCCTGTTGGGTCTTTTTTATCAAAAAGAAAGTTGGATTTTGTCAAATGCTTTTTCTGCATCTATTGAGATGACCATAGGGTTTTTGTCCTCTGTTCTATTAATATGTTGAATTACACAGATTGATTTTTCTGATGTTAAGCCAACCTTGCATTTGCGAGATAAATCCCACTTGGTTATGATAAGTAATCCTTTTCATATTAATAGAAGAGTTTGGAAGTGTTTCTTCCTCTTCCGTTTGTTGGAAGATTGTTATGAAGAATTTGTATTAATTATTCATTAAATTTTTTTTGAGATGGAGTCTCTCTGTCACCCAAACTGGAGTGCAGTGGCTTGATCTCAGCTGACTGCATCCTCCACCTCCCACGTTCAAGTGATTCTCCTGCCTCAGCCTCCTTAGTAGCTGGGATTACAGATGTATGCCACCACATCCGGCTAATTTTTTATTTTTTTATTTTTTTTATTTTTAGTAGAGATGGGGTTTCACCATGTTGGGCAGGCTTGTCTTGGACTCCTGACCTCAGGTGGTCCAGCCGCCTCAGCCTCCCAGAGTGCTGGGATAACAGGTGTGAGCCACCACACCCGGCTAAATGTTTTTTTTTGTTTGTTTTTTCCTGAGACAAGGTCTCACTCTGTCCCCCCAGCTGGAGTGCAGAGGTGCGATCATGGTTCACTGCAGCCTCTACCTCCTGGGCTCAAGCAATCCTCCCACTTCAGCCTCCCAAGTAGCTGAGACTACAGGCACACGTCACCATGCCCAGCTAATTTTTTAATTTTTTTGTAGAGACAGGTTCCCTCTATGATGCCCAGGCTGGTCTCGAACTCGTAGGCTCAAGTGACCCTCTCTCCTTGGGCTCCCCAAGTGCTTGGATGATAGGCATGAGCTACCATGCGCGGCCCTTCTTTAAATATTTGATAGAGTTCACCAGTGAAGCCATCTGAGCCTGCACTTTTCCTTGCGGGTAGTTGTATTATTACTAATTCAATCTCTTGTCACATTTTCTATTCTTCTCAAGTCTGTTTTGGTAGTTTGTGTCTTTCTATGAATTTCTCCACATATACAGGATTTAAGTTAAAGTAAAATGGGTTCAGTATGTATGTATTATGTTTGCATGTGTATGTGTGTGTGAAACTCCCCACTTTAAATAACTTTCTTATTCATTAACCAGGCAACCACTAGTCCCAGAGAAGAAGGCGTCTCTTGGCATCTGTGTGTCTTGGTGTTTTGTGCTTTCCTCAGCATGACTTTCTTCTTACCCTGTCATTTCTTTGGAGTGCGTCACTTCCCTCCTCCTCCCACACCATGGCCAGCTTCTGGGTTTTCCTGCGGTGGTTTAAAGTCATTTAGTTCCAGGCGAAATGTGTTAGAGTGTAAGCTCTTTGGGATGTCTTTTCTATGTCACTCCTCCTTAGCCCTTAAATCACAGCATCCCTTCACATCTTCATGACCCCTTTAGATTTAATTTTATAGAAGCTTTACTGCTCACTGCTGTTTCTGTGTTCTTTACCTTCCTGTATGTCGGCCTCTTTGTTCTGAGCGGGTTTTCATTTCTTGCATTCAGTTGTGGCTTTGGTTGTACTAACTCTTCATTTCTGGTGTTTATTTGTATCTGAGACCTTCCAAGTGAGAAGCACTAATTTATAAAGGGAGCATAATTAAGGAGGAAGGTCACTGTGGGCAAGTGTGTGTAAGCCCTTCGGCCACCCTTTCCCAATCAACTAATTTCTTTTCTCAGAAAGAACCTGTGGGAAGCCCCCCGAGCCACAGCTCCAGCCCCCACGGCCCTTCTCTGGTGCCCTGTTGTGCTGCGCCCTACAGAGGGGTGCTGGGCTGAGGGGATGACAGCCATGCCCTGACCTCCCACAGGAAGGAGCACCTCTTCCCAATTTGCCCCCAAGGCAGCCCTGCAGCCTGGCAACTCTGCTCCACTGTGCGGGTCTCAGCCCCACTTTCCCAGCCCCTCTCCCTGCTCCTCCATGTTAGCAGGAAGGACCCAGGCTGTGATTTCTATTGTGATTGATGTGCTGACAACTTACACAATTGATCAAAATTCCAGCCGTAACCATTTTTCAGGAAGAGTCCCAGTTTTGTGTTTACTGATCTGTTCACTTCTTTGCTCACTCATTCATTCATTCAGTTAGTCAGCAATTATCTCAGGGGCTTTGCTATGTGTCCAGTGCTGGTGGGAATCTAGGAATAGCAAGAACAAGTCTCCAAAGAACCTGAAACTCCCATCTTATTTCTGTGGATCAGCAATTTGGGATCATTAACTGCCGATGGAACTAGCATAATGCATGCTTGTATCCATGAGAAGCAAAGCGTTCTGCCTATTGTCAGAACTGATGAAGCTGAGCTACTCTAATATGTGTGGAAATCGTGGCAAAAGACATTCTGATGATACAATGTGGTTGATTGACATCATTTAGCAGAAAAGGTTTTTGATCATTTAAGTGTCTGTAATGTCATTTTTTTTTTGTTTTTAAATGTCATCTCATTCTTCCACTTTTCTGATACATTGTTTTCTTCTTCACTTACTTCCTCGCCAGCTGCTGCAGCCTCAGGAATATCATCTACTATGACATGTATCTCCATTAGGCATGCGCTTATTAACTTCATCTTTCATTATTGTCATTTAGGTAGCTGTCTGCCCTACAGAGTTGACCTCCTTTAGACAGTGCAGAGGGGGCACTGTGCCTTCCATCGCGTGGTAACTGTGGGTTTGCCCATGGAGCTGGTTAAGCGGTGCTGGCTGGTCAGGGACACGACACCACCCCATGGGAGCCACAGCATCACCAAGTTCACCAGTGTCTTCTCTCCGCCTCACCCCAGCACTGGCTGCACCTGCTGGAGAGGGCACTCTGGGGACCCACAGTAACCTTGAGGTCCTTGAGGCCTGGGCTCCACAGAATTGTCTCTGGACAGTAGGTGCTACTTATCTATCAGACCAGGAACTTCATCCAAACAGCTAATGCAGACAATCATAAAAATGATGTGGACACACAATCGTTTTTCTTTGACGTCAGATATGCTAATGAGCATCTGTCAACCAGTCATCTCATTTGGGGCTGTGGTCATCCCTTTGGTTATGGGTCTGTTGTCCTGTCTGGGTGTATTTCTTGCAGAAAGTTTGTGGAAATCACACCATCAATGATTTTCAGATTCAGTTCCTCTAAAGTGGAGCCAGCCAGGGGAAGCCAGCCAGGGGAGACAGACCTTCCCTAGATTTTTATGATTCTTCTCTGCTCTTAGACCTGCCTTGCCTGGACTTGACTTGGCAGCGGTTTCTGCTTGGCTGCCCTCCTTTATTGAGTCTTTCCAAAGCATTCAACTTGGTTTTCACAGAACGAGCAGCTCTTCCTGTCTGCATCCCTATTTCCTTATGCAATTACAGTCATAATGAACACAGGCCTCACCCTGTGCAGTAAGGCACCCTGGAGCCCTGGGTGGGCATGGAACCTACCTGGGGGTGGCGGCAGGACCAGGGGGCCGCAGGGCGGGCTCTCCCCAGGGTCTGGAGCACAGAGCGGGAGCTCCAGCTCATCTGCAGGGTTGTCCAGGAGGAAGTTGATTCAGCAAACTTCGGTAGTAACAAGCCTGCTGTTTCTACCAAGTCTAAGGAAGGCAGAGGGAGAAGGCCCTTCCCTGTAATTCTGAGTCTTTCTGGAAAAATTCAGAGGTGTGTGTGCTCCCTTCAGGAGCCAGGATGTGGCAAGGACATTGGTAGAGGGAGCAGGGAGAGTGGGTGCTGGGCAGGAAACCACTAAATATAAAGGGAGGTGAGCAGACCCGGCTGGGACCTGGAGGAACAGGCAGCTCAGAGCTCCACGGTGTTTCTGCAAATCCCCGGCCCTTGTCCACAGACCCCTGATGCCTGCCCTGCCCCACCTTGTTCCCGATGGCAGGAGATGGAGGCATGGGCTGGATGAGCTCATACTAATGATCCAAGCCTTCCTTTCAGCCACACAGCACTGCTGTCTGGGTCTGTGTGAGCAATGGTGCTTCTCAGGGAAGGGGACTGAGACTCACAGGATCAGAAATGTGCTCACATCCTGTGGGCCCTCAGTGCCCAGGCAGGGCCCAGAGACAACTGACTTGCGGTCTGACTCCCGGTCCCAGGCAGGTTGACCTCTTCACGATCTCCCTCAGATCCCAGACTCTGGGCTGTGTGGATAGACTGAAATGTTCGGGGCTCTGTGTTAAGTGGGCTTTGGGAAGCTGCCCAAGGCCAGGTAGCCTTAGTTCTCATCCTCCATCACTTCCACGTGCACCCACCTGAGAAGGTGGACAGCACACACCTGAGTTCGGATCCCCTCTCCCCGGAGCAGACTGAGCAGGGGCTCTTCTCCAGCGGGGTCTCAAATCCTCACTCCTGTTGTGCGGGGACAGCCCTGGGCACTAGTGATGCCCACATCGGGTGCATGAGCCCCAGCTGGGCACCAGACACAGGTGTACCTTTGTCACCACATGGATCAGAGAAGACAGTTACAGATCAGGGCAAACAGAGCCACCTGGGAAAGAAGGGACTGTTCACAGCCCCTTTTTTGCCCTCCACCTCCAGGTGCAGAGTTGAGCTTTATACCTGGCAGTCAACATGCAGGTGAGGCTGCAGAGCCTGGAGCTTGGGTGGGATGGGGGAGGGGTGGCTGCCCACTGGCTTTTCAGGGTCACAGGCATTTCCGCTGGTCCTGAAGGTGACTGGGAGGCGCCAGGTGAAAGGGAGGTGGGGAGCTGGGAAGAAGGAACAATACGTGTTTGATAGTAGGGATTAGAGCTGGTTTGTTCAAAGAGCGGGGAGTTTGGGGGCGCTGGGTTAGGAAGCTGGAAACCAGATGGAGTTCAGTGAGCCAGGGTCTCATTAAAGTCTTTTCAACTGCAGTGACCTCATCAGATTGATTTAAAAACAGCTGTGGTAGCAGGATGGCGACCAAATTACAGAGACAGAAAATCAAGGCAGAGAGGCACACAGGTTAGAAGCTCCTGCGAGGAGGAGGTGGACAGGGGCTGAGTGGAGTTGCCCCGCAAGGAGGCGTCTGCCCGTCTCCTCTGCAGAAGTTTACTGAGTACCCGCTGTGTGCGATTGTGAGACGGGTACAGAGGTGGGTAAAATAGATGTGCCCCAGATGGTCAGGAAAAGAAATTGCCCTTAGGATTTCAACACAGTTACGGGGAGCAGGTTACTTGGGTGTGGAAGGCTGAAGGAACAGAAGAGGGTGCTGAGCTTACAGAGAGTGGAATAAGTGCGGAGGGCAGCTCTCAGCCCGCAAAGCCGGGGAACAGAAGGGAGGAGGTGGGAAGGCGCAGGAAACCCGCAGCTCCCTCCTCGCCCCGCAGGCCGGCCAGGTGCCCTCTGGCACCCCCTACAGGCGGAGCCTGCCGGCAGCCCAGGCACGGCAGCCTGGGAAGCGTAGTCTGCAGACCTCCAGCCCCAGCCTGCAGAGCAGAGGACAGAGCTGGCCACCCTGGGCCGCGAGACACACCCAGACCTAATTAAACACACACTGATGGTGGGGAAGAGAGGGGAGACGTCAAGCGCCACTTGCAGGATTCTCGCTGGGGAGGCTGAGGAGTCAAGGTCAAAGGATTCCTGGGAAAAGGGTCCAGGAAGGTGGGGCCAACATGTCCCCGAAAGGCGACCCGGAGCAGATGCAGCCGCGTCCTTTGACCTTTACATAGCCTCCAGTGTGTGGCAGCCTCTGCTCACTTGCACCTGCGGAGAGGGTCCCTTGTACCTCTGCCCCTCCTCAAATGCTTGTTCTCCTTCCTGGTGGAATGGTGCCTTGAACTGGAAAGTGTTTTGGTGTCTGCATGTCATTAGTTTTGCTTGGGTATGTCATTGATATTTTTTCTAATTTCTGATAGAGACTAATTGAAAATATTTCCTGATTAGACCTGAGGGCATTTGCCCTCGCCCTGCTTCTCAGCTCTGTGCAGCAGGCATCAGGACTGACAGCCTCCAAGGCGGAGGACCACAGACGCACATGCGTCCCGCTCACAGCGGATGATTCACCTCTGTTTCGGACAATTAAACACACGCAGCCGTGGGTCGGTCCAGCCAGAGAGGCGAGGAGTGTGCTCCGTGTGTTAGGAGGCCCACGGGAGCCATTTTCCTGTGATGTGTTAGACCTTTAGACACGGCCACCAGCCTTTCTTCGTCAACCTAGAGCATGCTTATTTCACAGCGCTTGACCCCATTCAGAATCGTCACCTCACCCCTACCCGTGCAAAAGTGCTTCACGTCCTGGCCTCTGTCAGCTCCAGCCCACCCTACCCCTGCTGCCAGAAGGCACCTCCTACCACGCAGCTCCAGTCCCCCTGCTCCCCAGCTCCAACACCCTTACAGGCTCCCCAGTGCCCCAGAATTAAGAATTGACTTCCAGAGCCTTATCTATTTGCTTTTCTTAAACACATCCTTCCCTGGCTCACCTGTTCTGGGGCTTGAGTGTCTCCCTGAGCGCCCACTAGATGAAATCCCACCAATCTTTCAAGACCCGTTCAGATGCGTTCTTCATGAATGCTTTGGGGAGCGCAGTCCCCACACAGTGCTTGGAGACCTCACTGTTTTCTAATGGAGCTGTCCTTGCTTGTGTAGGGTGATTCTGGGTCCCTGTCTTCCCCTCAACACACACACACACACACACGCATACACACACATACACATACACACAGAGACACACACATCTACATGCACATACACATACACATATACACATGCACATACACATACATACAAACACACACATACATATATACACAGACACATGCACATGCACATACACATGCACATGCACACACACACACAACACACACATACAGACACACACGCACTCACCCTTCCTCTCCTTACCTCACCTGCCC
The DNA here is from genome assembly GCF_000001405.40 of Homo sapiens. NCBI lineage: Eukaryota > Metazoa > Chordata > Mammalia > Primates > Hominidae > Homo > Homo sapiens. The sequence goes on along the minus strand of NW_011332701.1, from coordinate 1,301,572 downwards.
TGCGCCAGGAGGGCCCCTGGCCCAGAGCTTTTGCAGCATGGATCTTCTTGCCGTGTAGACACTCATAGGGCGGCATTGACTGGAGCTGGAGCAATGTCCCAGGCATCTCACGCCACAGGTGACCTCTGGGCAGCAGAGATGTGAAGGTGGAAAGAAAAGCAGTTGGTTGTTGGTTAGTCCTTCAGAAACGGAAAACTAGGCAGAAACAGGTTTCATTTTTGTTAAAGTGATTTCACCTCACTATTAAAGCAGCATCTCGGTGTTCAAGGTTGGCCAGTAGAATGTTCTGGAACTCATGAAGTTGTCTCTCTTTCCTCAGAGCAGTGTTTTACAAACTGTGTGAAATCCTGAGACTGCAAAATATTAATAGATACTACGTGTCCAAAGGGGCCCATTATGAAATATTTGAGAAATGCTGGGTTAAAATGTTAAACAGCTAAATAAGTACTTCAGCACAGCCCTTCTCAGAGCCTTTAACACACGAATGCACAATGCAGGACTCCAAGAAGGGAGCATGTGGCATTTCCCACAGATTGACCACGGGAATTCTGGGGTGGGGTGGGGACATTTCGAGGGGAGGGTCTAGTGTTTTCTCATGAACACACTTTGAGAAATGCCGTCTTTGTTTGTTTGTTTTTTCAGACAGAGTCTCAAAAACACTCCAGTCTGTTGCCTAGGCTGGAGTGCAATGGCACAATCTTGGCTCACTGCCACCTCCGCCTCCCGGGTTCAAGCAATTCTCCTGCCTCAGCCTCCCAAGTAGCTGGGATTACAGGCATGCACCACTACGCCCAGCTAATTTTTTGTATTTTTAGTAGAGACGGGGTTTCGCCATGTTGACCAAGCTGGTTTCGAAATCCTGATCACAGGTGATCCACCCGCCTCGGCCTCACAAAGTGCTGGGATTACAGGCATGAGCCACCACACCCAGCCGAAGTGCCGTCTTAAACCACGCACGTCAGGCAGCCTTCCGTCTGCAGTCTTTGAGTACTGTCATCAGAGGGGCCAGTTGGAGTGGTAGGGACAGCATGAAAGACTTCCCAGACCATATGTTTTCTTTAAAAAGAGGCATTCTGTATAACAGCGTGGGCAACAAAGCGTTTTGAGACTTCTGAGACGAGGCGTTCCTCCTGGCGCCTTCATTTTAAAGTGTGTGCTTAGCAGTCATGGCTTGACAGTTGAAATTACAGGCATTCCAAACTGATCATTAAAGCTCTCGTATAATTAGCTTAATGAGACACAAGCCACACAAGATGTCCCAGATAACTCTGTGGTTGTCTCTGTTTTCCAGTTCCTTCCGCAGAGGTCACATCCTGCCAACCCCACCTGCGTGACTCCTCACGGCACCGTTCTCCACCAGACCCTGGATTTCGACGAGTTCATCCCCCCACTCCCGCCTCCACCCTATTACCCCCCAGAGTACACCTGCACACCGTCCACTGAGGCCCAGAGGTTGGTCTCCCGCGGCTGCCCCCATCTCGAAACCACTAAGATGGGCAGCAGTGTCCGGGTGGTGGGAGTTGCAGTGGACCTGCAGGCATGGCGGTGAGAACAGAGGAGGGGCAGTGGAAGGAGAGGGTCTTAGACATACAGCGTTCCCTGTGGCACCTTTGCAACGCAACCCGAAAGAAGCCGGAGGCAGACAGGTGTTGCTGCCTTAAGTTCTCATGAGGTGCAAAGCTGCGGTCACGTTGCAGTCATTTGTGTAACATGTACAGTTTAATGAAAGATGTAATCAGCTGTATGATTATTTGAATTTTAATGGACAGGTCAGTAGAGTTTATTGAAAATGTTGATGTCGTTCCAGAAAAAAAAAAAAAACAAAAGTGCAAATCGCCCAGTGACTGAAGCTTTGATTTCACAATGATGGGAAGTATTAGAAGAGGGGAAGCCCTGGCCGCCCCTGCTCTGGCGGCTTTGAGAGCTGTCAGCACTTCTGCCTCCTCCTTCGGGCAATGACGATGTGATGATTCTGTCTTTTCAGGGGCCTCCACCTGGACTTTGCTCCGTCTCCATTCGGCACTTTGTATGACGTGGCCATCAATAGCCCCGGCCTGCTCTATCCTGCTGAGCTCCCCCCTCCGTACGAGGCGGTGGTGGGCCAGCCCCCTGCCAGCCAGGTGAGGCCTGGGCCCCCAGACAAAGCCAGTTCCCGTGGGAATGCTAGGGACACCGTCCCGGCCTGCCCTCGGAAGGCACCTCACACCGCGCCAGGTCCGAGCTGGCTGTGAGGTGAACACTCATGAGTGCCCTGTGCCGAGGCCCCCGGATGCATTCATCTCTCTTGAAGCCTTTCAGCAAACCTGTGGGATGTTGGTCTTATCAGCCCTGTGCTGTAGATGAGGCCACAGGCTCAGAGAGCGGCACCTGCAGAGACGCCAGCCCGGGCCTGGGGAACCCAGTGTTGGTGCTTTTCCCCTTAGATCCCCAGTTCCATTTCTGCAGCCACGAGTCACAGCCCAGGTGCGTCTGAGCTTTGTGCTGGTAGGTGGTCTGGGATCCAGGTAAAAGGACCTGGGACAGCTCCTGACCCAAGGGGAGAGCCCCCAGGAGCAGAGCTGGGTCCATGGACCGAGTACCCAGGGCGCCCCGGCCTGTCTTGATCACACACTGCCATCACCGCCCTCTGGGGTGGGGAGAAAGCAGCCCTGGATCCCTGGTCCTGTCTGAGGCCAAGAAGCTTCAGGCCAGGGAAGTGCCTCAGTTGCCAGGTCCTTTCAGCCTTCTCTGAGCTGGGCATGCCAGGCACTCCTGCAGCCTCATGGTGCCTGACACGTGACAGGCAGTATGTTCGTGGAGCCTCAGTTTCCTCATCTGTAAAATGAGGATCATAACAGTACCAGGGTTATGGGACGAAATGGGATGTTGTCCGTAATGGAGCCAACAGGACTTGGAACATGGGAAGTTCTGAATTCAGCAAGTCAGTCACCCTTTTGGGGTATTGTTTCCTCCTCATCATCGTTGTTGTCATGACTCAGTGTGGAATGCTGCTAGCCAGGACAGAGAGATGGGGACATCTGGAAAAGTCACGTGGCCCATAGTGCAAGGGATCTTCCAAGGACCCACCCTCCAAGGAACATGGGGTTATGTAAATAGACCAAATCGACAGCTCACTGGTGTCCCTGAAATACAGGGAGAGAAAGCAAACGACTGGAAAACATATTTTAGGATATCATCCATGAACATTGCCCCAATCCTGCTAGAGAGGCCGACAGTCCAGTTTAGGAAATGCAGAGAACTCCCGTGACAGGTGGCCAAGGAGGTCCTGGAGGCCTCGGGGACTGGGGCATGGCTGGGGAACACAGCAGTGAGTTGGAGCAGAGGGCGTGGGCAGGGGAGACTTGCAGATTCACCAGGGAGGGGCGGGGGTAGGGGCTGAAGCCAATTCTGAGCCCAAGCAACAAGCAGAGGAGAGCAGATGACAGCATGACCAGAAGCATCCAGGCCCACCCAGAACTGCACCTGCTTTGGGCTTCTCAGCAGCCGTGGAGCCCCGGATGGTTATCTCTACCCAGATCACTGGCCAGGCACTGGTACCGGGCATCAGATCAGGCCTGGCCAGCTGCTCGCTGTCTGCTGACTCCTGTAAAGACACCCTAGCACAGGGTTCAGACCTTTTGATGTCACCCCCAATGCTCTCCCTGTCACTTTGAGATCCCGAGAGCCCACATGCACGCAAGCCAGGTGGCAATGCTGGTCCCTGTCCCAACCAGTGACCAAGGCAGCGCTGACCCTGAGGAGCTTCTGTGGGTGGAGGAGCAGTTTCCATGTTGGCTGAATAAGCTCACAAGCCCTTCCGACAATCACACCCACAAGGACTGGTCACCGTTGCAGGCAGGGTGGTCTTAGGACAGGAAGAGATGTGACTTCTCTGTGCCCTGTGGAGTCATATATGGACAGCGCATTTAGACGCTGTAAGGTGCCCCGCACCTGGGGAGTCATATATACCACAGGGACCTCCTTCAGGGTGGCTTGTGGTGGGCCAGATCAGCTTCCGGCTGGCCCGTGAGCCCCCAGCACATCCTCACACAAGCAGACAGTCCCCAAGCAGCCACCCTGAAACACCTGGAGCAGCCAGGCAGGCTGCAGACAGTGGCCCCCTGAGCCCCGGCCAGGACCCCCTTTTTACTGTGGGTGCTAGAAGCAGATGTGTGGGAGCTGCCTGTGGAGAGGAATCCTTTAGTCAGGAGGTGGGCATGGCCCTGAAATCCCATTCCTGAACTGGCAGTAATGGAGATGTTCTTAGGTGTTTTTATAAAGCTGAGCTGGGACCTCTGCCTTCCCAATGTTGTTTAGTTTTCCATTTATGATAAAAATAATTCAAATCAATGTTATCAGTGGAGACAGTTGGCTGTGATAATAGTTGTCATCAGCACTGCAAGGGGAGCCCAGTACACTGTGGGGCACCTGTCATGATGTCAGGCCCAATTTGGGGGTCCATGGAAGGTCTGGGAGGTCAGGCTGGGTGGGCATCAGGCATGCGAGGTGCAGGGAGTGGGGCTGGAAGGGCTCCTGAGAGAGGGAACAGCCTGTGCAAAGGCTCAGAGGGAAGAAGGACAGGCACAGCGTATCCCCCAAACAGAAGGTCGTCCGTAAAGAGTCTCGGATGAGTGTGCATGGGTGTTGACCTGTCTGGGTGTGGTGGGTTGAATTCTGAGTGAGTGTCCACCAGATGACAGGAGCTGTAGTTCATAGTGATCAGAGTTAGCTGCCGCTGTCACTGGGGCCTGGGAAATGTGAGAGAGGGAGCCCTACAGAATGACACCATTGCAGGTGGCAGGAGAAAGGCACCCCCACACACGACAGGCTACAGGGCACTAGGCAGGGCTCCCAGGAGCCTGGATTTGCCAAAACCAGCAGTTCTGGAAGAAAGCAATGGGTCAGGTGCTGTCCAGAAGCTAACATCCAGGGCCACGTGGCGCACCATGGAGGGGCTGCTGGTGACCTTGGCAGAGCAGCTTTGATGGGATGGAGGGCAGGGCTGGACCACACCAGGTAAAGGAGTGGACGGCACGTGCGCAGGGGAGCGCAGGTGTGGCTGTGGTTTTCAGACACCAGTGGGTGTCCCTGTGGGGAACTTGATAATCAAATCCTAATGACTGGGCCCACCCCCAGGGCTCCTGAGTCAGTAATTGGGGTATTGAAGTTGGGGGTATAAAAGCCTCAGCCCTGCTGCTGCTCCCACTTTGAGAACAGGAGTAGATCACTCTCGCAGGATGTTTGGTAAAGAGGAGAGAAGATGGGATGGTAGGTAGAGGGGAGTGTGGATCTAGGACCTTGAGGAGGTTACCAGGCAGATGTGGAAGGACCTAGATACTGGGGATGGCAGGCCCAGGACAGGGCCCTCCGTGAGGGAAGCCCCTGGGAAGGCAGAGGGGAGGCTGACCGAGGGTGCAATGGGAAGCTCCATGCTGTAGCCAGCAGGGGCACCGGGCAGGGCGGCAGATGTACCCGGAAACCCCTGAAGGCGGCAGGGGTGTGTGGTTCCCCATGGCTGCCTTGTGGCGCGGGGGCAGCTCTGTCCCCTTCACCGCCTCTGCTCAGTGACCCTGCCTGCTGCCATCACAATTCCGGCTCTGCACTGGGACTGGCTCTGAGCCTGCTTCCCGGTTCTCCCTGCCCCTTGGACCCCTCTGCCTCCTGACGACAGGAACCCCTGTCCGTGGAGCCCAGGCCCTGGCTTCCCAAGGGCCCTGCCTGCTGGAAGTAGCTTCTGGACCTGGGTGTGCCATTCAATGTCTGACCTCACAGCGGCCCCCGGAAGGAATGGGTTCCTGTTGTGTTCATAGTTTTACTGTTTTCTCTGAAGAATAGAATATATTGGAAGGGATCTGGCTGGTTCTGAAACCAATACGACACCCTTCTCCAGAACTCTGGGGAATTCTCTCAGTTGAGATCTCTTTCTCAGAACTGCGGTGAGAACAGCTGAAAGGCCAGAGGCTGATCTCGAATTAGCATGTGTTGGCTCGGAGACCCCCAGCTCCCAGTGCTGGCAGGGGCACAGCACGACCGCCTGCAGGGCCTGTCCCTGGGCGCCCGCCTGGCAGCAGGGCAGCATCTGGTGATGAAGGGGCCGCTAGAGCCCTCGGGCCCACTGTCTTTGACCCCATGGCCTGGGAGCACTTTTCAATTCACGGCCGTGTCTGGGAGTCTGGAAGTCAAAGAAACCCATTACCGTCCACAGAGGGAAGGCCGTGCCGCCAGCTGCACCACCAGCTGTCCCCTCCCCAGGCAGCAAGGCCCCTCTGACTAGACAGCAAGGAGCACCCCTTCACAGCACGACCCCGCAGCCCGGGCGAGGCAGGGTCAGTAGTGCTCCTCCTTGTTAGGACAAATGGCGTAGAAAGTGCCCTCGGCCTCAGTTTGGATAAAGAGAGGAGGCTGCAGAAGGCGGGCTCTGTCGGGGAGGAGCTGACTCTGGGGCGGGGCAGGGGGTGTGCTGGGGAAGAGGTTTAACCCAAGAGGGGGCGGCCTCCACGAGGGTGGGCTCCGTGAGCACTCGCATGGGTGACGGGCCGTGCACACTTCCCTTCCGGCTTAGGTCAGGTCAGATGCCATTCTCTTTCCTGTGGTTTGAGGCTGTACTCTTCAGCCAGTGTTCAAGGAGTGAGTTTCTTTTGATAGCAGGAAAGTGATTGAGAAATTACCAGTTTGATCTTCTTGTCTGGGTGGCAAGCGTATGGTTCAGGGGCCACTGACGACGGTGGCCCTCCAGAGGATGTAGGACAGAATCCCCCTGTCGTGGCACTCTCGCACTCTCACATGGAGACCGGACAGACACGAACTCCTTTGAGGCTTCTGCAGAGGAATCGGGCCTGGTGATCTGGGTGGGCTGGGGTGCGTGTAGAGGGGGAGGTGATATGGGGGGGCTTGTCGGGCTGGGGTGTGTGGAGGAGGGGGAGGTGATGTGGGGGGCCTAGGGTGTGTGGAGGAGGGGGAGGTGATGTGGGGGGCCTGGGGTGTGTGTGGAGGGGGAGGCGATGTGGGGGGCCTGGGGTGTGTGTGGAGGGGGAGGCGATGTGGGGAGCTGGGGTGTGTGGAGGAGGGGGAGGTGATGTGGGGGGTTGGGGTGTGTGTGAAGGAGGGGGAGGTGATTTGGGGGACTGGAGTGTGTGGAGGGGAGGTGATGTGGGGGGCCTGGGGTGTGTGGAGGAGGGGGAGGTAATGTGGGGGGCCTGGGGTGTGTGTGGAGGGGGAGGCGATGTGGGGGGCTGGGGTGTGTGTGGAGGGGGAGGCGATGTGGGGGGCTGGGGTGTGTGGAGGAGGGGGAGGTGATGTGGGGGGCCTGGGGTGTGTGTGGAGGGGGAGGCGATGTGGGGGGCCTGGGGTGTGTGTGGAGGGGGAGGCGATGTGGGGGGCTGGGGTGTGTGTGGAGGGGGAGGCGATGTGGGGGGCCTGGGGTGTGTGTGGAGGGGGAGGCGATGTGGGGGGCTGGGGTGTGTGTGGAGGGGGAGGTGATGTGGGGGGCTGGGGTGTGTGGAGGAGGGGGAGGTGATGTGGGGGGCCTAGGGTGTGTGGAGGAGGGGGAGGTGATGTGGGGGGCTGGGGTGTGTGGAGGAGGGGGAGGTGATGTGGGGGGCTGGGGTGTGTGTGGAGGGGAGGTGATGTGAGGGGCTGGGGTGTGTCGAGGGGAGGTGATTTGGGGGGATGGAGTGTGTGAAGGGGGAGGCAATTTGGGCGGCTGGTGTGTGTGGAGGAGGGGGAGGCGATGTGGGGGGCTGGTGTGTGTGGAGGGGGAGGTGATGGGGGCTGGGGTGTGTGTGGAGGGGGAGGTGATGGGGGCTGGGGTGTGTGTGGAGGGGGAGGTGATGGGGGCTGGGGTGTGTGAAGGAGGGGGAGGTGGTGCAGGTGAAGGTCACAGCACCAGCTAAGGCGCATGGCAGGACAGCCTGGAGCCTGGCTGTGGGAGCTTCAGCACCCCAGGGCTGAAATCATTTGGGCAGATATTTTATGGCTTTGGATGTCAAACTGTAGAAGTGCCCTTGAGGAGTTTGGCGTCTTGGGTGCGACCCAGTGATGCTTTAGGAGTTTAATTTGGTGGCAGCATGCCAGGTGGAAGGGAACCTGAGTGCGAGACAAGGAGTTGTGAGAAGGGAGAGGGACCAGCAGAGTCCAGGAGCAGCACCAGGTCCTGACACTTACGATCCACATAAAATCTGTTAGCAAAGTGTCTTCAAAGTTTGCCTTGAGCCACCAGCCTAAAATTTTAACTCACATTTTCCATAATCGCTGGAATTGCCCCAAACGAAGAGCTCTTCATAAATCTGTTTCTAATGGTTGGCCTCACCCAGGAGTGGGAAACTACAGAATGGGGCAGAATTTCCATGCAAGTGTCTTAGCTTCATACAATTTGAATTATTTGTTGAAAAGCCAACTTATTTTCCAGTTACGATGACTGTTCAGAATAGCACATCTGCAAACCAGTAAGACCCAGGTGAAGTGATTCCCACAGCGTCTCCTGTCAACAGCCCTCTCCCCGCTGTCCTTCTGTAAGGAGCTGTGTTTATGAGCTTCCTCACTGAACTCAAATTTCAACTTAAATTCTATGCCACAAATATATTTCTTCCCCACCCTTTTCTACTGCTGTTATAGTTCATCAAAAATGCTGTATGAAAGGAAGTGCTATTTTCCCCATGGCTTAGCGTGGCAAGGTGGCTTCTGACATCAGGGAAGGGCCACATTTAAATTAAACTCTTGACAGTCTGCTTGCGAGAGGTGATAGATAGGCTCCCAGGAGCTGCCTCCTCTGGAAACCAAATCTGACCGGGAGCCAGAAGGAAGTGAATGATGCTTCTGCACAACATGAAGTGAATCCAGTTTCCTCCTGACCTTGTCCCACTGTATATTTTCTTTCTCTTGTTTTATTTATATTTCTTTATTACCAGAAGATTTTCTTTTAGACAGCGGAGTTCTAAGTTAACCACCCGTCTACGATCCAAAAGAAAAGCCAGTCCGAGAGAGGGTTAGATACGGGAGGGGAGACACAGGATGAAACAAACCGTTAGGACATTGTTCGCTCTTTGTGATTCAGTGGAAGGTTCTGGACAGAGATTTCCAGGACTGGTTATTGGCACATAATGACTTCAGTGAAAAAGCAGGTGGGTGCTGATGGTGGGGTGAATTCTCCCTCACCGACTCCCTCCCAGCAGAATGAGAGGGCTAAGGAAGAAAAATAGTATGGACCGTATTATGCGAAAGCATCTTAGTGAGATCAAAGGACGCACTTGGGCAGCTCTCCGTCTTCTCTTTGTCTCGGAACCACCTCTCGAGCCCCACGCTGTGGGGGCAGCTCACACCCTTTGTGTGGGTGGGAAGGCTGCAGCCCCAGCCCCCGCCCTGGTGTCAGCCTGGTTGAAGAGGAGAGATGAAGGAGACCAGCTATCTGATTGAAGTGGCGGGAGATAAGGGAGGCAGAAATGTAATTACCTGAGCTGGAATCAGACCAAGTCGCAGGAGCCCCCCTCACCTTCCCAGTCTCCTCTGGAGCTCATTATTTGCAAGTGTATCCCCAAAGCAATTCTGAAATAACACAGGGATTCAAAAAATTGTTTTCTGAGGTAGCATGGGGTGCATGGGGGTGCTCATGCAACATGTGTGTAGCTGGCATCACATCCAAACATCGCATCCGGGAGGCCCTGATGCCCTCTGAGGTGGAAACCATGGCCCACGCAGAATGGGCAAAATGAAGATGGGGCAGAGAGCAGAGGAGGTATAGCCTTCCCCTTATTCTGAGGCCTCTCCAGGCGGAATCGGAGTATATCCAAGAAGAAAGCTGAAAAAAGCAGGGCGTGGTAGCTCATGCCTATAATCCCAGCTACTCAGAAGGCTGAGGCCTGAGGATCGCTTAACCCCAGGAGTTCGAGTCTGCAGTGAGCTATGATTGCACCACTGGACTCCAGCCTGGGCCATGGAGCGAGACCTTGTCTCTAAAATGTATAAATAAAGAAAAGAAAAAGAAATCGAAAGCCACAAAAGCTCGATGACTGTGCAACTCGTAGGCTCAGGTGGCTCTGTGGCCCTGCCAGGCTCTCTGATTGCAAAAGTTCAGAAAAATAGGCTTTCGGCCAGGGGCGGTGGCTCACACCTTGTAATCCCAGCACTTTGGGAGGCCAAAGCAGGCGGATCGCCTGAGGTCAGGAGTTTGAGACCAGCCTGGCCAAGATGGCAAAACCCCATCTCTACTAAAAATACAAAAAACTAGCTGGGCACGGTGGTGGACACCTGTAATCCCAGCTACTCAGGAGGCTGAAGCAGGAGAATCGCTTGAATCCGGGCAGCGGATGTTTCAGTGAGCTGAGATCGTGCCATTGCACTCCAGCCTGGGTGACAGAGCAAGACTCCGTCTCAAAAAAAGAAAAAAGAAAACTAGACTTTGGCCTTGGCAAGGACAACTTGAACCCTCACACCCCACCTCATAAATGTAGGGGAGAAGAGTGGAGGTGTGGATGAACGTCTCTCAGCGCTTCCCACCAGGAGACAAGTTTAAGCGCCTACACTACTGGAGGCTGCTGTGCTGCGTTCCCACGGACCAGCCGCCTTGACGCTTTCTGTTTCTTACTGTAGGTTACAAGTATAGGTCAGCAGGTGGCCGAGTCCAGCTCCGGGGACCCAAACACCAGTGCTGGCTTCAGCACTCCAGGTAAGCTTACCTCTTTCAGCTCCTGAAGTGGGGTGTTCCTGTTTTCAAGGGTGTCTCTTTTTCGTCCTCGTCCTATTCTCTTCTCTTCTCTTCTCTTTTTCCTCCTCCTCCCTCCATTTCTTACTCTTTAAGAGGGTGGAGTTTGCAGCAGTCTTTCCCATTAAATACCCTGTATATCCCCACATTTCTTCCTGTGTCTGCATCCACTACAGTCAGCATATGCAGGAGATCTCCTGCGCTCTCCGGGGAGACCTTGTCCTCCTCTGCCCCACTTTCTCACTTGAGGGATATGGATTTGAAGAAGAGCACGACTCCATCTAGGGTCCCCTTTCCAGAGCCAAAGTTGTACCTACCGGGCAAATGTCCACACGGCACCTCCCTCTGAAGAAGGTGGCTGGGCTGGGCGGCTGGCAGGAGGGTGCAGGCTGGAAGTCATGTCCTTGAGGGCATTGAAGGACACGTGTGCAAGGGTCAAATCCCCAGACACAGAGGGTGGGTGTCGCGTGCAGAGCCGGGGCGGGGGAGGTGGTCTAAGGCTCCAGGAAAGCAGAAGGGCCCTTAGCAGCAGAGGGAGAAAGGGCACGGAGGCCAAGTGAGCCAGAGAGCCACCATCTTGAGGCCCCTGCGAGGGGTCACATGGGCTGGCTTATTTGGAGAACAAAGTTAGATAACTCATGTGATCCCACAGAGGGCCAGGATGATCGCCCCAGGGCGCTCTGTCCCCTGCTGAACACTCACTCAGCATCTAAGAGAAACAGGAAGGAGCCATCTTTCTGAGGCCACCGGGGGTTGTAGAGCGCAGCATCTTTGCAGTCGTGGGATTTGGAAGCAATCTTTTCCTTCCTTTGGTCACTCCAAGCCATCAGAGGCTGTTCAAGAAGGTATTCAGTGACTTTCCCACGGCCAACCCAGGGTACAGTGTATCTCAGTCACTGTCACAGGGCGGCCACACCTGCAGCATTCCAGGGTTTGGGCTGAAGGGGGCTGGTGCTACCTGAGCCCCTTCCTGTTTCCCATCTCAGGGCAGGTGGAAATAGACAGGGGTGCTCCTCACCCAGAATTCAGCAGGGCTGGATCTTCCTCCCTCCTGGGACCTCGGCGGTGAACTCTACAGCTGACCCAGGGACCAGCAGAGCTTCCAGCACCGAGGCTTCTGCTGGGGTACAGGGGTCAGGACTCTCCTGAGTAGAGGACCACCTTGGTGGCTGTGTGACCCTCAACCCTTCCCTGTCTAAGCCCATTTCTGCAGCTGTAGGGTGGGGGTAACCTGGGGCTGCCTCACAGACGGACAGGAAGGATGAAGTGGGAGGTGGCCTGAAAAGCCTGTTGCCCATGGGCAGGCTCACAGACGCAGGGAAAAACAGAAAGGGATGGCAGGAACAGACCCAAAGCCCCCACGCCTGGAGGAGTCCAGGCTTCTGTGATCTATGAAGTGTCCCCCATGCAGGCAACTCCACTGTGGCGCCAGGAGGGGGCTCTGAGGGCACCTGGTGATGGGAGGGGAGAGTGCAGGAGCAGCTTATCACACTGTCACATGCATGCACACCCCGTGGAGATGGTATTAAAACAGACTCCGATCCAGCCCCCGTAGAGTGGTTCCCGGCAAGAGCCCAGCCCTGACCAGCATCCCGGTCCAGACCAGCAGTTCTTACAGTTTGGAGGGCATCAGAATTCCCTGGAGGGCTCGCTTCAACCCCGGTGGCTGGGCCCAGCGCCAGAGTCTCTGCTTCCATGGGTCTGGGGTCCAGCTGAGAGTCTGCATTCCCCGCTTGTTCCCAGGGCAAGGCTGCTGCTGCTGCTGGCGTGGCGTCCACACCCTGAGAGCCAAGGCCAGTGTCTGGTGGGCGGAGTTTATCCCACCTGCCTGCACCACCCTGTCTGGCTGCACTCCAGGCCCGGGGCTGCACCCCTGCAAGGGCGGGCCTGAGATCTGGCCTGCCGCGACCTGGTGGGGATGCCTTGATGTCCCTTGGGGCTGCTGTGTACCCCTGCACTGGCCCTGTTCACCCAGACCAAAGCGTCTTGTGACCAAAGTGTCTGATTTCTGACTTTTAGTCTCTTGTGTAGTGTGAAGGGTCTAAGCCCCCGAACCATGCCATTCCTGGAATGATTTCTGGGAGCTCATCTGGTGCCCCCAACTTTCAACAGCATAAAGCAGCATTTGTCAATCTTATCCAGTGTTTCCGCACCCCCAGGGTTTCAGAGTTCATCTAGGTCTGGAGTTTGAGGGGCAGGCCTGTCCCACGACAGCGTCCCCTGCGGCCGCCCACTCTAATGCCATGTCCCTTCTCTTGCAGTACCAGCTGACAGCACAAGCCTCCTGGTGTCCGAGGGCACTGCTACGCCAGGTTCCAGCCCATCCCCCGATGGCCCTGTGGGCGCCCCAGCACCCTCCGAACCTGCCCTTCCCCCTGGCCGCGTGTCTCCAGAGGATCCTGGCATGGGCTCACAGGTGCAGCCAGGTCCCGGGCATGTGTCCCGCTCCACCAGCGACCCCACCTTGTGCACATCTAGCATGGCAGGTAGGTTGGCCAGGCTCACCCATGTCCCCAGAGTGTGGCCAGCTTTCCTTGGATGCTGCAGGTCTCAGTGACCCCTGAGAGTGGAGGCCCGGCCCTGCAGATCCTGTCTGGGGCCACACTGGGAATGTGGTCTTGATGACCCCTGAGCCAGGGGTGGGTGGGGAGCAGCCTGTGGGCCCCTCTGCACCCCACCAGGCTTGTCACTCTGGCAGGGGAGGAAGGATTCAAGGGGCCCGGGGCCCAGTCCAGGACATTAGCTATAAGTGCTGCACACGTGCTCCAGGGCCCAGAAAAGGCCTAGAGTCTGGCACAGGACAGATGACCCCCAACGATAGCTCTGGGCATGGGGGTGTCTTCAGCTGGAGCCGCCCCACGCAGACACAGGTGCGTTTTCAGCAGCATTTCCCAGGCAGCTTGGCTCTCCACACAGCCCAGAGCTTTCAAAAATCGCCCCATGCGACTGTGTCTGCGGGCAGTGCCCTGGAGCCTAGGACCTGGCACCAGGTCCCTGTGGCCAGCAGCGCAGGAATTTGCATTTCACAGTAGCTCCCCGGGAGTCTTGGGCACCCCCGGCGCTGGAGAACTCACACCCAGTCCTCATCACTGTCTTTTGAGAGGAGGCACAGTTTCTGCCAATAAAGATTGGTGGGCCTTTGACCTCCATGCCATTGCTGTGGGGACTTTTCATGAAGTGGAAGTGCAGGAACCCTGAAGAGGGCGCAGTGGGTCCTGGCTCAGTCTCCCCTCGATGGTCTTGCCCAGCTGATCTCTACTGGAGCCCGGAACCGAGTCCCTGAAAGGAACCAGGGCCCGCAGTGGCCAGTTGCCTGGAGGTACCCTCCTGGTGGAAATACCAGGTTTGGCACATGTGGACTCCCTGGCTGCGGTCATCTCTGTATTCCTCCTTCCTGCATCCCATTGCCAGCTCACAGGGAGAGAGTCCCGTCAAACCTTCTGAAACACCCCCCTCTGCTGGTTTCTTGAGCTCCGGAACCTCTCTCCACCATGCTCACATTCACTCACTGAGGTTTGGAGGAGGATGCCCTGTACTTGGAGGGGCTCATGGGTCCACTCTGTGGCCCCCTGATGGCTTTGTTGGGCCTGTCCCTCTCAGTGAAATTCACACCTCGGCACCCACACACCCGCCTGACGCCTCTGTCCCCTCTTGGCTAGGCTGATGTGCACGCCGCAGGCACGTGCCTTCCAGGGTGCCTGGAGCCCTTCAGGTGAGGGTGGGAATTCCCATGAAGGGTGCTGGGCTTTCTTTGAGCCACTGGCCCATTGCACTGTGTCAGGGTGGGACCTGGGACACCACTTGACCCACGGCAGGCCTGGCCAGCTGCAGGGCGGTTCCTGTCTGATCTGCCGCTGGGTGGGTGTCAGCTCAGCAGGCTTCTCCTGCTTGCTCGCCATCTAAAATGTCTTAGTCACAGGCGGGTTATGATAGCTTTCTCAGGAATTCCTTTTTCCTTTCATGTGTTCACTGAATTCTCCTTCTGGTTAAGGCGATGCCTCTTCACACAGGCCGTCGTGTAGCCAGGACCTGGAAGCGGGACTGTCTGAGGCTGTGCCTGGGAGCGGTGAGACGCTTCTTTTCTAAAGCGCTTTGACTGCGCCTGCTGGGAGGTGGGGCGGGTGTTGGTGGGTCCTTGGCTACATTGTTTCCAAATGCAGCTCCTCACCCCACCCCCGGGAATGGGGGCTGCCCACTGTCTGGCTTTGAGGGCCTTTCTCTTCCTTTGTCTCTCGGTGCACTTATATCCAGGGCTAGCACTAATTTAACACACCTGTGACTGCTCAGCCCACTTTATGAGATTTCATCTGGGGTAGATGGGCCCCACCTGGGAGTTTCTTAATTTCTCATGTTTAATTGCTAGGCTTTCCAGTTGCCACCAAACAAGACACCAGAACAGACGACCCAGAATGTTCCAACTTTGTGTGGCGTGAAGCTCAGGCTGGGCAAGCCGGGCCTTCGCTGGTCCTTGTTGGCGTCCCTCGCCACTGACAGCCCGGAGCTGGCCGTCTTACAGGGACCCTCAGCCCAGTGTCCAGCCTGTGGGTCATGCAGAGAGGCTGTCAGCTCTGTGGGGAGCTGGAGCCAGGTCCCCAGCCTCTGGCCTGGCAGGCAGTGGAGCAGGGCACTGAGTGGTGGCTGCCTGCACCTGGCATGATGGGGGGGGCGGTCTCATGTTCCCTCTGCCACCCCCAGTTCTGGTCTTAAGGCAGACCCTGTCTCTAGATGCCATGATTCTGCCCCAGCAAGAGATCAGACCCAAAGGGGCAAAGGTCGTGGAGGCGAGAAGACTGGGAAGGACCAGCCCCTGTGCCCTTGGGATTCTAGCAGAGGGCAGAAGTGGGTCGCTGCCTGCTGTGGTGGCCCTTCCCCCCAGGCCTTCGCTCCTGGAGGCTGCAGCCCCTGGAGGTTGACACTAGTTCAGTTTGGGGTTGAGAAGGGGAGGAGGGATGGGGACAGCAGGGCATGCCCAGAGCGCCAGCCCCAGGAACACAGAAACCCCAGCAGGAGGCTCCTCCCGAGCAGGCTTTTCTTTGCTTTTGAGTTAACTTCTTATTTCAGTGAGTTTTGAACTGCACTTTTGCCCTTGATTTTTAGCTTCCATGTCTCGCTCTGCCACGGCTGCCTGTCGGGCCCAGCTTTCACCAGCGGGGGACCCAGATACCTGGAAAACTGACCAACGGCCAACACCAGAGCCCTTCCCAGCGACCTCCAAAGAGCGGCCACGCTCTTTAGTGGACAGCAAGGCCTATGCGGACGCCAGGGTTTTGGTGGCCAAGTTTTTGGAACACTCACACTGTGCCCTCCCCACCGAGGCACAGCACATGGTGGGTGCCATGCGCTTGGCTGTCACCAACGAGGAGCGCCTCGAGGAGGAGGCCGTCTTCGGCGCTGATGTTCTGGACCAGGTATGAAGGAGCCACATTTCTGACCGTGGACACCAACGCCTGGCGCCACAGATGTTCTTGGCAGAAGCCATCATGCCTGACAAAGAGGCCTTCAGGCCCAGCTTGGCGGAGGATAAATGTGGGGGGGACACCCAGGATGATCTGGGGGCGGTGTGGGCAGGGAACTGTTACCCCCTCTCTCGAGGGGAGCCGAGCAGTGTCTCTTTGGGGATTGCATTTCCTGCCTAGCCCAGTAATTCGGAAAGATGACTTTCACGTCCACAGTGAACTCTCTGGTTTTATCTGGCGTGCAGCACCTTGAACTGAGCAGTGTTGCACAAATGTGAATACAGCAACAGGCGACACTTACGTCACCTAAAGACTCAAAGTATCTCCAAAATCAGGGCCTTCCAAAGCAGGAGTCTCCCATCCCCCATTTAACTTAGTGTTCAGTGGACAGAGGGTGACATCGAGTCATGAAACATTTTCTCATGTGGCTCGATGGCTCTATCATTAGGCGTTCATCACGCTCTGGCCTATTTCCTGTGAAAGGAAATAGGTAGTGTTAGCACAGATGGCAGCCTGGGCCCAACTTTCTGTCCACAGGGCTATTGTGCAAACAAATGTGCAGTGCGGGCCTCTGCCATAGCCCGGCCCCCCCCAGGGAACAGGCCGGTGTTGCGGGGGTTGGAGGAACCCACCATCTCCTGGGCCTTGAGCTCGGCCTCCCTCCGTGGGGTGCCTTCCCCCCCTCCTCTTGGGCCCCCTTTCTCCAGGCTCCCATCCTGTCCCTGGAGCAGTTGTGTGATCCGTAACAACAAGTGCCGATTCCCAGCTCCTTTGTGTCTGAGCTCACTTGATTGAGCTCAGCGGGTCACAGTTCTGCAGGAGAGAGGCCGGTTTCTCTGAGAAGTAGCCCCTCCTGATAAAGCAGGTCCCTTTGACCCAGAGCTGACCTTTCCCCGGGCATGCGGCAGCAGACACACCTGCGCAGGAGGATCATAAACCACTTACAAACCCACGCGAGAAGGGAAGCAGACACCCAACGTGCTGCTTATGGAGAAGCAGACACGCCCAGCTTGGGGACAGCCTGGGGACCTTGGACTTTCTTAGCCCCCATCCCCTTGTTTTCTGGTGGCATCAGTGGCAGCTGCTCCCAACAATGGCCGTGGAACAGCGCCATCCACGAGAACTTTGTGCAGTGATGGAAATGCCTGTTCAGGGCCACTAGCAGCCACAGCCCCTGAGCTGCGTTGGGTGGGCCCTGCGGTGAACAAAACAGCCTAGAGGCCAAGGTCTCCCCAGAGAGCCCATGAGCCTGGCATGGGGGCACAGGGGGACCAGAGGGTGTCTTCCACTCCTGGGTGCCAGGGCAGGGGGCTCACGCTGCTGTTCCCTCGGCTTTGTGGGGCTTGTCCTTGAGCTCCCCCAATTCCCTAATGCCACTGTGGCCAGTGTGCTGGGGAGCTTCTGTGTGGCTGGAAGCTGGGAAGGGGGTGAGGTTCCAATCCAGGTGCCCAGAGCCTTCCTCCAGTCCTTTATCCCTGCCCTGGGGGCTGCGGTGTGGGACTCCTTCAGCTGTGGTCGGCTGAAAAGGCTTCGATTGCTTTAGAGAGCTGAAAACACATAAGCCAGGCCTTTTGATGACAACCTGCACTTTTGCAGGAGAGACGTACTAGAGATGAATTTTTGAGCACTTTATTCAGACTATAAAACAGGAAATCTCTAATTTTCCTCAAGTGGGGGCTTTTGAATTCCCTCAAGGCAAGTCCCTTTGCAGGTGAAATTAATTGGTGGATTTTCAGAATGGCCGCCCTGGAGCCGAGCTTCAGCCACGCCTGACGCCCTGGCCTCTGAATCTCCACTGTCTCTGAGGTGCGCTGGGGCCACACCGCAGGGGTTTCACCTGCTTGGGGGGGTCCACACTAGGGCTTGGGGGTTCACACAGCATTGTCCCTGGGCTGAGCCCTTGGGTGGGCTAGAGCTGCAGTCCTCAGACATGGCTGCAATTCCAGCGAGGCCAAGACCACCAGCCACCCAGTGGACTCGGTCTCTGGGGTGTTCTCCTCATGCAGCCGGGGCAGAGGCCTACTGGACCCCCTCAGCCTGCTGCTCAGCATCCTTCCCTTCTCTGCAGCAGGGCCCGGTCCCAATGGCCAATGGGGCTGCTGCCCCAGCAGTGCCTCCCTGCGGGCCCCTCACCTGCACCCCACCTTCACCCAGCTCTGGGTTTGCGCTGGTGGCAGCTCTGTTTTGTGGATACGGAAACTGTACCCAACTTGATGCCGCTGGGCTGGAACCTTCTGCCCCTTCGAAATGAGGCAGTCAGGGACGGGGTGGGGTGCCCCCATCAGCCCCGCTGCTCAGGGCCACTCATGGACTCTAGGAGGGTCCAGGTTCTGGGCTTCCTGGGAAGGTCCCCAGAAGAGAGAGGTGCTGGTAGACTAGGGAATGTGCTGGCAACTTGACCCAGCAGCTGTGGTCCCCTTGGCCCCGGCTCCACGGTATCCGGGTACCAGCAGCAAGAGCCCAGGCCCCGGGCTGCACGTCAGCTCACAGCCCAGGAGAAAGCTGGCTGCTTCCCCTCCCTATGCGTCTTTCCCCCGCTCCAATCATGCTCCCTCTGGGATCTGAAATGGGCCAACTGTGGCTGCTTTGGGGGTGACACGCTCCTTCTCCAACTCAGCTGGGCCCCGGGCATCCCCTGCCCTCCCCTGAGACCCAAAGGGGGTTGGCACCTGCTGTGACACCACCGTTGACCCCAGCCTGGGGGCCACAAGGTTGCTGAGTGGGGAGAACATGGACCCCAACTCTATGGCAAGCAAGATCGCAGAAGGGGGAGCATCATCCGCAAGGACTTCAGGTCTCCCTTGGCTGGAGATGAGGATCCACATTAAATGTTTGTAACACACCAGGCCACAGAAAGCTCGCTACACACAGATGCTTCTCCCCACCCATGCTGACTCTCAGAGGCTGCTAAGGCAGAATTTATAGGAAATTGTTTTCAAGCCACCAGAGACCTGTCTGTACAACTGGAAAGGCTGTATTTATTTAATGTACCTCAAGGTGTTTTAATAATGATCCGTGTTTTAATAAAAAGAAGTATTTCTGGCCTCTGTGTCTCTGAGGTCTAACTGGGACAGAGGCAGGCTGAGAGGCTGTGTACCCCAGTGGCCAGGGGCAGGGTCCTGAGAGGACCTTGCAGTAGCCAGCCGGGGAGCCTGAGATACCCATGCCACTCAGCTGTGCTTCCAGAAGCCTTCCGGAGAGGGTCAACTCCGGGGCAGAGTGGGGAGGGCCAGGGCCTGGACACACCCACGCCCGTCCACGCTGGCCATGGCAGCCCCTCCATGGACATGGCCTCCAAGGGCTGCTGGGAGGAATGCAGGCCATGGCTCAAATGTTTTCTTAAATACAGGTTTTTTAAAGATGTGTATGATTTGGTGGGAGTCCTGCCTGCATGTCCTCAGCTAGCCAGGGCTCTCTCCCTGGGACCTGCTTCCCTGCCTTGTCCTGGGCACAGCAGGAATGTCCCCCTTGGCCTCCTGAGTGGAATCCCGTTCCCTCCAGCTTTGACTCAGGCGACATTTCTCTTCATTCCCCAAGGATGTGGCCATCCCTGGCATTCTTGTTTGTTGGCCACGTCGAGAATTGTATTTGCTTTTCATTCTTAAGCATATTCATTCAGAGCGAGTGCATATACATTTCGGCATATACGCAGCTCTCTGTGACAGTCTCCTATG
Organism: Homo sapiens; assembly: GCF_000001405.40. Taxonomy (NCBI): domain Eukaryota; kingdom Metazoa; phylum Chordata; class Mammalia; order Primates; family Hominidae; genus Homo; species Homo sapiens. The sequence continues at coordinate 1,281,767 of NW_011332701.1, read as the reverse complement.
GAACAGCTTTCTTTGCCTCTACCATGTATACTTTCTGGGAAGAGGGAGGCACAAAGCTGGTGTGCGCCTTGAAAGGCTGTCTCTTTTATATGCCCCTGATGGCCAAGGTCATGCTGGAGCAAGCCCTTGGCCCACACCCTCTGGGCGGCTAGGTGAGAGTAAGTCTTCTCCTTACTCTGCAGTTCCCCAAGAATCCTGGGCCGTGAAGGTGGTCAGTGCCCACAGCAAGGAGCTCACGCTGCTGTGGGCAGGCCAGAGAGGAGGGCTCCTGCCCATCCAAGACCCACAGCCTAACCCAGCTGGACCCCAGGCCACCGCCTCTGAACAAAGCCCATGCTTGCTACCTGGCTTTCCCACACCAGGTGACACCAGAACGGTGGCCATGAAGAAAGGTAAGTAAGTGCTGGCAGAGCTGCCAGAATTGTCACTCTAGACAGGCTGCAAAGGACCCACAGGTGCAGACAGGGTGCTGGGATGGGCGGTCCGGCTTTTACACACGCACACGCATGCACACCTTTCCCAGGGGCCATTTACGTTGAAATCTGAAGAAGCCCAAGGCTCCCTGGCTCCCTCATTCCATTAGTGAGTGCTCTGCGGACGTGTCTCCCTGCTGGGGCAAGTGGGTCAAGAACCTGGCGCTGACCCCGTGACCTGGTAGCATTGCTGGCACCTCCAGTTGCAGCGTGGCGTTGCCCAGCTGACACCTGGTGCCCAGAGCACCCACCCACCGAACTCATTAGTGACAGCTTCCAAGGTTCAGGATCCAGGAGGAGCACAGAGCAGCTGTGGCTGCCACCGCATAGTGAATTTGCAGAGCCGCATCCAAGCTATGAATGAAAGGACAGGCGGGCACCTGCCGCTGAGGTAACAGACCAGTCACACACACGGCTTTTCATCACGACTTCAGGTTTATTAGTGATATGCGCGAAGTCTTCCTACGGGTAGCTGCATGCAACACACGGCACTCCTCGAATACAGTCATCCTAAAGCTTTAGTTACTGCGTGGTAAGGCTTCTTAAGTCACAGTGTATTCTTCAAGGCCTGGGCCAAAAAAAGAGACTTCGAGACAAGATGACGTCAGATTACATGGATCGCTAATGAACCGAGCTGGACTAGATCCGACTTGATCTACACACATGCCACTACTGCTCAGGGCCACTGCGCCACGCTGGCCAAGGGGTCTGCACTCACGGCTGGCTGCTTTAGGTGCGGCCAAGGTCGCGTTTTCTAGAGTGGGTTTCGTTTCCTCGGGGTCGCATGTGCGTGGATGTGTGTAGATCGATTTTAAAGAGGGGGCAGACACCTGTGCCCTCCTTGTCTCTGTGGGAGCCCTGGCCGGGTATGCAGCCGGGTGGGAGGGTGCCCAGAAGAGACGACGGGAGAGGCAGGTGTGGTCATTAGTCACATTGGAAAACCCTAGAGTCTGGAAAAAAGCCTGCCAAAATAAAAGTCCAAACAGTAATAATAGCATCTAAATAAATATGGAGTTTTCATGTTGTGGCCATCATCCTTTATTTACAATCAATCAATCAATCAATCACATGTCCCCAAACTTTCATTACAAGTCGTGTCCTGGGAGCCAGGCTGCCCGTGTCCCTGCAGTCAGTGGCAGAGGCAGCTGTTTGGGACCATTGTGGGGGCCCCACAGGACCCCAGACGTCCCAGCCAAGGGGGCGGGAGGCAGGGGTGACGGCTGCCCTGCCCCGGGAGCCGCGTCCCTCGGAGGCGCCAGTTCGCTCCGCACAGCTTCAGGGAGGAAAGACACACACTCCACACCACGCACAGCTACCGAGACACACCCTGGCTTGTGCAGGGAGAAGACAGTCCAGAACGTGGCAAAATACTTGGAACGCTTTACAAACAAACATTTGTTCTGTGACTCTCCTTTGATAAAGACATACCCCTTTTTGGCAAAATGAAAAAAATCAAGTGGGTGGTGAGGGCACACCCTTTGGGGAGCCAGCGTCCGTGGCTGGGCTGTGGCGTCGGGGTCAAGTCTGCGGCCCGGCTCCCAGCTCCTCTGGGCCCGGGCGGCCCTGCCCGGTGTCCTGGCTGCGTGGCCAGGCTGGGGTGGCCTAGATGTACAGCGGGGTCTCCTGACCCGTGAGGAGCCTGAACATGGCGGCGGGCATGGTCTTCATGTGGATCTGCGGACAGAAACAGGAGGCTGAGCCGCTGCCCTCCCACCTCCCCTCCCACAATCAGGTGAAAGCAAAGGACAGAGGCAAACCCCCCAGAGTTCTGCTTCAAATGCCCATCTCCTAGAGTGAAGGAGGAAGGCCAGCCTGCCCAGGCCTGGGGACACTTATGATGCCTTCCAGATGCAGCAGACTGAGACTCCAGGTCCCCACCCCTGGCTCCAGAGGAGTCAATACAGTTGAGTGCTAGTTTTGCTTCCAGTCCAGCTGACACCCGAGGGGTGAGAAATTGGACTTCTAGTGGTGACAACAGTTTGCCCATCCACTGGGGCTGGCTGGGGGTGGCCAGGCCTCGGCAGAAACTGCGAGGGATGCACTCTGCTTCAGTGAGGAGGAGCTCAATGGGGGAAGACACACGCACCCCTTCTTTTTTTTTTTTTTTTGAGACGGAGTCTTGCTCTGTCGCCCAGGCTGGAGTGCAGTGGTGCAATCTCGGCTCACTGCAAGCTCTGCCCCCCGGGTTCATGTCATTCTCCTGCCTCAGCCTCCTCAGTAGCTGGGATTACAGGTGCCCGCCACCACACCCGGCGAATTTTTTTGTATTTTTTAGCAGACACGGGGTTTCACCGTGTTAGCCAGGATGGTCTCAATCTCCCGACCTCGTGATACGCCCGCCTCGGCCTCCCAAAGTGCTGGGATTACAGGCTTGAGCCACCACGCCCGGCCTACACCCCTTCTTACAAAACACACACGGGCCAGGAAAGTGTGCTGGGGGCTGGGAACAGGCTCGCTGGGGCCCAGGGCACCTCAAGTTCTTAGCCTTTGGGGATCGGTGAGCAAATGACCCTTTGGGGCCTGGCCTCGAGCCCTGACTCCAAAGGAGCTGGGTATACAAGCAAGGCCTCAGACCGCCCCAGGGAGACCAACCGTGTGGGTGGCGCGCCTTGTAATCCTTCTTTGCGGACACTGGGAAGGAGCAGACTCTAAACGTCTGCTTCAAGAACGGAAAGGGAGCTCTACTGCCCACTTCTCCTCTGCTGAGCACGACGCTCTCCCCTGTCCTGCCCGGGACTGTGCTAGGCTGCGGCCTCCGGATGGGGGGCCCTCGCACTGCCAGGGTCAGCTGCCGCAGGCATGCTGGCCTCCCCACGGGGTGCAGCCGCCGTGCATCTGCCCCTCCTCAGGCAAGCAGGTCTCGGGCCCTGGGCTGAGCAGCCCAGAAAGGCACATCGCGCAGCTCTGCTTCTGAGCGTTGCCCTCCCTCCCCCGCCGGGATCTGTGTGGCCGATGTAGGTTTCCGCTGCTCCTGCTCCCGGCAGGGGCTTCCTCCATCAGCCATTCCCCGGCGTTCCTCAGCCAGAAACCCACCCCGAGGCCCCTCGCAACTGCAAGCCTTGTTTATCAGCGACTCATGTTCCGCGTGGGCTCAGAGCTGCTGGAAACAGGCACCATAACCTCGGCAGGGCTGAAAGGATTCCAACGCCCCGGCCGCCTCCTGCCTCTTCCCCGTTCTCCCGCCCGCTCCTCCACGGGTGGATTTCCTCACAGGTGTGGGGCTGCTGGCCGTGGGGGCGGCCGCTTCAAAGCATCTACTTGGGAACACTGGCTTTTCCTTTCTTTGAAGCCATCAAAGGGAGGCTGGTGTCCGCCTGGCCCCTCCTCCTCCTGAGCCAGACCCCTGCCCCCACCAGTCCAGGGAAAACAGGCCTCCCAGCTCCCAGCCGACCCTGCAGTGCACAAAATACCAGTGTCCCGATGTGGCTCCGGGAGACCTCATCCGAAGAACAGGAACTAGAGACCCCTCCACCCACCCGCCCACCCACAGGCTGCAAGGATGGTCGCCACGCACTCAGCCTCACAGAGCCACCAGGGGGAGCACCACAGACGGCCCGGCCTGCTGCTGCTGTCCCCAGACCCAAATTCCCTGCCCGGTCCCCAGCGGGCCCCTCTGTAGGCCGGGCTCCTCAGCTCTCAGCCTCCCGCCTCGTGCGGCCACCACGCTTCCCAGAGAGCCTGCAGCCCCTTTGTGCTGAACACCCCTTCACACACCCCTACACACACACAGACACACCCACTCACACTCTCCTCACACCCCATGCCTCACACCCACTCACAGACCCACAGCCACAGCCGTGCACACATACACACTCATGCTTGACACCCCATGCTCACACACCCACAGCCACACACCCCTGCACACACCCACACTCGCACTCCTACACACCCCATGCTCTCACACACACACGTACATCCGCATACACTCACCCACACACACACTCCTCCACACGCACACTCTCAGGTACATTCACACAGCCACACACCCACACCCATCCACTCATGCACCCCTATACACCCACATGTGCACGCGCACTCATTTCCCACACCTACCCACACTTACCCACACTCATACATCACATCCCACACACACCCATGCTCTCACACATCCACATGCACACACCCACACTCGCTCACACTACACACACACACACACGCACACCCGCTGCGCACTGGCCAGGCCTCCCCCGGTGTATGTGCCACCTCCCCAGCACCATCCCCCCTCCCAATGATCCTGCCGCCTTGTGAGCTCTGGAGGAAAACCTGCACCTCCCCCACACCATCCTCACACTGCCGTGGAAGCGATGCCAGAAAGAACTGGACTGCGGGGGGTTCAGCCAGTGAAGTGGGACAGGGCAAGCAGCCTGGCTGTGGGAGGGGATGGCCAGCAGGGGCAGAGAGGCAAGCCTGCCAGGGTGGCCAGAGCTGTGTGCCCTGCAGAGCTTCTGAACTGGACATACAGGTCCAGTCCCAAAAGTAGTGTCCAGGGAGCACCCCCAGCAGCCTGTGCCCTCCCGGTTGCTCAGTTAGAGCCAGACCGGGATGGCTCCGCATCACCTGCCGCTCCATTCACCCTTGTCACAGCAGCCCCGATGGGAGACACAGCCTGGCTGACCTTCAGATGCCCTGTGTCCTCTGGAGCGGGGGAGGCTCATGGAGGGCAGGCGGGAGCACGTGGGAACCGGCATGCAGAGGCACACTCAAAGTCCCTCCTTACCTCTCCGACCGAGTTGGACAGAGCTTGGACTATCTTCTCGTGGGCTGTGGCCACCACGCTCTGCCCGTTGATCTCGATGATGCGGTGGCCCACACGGACGCCCCCTCGCTCAGCAATGCCCCCTCTCATGAGGCTGCAGATCTAAGCAGACATGGCCAGGTCAGCACACGTGTTCCCGCCACACCCGACAGGCGCTCCACCACGTCCCCAAAGATGGGACATGCAGAGGGAAAAGCGCCACATGATGAATACGTGCACGTGCAATTCGCTGACTCACAGACAGAGATCCTTATGATATGCAGTATGTTTCTTTAAAACAAGAGAGTTAATGCCATGGTGTGTGGGGAACCACCAAGTTTTCTGACTCCCACGGTGGAACCTGTCCCCCAGCTGCACCTCCCCCAGGGCCGCTCCCTTTGTGGTCAGGCTAGAGACTGGTGACACAGCCCAAGGCCACTGCCACCTGGCCTCCTACGGCACAGCCTGGTTACCATCCTGGAAGACAGGCACTTAGCTGATGGGCGGGCGGGAAAGGAGAGGCAGCCTGTCCCCTGGCCACCAGAAAGGTGGGGCATCTGTTCTGTCAAGGGAAGGCTCTGTTTGCCGGATGCCCAAATGGTCTACATCGACAGGGAAGAGTCACTTTATTCCTACATCCCCCCCCCGCCAAGTGACGTAAGGGCATTTTGTGCCAAACATACTGGTTCTGGTTTTGTTGGAGACAGGGTCTCATTCTGTCACCCAGGCTGGAGTGCAGCGGTGGGGGCTTCCATTCCAGCCTAAAAGTGACGCCAAACAGATGGACAGGAGGGCCTGGGAGCGCCTGTGACCACGAGACTGGACAAAATGGAAAACAGGCGCCGTGCACACCCGTGTTCACAGCAGCAGTGTTCACAACAGCCGAGGGTGACAGCACGGACTAGCGGAGAAACAGAATGTGCTCTAGGCCTGCAGGGAAACAGTACTCAGCCCTGGAGAGGAGGGAGAGTCTGAAGTGTGCTACAACACGGACAGACCTCGGGGACACTATGCTGCATGAAACAGGCCAGGCACACGAACAAACACTGTGTGATGCCACTGATATGAGGTACCTGGGGTAGTCAGAATCACAGAGACAAAGTAGAAGTGGGGGGCCGCCAGGGGCTGGGAAGGAGAAATGGGCGGTGGTGCTTAGTGGGGACAAAGTTCCTGTTGGGGAGGAGGAAGACGTGCAGGAGAGCGCAGTGGCCATGGCTGCCTGACATGCAGATGGACTGACTGCCACAGAACTCTGCACTTCAAAATGGCTATGATGCTCGATTTTAAGTTACAGATATATTTTACCACAGTTATTTTTTAAATGAAAACAAAAACCGGAAAAATGGATGTCCAAGGAGAATTAGGACTAGAAGAGAAGGGGGTGGAGAGAGGCAGATTCCATACCGCAAGGCAGCTCCTTCGCCACCCCAGGGCCCTCTTATCCTGGAGAAAGGAGACTGTGCTGAGCCCTGGGAGGAGGCGAGTGGCCTGGGATGGGAGAAGCACAGACTCACCTGTCCCAAACACACATGCGTGTACACACACATGCAGACACAGACAACTGTGAGGGGGCCTCCCCGTCTCCTACACACCAGCACCCAGATTTCTGCAGCTGGCCCATATCTCATCTGACTGCTCGCTCTGGGTGCTAAGCATTGCCACCTGCCACAGGGAATGTTTCTGTGGTCATCAGGGAGAACCGCTGCAGGTCGGGACAGGAGCTGATAGACTCCTAGCCAGGCATCCTCCAGCGCCTGCATATGCTCCCCAGGTGGCCAGGCACATGGAGGCTGAGGGGAACCCCAGTCCCTGCCCACCAGCTCCCGGGATACAAGGTGCCGAGTGGCTGCCCCAGGCCAGCTGGAGCTAGGACTTCAGGCGAAGGGCCTGGCAAGGACGGGAGGACACAGGTGAGAGCTTCACTGGGCATGGTGGGGATGGGGGTGCCCAGAGAGGTGACACCAAGGGAAGCGCCCCACTGCTGCAGGGCCGGGGACAGCAGGAGCCCGGGGTTCCAGGCTCCTGAAAGTAGAGGCCAGGGCCCTTGGGACTGCGGGTCCTATCCTGAGCACGCTGTGAGGGACGAGGGGCTTGGACCAGAGTAGCCAGCACCCTCGGGTCTCCTGAATGTTATCCCAGGCTCATTGCTCCCTGGAGGTCCCGGCTGGGCAGTGGAGCCCCAGTGCACCTCAGCCAGGCAGATGCCTGGACATGGCCCTGGGGTGGATGAGCCCTGGCCTGCAGGGGCACAAGTGGCAGCCACTGTGACAGCCTCTGTGTCTAGGTGCACAGAGGGCCAAATGGGGACAGCCAGACCCCTACCCTCAACCCCCACCATGACCACGGGCACTCATGGAGCAGGTGCAGAGGGTGTGGTCCGCACCTGGGGGCCTGAAGGGCCCGGTGTTTACCGCCAGGCAGCCGAGCCACTCAGAGATGGTGACTGATCCATATGGCCGCCTGCATGCCATTTTCTGGATCACTGGGGAGATGGATCATAACCATGCCTATTCATTTGCTTCATCTAACCCTCCCTGGCACTCTCAGGGTGAGCTGTCCTGTATCCTGGAGAAAGCCCCTGACAGCCAGCATTTGCCCCTCTCCTCGGCTGCCAGCATCTCCCCTGCATCCTGAGCACTGAGGCCTCAAGGAAGTGGGACCCCATTTCACAGACAGGGAGGCAGAGCCAGAGGGTGGAACAACAGCGCATCCACAAGCAGGGCTGGGACCTCCAGACCCTCCTCGTCCCCAGTCGTGACCCAGACCACCCCCCAAGTTTCACAGACGCTTGGCCCCCTCCATCACTCCGGAACTCAGACCCTAGACCCAGGGCAGAGACACCGAGCCGTGGGTGGCACCCTCTCTTTCGTATTGCCACCCCGGAGATGTTGTCTTCAGAATTGCACATGACTCCTTCCTCACTGCAGGCCCCGCAAGTCTGCTGCTGCCCTCAACCCTGCACCCCCTGATCTTCTGAGAAACCCCCTTCCGCACCACCACCCTCAGCTTCCTGGCCACTCGGACCCACCTTGCCCCATCTTTGGGAGCTACTCCAGACCCCTCTGCACCTGCCCAAGAAGGCAGCTGGAGCGAGCCCTGGTCCCCGTCTGCTGCCCTCCGCCTTGACTTCACACCTGCCCATTGCACTCTCCAGCTCTCTGGGAAGAAAGGCACAGAACCCTGCACCTGGGCTTGGCTGGGCTGCTCCAGGCTGTCCCCTCCTTTCCCATTCATGTTAGCCCCCACAAAACACAAACCGGAGTCCTTCCCTTCCTCATCTCTTCTCCCCCTCTCCCCACCAGTGCTCCACATGGCTGTGTGACCTGGGGCAAGTCACTAAACCTCTGTGTGCCCCAGCTTCTCCAGTTCCTGTGCTCCTCATGGGGTTATAGTTTGGGGAAGACCAGCAGACTGAGGGGGCATCAAACTCATCCCGGGCAGGGCTATATTCACAGGCCCTACGAGTAGGTAGCCCCCAGGCCACCCCATGGTGGGGAAAGCCAGCCTCTCCTGCAGGGCTCACAGCGACAGGGCTGTCAGTGAGCAGCACTGGCCACCAACCCAGGCCCACCTGCCTCCTAGGCTGGGCAAGGGGGTGCAGGAACAGGACAAGCAGCTCCCCAGTGCCACTCAGGAGGCAAAGGCAGTGTGGTCACCAGGTTTAGCCAGGCAGGGGCAGCCCAGGGGACACCATACAGCACCCCAGGCTCTGCACAGCACGGCTCCTCATGAGGGCTGCAGGGCTGTCAGTCCCCAGCTTCCTCCACTGTCCCCAGTGCTGGGGTGGGAGGCACACAGGCAGGGCCTGGTGATGGTCGGGGGTGCAGTAGCCCAGAAGGATGTCCCAGCCCTCCTCCCTGGGGCCCAGCCATGCCCATCCACAAAGTGCGCACAGCAGCTGCAGACAGGGCTCCAGCTGATTTTCTGCAGAGCCCCCAAATTAGCTGGGGCAACTGCTTGTGCCCAGGTCACATGTGTGCAGAGCAGTCAGGCAGAGCCGGACCAGGCCAGACCACCAGCTGGCGAGCTCCTGCGGCAGGCGCACTGTCCTGAAGTCCCAAGTGGGGTGCAGACAACTCGTCCTGGCACCTGTGCCAGGTCCAGGGGCCACGGGGCCTCCTCCTTGGCAGAGACGAGGACCAGCGGGCCCACCTTGGATAGCTTGGGGTACTTTATGGATTTTCTCAGCTGATCTTCACAAGCACCTTTTGAGGGGAATCCAGTGAGCGTTCAGTGACTTGTTGAGGGTCACACAGCAGGGAAGGTATGGCTGACGCTGGCGATGCCCCTGTCCCTCTTCGTTCTGGGCACCAGCTGGCCCCCACTTCCCAGCCTCCCCATGGGTCCGTGGCTGAGCTATCTGGCCAGTGGGCTGTGGGCAGAAATGACAAGGGCCACTTCTGCCCTGGCCCTGAAAACCTTCACAAGGTCTTCTGAGCTGCCTCTCTTCCTGCAGTGCCAGCGAGACACAGAGCACCCAGTGGGGGCTGCCAAAGCCCAGCTGAGGGCAGAGCCTGGGCCCCTGAGTGGCTTTGTGGAGTGAAGCTCACCCCCACCGCCCCCACTGCAAATTAAACTGCAGCATGAATAAGCAATAAGCTCTCAGTATATGGAGATTTGCAGACTCTTTTTTATAGCAGCAAATTTGCTCTGACACAGCAGGGTCAGAGATGGACCCTAAACCCAAGCCCTGGGACTCCACCCTGACGGTGGGTGTAACCCTCCATGCTGCTTCACCAGAAAACAATGGAGAAGATTTGGTAGTCCTTCTAGAATGTTCTCCCACTGTCTTTCCTGACTGTGGGTGGGCACACACCCTCCCCATCACCTCCACAAAACTCCCACTCCAGCCCGCAGTGTCTCTCCTCCTGGGCTCCTTCATACTCAGGGCTGGTTTAAACAATTTGGGTATTGCCAGCCCTTTTCTTCTTTACTCCACTTAGTGGCCACATCTCTGCCCTCTGGGTCTTTTGCAGGAGGAAAAACAAAGGAAAAAAGAATTCAGGCCAGTCAAATGCAGGTCAGTGAGAGGGTGGAAACTCTGGGCTAAAGAACTCTGGCCTGGGGAACTGGTACAGGTTTTTGGCCAGAACCACACTCACTCAAGCCCAGCATCACCTCCTCCAGGCAGCACTCCTGCCTTCCCATTGCCTGGTACAAAGCCTAACACAGAGCAGGTACTTCACAAATGTCTGCTGAATGGCTGAGTGAACAAGCGAATGATGAGTACATGAATGAATGAACGAGTGAACGTCTGTTTGTTGAGCACAGTAAGTGATGCCACAATTGGTTGTGTCCAAGCTACAGTGGCTGGTGAAGTCTGCTGCCCTCCCTCCAAAGCAGGGGACAACCACCATGGGGACAAGGGAGCCTGGGAAAGGCTGGAGGGGCCCAATCCACGGCCATGCCCTGGCCCTCCCCTTCTAGCCAGGACCTCCCAGAGAGCCATGGAAAGTTCCTGCCCCAGGTGGCCTGGCTGTGGGCAGCTGCAACCACAGGCCAGGTCCTACCAGGCTGCCAGACATAGCCTGCCCCATTGGACGGGAGCTGCTCCCCCTCCCTGGGCCCTGCAGTGGTGGTGGTGGCCCAGAGCAGGAGGGGGAACTCACAATTCCATTCTGCACGCTGAAGCCCAGCTGGTACTTGAGGTCTGGCCGCTTGATAAGGACCGTGGTGACCGGGGGACAGCTGACAATGTTGAGCTTCACCTGTGTCTGGTTCTTCAGGCCCTGCAGAGCACGGGGACAGGAGTCACAGGCTGGGCCTTAGACATCAAGCCTGACCCAGGATGAGCGAGGCTGGCAGGGTGGTGGAGGCCGGGGACAGTGAGAACACACAATGGGAGAGGCAGGCAGTCCCCTCTCAGCCTCGGTAGCCCCTCTGTGCAGCGGGGACAAGCCTCGCCCTGGCCCTTACCAGAGCTACCAGGTTTCCAGGGCAGCACTGCGCCCTCTGTCCCACCATGCGCAGGGTGCCTCTGCCCTGGGGAAGATTAGCCACTGCAGGAGCGAGCCCAGGTTCTGAGTGCCACTGGGCAGAACCAACGCACCTGGCACCAGGTCACCCTCAGGGTGTCAAGGGGGCCATCATCATGCCGAATTCGGGACAGCTTCCTACGGAAGGATGTGGAGACACCTTCCTCAAAACCCAATGCCCTCCAAGGACGGACCTCCTGCAGGGCAGGGAGTGACCGCACAGCAAATCTCTGTGAGTGAGGACGCAATTGTCAGCGGGTGCGCCAGGCCGCCGGGGTCCGGTGGGGGTGAGGAGGCACAGGGAGGAACCCAAGCCTCCACCTGGGAGCTGCAGCCCTGGGAGGGGGGGCCTCAACTGCTGAGCCCTCTGGTGCCACTGGTGGAGGCCTCTCCCATGTCTCTCTGTGTGGCTGCCCATCGGGCAGAAGCTCTGCCAGGCCAGCTCCGAGAGCCAGTCTATGGGATGCTCTGGCCTGGGGAATGCCCTTCATCTCTCATGCCGAACAAAGAGGAGGAAGGCGCTTCCTCCAGCACCAAGACCACAGCAGGGTGGGGAGGAACATGCCACAGAGGGCTGGGGGCCAGGCCACAGCTGGGTCACAGGAGCCGCCAGCAGCAGGCAGAACCCACTCCTTCGCAGGCGGCCAGTGTGAAGGCCCCCACCCTAGCTGCCGGTGACCCTTCTGCCTGACCCCTCACAGCGACAGGCAGCACCTCCCAAAGCTGCAAGCTCACGAGTCTGACGGTCAGGGTGGCCTCCTTACTTAAGGGAACCTGCGTCCCAGAACCCAACCCATGCAGGGTGCCCCACCTCCCCAGCCCACCAGCACTGAGGGGGTTTCCCAGAAGCCGGACTTTCAGTGCTAACCTGGCAAAGTCCCAGGCAAAGCAGGATAAGCTGGTCACCCTATACTCACTGGTTCTTGGGCCCTTGCCCAGGGCCACATGGCTCGGTACAGGGCTCAGACAACCCCTCCCTTCCCACCCCAGGCCAGCCCGGGTCCACCTCTGATTCAGACATGGGGAATGGTCTTGAGTTCAAATTCTGATACCATCATCGACCAGTCACCGGGTGGGTATCCCTGGGCCTCAGTTTCCCCATGGGTGAAGTGGGGATTGCAGTGAAGTGGGGATTGCAGCAAAGTGGGGATGAAGTGAGGCAGGGTTGAGGTGACCCCTGGGCGGAGGATCCCAGGGTGCCTACCTTGATGATGCCTTGGCAGGTGGCGAGGGGCAGCCCCACCAGGCTGGTGCCATTGATGGACATGATCTGGTCCCCGATGCTCAGCTTCCCCGAGCGGGCAGCCGGGCCGCCATTCATCATGTTGGCCAGGATCACCGTGGGCAGGATGGAGCCCCAGCCCGACTCCACCACCACCACGCCCAGGATCTCGCCCTTGTGCTTCTCCAGCTGCAGCTGCAAAGGGATCAGCAGTGTGAGAGGGGCTGGCGGCAAGGACCGAGGCCTCTGCCAAGGACCCACAGGAGGATGAGGCTGACCCTGTCCTGGCACATCCCGCCCTGCCCTGGGATCCAAGGCTGGCTCATCTCAGCCAGGAGAGGTCTTGGGCTGGGAGCCCTGCCCACCCACCCCCAGCCTCACCCCAGTCTGGCTCCCACACCTTCCTGGGGTCCACCCAGCAATCCTGGGAACCTGGAAGCACAGACCCCCTATCCCCACCCGTGCCTGGCATTGACCCCAACCCCACCCGTGCCCAACACTGATCTTCCCACCCCAAGCAGGGCTCCAGTGTCCTGGTTCCTGCTCCTTCCACACCCACAGAGGCCAGAGGAATGTTCTCAGGCTCCCATACCCATATCCTGCCCCCGGCCTTCACTCTTGTTGGAAAAGTCCTTCTACTTTTATTTCCTCTCAAAGGTCACTGTCTCAGAAACTGCCTGGAATGTCTTCAGCAAGAAACCAGGATCATGCATTCACCCATTCAACAAGCAGCAGAGACCATCCACTCATCCACAGCAGACACAATCATTCAGCCATTTAACAAACAGTCCAGGTATGGGCCATCCCCAGGGAATTTGCTCCTCTGCCCATAAGAACTTTCCAAAGTCCCCTGGGGGAAGCCACTGGGACCAGCTAAGGCCTCTGCTACTGGTGGCTTCCAGCCTCCTCTGCCAGAGCCCCCAAGCTCCCTTTAGAGATGCCACATGCTTTTCAGAAATATCTCCTGGGTGCTGAGTGCTGGTTGATGATAATAGCAGCATTAAAAGGCGCATTTTCGAGGTCATTAAAGCTGACTGTAATCAGCTTCTTTGTTACAAACACCTCATTTCACACCCAAGTGCTCAGCTGGAAGGCAGGAGCGAGGTGCACATTCCGGGCCCCACTGGAGTCTGATAGGAAGGCAAGGGTGTGCGTGAGGACCCCGGGAAGGCTCGCTCTGCAGGAGCTCAGGGAGCAGAAGCTGGCAAATGTGGCCTCCCTGAGGCTGGTGGGTGTGGCTTACCTCCTTGCAGTTCTCCGAGTTTGAGAAGTGGATGAGGTCGTCGTTGTACATCTCCTGGGTGTTGATGATGTCGCTGTATTCCTTCTGGCTCAAGTCTTCGGGGTTGATGCCATTGGCTCGCAGGAACTCCTGGTAGGCCACGCTGAAGGCCTGGCCGATAGACTGGGCGATGAGCTGGGCCTGTGCAGAGGGCAGGCCAGCTGGAGACAGGCACGTGGCACAGGCTCCCCGCAGCCTCCTCAGCAGGGGGCTGCGGCAGGGCTGGGTGCAGGATGCACCCATAAGCCTTCAAGGGAGCCCTTGCTCGGGCTTAGAAGAACAAGAAAGAAACTGGGGGCCCTCCCTCATCTGATGAAGGCTGTCTCCCACCAGCACTCCACCGTGAGCGAACCCCAGTGTTGCCCTGAACCCCAAAGGGTCTACTCCTGACTGTCCCTGCCTAAGCTGTGGCACGGCCCAGATGCTCCAGGTCAAAGCTGTTTCAAAGAAAGTCTGGGACAACAATGAATTATTTACTACATGTCATATTTTTGTTGCTTTTTTTTTCTTTCGAGATGAGGTCTGGCTCTGTTGCCCAGACTGGAGTGGGAATGTAGGTGAGCACAACCACATCCAGCTAATTAAAAAAAGTTTTCTTGTAGAGATAGGGGTCTTGCCATATTGCCCAGGCTGGTCTCAAACTCCTGGACATAAGTGATCCTCCTGCCTTGGCCTCCCAAACTGTTGGCATTGCAGGTGTGAGCCACTGCACCTGACCCCATCTGTATTTCCTTTCCACTCATCTGATGCCGAAAATGGACTTTCAGTGTGTTTTCCGGGAGCATCGTGCTGCTAGTTGTCTACCCCGCATGTATTTATCGGTAGCAACAGAACCCAGTGCCCACTGGAGGCAGAGGGTGTGCCTGGCTGCTCTTCTAGGGATGTGTGGCTGTGCCAGGCCAGGCCTGCAAGACATGAGACCTGGGACTCCACACAGGCCCCATGAAGCACGTCACTTCTTTCTACTTCCGCTGAGCTGCTTCAGTGGACATCACCGACTCTGACATGGCAAAGGCCTGGACACTGAAACAGCACTCAGGGCCTGGCCGGCCGCCTGCTGGTGCGCAGACAGGAGACAGTGGGAGGTGAGGGCTGTACTGAGCTCCCGGAGCTCGCCAAGCAGGCTGGCAGCTGTGCAGCCCTGGGAGCGCGGCGGGGCTCTTGGCGGCCTTGGTGACGCCTCAGCCCACAGCGGGGCCTCCCGCCAGGCTCTGGGCTGTGTGAGCCCTCCTTATGCGCTGTCCTGCTCCTCACGTGCCTCCCCAACTGCCCTCAAGGGGGTCCTGCACGGGCGCCCCCAGCAAACTCCTACTCAACAGGATCCCAAAACAGGTGAAAACAAGGGCTTTGGCCTCAATTCCCTTCCCACTCTCCACGTGGCAGGATGTAAGAGCAGCAGATCAATGTATGCATTGGGAAAGACAAGCTGGGCCGGATTAGAAGCGCGCAGCAGGCGGCCTGCCCTCCAGCAGGCGTGGAACTGCCCTCCCTGACGGGCCCTAAGCCGTTTCCAGGACTTGCCGGTTCCCACGCCCAGCATCTCTGCCGCGCGCACAGACCCAGCTGGAGGCGCGACGCCCGGGGACCGCCAGATGGCGCCGCCGGGCTGGCCTGCGGAGTTGGCGAGCTGATGGAGCTCGGCAGGAGGGCCGGGGGCAGCGCCCGCGCAGGAGAGGGTCGGGCCTTTGGGAAGAGCGGAGGGCGGCCCCCAGGCCTCTGCTTCTGTCTCCGCCTGACGAGGCCACCTGGCTGGGAAGGACGGCCTGAGAGCCCTGGAGCCCCGGAGGCCCGGCTCCACCACCCACGGCCCTCGGACTCCACTTGGGCTCCCTCGGGCCACCGCCATTCTTCCTCCCCTTGGACGACATCCTCCGCCCCCGCGGAAGCTCCAAGCCCGGGGAGCCGGCTCCGCGGGGCTGCGCCTCCTTCCGGTGTCATCTGGGCCGCTGGTGTGCCGCCAGCCGCCGCCTCCCCGTCACTCCACGCCGGGTACCGGCTGCCTCCTGGGAGGTGTGGGGTTCAGGGGGCTCTCTCTGCGGCTGGCGCTTCAGAGAAGGGGTCGCCCTGCCGGCCCCAACTCGCAGCCAAGCCTGTGGGCGTTCACTGCTGTGAGTCCAGGAGCCCAGCCCAGGCCCCACCTCAGGGCTCAAGCGGCCTCCTGCAAGTGGGCTGTGGGCAGAGCCTGCAGGCGCTGGAGAGGTGGGGAAGAGGAGGCTGCTGTTGCTGGCAGGACCACCCTGCGGCCTCATCTACCCAATACGGCATACCCTGGCTTTAACCCTCCGCATCGGCTGCACCTGGGGGTTCTCAGTGCCCCTTGGAAACTCTCACCAGCTGACTGCCGTCCTTCGCCACCGGGCCTGCTCCTGGCCTCATTCCGCCAGTACCTGTGGCCCATCCCCAAGCCAGGTCTCTCACACATCCTCGGCCCTCAGTCACACAGAAATACCCATCCAGGTTTCGAAGGGTCTCCGTGTAGCGGTGGAAGGAATGTGTGAGTGCGCTGTTGAAATGCTCTCTCCCTCCTGTAAATCTGCCATTGCGCCGAAGCACTTCAAGTGGACCCAAGTGGACCCAAGTTCTTAGGAAGAAGATGACTGCGCCAGCCAAAGGTTTGAACCCTGTCTTCAGTTTCCATGCTGTATGTCAGGATCATGACAATATGGGGACCCTTCCCTATTGCCCAGGTCCCTGAGACAGCCTCAAGTCCTTATGTGAAAAAGAACGCCCTGGCCAACTGCCCCTGAAGGATAGATTTTTTTTTTTTTTGAGACGGAGTTTCACTCTTGTCACCCAGGCTGGAGTGCAATGGCACGATCTCAGCTCACTGCAATCTCCGCCTCCCAGGTTCAAGCAATTCTCCTGCCTCAGCCTCCCACGTAGCTGGGATTACAGGCACGCACCACCAAGCTTGGCTAATTTTTTTGTATCTTTAGTAGAGACTAGGGTTTCGCAATGTTGGCCAGGCTGGTTTTGAACTCCTGACCTCAGGTGATCCACGCACCTCAGCCTCCCAAAAGTGTTGGGATTACAGGCATGAGCTACCGTGCCCAGCCATAGATCATATTTTAAAATTTCACTCTGGCAACAGCCACAAAACTGGCTCACCAGCAGCGCCCCCTGCTGGTCTGTGAGTAAGATCAGCCTCCAGGAAGGACAGTTCCTCTCTGAGCTCCCCTCTTGGCCCTGCTGCTCCTTCCTCAGCCCCTCTGTCCCCCTCCAGGCTAAAAACAACACTCTTCTCCAGCCAAGGAGGGAGCCAAAGGGCTTGTGATCTTTTCCTGAGTCTTTGGTATCTTATACTTCAGAATCACTTTTTACTTCCTCTGAAGACCACACGCAAAGGCAGAACTAAGCCTCATGTGCAGATGTGCTTTCTTTATACAGCATGCCAGGGCCATGCGAAAATTTGCATTTTAATAACAAAAGTTATGCAAAGATTAACTTCATTTTTAGTAGAGAAAATGTTTTGTAAAGGGATTTCTTCAAATAGCTCCCTCATATATTTAACCACAACTCAATTTATAAACAGCTCCTGAAGAACCTATTTCAAGAAGTAGAATAAAACTGTATTCACTATCTTTGCAAACCCAAAGAGTATGCAAAAGATCACTGATCCACTGGAAACATCAGTAACAGCATGGAGGCTTTCCACCTGAGGGTGGTTTCCACAGCGCCTGGATCCTGGAGCCGCCCTGGGCTGTGAACTTTGGGAGGGGAGTGCCCTGGCAAGGGCTTACTTACATCCTCCGACTCGAACACATGGCAGATCATCTTATACTGCTTCTTGCCTTCCTGGGCCCCGGGCGTGGTCTCGATGCAGTCCTGAGAGGCTGACCGGGGCATGCGGCGTCTGGCCATCAGCACTACAATGTTCCCAATGTCGGCGATGTAGGAGATGGTACGCAAGGCGTGGTCCATCATGGTTTCCTGTCGGGAGGGAGACAGTGCCACGTCAGGGAACACTACTGGGACAATCCATTGAAAAGTACTCCAGGGCTGGGCATGGTGGCTCAAGCCTGTAATCCTAGCACTTTGGGAGGCCGAGGCAGGCAGATCACCTGAGGTCAGGAGTTCAAGACCAGCCTGGCAAACATGGTGAAACCCCATCTCTACTAAAAATATAAAATAAATAGTTGGGCGTGGTGGCAGGTGCCTGTAATCCCAGATACTCAGGAGGCTGAGGCAGGAGAATTGCTTGAACTGTGAAGGCAGAGGTTGCATCGAGCCGAGATTGCGCCACTGCACTCCAGCCTGGGCAACAAGAGCAAAACTCCGTCTCAAAAAAAAAGAAAGGAAAAAAAAAAAAAGGCACTCCAATTATTCGGGTTTCGCAACCCTGATTCTCCTGACATTTGGGGCCGGATCATTCTTTATTGTGGAGGGCTGTCATGTGCACTGCAAGGTGTTAGGAGCATTCCAAGCCTCTCCCCAGGAGATGCCAGTAGCACCTCCCTCTTCCCAAGTGTGAGAATGAAAATTATTTCCAGCCATTGCTAAATGTCCCCTGAGGGACAAAAATCACACTGGTTGAGAACCACGGCCCTAATTAACAGAGCGTTTTAGGGTAATGATTTACAGTCAAAGTCACTCTGCCCTCATCTCAGTCCCAGCTTCCAAAATGGACTGTGCAGAACCCAGGGAGGCGTGATGTCAGGTGAGCTCTCGGGCTGTCTCTGCTGGAGCAGGGGCTTGCCATATAGTGAAACCCATACATTCCCGGATGAGAGGCCACCAGTGGCTCTGGAGAAGGGTCCCTTCTGAACGAGGTGCTCTCCTATGGGCCCAAGAGTGGCCTGGCCTGGCCTTCCTGCTGTGCAGAAGAGGAAAGCATCAAGGCCAATGTTTGTCATTCAATGAGCTCTTCCCAGGGAGCCCAAACAGCCTGGGCCTGGGTCAAAAGACACCAAGGTAGCCCACCTGACTTCAATTCCCTCGGCCTCTGGCAGGCCCATGACTCTTGATGGTTTTTTGTCCTTGGACAGGAATCTCCAGCCAGCATCTTGCCCACAACCCCTACCTAACAAGACTGCACACAAAGCTCAAAAAAACTAATCAACTGGTCTTTTATGCTTTTGTCCTCTGTTCACAAAAGAAACTCGAGTGTTTCTGCAACCTCTGGACCTCATTTCTTCCTCACAGAATCCACTTTGCAGTGCATGCTGCTTCACCTTTGTCTCAGCTGCTGACTTTTTTTCTGGCCAAAGCCATGAGGCTGTTTCATAACCACAAGAGTCACCTTCCAGGGAGGGACACTGAAAGGAAACAGTTGGAGTGGCTCTTCAGCATCTCCTGATTTCTGTCACTGTCATAAATGCCTGAATCAATCCCCAGGTGTCAGAAACATGTTCCTTCCCCAGCTCCTATCAATGGCAGATCCCTCCTCCTCCTCACAGAGGCTGCCTACCAACATGGCCGCATCTGCTCTCCTGCTCTGAATGGCTACTTTGGCCTTCCCAGTCTCTCACCTGTTCCCTCCTCTCCAGCTCCTCTGCCCCAACAGCTTTAATTTGCATGCCCTGTCCAGAATCCAAAGATCCAGAAGGGAAAGGAAAGGAAGGGAGAAGGGGCCAGTGGAGTAAACCCTGAACTGGGCCAGCCTAGGAGATTTCTCATCTCTCCTTCACAGGATCCAGCGGAAGAGTTACTCTTTCAGCTGGGGCTGTGGGTATTAGGAGGTTCAGAGATGTTCAGGAACTTGTTTAAGGCTATACAGCTCATGAGGATGGGGCTCAGCTTCAATCCCCAAGCCCATCCTCCCACCCCAGGTGTGGCACCCTCCATGTACACTGGCAAGAAGAGGTACTGGGGCAGGCCTAGCAGCTGTACCCAGAAAGGCCCGCCTGCAAGGCTGGCCCTCTCTGGCATCTGGGAACGTGGATCTCAGGAGGGTACCCAGCACCCGAACTGACAACCATGGTTCCTTTTGCCTAAACCGTTTGTGCAAACAACGTGGTCTAGGCTGGACACCTCTTTTGCCTCTGGGAGTCTGGAATTTTGGTAGCTGCCAGGCAGAGGGTGCCTATGACCAACTCCCAGTAAACACCTTGGGCTGAGTGTCTATGAGCTTCCCTGGTAGACACAACTTCTCTGTTGTCACAGCCCCTTGCCAGGGAGTTCAGTGTGTCCTGTGTGACTGCGGGGAGGGCTCTGGAAGCCTGCATCCGCTTTGCTGATTCTGCTCTGGAGCCATCTGCTGAAATAAATCTCAGCTGTGAGCTCACTGAGTCCTGTCAGTCCTCCAAACCACCCAGCCTGTGATGGTCTTGGGGACACCCAGCACAGGTGGGTGATGAGGCATGGGGCTCGGAGGGTTGGTGGGGGGATCTAGTCCAGATGGTTTGCCCACAAAAGATCAGAAAATGAAGTCAAAGTCTGTGAAGCGTCGCAAGCCCAGTGCCTGAGCCCTGGCACCTGTCTCCCTGAGTTTTCACCAAGTGCCAGGCTCCAGGAGGGGGCTGGTTCCAGGGTAGGGGGGTGCAGGACACAAAGATCAGTGGGACAAGGTGCAAGCCTGGACACAGGACAGACATGGGATGAGGAAGGGCGCCCCTGTGCCCGTATCAGGGTATGTGAGGGCCTGGAGGATGGTCAGGGCACGGCACTGGGTTGGGAGTGGTGGGCTGCAGTGTGAGCCACATAGTGGGGGCTGCTGCCTCCTCTGTCCCCAGAGGTCAGGCTACCCGGGAGTGGGGAAGCAGGGGAGGGCCCAGGTAGCCCAGCAGGTCTTCCCACCTACCTCCCGCCCGCAGAGCCCTGGGGTGACGCCAGCACGACTGCTACCTGCTGTGCGCTCCTTGCTCCTCCCGCAGCCCGGGCTATGGGCCTTGGGTTGATGGGCGCAGAGAGCACAGGAGAGAAGCTGCTGAGAACGAGGGCCTATACCATGGGACAAGAAGGAGTCGAACTTAGGAGTTTACCTGATTTTGAACAACTGTCTTAAACGCTTACCTGCGTGTCTGCATTTAAAACCTTGATCCTCTGGGTGGAAATGAAGAGGTCCACTTCCGTCAGCGTCTGGGCATCCCCCTCAGAATTCTAAGAAGGACAGTGGATATTGTTAAAGTCCAAAAACCAACTCGGAATAGAGGACATGCAAATAGCATTATGACAAAATGCTCAACATCCCTAATCACCAGATAAATCCAAATTAAAACCACAACAATATATCATTTCATATCTGTCAGAATGGCTCTCGTCAAAAAGATAAAAGATAAGAAGCACTGGCGTGGGGTGGAGAAAAGGGAACCCTGGTACACTGTGGGAGGGTGTGAATCAGTGCAGCCACTGTGGAGAATAGAATGGCGGTTCCTCCAAAAATTCAAACTACAACCACCATGTGATCCAGCAATCCCACTGCTGGGCATATTTCCAAAGGAAGTGAAATCAGCGTGTCTAGGAGACACCTGCACTCCCATGCTCACGGCAGCACTATCCACAACAGCCAAGACATGGGATCAACCCGAAGTCCATTCACGATGAATGGATAAAGAAATGTGGCGCGCAGACACACTGGAGGCCTACTCAGCCTTCACAAAGAAAAAGCCGTGTCATTTCCAACACATGGATGACCCTAGAGGACATGCTGTGAAGTGAAATCAGCCAGGCACAGAAAGATAAATACTGCACCATCTCACTCAGGTGGAAGCTACAAATGTCGATCTCACAGAAGTAGAGAGCTGAATGGTGGTTATCAGGGGCTGGGGCAAAGGAGTGAAGGGGGAAGTATTGGTCCACGGACACAAAGCTCCTGCTAGACAGGAGAAATGAGTTCAAGAGATCTATTGTGCATCATGGTGACTACCGTTAATAATATTTCATATTCTTAAAAATTGCTAAGATAGTGAATGAAGTGTTCTCATTACAAAAATTAAAACTAGGTGATGTAATGCACGTTAATTAGCTAGATATAGTCATTTCACAATGTGTATATGCTCCAAAATATTATGTTGTACATAACAAATACATACAATTTTATCCGTCAATGTAAAAAGTAATAACTCGAAGGAAGGCTCGGCAATTTTAACAATTACCCAGAGTCCACGTAGAAGGAAATGCTACTGGCCATCAGAAATCTACCTGCACGCCACCGGCCGCATCATCTAGCTAAGTGTGAGTTCTCGAGGCAGTCTGTAAGAGGCACCTGGGAGGGAGGAGGGCCAGCCCCCGGGAGCTTGACCGAGATGGGGCGGGACGCCTGGGTCTGTCGCCACAGCCCCTCCTGCCAGTGGCAAGCAAGGCCCTCTGGCTGACCCCTGTGGAATTTATAGACTCAGGTTACGTTTCCTGGATTTGGGATTCTAAGTATCCTTAAGAAATGGGGAAGACATTGTCAGAGAAGCTGAATGAAAATGTCAGCCTTTCCTTCTGATTTAAACAGTCACCACCATGTCCATCCCACAGCGTCCTTGGGGGACTGAGCCCTGGGGCTGGCCTAAGTGCTGTCCTCACAGCGACAGAGAGAAGCCAAGAGAGGTGCCACACAAATGGCCTAATTCGTCACCTGTAGCCACTGTAGTATGTCTGGCATATGGTTGTGAGACGAGTTTCATGGGCTCTTCTGAGCTGAGTGAACTCTTCAGAGTCTGCCCCAAACTAGGATAGCCTTTAATTGGTTTTTACATTTGTAAGAATCCTAATTACCACTGCACGGTGGCAATGAATTTCAAGTTCTATTGGTTTGCCCACCGAGGTGAATAATTCTCCATGGTCACTGGGGAGCCCAGGGTGGTCTATTTTCCATTTCGAAACAGCAAAAACTATGATTTAATTATTCACTAGAAAATCTGAAATAAGAAATCTCCCTGCTGACAATTCCTCAAGAATTTTGAGTTTTAGAGAGGCCCGGTATTGTAATAATAAATGTGTATTTTAGCTCAATTTTCAAGGGAAAGGGTCTTTTGGGCTTTCTTTGCTTTTAACTCATTAGAAAGAGAAAGGAGTTGAAAGCAGTGCAGCTGACAATCCGCAGCCGCGGAGGAACTTTTTCTGTTTTTTAAAATTGGGTTATATTCAGCATCAGCATGCATTTAAAGGTTATATTCATGGGTTGTGGCTCAAAATCCTCTTGCTAAAAAGTAGGTCAAGCCAGAAGTGAGAAAAGTTGCAGGTGGACCTTGGCATTAGTGACAATTGTGGAGGAAACCTGAGGCTGGGATCCCTGGATGGGAGAAGAGGGGCAGCCTGAAGCCACCCAGCCTCCAGTGGAAAACCCATCAGTAACAGGGCAGGGAGAGGACACCCATCATCCTCCTTGGCAGAAGAAGGGAGGGTGTCGACAGTACGGATCCTACAGACACCAGAGAACAGGCCACAGGGTGGGCCTCGGCATGTCTGTGGATGGGGGGCATGACCTGCAGTCATCCCCATGGCTGTGGCCGGGCCAGGAAAGGGACCTTCAGCAATGACACTGAGCATCCCACTTTCCAAAAAGGAAGAACAAACCGTAATTAAATGTAATCAGGCGGCCACCTGACTGGCCGCAGAGGCCTTTTTGAGCTGGGTCTGCCTGTACCAACCCCTCTAAAGGCGGCAGCGACTCTGTAGGATTGCTGGACCTGCAGGTCCCAGAAGCCAGCTGCAGTCCGTAGGGACTCCCTGCTCCAGCTGGACTAGGAGGCTGCAAGCGAGGGCCCCTCTCTTTTGAGAAAAGCACACCCCAACTGCAAGTCTGCAATGTGTGGCACATTCTGCCTTGCCTGGAGGAAATCAGCCCGGGAAGAGGAGCATGAGCATGATCCTTCCTCTCCTGCTCCTGAGCAGAATCAAAGGAGACGCTGCTGGGCAAAAGGCAGACATCCTAGGTGGACCAAAGTCTCACTCCAGAAGAGGGAGTCCCCACATGGGTCTTCTGGCCAAAGCGCCAGAAAATGGCATTACTTCAAAGCAGGGAGGGGGAACTAAATCTCCTGCTGTTTAAACAGAAGAAAACAGTGGGCAATAAGCCAGTGCCAAGGACCCCGGGGTTTGCCCCAGGCCTTGTGACACCAACTATTTTGATATTTTCTGTATGAGGAGGATTGGAAAAGCTCTAGCATTTACTAAATGACCAGGTGACAAACAAATGACTCGATGTCAATCCTTTTTTTTTCTTTTGAGATGGAGTTTCGCTCGTGTTGCCCAGGCTGGAGTGCAATGGCACGATCTCGGCTCACTGCGACCTCTTGCCTCCCGAGTTCAAGTGATTCTCCTGCCTCAGCCTCCCGAGTATCTGGAATTACAGGCATGTACCACCATGCCTGGCTAATTTTTTGTATTTTTAGTAGAGACGGGGTTTCTCCATGTTGGTCAGGCTAATCTCGAACTCCCAACCTCAGGTGATCCGCCCGCCTCGGCCTCCCAAAGTGCTGGGATTACAGGCGTGAGCCACGGCGCCCGGCCTCAGTGTCAACCCATTTTTAAAAGTCTGCCAGTGTTTCAACACTTATTTTCTTTTTTTGTTTCTTTTTTTTTTCTTTAAGAGATAGGGTCTCACTCTGTCGCCCAGGCTGGAGTGCAGTGGTGCAAACACAGATCACTGCAGCCTCAAACTCCCAGGCTCAAGTGCTCCTCCCACTTCAGCCTCCCAGGCAGCTGGGACTTCAGGCATGTGCCATCATGCCCAGCTAATTAAAAAAAAAAAAAGTTGTGGAGACAGGGTTCTCATTGTGTTGCCCAGGCCAATCTCAAACTCCTAGGCTCAAATGATCCTCCTGCCTCTGTCTCCCAAAGTGCTGGGATTACATGTGTGAGCCACAGCACCCAGCCCAAAAACTCATTTCCAATAAAGAAAGCACCACACGGGCAAACTGAGCTACTCACCCTCCTGACTTAGTAAATTAAGCTTAAGGAATCTTTAACTATCAGAACAATTCAGTAATACTGCACAGGAGGCCCAGGCCCTACACCCACCACGTTGTCATATCAACTAAATGTCATATCAATTTAAAATGTCCACGTAAAACAGGAACATCACAGCATTATCCATACAGTACACAGGAGATGCTAAGAAAGAGGAATTAATAAATCCTTCCATAAATGGGTGGTTAAAAAAATGAAGTGTCTGTAGTTTCATTTACAAACATCTAAGATTCACCTACCAAGGGAAGAGGAAAAGCTGCTTTGCAACATTATTTAGATCCCCAGGGGAACCCCTCAGCCCCCACTGCCCAGGACAAGCCACGGAAACACAAGCAAACAACACTGTCCCAGGGCCTCAAGGCCCTACACACCGCTTTTTTCTTGATCTTAGCAGCCTTTTGCATCCTCTGACAGCATGGAAGAGAAAAGAAAAACAAGTTGGCACAGAGAGAAGGAAGGTGCGTGAGGTTATGTCACTTTGGTGGTTGATGCCCCCACTCTCAGGTCTGGTGCCTAGCAAAGCCCAGCAGGGACGGGTGGACAGCCATTGCCCACTTCAAGCACACACACTGACCAAGAGAAGCCCACACAGGTGTCCCTGGAGCGCTAGAAATGACTGCCAACCACCCCATCTATGGAGGACAGGAAAGATGCCATCAGCCGGCAGGAAGGGGAGCTGAGCTCCAGGCAGCGGAGCAAGGCAAGGGTCTGGGATGGGAGGGCCGGGCCTCTGCTGAGAGGCACTGGCCAGCAGGGCTCAGCACTGCCCTGGGTTACCTGGCTTTCTCCTGCCCACCCCGGATGGCCTCATGGTGCTTCTCTGCTTCTGTTAGAGGAGGTTGTGTATGGTGAGGGCTGGGGAGGAGGTTGCCGCCATTTCTCACCCCTGGGCTGGCGGGCCTCTGCAGATCCTGTCTTGCTCAGAGAGCTGAGACCTCAGATGGCTGCATCCCCTCCCCGCCGACCCCATTTAATTTTGCTGACGTGGCCTCATCTTCCCCTTGCCCGGCCTCACCCGATGTTCAAAACCAGACAATCCAATGAGCACTTAGAGCTACAAGCAGGTCAAAGTTTTTCTTGAGGTCCTGAATTTAAATAAAACGTGATTTATTTTTCACCCTTTCTTGAAGCACTCTGAATGGCACTAAAAATACACATACTGTTGAACTGGGATTTGGGATTGTTTGATGACTAGAATGCTTTGGAACGATGATCTTTAAAGGTCGTATTTCTGGGATTCCGTGGGCCTCTTGTTAAGGAGCTGGTTGCCTCTGCCCAGCCAGCTTTCTCCCAGCCAAGGCGCAAGCCTCCCTCAGCCTCGTTGGCACCTGGGCCGCTCCTGCCCCCTGTGCTGAGGGCTGTGCAGTCCGAGCTGGAAGAGGGCCTACGCCCCGCCATATTCCCTCCTGCTAGTGCCCCCCAAAGTGTGCGGGCATCCGCGAGGGGCCCTCGAAGCACCTCTACCTTGACCCGGCTGACGGCCTCCTGCGCTTGCATCATTCTGATGTTTTTGGAAGGGTTCCGTTCTGATAGCAGCTGGGTGGACCCCAGGTAATTGGCAGCAAAGATGATCCCGTCGATGAGGTCTTCTGGTTCGCAGGGCCCTGGAACTGAAGGAGGGCACAGAGTCAGAGTCTTCCTAGAGGAGAAGTCCCCTGAACAAAGAACTTGCATGCCTGGCCACAGCACAAGGAACACGGCAGCCAGGATGCGGGGCAAACTAGAAGGGCCCAACCATCGCCATCTGCAGCCAGCCACGGGCGGCCGGTCTGCTTCCCTCACTACCCCGTGCTGCAAGTAACTGCGCGAAATCAACACTTGGGCCAGAAAACTCTGCACAAACAGTGTCAGGAGGACAATGCCAGCATTCCAGTTGACTGTCACTCAAGATGACAATCACAGGCTGCAAATCCAGAAGGCGTCACATCCCAAACACGACAGCACTTTCCATGCCTTCCCCACAGCCCCGGAACTCATGCTGGTGACCTGAAACTGTGCCCTGGGCTTCTCCTTGGCCTGTCCTTGTGCATCTGTCCTGAGGGGCTCCTGCCTGTCTGTAGCCTCTCAGGACACCCGTGTAGCTCCTCACACCCATCACACCGCAGGCCCAGGCTTGGCAACATCATGCTTGTTCCATCTGCTGCCCCTAGACCATCGTGACCCAACAAACTTCCTGCCAGCCACAATGGAAGGTTCTATCTCTGCAGTGTCCAATACAGGATCCGCTACCCACATGTGGCTTTGAGCACTGGCACTGAGGCTCCTGCAGCTGAGGGACTGGACCCATTTCTTGTATGTAATTTTAATTAATTGAAATATAAAGAGCCACATGTTAGAGTCATATCCAACCAACCCCCAAGTCCTGTCCATGTTGCCCACAAACCAATCTTGAGTGGCTCCTATGCCAGACAATAAGGCTCCAGCTAGGGGTGGGCAAACCTTTCCTGTAAAGGGGGAGATGGTACGTGTTTTAGGCTTTGTGGTCTCTGTTGCAACTATTCACCGTTGTACCTGAGGCGTAAAGGCAGCCGTAGACAATATGTAAAACAGGAGGTGTGGCTGTGTGCCAAGGAAACTTTATATGCAAAATCAGGGGGCCAGGAGGATTTGCGATTGGGGCTGCAGTCAGCCGACCTCTGAGCTATCCTAGACCGTGGCTTGGCTGTCCTCTCAGACCCATGTTGGCCATGTCACCTGCTTTATCCCTCCCGACTGCCCACCTCCTGGCCAGAGCCCCTTCCATTGGGGATTTTGGCCCTGGCTTCCTGGCTCCCCTCCTGCTCCAGCTGGCCCCTCCCTGAGTCCCTCCAGCATCACGGGCCCAGCCATCCTGCACTTCCCCAGCCCTCGCGCCAGCAACCTCCTGACCTCTTCCCTCCCTCAGCCAGCTGATCCCTGGTCTCACCTCTAACCCATTCTGTTGCTAAAATCATCAACTGGCCCAGCTTGGGCGCTGCCATCCACCACTTCAGTAACATCCGCCCAGTATCCTCAGTTCCCTGACCCCAGTCCTGTGTATCTGCCCACAGGAGTTCAGCAAATCTCCAACCTGTTTTCTCTGGACCTGAGGCTGGAAAAAGCTGCCCAAGAGGGCAAATGAGTGCCATGATAAATGTATTATAAATTCTTGACCCCAAATGCCCCCCAAACAACCTCACAACTCTCATCTATCTCTCTGGGAAACTCAGACTCTTCCTCCATGCAAGAGTTATTCCAGACCCCTCCACTGCCTCAAACTCCTGGCTGCCCCTCCCTCACCTGCTCAGACAGACCAAGTGGGGAGCTTCGCGTTGGTGCTCAGCCCACTTGGCCCTCCTTCCTGCTTTCCTGGGCAGTAGTGGGTCTGCGTGCCCCTGGGGTCAGAGGATCACCTGTGCTCCCAGCCGTCTCTCCCCACAGGGACCCCCATCCCTCCCCTGTGCATCTAACTGAGTCCTATCAATGGGGTCCTCCCACGGCTTTTAAATATCCTCCATTCACCCCTTGCCCTGGAGCCGATAAACCTTCTCCCAGCTGGGCAGGGCTGCAGGCACCAATGTGGGGGACTGCGGGATTCAGGGGTGGCACCAGGGGAGGAACCCCTGTCCACCTGTCTCTCAGAGGGTACACCGGGATTCTCCTGTCACCAGGAGAATCAGAGGCAGCCCCACAGAGGGAACAGGACCCATCTATCCCAATGCAGTACCCCCACCATACCCTGGCGCTTCTTCAGAGTGAAGTGTGCACATCTGCCTAGCTGGGGGGCTTGGAGAGCGTGTATGACAGCCCTGGCTGCCACAGGCTCGCCAGACATGCCCTGTGCTGCCTTTTATGGCATCGGGCTGTGGGGCTGGGAAGGCTCCCAGCGCCTGAGGTAGGCCTGTTTCTACTACCTCACACCACCTTGCCGTCCCCAGTGAGCATGGCTCAACAGGCACCCCCCAGTGAAGCCCCAGTCACCCAGTGGGGCCCAATGCAGTGGCTCTCATTGACCACTAGATGGCGTCACTTTGTTCTGCAGGAAAGCTCTGGTTCTTCCAGGCGCCCCAGGTACCCCAGCCTCACAGCCCCAGCAGGTGACCAGGGCCTTGGGCGAGTGTCCTTATGTCCCCTCTGTGGCAGGGGCTGCCTGGCACCCTGTCAGCCCCAGGTCCTGGGGAGGCTGGGAGGCCAGCCCTCCCTTTGGAATCTGACTCCTACCTTTCTAGGCACTGCCCCTTGGCTTCTCCCTCGCCAGCCCCCAGGGTGGCCCTGGTCAGTGCACCAGACCCTTCTGAGGTTCACATTTCCATGTTGACCCATGTCCTTGAGTAGATTTGGGAAAGACTGGCCTCGTCTCCCCCTGAAGTGAGCGTCAGTAGCTCTGGGGCCCATCTGGGCACAGACTGCTGTGTGTGAAGGATGCCCCATCCCAGGCAGGGGGTCACCACTGGCACCCACGGATGTCTGCTTCCGGGATGAGGCCAGTGAAGCACTCAAGGGCCTTGCTGCAACTCCAGCCACCACCCACCTCTGCCTGGGGGCCTTCCATGCCTGCCTTGCTCTTTTGTTCAGCGAGAAACAATCGAGTCCAAGGTGGCCCCAGCATCCTGCCTCCCACTCACACGCACCACGGGAGGAGAACCCAGACCCAGAGAAGAGTCCAGTGGGGGCGGCATGGTGTGGGGAGTATATCAGATTCATGGGCACAGCTCTCAACTTCCGCAGGAAACGCAGAACCCAAATCTAACAGCTTCGTTAGAAAATGAAAGCAGCTAGCCCTACATGTTTGGGTAGAAATTGCTGTTATTTTGCTCAAGTCTTGCACTGACCCTAAGCTGAGACCACCAGAGGGAGACAAAATGACAAGATAATCAAGATACAGGTTTAAAGATCTTGTCTCCCCAGAGAGTGATTTATCCTTTTCACACCGTATATCTTACTCACATAGGCATATGCACAGTGTATCTGCACAGTCTGGAGAAGAATAAGGCGCTCCAGGTTCTCCCCTGCCAGAGGAAGCCTCTGTTTGAAACACCGCTTAGGAAAACCCTAGGCCCTCTGGAGAGGGAAGGGGAGGGGAGTCCCACAGCTTCAAGCCTGAGGGTCTCCACTCCTGCCACCTTTGGAGAAAATTATCCTGAACATGGGTGGTGGACAGAGGCTTCTAAGGTGCCAGTGTGGCCCCAGGGGGTCTCATTAGCTCCAAGACCTGTCCCTGTATATCCTGGGGGTCTGGGAGGAGGTGGCTGGGTGGAGCTGGAGCACAGGTGTATGTGGGAGTGTGGGGGTGCATCCACAAGGCCCGCTGCTCTCTGCAAAGGCACGGAGTCTTGGAGTGCAGCCCTCATGCCCAACACACCAGACCTCTGTGCAACAATGGTACAGTTCCACCCAGTCCTCAACCACGCCATGAAGCAATCTCAGGGTCCCAATTTTACAAATAAGGACCATCTAAGTGGGTCACGTGGCTTTGCCCAAGTTCACTGTCATGAGTTCAGGTGCTCAGCATTTCTGAACCCACTGTATAAAGACCGGTGTTAAGACAGAAACATGGAGCTCACAGGCTACACAGTGAGGCTGACATCAGTCCCACAGCCACAGAACAAATGCATCAGGATGGGCCATGGTGAATGCTCAAAAGGGAGGCTATGGCCCTGGGAAGGAAGGGACAGGGAGGCTGCTCTGGTGAGGAATTTGGGGGTGGCTGCTGTTTAAGCTGAGGTCTGGAGGAGGAGAAGGAATCAACAAGCCATAAGGCAAAAGGAGGAGAAAGCCTCCCAGGCTGAGGCGGGAGCAGGTGCAAAGGCCCTAGGGTGCAGAGACAATGACACCTTAGAAGATCTATAGGATGTCTGGACTGCCGAGGCCTAGGGCATGGGCCAGCAGCTGAGACAAGTCGAGGGTGGGGAGGAAGCGCTGGCCAGATGTGAGGACCCTGGGGCCACGGGTGACAGGCCATAAGGACTGTCACTCCAGGGTATCCATCAGGGAAGTGGCCCAACCACTCCTTCATTAGAAATGAACTCTGGCAGAGGGGCAGGCAGCAGAGAGGAAGAAGGGAGAGCAGCTGAGAGGCTACTGTAGCCATCCCAGCACATGAGTGGTGATGATGGTACGGACAGGGTGACAACGGAAATGGAGAGACAGCAACAGATGGGGATTTAGGGGTCCATCAACAGGACGGAAAGGTGGACTGGAGTCTGAGAGAAGATGAGGACGCTAGACAATGGTTGCAGAGCTCGATGGACAGACCTGCCCCTCACTGAGAAAGGGTGCCTGGAAGAGGACTGAGCTTGGGTTGGGGATTCCAGGCAAGTTTAGTGGCAGGAGCCTGGATGCTCAGTAGGCGGCTGGACTCGGGAGTCCCGGTTAGAAAAACAGATTTGGGAATGAACCATCTGCAGGTGCCAAGTGAAGCTGCAGGCATGGATGAGTCTGCAAGGAAGGTCATGGGCAAGGGGGCAGGATGAAGCCCCAGGACTCTGCTCTGCTAAGTACCAAGAAAAGAAGGGGCTTAGAAAGGGAGGCCTGCCCATCTACACCCATGCTAGCAGGAGGCCAACTACAAGGAGACCTCGTGTATTGGGCACAGTGTCAAGGAAGTCAGTCGTGACCTCAAAGAGCTGTTTCAGAGGAACCGGGGCAGGAGCCAGAGAGGGGGCTGAGAGGTGCAGGGGAGGTGCAGACAATGAGGCTGCCACTCCCAGATTCCGGCTGTGAAAGAAAAGGGGCAGGTAGAGCGGGGTGGTGTGGATAGATGCAGGGTGGGACAGACGTGGTCAAAAGCCAGTGGAGGGGCGAGCAAAAGGGACAGGAGACAAACGACATCAGATCGTGTGAGGTTCCAAAGTGCAGACGGGACCTGGCCTCAACTGGGAGGAGGGGCTGCAGCTCTAATGGGGCAGGACAGGACTGGGAGGAGGCGAGCCACCAGATCAGCAGGAGAGCCTGCCCCCTGAAGTGCCCCCTAGGTCTGGAGTGGGGAAAGGAGGCAGGAGTGGGTGAGTATCAGAGTCGTGTAACTGGCGTCTCAAGTGAGACCTTCTGCTGCAGAGCTAAGGCGTGGCCTCCAGGCCCGACTCTCCAGTACTGCCAGGGCCTGTGCCTTGAGATGCCCCCACTGAAGGTGACCCTATAATATGGCTGATACGAAAGAGAAGACGCCATCTGAAAATCACACCTATGGGACATTCACCAGGGAGTGGCCACACCTGGGCCTGCAGCACAGGCTTTGTCACTGATAAAAGGGATTTGGGGGTTCCACAGTGTTGAACTTTAGACACCCAATGAGCAAGATTAAGTCACTGGATGCTGGGAGGAAGAGAAGCCACAACAGAGAGTCAGGGAAGGAAGGTCAAAGCCAAGCTCAAGAAAACGCACAGAGTTGCCCAAGACAGATCCTAACCCTTGCAGTGGGGAGAATGACTTCCCAGAAAAAGCATAATAAATAATTTTTTTTAAAAAAAAATGGCAAAAATGGGAAAAAGCATATGCATAGGCGGTTCACTGCAGCAGCACTATTTGTAATAGCAAAAACCTGGAAACCACCCAAACACTCCTGAACAGGAGACATCTATCCACACAGTGGAGTTCTGCAGAACATCCTCTCCATGCTCCTGTGAACAGCACAGAGCTGTGGCATCACCGCCAGGGTTTAGTGTGAAGTGAAGAAGGCAAGATGGAGATATGGGAGTCTAATCCACTACCATTTACCTAAGAAAGGGGAAGACATGCTTACAATAAAAATATGTAAAATGCTCAAAATGGTTACCTATAGTGGAAGGGAAGAAATTGGGAGGTGGGGGGATAAATAGGGGAAGAAACTGACCTCTTTGCATACATCCTGTGTTGTTTATTTGAATTTCATACCATGTAATTATTTTATATAATTATAAAACAAAATTAAATGGAAAAAGCAAAGTCCAAATAACTAAGAGAAAAATGAAACCAATGAATCTAAAAGTGTATCCAGTTGTGATCTATTCCAAAATATTTTAAAACACAGTTGTCTGACTGTACATCCCTTGTGGGATGTATTCTAAACACAAAAGTAAATGCAAATAAATCATAATCTGTATCTACAATCATGTGTCCTTGGCAGTGTTTGGTATTGTTATTCTGAGACTGCTGTAAGCTTAATGGAATAAAACCAATGCAAAATTATGCTGGTGTCCTTGAGAACAGGAATTTGGGGCACAGGAAAAAGAAACTACAAATGTTAGAACCTATAAACCTGACAAAGTATCATTAGGAATCATGACGTTATTTGATCTTAAAAAATATGTTGTGTATTAGTTATTGTTGGCTGCATAACAAATTACTCGGGAATTTAGTGGCTCAAAACAACAACCGTGGATTATCTGAGAGTTTCTGTGGATCGGGAATCTGGGTGTGGCTTAGCTGGGTGACTTTGGCTCAGGACCTCTCGTCTGTCACAGGCAGCAAGGTACTCAGTGATGCTGCAGCCATCTGAATGCCTGAAGAGGGGAGCATCCACTTCCAAGTTCTCTCACCAGGCCGCTGGCCAGAAACATCAGTCCTGTGCCACGTGGGCCTCTGGATGGGGCAACTGCCAACCACACCAGGCTAGCTTGGTTCCTTCAGAGGGAACAAGTAAGAGAGAACAAGAAAGGACAAGCTGAGACAGAAGCCACATCTCTTTGTAACCTGATCTTGGAAGCCATATCCCATCTCTTCTACCATATTCTATTCAATAGAAGCAGCTCAGTAAGTCCATCCCCCACACAGGGGGAGGGAAGGACTCACAGCCATGAATACCAAGAGGCAGGGGTCCTTGGGGGCCATTTAGGAGGCGCCTTCCACATAGACATATACACTCTCACCAAATCTACAACAACGAGCAACCACACTACCCAGATTACAGTCTCTAAATGTTATTTCACAGGGCTCCATGGAGAAAGAACCAACTGGTTCCAGACCTGGGGCAAGAAATATTTAAGATGATCCTGGAATATACCAGAAAGAAAGGAAACAATCAAAGACTACTGGGTTCACATTGACGGGACTCAGAAAACAACCTAAAGAAGCTCTTATTGGCCATAGAAAACTTGAGCACCAATAATCATGGTAACACACACAAAACACATCAACTGTGCTAACAACAACATACACAACCTCACCGGTTATCTTTTAAAGGCTGTCGGGGAAACTCATTAATTTTTTTTTTTTTTTTTTTTTTGAGATGGAGTCTTACTCTGTCGCCCAGGCTGGAGTGCAGTGGTGCAATCTCGGCTCACTGCAAGCTCCGCCTCCCGGGTTCACGCCATTCTCCTGTCTCAGCCTCCTGAGTAGCTGGGACTATAGGCGCCCGCCACCACGCCTGGCTAATTTTTTGTATTTTTAGTAGAGACGGGGTTTCACTGTGTTAGCCAGGATGGTCTTGATCTCCTGACCTTGTGATCCACCCGTCTTAGCCTCCCAAAGTGCTGGGATTACAGGCATGAGCCACTGCGCCCAGCCAACTCATTAATTTTTAAATTTTTCAAAAAAGAGAAGAAATCAAGCATTTAATCTGCTTTTCTTATATGAACAATATTCAGGGTAACCAAATACTTGAGGGAAAGTTTCTCTACATAGAAGAATTCCAGCTAACTAATGAAGAAGAAATGATGAAATTAGAACACCACCATTTGGCAACTTCTAATCAATTACTAGATCTAGACAATGATCATTAATGGTTGCTAATATCACCAAAAAAGAGATGACCAGATATTATGTGCCTCAATAGAACAACACAAAAATATGTACGAAAGTTTTTGCCCAATCAAACTGAATCTGATCAAGCCTCTATGTCTAAAAACAACCACTATTTTACAGGACACAGAGAATAGAGGAACACATTAAACAACACCATGAAGATGCAATCAGCAAAATCCACACTGCAGGAAAATCTACAGGATAAATGACAGATTCTTCCACAATAACACCAACAAAAATTTGTAAGACAGAAAAAAGAGACGGATGGACAACCTAAAAGAGACATAAAAGAATTATGAAATGCATTGACCAATCTCAATAGACGGGTTTTGTTTGGATCCCCATTCAAACAGCGCCCTGTAAACTGGGAAAATGCAAACAAAAACAAATATTTAATGGCATAAACAAATATTAACTTTAGTTGTGATAACAGCATTGAAATTATTTTTAAAAACAGAACTCCTATATTTTAGAGATACAATATGAAATATTTAAAGAGGCTATGATGTAAGATCTGAGATTTGCTTTAGAATAATCTGGGAAAGGGTCAGGGTGTAGATTAAATACCACTAGCCATGAATGGGTAAATACTGAAGCTATTTTTTCATATGCTTGAAGTTTTTATGACAAAATTAAAAGCATAGATCTTTCAAAAAGGTGTTATTTTTAGGAAGCCATATTCTACTATTATGTAAAATTGTTCCTTCTGTTCTACCCAATCTGATTAAGCAAGAAGAAGTAATAGAAAACAAGAAAGGAAGCAGCAAAAATCATTCTTGTTTGCAGATGGTATGATTGCATGCCAGGAAAAACTCAAGAAAACAACTAAAAATCTATTTTTAAAAAATAAGAGAATTCACTAAGGCAATGGTTTCAAATTTAATATATAAAAATCGATAGCTTTCTTTGTACCTACAAACAGCAACATGTTGAAAAATAATGAAAGTCAGCATTTACAAAAACAATAAAAGGGATAAAACAACAAGAAACAGACAAACAAGATATGTGTTGAATTTTTATGAAAAAACTTTACCGATGAAGATAAATGAGCTTGAACAAGTGGACAGATAAATCCTTTGTTGGCTAGAAAGACTATGTTGTAAAGCTGACATTTTTTCCCCTAAATGGACAGACTTTAAGCATGCCTAATAAAAATACCAGTAAGAGTTTGTAGTGGGCCGGGCGCGGTGGCTCATGCCTGTAATCCCAGCACTTTGGGAGGCTGAGGTGGATGGGTTACCTGAGGTCAGGAGTTCAAGACCAGCTTGACCAACATGGCAAAACCCCATCTCTACTAAAAATACAAAAATTAGCCGGCCATGGTGGTGCACCCCTGTAATTCCAGCTACTCGGGAGGATGAGACAGGAGAATCGCTTGAACCCAGAAGGCGAAGGTTGCAGTGAGCCAAGATTGCGCCATTGCACTCCAGCCTGGGCGACAGAGTGAGACTCTGTCTCAAAACAAAACAAAACAAACAAAAGAGTTTGCAGTGAATAACCAGACAAGCTAGTTTTAAAGTTACTATGGAAAAATAAAAGTGCAAAAATACCTAGGAAAAAAATCTGAAATGGAATGATGGTGGCAAGGTCTGAAAGTAGCCCTACCAGGTAATAAAATGCACCATAAATCCCCAGTAAATAAAGCAGCCTGGATCTGGAACCTGAATGGACCGTCCCTGTAACAGATCCAGAAACAGACCGAGACCCACATGACGATTTGGGTACGGTAAAGGCAGCATTTCAAACTTGCAAGGGAAAGATTCCTTGGATAGTTCTGGCATAACTGGCTAGCTATTGGGACAAAATGCCTAAAATGTAACTTTTCCTGTATAAATACACCAAGATAAATTCCAGATAAATCAATTATTTAAATAATTTAAAATAATACCAAAGTCCTGGAAGACAGCTTTTTATTTAACTAATTAATCAATTAATTTTTTTTTTTGAGACGGTGTCTCACTCTGTTGCCCAGGCTGGAGCACTGTGGCACGATCTCGGCTCACTGCAACCTCTAACTCCCAGATTCAAGCAATTCTCCTGCCCCAGCCTCTCTAGTAGCTGGGATTACAGGCACGTGCTGCTGCGCTCAGTTTATTTTTTGTACTGTTAGTAGAGACGGAGTTTCACCATGTTGCCCAACCTGGTCTTGAACTCCTGACCTCAGGTGACCTGCCCACCTTGGCCTCCCAAAGTGCTGGGATTACAGGCATGAGCCACTGTGCCTGGCCAACAACTTTATTTTCAAAAATAATCTTAGGAGTGTGATGGTCACACTAACCTCAAAAACTCAGTAAGCTCAAAGGAAAAAGACTGATATATTTGACTAAATGACATGTTTAGCAAAGTAAAAAGCATACCAAAAAAAGAAGAAGAAGAAAAGAATGGTAAGCTGGGGTAAACTTTTACAGTACAAACCAAAGGGTTCATTTCCTTTATATGTAAAGAATAATACAAATCAATAAGAAACACCCAAATTCCCAATTGCCAGGGGCTGAGGGGTGGGGGAAATGGGGAGATATTGGTCAAATGGTACAAACCTTTAGTTATGAGATGAGTAAATGTCTGTAGTTAATAATCCTGTATTGTATACTAGTAATCTGCTAAGACAATCGATCTGAAGTGTTCTCACCACACACACAAAAAGGTAGCTATGTGAAGTGATGGCTATGTTAATGCGCTTGGCTGTGGTAGTCATTTCACCATGTAAACTTATATCAATACATTACATTGTATGACTTAATATACAAAACTTTTATTTGTCAGTTATACGCCAATAAAGCTGGGGGTGAAAATCTAACAGAGGAATGAGCACAGGAAACAAACTGGCAGTGCACTGAAAAGAAAAACCACCTATGAACATACGAAATAGTGTTTGGCTTCACTTATTATGAAAGACACGTGAAATCAACAAGACACCTCTTTGCACCCATCGGCCTGGAGCTTATATCAAACAGCCGGTCATGCAGTGTTGGTAACAGTGTGGGAACCTCATACGTAACCAACTCTCATACATGACCAACAGCAGCGTACGCTGTCCCCCCTTGGGAAGGCATTCTGCCCGTGTCTATCAGAGTTGCTGTGCTCCTGGCCTGTACCCCTGCCATAGCCAGGAACCGCCTCCATAAAAGAACCCACACCCAAACACAAAGGCGTAGCCACAAGGCTGTTCACTGCTGCACTGACTGGAAATCTCCCAACAATCAGTCCAAGGGGGCTGGTTAATACCCCATCCCACATCCACTCAACCGATCCTGTGCTGCCGCTTAAATAATCAGGTGGACCTATTGCTGTTTCC
The DNA here is from genome assembly GCF_000001405.40 of Homo sapiens. Classification (NCBI taxonomy): domain Eukaryota; kingdom Metazoa; phylum Chordata; class Mammalia; order Primates; family Hominidae; genus Homo; species Homo sapiens. The sequence goes on along the minus strand of NW_011332701.1, from coordinate 1,244,268 downwards.
AAGATCTAGCAAGAAAGGAAAAAGCTAAGTACAGAGCCATGTGGCCAGTGCAATGTCTATTTAAGGAAAAGGGCCTATGGATGAGCTGAGAAATTCCTGGAGAAATTCACAAGAAATGTAAGTGGCTTCCACTATACAGAAGGACTAGGGATCTGGGATGTATAGGCAGAACAAGAGGTACTGTGGGGATTTCTCATTTTTAACTCTTGCAGCTCTTGGTCTGATACAAGCACTATTCTGAGAAATCTTTAACAACTTCTACTTAGTGAATAAAAGTTCAGATTTTAAAACGACGAATCCCTATTCCTGCTGACTGCATGTAGTACAGGAGAAACATGATCTTGTTTGTAGAAAAAGGAAAGTCATCTGGGTTTCCATAACTCCTCTTTGGAATGCGCCACATCCCCTCTGGTCCCACAGGGTGACCTTCCTCCCGTCCATCCCCCACCCAAATACACCAAAGAGGAGGAGGTGGGAGATGTCTTCACTTTAAGAGTCTTATCTGAACAGGTTCACCCCAACTGCCTATTTTAAGAGCAAACTAAGTCTCAGATCCCATGTGCCCACTGTATGAAACCAACAAAGCAGCTTTACCACTGTGAGGACCCCTGAGAGAAGGAAGGGGTGATAGGTGAGCTCAGCTCCAGGTCTGGGGCATGTAATCTCCATGCCTTCCACATGATCCACACGGAGCTGGGCAAGTTGATGAGCTATAGACAGGCTGTAAAGGACCCCAGGACCCTAAGGCCTGGCAGCATTTTGGCATAAGCCTCAAGCTGCTGGTGGGGTGGTGGGTTTCAAAACATCCTGTATGAGCTTTGGATGAGGAGAACAAAGTACAAAAAGCAGAGTAAGATTTACCAGTCTTTGTTATTTTGTACTGAAGCTGCCACTGTTAGGCCCCATTGCTTGGGACTAACATCAGCCTTTTGGTTTTAATGAGCACGTGTTTACCTGTATAGAAAAGCTGGTCATTCACATATACTCATCCAGAGGCAGTGACCCTCTAAGCAGCTTGGGCTCAAGCTGCTGCCAGACACCACGTCCTGTAGGAGGGGACATCTTGAGGGTGGCTGCTTTCGGATTCCTCCCCGCAGGACAGGCAGTGCATCCTCTGTGCAATCCGCACTTTCATAAGGAGGTTTTCTCTGCAGCGTTAACCTTCCCAGTCTGAGAGGGTCGCTAGACCCCGAGAACTTTCCACAGACAGTGATTGTGGCAGGCCCTTCCTCACAATGCCTCTGCTGAGAGAAGGCTGTGATCCTGCGCCTGACAAGGCCAGGAGCTCTGGCATCTGGAACGCTCCCCTCCACTGAACTCTCTGGCACCTGCATGGTAGGTCTTCTCTAAGTGAAGGTTCTTCCTCACCCACTGCGTGAGGGTCGCCAGGCAGTGCAGTGTGGTGATGAGCTCAGATTCCAGACTGGTTCGAATCCTAACTCTGCCACTTGCTACCTGGTGACCTTCGGCCCGGGATTCACTCTCCCTGAGCTGTGGATATAGTGATTGTTAAGTTGATATACTTAAAACACTTAGATCTGGGCCTGGCTCAAAGAAAGCACCTGACAGGTCTTACCTATTCCTGGTATATGAAGGCATGCTGGGTAGGGAGGAATGACCTCGGCTACGAGTTTATGTGTCAAGCACCAAGACATGGGTCCAAGTCCAGGCTCTGTCCCCCGCACAGCCATGGGACTGCACACAAGTGACTTTAGCCTCACTGTGCATCAGTTTTCTAACCTATCAGACGGGGGAAAGTACTTACTCCTCACGTGGTGGTTGACCAGGCGACATGAAATAGAGAGATGCTGCATGGCACAGGGAGTGGACACCAGGCCCCAACGAGGGTTCAGACGGTATCATGTGCATTGTTACTATTATTTTTTTCATTATTATCAACAATTATCTGATATGAAATAAGGCATAAGCTGAGACCAAATACTCATGAATACTCCAGGAACATTTCCCTTCAGGGCAACTTCTCAGACACAAATAGGGTGGAGGAGCTGCTCCTCCCTTACACAGGGGCTTCCCAGGAACTCACATACTCAGCCTCAGCACTGGACACGCCAGGAGGCTGGAAGGGCCCGCAGTGGGATGGGAAGTGGCGGCAGGCACCCAGGGCTGATTCCAGACCTGCCCTGCCTTCATAAAAAGCCCAGGGTTTGATTGTCTGGCCAACACTAACATCTGAGAGGCTGGTCATGTGACACAGCTCTGGCCACAAAGAAATAAGCAGTGTGTCGAAGAGGCTTCTGGGTCTTCTAAGTAAGGTTCAACTAGATATTCAGAAGCATGCAGTGTCCTAAGGCTCAGCTAGACATGGGGCCGTCTACTCCAAGGGAACAAGACAGACGCCAGTTTGCCTCCTGGACTCTCTGATGGGAGTCCACACTGCACCCACACAGCTAGTCTCATGGGCCCCTGGATGGGTCAGCTGCAATGGTACAGAACTCCCTGGATGGGTCAGCTGCAAGGGTACAAAACTCCCACCAAGAAGGGCATGTGGAACCCATCTGGTCTAAGAGCCTCATGCTCCCAGCAGCCAGTATCTCTCACAATCACCCCATGGGTGGGGCATAGCTTCCAGGGTCACCTTCAAGAGACATGCCAGTCACGAAAGTCACCACTGTGAGAAGCTCAAAGCCCTGGATGCCCTGCCCCGCAAGCATTAGAATTTTCCCATCTAGATACAGTTTATCAAAAAGAGCATCTCACCATAAGCAATGTTGCCTGGAGACACAGCTGACACGCTGCCTTTCAGGTTACCCAGGGAGCACACTATGAAAGGTAACAGAGGGTCCGATTCTCATGCAGAGAAGTCATCACCTCTTAATCCACAGAAAACCTTTGCTTTCCTAATGTCAAGGGGAGGACGTCCAGCTGGTGTGGACTTCAGCCCTTCTCCTTTTTTCTTCCTGCCTAGAACGAGAAGCAATGGCTGGGGCTGCCCACACACTGTGTGACGATGAGGTGACAAGCCTGAAGAGGAGGCCAAGAGACACAACAGCGCCAATCCTGACATCACAGAGCCATCGAACCGGCGGCCTCTTGCCTCTGGACTTTTTTTTTTTGTTTTTTGTTTTGTTTTTTTTTTTTTTGAGATGGAGTCTTGCTCTGCCGCCCAGGCTGGAGTACAGTGGCATGATCTTGACTCACTGCAAGCTCCGCCTCCCGGGTTCAAGTGATTCTCCTGCCTCAGCCTCCCAAGTAGCTGGGACTACAGGCACACGCCACCATGCCTGGCTAATTTTTGTATTTTTAGTAGAGACAGGGTTTCACCATATTGGTCAAGCTGGTCTTGAACTCCTGACCTTGTGATCCACCCACCTTGGCCTCCCAAAGTGCTGGGATTACAGGCATGAGCCACCGTGCCTGGCCACCTCTAGACTTTTTAATATTTTTTTTATATTTTTTTTGATACGGAGTTTCGCTCTGTTGCCAGGCTGGCGTATACTGGTGTGATCTTGGCTCATTGCAATCTCCGCCTCCTGGGTTCAAGCGATTCCCCTGCCTCAGCCTCCCAAATAGCATGACTATAGGTGCTCAGCATCACGCCTGGCTAATTTTTTGTATTTTAGTACAGACGGGGTTTCACCATGTTGGCCAGGATGGTCTTGATCTGCTGACCTCATGATCCACCCGCCTCGGCCTCCCAAAGTGCTGGGATTACAGGCGTGAGCCACCACGTCCAACCCTGGACTTCTTTATGTAAGACACACACCTATTTGTGTAACGTTAGGTGGGGATTTTGATACTTGTACCCAAAGGCATTCAAACTGATAACGGTGTTTAATTTGGAGAAACTTTTCCCATATCCATTATATTCTAGGGTTTGGCATCACCATTATGATGATCTCTTCCTGTTGCTGAGTAAGATTTTGGTCCATGAAGGCCTCGCTGCATATAAATGCTGTAATAGTAAAGGATGTTGTTTTGCTTCAGTTTTCTATGTTTTCATAACAATCAAAGGGCTTCTCTCCTACAGAAGAAACTATAAATTCAGGTTTTCCACATTGGTTCTAGCTGGTCACAGCAGTTTTAGCCTGTCTGAATTGTTTTAAGCCACCGGCCTTGTTTGGATTTGCTTTGGAACAGTCTGAGTGGTGCAGGGAACCAAGTCTTCTGGGATGCCAGGAGCTAGAGTCCGAGGTACCCCAGGCACTGACACTGCTTCCCGATCCCTCACGATCCCACTCCCTGCAGATATGAGATTGGTTCAAGGGTCGGGGAATTTAATGTCTAAATCACCTCCTAGTGTGAGAGTTCTGTCCAGATGACACTATGATACACTGACAAGTGAGCTTCTTGGATCCAGGAGACCCTGCCTCACTGGAGCAGTGTGACTGGCAACCCCACCCTGGCTTCTGCCTGCCAAGGAAAATGGCACAGTGACGTACTGCATTCGCCCTGCTCACGAGGTGCCAGCTCCTATAAACCAGGAACCCAATCAAACACTACAAGCGGGAATGTGGGGAGTGTGGTCTCTTCCAGGAATCATCATAACCTGCTGTGGCCTGAAGAAAACCAATTTGAACCAGATAAAATGTACCTAAAACCACATGTAAACTGCTGGGCAAAACCCATTTTAGCCTATCTGAATTGGTCAAAATGGAACCAAGTCTATCTCAATTGCATGATATTAATTCTGATGGTTTAAAACAGATTCTCACCCAATCTGAGCAGCATTAAGCCAGTTATAACAGTCAAAATTGATTTGAGCCAGTTAATCCAGTTTCAACCAATTGGAACTGGATTAGCCTGGTTCAAACTAGTTCTCTAAAGGCGAATTTGGGGGCTTCAGTTCCCCAGGCTTTAGTTGTTTGCTAAAAAAAGAAAAGCAGCATGGGAAGGGCTGAAAGTCATTTATTTCTGAAAACTAATTTACCTTGCTCCCATAAATATTTATAAGAATTAATTACCAGCTTATTGAAAGAATTAATGAAATTCACATTGTTTATTATAACACATTAGCAGGGGCAGGAAACATCCTCCTGGCAAAGACAGAAATCCTGCCGAACAAGCTCTTTACTCTGAGGTTGGAGCACTAGAAGCAAACCCAGTGGATCTCCTACAGGGGCCCTGCAAGGTCTCCAGATGCTCAGCTCCGTCAAAGCCAGGCAAGTGTGCTCCCCATCCCCAAGAGTGACACAGAACATATCGACCAGTTTCATTCTTTACTGAATGTTGAAATGCACTATTAACCTCCTCAAAAAGGGTGGAACGGTAAAGAAAAACAAAGGATCTAAAAAAAAAAAAAAAGCCTGAATTTGAATGCATTATATCCACCCTGATCAGAAGTGTTAGCTATAACCAGCTGCTTATAAAGACACATCTCAATCTATTCAGTCATCAGTGTCGTCTGTGATGCAATTAGTGAGGGTATAATTAAAGGAGATCGTCTACTGTTCCTTGCATCAAAGCGGGCAGATCAGCTGGACCTCCCCTCCCCACTAAGTGGGGCTACACAGTGTTCAAACAGACAATGGCCAAGCACCTTGCTGGTAGGTAGGCACGCTTTGTAAACAAGCTTTGCAGGTGAATGCCCAAACTAAAAGCACCATTTATTTTGATGTAAAATGCAACTGCCCCTTGAGAAATAAAATTCAAAGTCACTTACCAGCCACAAAACTTGGAAATGATGCCACCTTCTTTGTCTGTTAGGAAATATGGAAAAATAAAACACATAACAATTGTTAAGTAGGTAGCCCACAAGGTGAAGGCTAAGCAGGGCTGTGATATGAGCCATAATGAGAAAAGCAAACCCCCCATGAGTGATGGTGTTCTGAAGATGTCAGCTCCATACAGGAAACCAGTCTGCTGCAGGCAACATGATGTTGGGGAGTGGCCCAAAAGCCCATCATCTAAAACTTAGGGGCCCTCAGACTAGCATATCTTGACTAGAAGGGAGCCTAGGGACCATCCAACACAATGACGCTCCAACCAGGGGGCATGAGAGCCATCCAGGCCCATCTTTAAAAGCAAGATAAAGGAGACTGGATACCACTCCATCGGTGGCCATCGTTATTTCATCAAAGTTAAATAATCTCATCTAAACTATGTTACCAGAAAGGGGAAATAACTTCCATCATAGCACTGTTAGCTTATAGGAAATTGTTTGTTAAAACCTGTTGTTGATTTAGAACAGTGGTTCTCAACTGGGATGATTTTTGTTCCCAAAGGGACATCATTAGGCAATGTCTGGAGACATTTTTGGTTACCACAAATCAGGGATGGGGATGGGGTAGGTACAAGGATCTAGTGGGTTGAGGCCACGGATGCTGCTCAACTACAATACACAGGACAGTCCCCAAAACAAAGTATTACCTAGGCCTCAATGTTAATGGTGTCATTGTTGAGAAACCCTAGTTTAGAACATGGTTATCAGACAATGAATAGAATGGCTTTTTATAAAATTAAGTAGTACCAATGGTCCCCCACCCCCACACACACACCATCTGCAACACAAGAGCACTCCATGGCATGGTCCTAACATCAGGGAGGCCCTCTCCTCCCTCCTCCCAGGCCAGTGTGCCCTCACCTCCTCACCATATGGTGACACCAACTTGGCCTGACCTGGACTCCCTCTCCCCCAGGCACCGGGTGGGATGAGAACATCATGGACAAAGTGAGCAGACCACAACTCGGTGGGCCACTCCATCATTAGATGAGTGTTCCAGCCCAGAACTCTCATCCTTGAAAAAAATTACCTCTGGAATGTTGTTATTGTCAACAGGTCCATTGAGATCAGAGCGCTGCTGCTTCCTTGGCTGCTCCAGACCATTGCAAACCTGGAAACGGGGAAGTTAAAGATCGTGATTTTATATGTTAGAGAAATGCAAGATGCAAAACCTGAATATGCAATGTGATACAATTTTGTAAAATGCATGTGTATGTCTGTATGTGTATAGGTGTGTGTGCAGACGTCTATTTAATTATACTTAAACTGCTATGCACTTAATATTCTATTTTCATACTTCTAAAAAAGTTATTTTAAATCATTTTGAAATTTGTTATCTTTTGATTGCAGTAAAATGCACATAACATAAAGTTCACCATTTGACCATTTTTAAGTGTACAGTTCAGTGGCACTAAGTACATTCACACTGTCGTACAACCATGGTCACCATCCACCTTCAGAATGTCTTCCTCTTCCCAAAACTAAAACTCTGTACCCATTAAACAAACTCCTCAATATGCCCAACCCCAACCCCAACCTGAGCCCCTGCCAACCACCATTCTACTTTCTGTTTCTGTGAATTGGGCAGCTCTATGCCCCTCATGTAAGTGGAGTGATTAAGCAGTCAGTATGTGCCCTTTTGGAACTGGCTTATTGCACTCAGCAAAATGTCCTGAAGGGTCGTCCACATTGAAGCACATGGCAGAATTTCCTTCCTTTAAGGGCTGAATCACATTCTACTGTGTGTACATGCCACCTCTTGTTTATCCAGTCATCTATTGATGGACACTTGGGTTGCTTCCAATTCTTAGCTATTGTGAATGGTGCTGCTATGAACGTGGGTGTGCAAATATCTCTTGAGTCTTCACTTCCACTTCCTTTACGTACATACCTGGAGGTGAAATCACTGGATCATAGGATAACTCTATTTTTCAGTTTTTAAGGACCTTCCATACTGTTTTCCACAGCAGTAGTACTATTTACGTTCCCACCAAGAGTGCCCAAAAAGTTAAAAGCCATATTTTTAAAAAACCTAAATTCTTGGATGAGAATAAATGCAAATTAGCCAATCTGTTACTACAACATAGAAAATGCCCCAAGTACATGTCATAAGTCTTCTCTTAAAGAAGACACCAAACTACAACTGCTTCTACTTCAATTAATAAAATTTAAGGTTAGGTATATTTTCTCTATTTAGTTCCTTATATCATCCAGAAGACAGAAGCCAGATCCATAGCCCTTAAATCCCTGTCCACCTCCCAGAGGAGGTTCCGGAGCCTGCATGGTAAGTCCAGTTCCAGAACTTTCTGGAAATAAATTATCGAGAAATAACAATATGATGATGGCAAGGAAGACACTGATGATAAAAGTTACATTTACCAGCTGGGCACAGTGGCTCACGCCTGTAATCCCAGTACTTTGGGAGGCCAAGGCAGACAGATCAGTTGAGGTCAGGAGTTTGAGACTAGCCTGGCCAACATGGTGAAACCCTGTCTCTACTAAAAATACAAAAAATTAGCCGGGCATGGTGGTGGATGCCTGTAATCCCAGCTACACGGGAGGCTGAGGCAGGAGAATCACTTGAGCCTGAGAGGCGGAGGTTGCAGTGAGCTGAGATGGCGCCATTGCACTCCAGCCTGGGCAACACAGTGAGATTCAGTCTCAAAAAAAAAGTTACATTTACCTAATTTACCTAGCACCTTAGGGTTTACAAAAGCCTCTTGTGTACACAATGAATATTCTTCCCCCTGCTTGACAGGTGAGAAAACTGAGACCCCAAGTGTTGGGCTGGCTTCTCTCGGAGTCAGGTGATGCCACGAGGCATGGCTGCCAGCCCTATCCCCTGTCCTAGTCTATCAGTGTCTTGCTCTTTGATGGAACTCTGCCTCTCTGGGGTTTTGAGAAAAATTAAAGGATCTGGGCCCACCCTCCCAGCACTGATGGGGGCAGATATGCCGTGCCCCAGGTAGTTGGAATGATTGCTGGCTAAGCCTCCCCTCCAGGATCACAGACACCACCGGATTTCAGAGGCAATGGGAGTGGGGGATGCAGGGGAGCGGGCACCGGGCTTTAAGGATGGCGAGGGAGAAGGGAGAGCACTGCTGCTACATCTCAAGAAAGCTACATGGGGCTGCCCTTCCTAGAGCTGAGGTGGTGCAGGGGTGCAGCTGGGACCCAGCAGTTCTGAAGTCTGGTTGGTCCCTGCCTCCCCCAGTCCTGCTGCCCCTACCCCTGAGCCCCACAGGGGCTCACAGGCCTAGCCAGACCACACCCTGCTGTCCTGGCATGACCAAAGGCCCGGCTCTGGTTTGTCTGGGACTGCTGGCACACTGCCCTGCTTTTCGAAGCCTAGCATCCCAGGAGCAAAACCCATCCTTCCCCCTACAAGAGGGCTGTGACCACCCGAGACTCTGTTGCAGTAGACCCTGCACTGACCAAGTGGAGCAGACAGCGCCCCTTTCTGCAGGGCTGAGACTGGCCCAGGTACCGCTCCTGCAAGGTTTCTTCCCCTCACCCATCCCTGGCACTGATCTTCCTGCTATGGCCAAGGAACACCAAGCAAAAGCTTCCAAAGGATGCAACAAGAGAATCTCGCCTCAGATGCCGCTCACATTCTCCTAAAGTAAACCTTATTTGGGACATCCCCCAGAGAGCTCTGTTGAGGACACTTTGCTATTTCAAGGTGCACATAGCACACGTCGGTATTTTACCCACTTGTCTGAAAGTTCCCCAACACAGTGCCCTTCTGCATGGACTTGGGTTCCTGGAGGCCTTCCCTGCCTTACTAGTTGCTGGACAGGTGCTGGTCATCTCCAAAAAAACCCCAAAGAAATCAACCAGCCCACCAGCAAATGAAATCAGGTTAACAACATCCCTCCTGCAAGCTGGGCGGGATTTAATTTGTCAGGCAGAGGGAGCGCCACAGATGTAGGGCGACAGACTCTCATCAGGCGGCCAGATAAGTCAGGGGTTGGGGGACACAACAGGGGCTGCATCCACCACGGGTTAGGGCTGGGCCAGCCACTGTACCTTCATGCAACTTCAAGCCAGGGCTCAAGGCTTGGCTGGGGACACAGACTGATGGCTGCACCCCCATGCCCTACCCATGGGACTCCCCAGTACGGAGGCCATAGTATGGGGTGTCCACGGGCAACACAAGGTTGTCTCTAGGGGTGACCTTTCCTCCATAACAGCGTTTCCTCTATCTCCCTCCCAAGCGGGTGTCCACTTGTCACCATGACAACCACATCTCACAATAAACAGCCAGGGTTACTTTCCAAAGAGGCAGGAGGGTGGGCTTGTGATGCTTCTCCTTGGGAGAGCCCATCTGGTGCTCTAATTTCCATCTCAGGGGTGGCGGGGTTGGGGGGCTGGCAGCATCTGAAATTCACACAGTGGGAGGCCCACATGGATTTGGGGCTCCAGGCATCCTAGATAAAGATACTATTTAAATCCTGTTATGCCCTCCCCAAAGTACAGCAGCCAGCCACCCCTCAAAACAAGATGCCAGCCAGGGTCGCCTCAACTCCCTACAGCCAACAGAGGACACGGGGTCCCATCTGTCGCTGAGTAACTGTAGTGGGGCCTGAAACCCACATCAGCCATCACTCGGAGAAGGCGGCAGGCACAGCATGAGAATCAGCGTGTGTCCCCGGAGCTCTGAGGACAGAAAATTAATGTGTGGTGTGGCACAGACTCTTCACAGCACACGGGACTCAGGGGCAACTGTTCAGCACAGAGATAAATGCTTGTAATAAAAATACACTAATGCCAATAAATCTTTCTAATAAACACCTTGGCTCCAGGTGGTGAAACTAAAGCTTGGATTTTAAAAAGTGTCAATTCTCATTTTGCCTGCTTGATGAAACTGAAAGTACAGCAATATAATCACATTGCTTTGGATGAAACAACACCAAACTAGTGCACACTCACTCCGCTCAGGCCATCGTCAACATAGTCAGGATGCTTCCAAGCACTCTCTGGAATGACAGCCATGTCAGGAGCTGAGGTTAGGGATAGAGGGCATCAGTGGAAAGCCAGGCTAGCCACAGCCATCCCCAGTGGCCTGTGAAAATTCTCCCAAACGTAACCCTGTGACAGAGAAGTCCTGGGCGGACGAATGACTCCGTTAGATGACAATCTTCTCTGGGAATCCCTTCACGGCTCCTGTTTTCAAAAGAGGCGATCATCCCTACTCATCTGATATTTCAACAGGGACTTCTTCCTCCACCCAGCTCAGAAGGGGCGGCCGAGACCCGCTACAGCACCAGAACTCCAAGCAGGAGCAGTGAGAGCATGACCCCCTGGTCAGATGGAAGGTCTCACTCAGCAGCACAGAGGAAGGTCTCACTCAGCAGCGTGGACGTCTTCTTTCAGACGCCCTTGGATCCGTCCCCTGACATCTGCGTGGCTCAGAAAACATTACGGTATTGTTCTTTTCCTTCCACTCCTCTTTACAATTCAGGTCACTCCTGTGATGTTTATCTTGAGGAGAATGGAAGCTTGGATAGAGTATTTGTTCTTATAATAGTTACTCCCCTGGGGGAGATCATATCTTTTCAAAGCGGATCTGTGGCTTAAAAGTATCACGACAAGACACACTGGGAAAAACAGCCAGTCAGTCTGTACTTACAAATCTCTAGGCAGGCCTGTGAATGGGAGGAGGAAGGGGAGTCCCTCCTGCATCCCGGTATCCAGACATCTCATGGAACATATTTATACTAAAAAATTATTCGCTATCTACCTGAAATACAACTTATTTTTTCAATTGCTTATTATGGTAAAATACACATACAATAAAATATACTATCTTAACCATTTTTGAGTGTACAGTTCAGTGTTATTAAATTCATAATGTTGTACAACCCTCACCACTATAAGTTTTTTCATCTTGAAAAACCAAAATCCTATACCCGTCTAAATTCGAATGTAACTGGGTACCCTATACTGTTATTTGCTGAGTCCATCAGCTCTAGGGGGCAGACAGGCTGATAGCACACTCTGGCCTGGCTTTATTCTCCGTGCTTGGTCTGCTGAAATCTCTCCTCCATCACCGACCACTGGGGCCACCTGCACACGTCCTCCACTTCATTGTTCACTGTCTCTTCACAGAGCCCTGTAAAGGGCAGGCAGTGGATGGCTGTGTCCAGTGCAGCATTTCAGAACAGAATCATATTTATCTAAACTTGTCACTGCATTTTGAGGCTTTGTCAAGTACCATCCAAAGGTGGGCCCACATGGCCAGGCCTGAACAGGTGCCTGTTGTATGTCCCATATGGCACAGGGTAGCTCTTGCTAAGGACAGGACGATGCATGCAACAAAGACCCTGACCTAGGACAGCTCACCTTCCAATGTGGAGACAGAACCCAGTGATCCTGCCAGCCTCAGACCCTCCACAGGATGAGCCAGGGTATAAACAGACACACACATGAACAAAAGCAGGCCCTGGGAGATCAGGCCAGAGGAGCTGAAGCGGTGAGGCCAGAGACCAAACCATCAAGGTGACAGGGCTGCTTAATTTTTTTCCTTTGAAAGTAATCAGAACCCTCATGCATTGCTGGTGAAAATGTAAAATGTTCTGTCACTGTGGAAAACATCTGTGGTTCCTAAAAACGGTAAACACTGAATAACCACATGACCCAGGAATTCCACTCCTAGTGATACACCCAAAAGAGCTGAAAGCAAGTGTCTACACAAAAGCTTGTACACATATGGTCACAGTGGCACTATTCACATTAATCATGCGGTAGAAACAACTCAAATGTCCATCAGTGGATGAGTGGATTAATAAAATGTAAAATAGCCATTCAGTGGAATATCATTCAGCCACAAAAATGAACAAAGTACTGACACACACTACAACAGGGATGAACCCTGAAAACATGATGATGAAATAAGCCAGACACTAAAGGGCACATATTGTCTGATCCTATCTTTATGGAATATCCGGAATAGACAAATCCAAAGTGAGAGAAAACAGATTTTTCACTGTGGGGGCTGGGGGCGGAGGGAAGAATGGGGAGTGACTGCTTAATAAATACAGGGTCTCCTCTGGGGGCAGCGAAAATGTTCTGGAACTAAAGAGCAGAGGTGGTTGCACAACATTGTACTAAATGCCACTGAATTGTACACTTTAAAATGGTAAACTTTATGTTACGTGTGTATTACTACAGTTTAAAAATAATAGGAGAAGCAAGAGTAAAGAGAGCCCTCTAAGGGTCTCAAACATACTGCCCTGTGAGAGCCCCTTCACCTAAGCTCTACGGAGGTCATCCGCCAGCTTGTACTGAGCTAACCCTCCAGTGACTGACACCCAGGCAAAGTGGGAGATGGTCCAGGGGAGGGGGTGGGTCATCCAGGCAGCAGAGGCAGCTGTCCATCAACCACTGACAGCCCCTTCTCCTGGTCACCTGCACCTGCCTCACATACCAGGTGCCATTCTGTGTCCATTTGTGGGGAAGGTGGGAGCTCCGCCCATCCTTCCCCCACAAGAGGGCTGTGATCCACCTGGCACTCTGCTGCAGTAGACCCTGCGCTGACCAAGCTAAGCAGACAGTGCCCCTTTCTGCAGGGCTGAGACCGGCCCAGGGAGAGTCACCCACCAGTGCTGCGGAACTAGGGAGAATTCCATTTGGTTTTGTTCAACTCTCAAATGAGAAAATCTTCATCAACCCTTTCTAATACCATTGCTTAGGGGCCAGCATGGCTGCTTCTGCCACTGGTTCTACACATTTGCTGCAAACATCCGCAATTTTTCCATCCTGCTAACTTAAAAGCAAGAAGCCCTGTGTGCACAGTTTAACGACAGCAACCTACTGGGGCTAAAATTCAATCGCGTGACTTTATCAGAGGCTCAAGCTTGCAGTTCTCCCAGAAGGCTTGACCTGTGACCTCCCCTGTGGCCTCCACACTTGGCCTCGAGCCCTGCACACATTCTGAGAAAACTAGCTTGACATCTGAAAAATGAATGTAACGATGGTGCCCAAGCCAAAAGGAAATTGAATGACCAGTAGTAAGTCGATGTTAGACTTTGGTTTCCAGAGAGCATTTTCTACAGTATTTAACTTCCACTAATTTATGTAGGCCACATCTCTGTTCTCCTAATACGAGGAGTCCACAGTTCCAGTCAATAAGATTAGTCTTAATAAGAAAAAAACTTAGTCTCAATGGAACTGCCTAAGGCTACAGACATTAAAACAAAGCCCTACAACTCATAATTTGAAAAACAAGTTTCACCAGATGATCTATAAAGAAGGTACCAATGATCCAGTTAACTTTACTAAATCTACCTGTCTGCTTTTAGGAATATACACAGTAGAATATCTGGGATATTTAAACTTGTGGAAAAGGCGAGAGGATGGCAGAAATAGCTGTTATTTGATGGTGGATTTAACGATATATGTTTATTTTAATGACACTCACAAGGCATGACCACAATCACTTTACCATAAGCCACAGCCTGTGGGATCTGTTCCTTCCACTCCTGCCAAGGCGGGATCATGACCCATACAAGACCTAGGAGAGAAGGGGAGGCTCCCCTACTCCCACTCAGGATGTGGTTGTGTTATTTACTCATGGCTCATTTTGGTCTTGAATGTCCTCCTGAAACCTCCCAGGGATGTGCCGACCCACCGCCTCACGACCACACACGCCAGGTCCACAGGTCCACAGGCCTGAATGGGTATAATCACAGTTCATCCCCACTGTGGCTACATCTAAATAGTTTTGATTTGGCCCAAAATGTTTTTGCTTCTTTGTGGGTGATATAGTTTGGATATTTGTCCCTGCCCAAATCTCATACTGAAATGCAATCCCCAATGCTGGAAGTGGGGCCTGGTAGGAGGTGTCTGGATCATGGGGTGAATCTTTCATGAATGATGTGGGCCATCCCCTTGGTAGTAAGTGAGGTTTTACTTTGAGTGCACAAGAGAACTGGTTGTTTAAAAGTGTGTGGCGCTTCCCCCTCCAACCCCCACTCTCTCTCTTGCTCCCATTCTCACCATGTGAAGTGCTGGCTCCCACTCTGCCTTCTGTCACCATTGAAGGCTTCCTGAGGCCTCCCCAGAAGCAGATGTTAGTATTATGCTTCCTCTACAGCCTGCAGAACTGTCAGCCAATTAAACCTCTTTTCTTATAAATTACCCAGCCCCAGGTATTTCTTTAAAGCAGTGCAAGAATAGCCTAACACGGTGTGATAATGGCTACATGGGTTCAGACTGGCTCAACTTGGTTTTAGAGGATCCAAATTGGTTCAAACCAGTTATTCACTGAAAAACCTCTTCTTTTCTTTATTTATTTTATTGTGGTAAGTATACATAACATACAATTTACCATCTTAACCATTTTTAAGTGTACAATTCAGTGGCATTAAGTACATTCACACTGTTGAGCGACCATCACCACCGATGACCTCCAGAATGCTTCCATCTTCACAACTGAACCTCTGCACCCATTAAACACCAGCTCCCCACTCCCTGCTCTCTCCAGCCCCTGACCACCGCCACTCTACTTCCTGTTTCTATGACTCTGACTACTGTGGGTGCCTCAGAAGTAGAATCACACAGTACTTGTCCTTTTGTGACTGGCTCATTGCACTTAGCAGGACGTCTTCAAGGTTTGTCCATATTGCAGCCTGTGTCACAATTTTCTTCCTTTTTCAGGGTGAATACCATTGAAATCCTTTTCTTTTGTACTTTCTCGCTATGCTTGTGGCTCAGAAGAGCAAATACAAGGCCGCAATGCAGCAAGAGGAGCCCTGACCCACCACTGCTTTGCCTGTGGAGTGGGTTTTGAGGACTGGGGAATGGCTGGATGACCTCCCTCTCTCGAAGATGAACACAAGTATATCTAAAAGTGGGGCCCAATGAATGAATAATGAACATGCTATCTTTCACATAACTGGGGCCGCAATGAATGAATCAGAGGGGGCAGACAGTCTCCAGAAGCAGAATCAGAGGCCACCTGCAAGCACATGGGCCGAAGGACAGGGGCTAATGAGAAAGAGGGTAAATGACTGATGCCGCCACACACAGCAACAGCCTCCACCCTGACGTCACACCCGAGCAGCTCTTGGGGAGCAGCGTCTCCCTACCTGAAGTCCACCTCGGGCTCCCGAACCTGCACAGTCTGGCTGCACCCACAGCAGACCAGGCAGGCCACCCGTGGGACAGACCCAGAAGTGAGTCAGCACCCAGTGTCTCTTAAAAGGACCAGGACCAGATGGAGGCCTGGACCATGGGTAGCTGTTGACACTGGAGGAGGGGACAATAGCTTCTGTGAGCCTAGCCCAAACTTCCTTCAGCTCCAGCACTTTGGGTCTTGGCTTGGTCTCAGCTGGAGAGAGACCAACTTCTCTTCTGTGAAGGCTGACTGGGGAATTGGGGGCAGACGTGGGTGTGGCAAGTCCTGGAGGCCTCTATCAGCCCAGAGGGCTCCATTCCATTCCACATCTCCTTTCTCCACATGTCTGAGTTGTGCGTAGTTTTCTTGAGCTGCCCATGGTATTATCTGACATAGGATTAGGAGTTATTCTAATAGGTCAGCCCCCTATTACCATAGTCACATGTCTTCATAGTAACTGACTGGCACTGGTTGTGATCTGAATGCTTTGGGGTAAAACTCCCATGTCTGCCATCACCACGCTATCACATCTTGGGCAAGCACACCATGGGTGACATTACGCATCTCAGCGTGTTCAGCCATGCGATCTTTCTTCCTAAACAGATACTTCTATAACTTCTTGCACCGAGCCCTGCACTTCCTAGGGAATGTCACAGACTAACTGATTTTGCCAACTGGGTGTCTCTCAAGCCTCTGGTGCAAGAGAGGCATGATGCCAGGTGTCACGGAGGCCCAAGAACGGGAGGTACGGGGCCTCAAGAAGCAGACGCACGTGGACAGCCTGGGTCCCATACCCAATGCTCTCACTCCCCACAATCTGCCCTAGACACCCCACCGGCAGATGAGTACAATGCAAGTCAATATCTCACATACAAGCGTGCGTGCACACACACACACACACACACACTATGAGCACCTCGGCTTGCTGGCACCTCCTTGGGCCCTCCGTGCAAGTCTCTATAGACACTGTCCATCTACCATTCCCATGCCTCTGCCTTCCCAATCCACCAGAGCTGCTCAGGCTCAGGGGACCCCGCCAACAGGTGGCCACCGCCAACGGGTGCTTTCTTCCCCAGTAAGATATCTCCTAACTGCCCTGCTACATCTGGCCTTCCTAATGTCCCTCCCCTCAGCTCCCCAGTTCTCTCCTGGCTCCCCTCCATGCCCCCAGTGGAACCCTCTGTCTCTCTCTCATCACCATCCCCCAACCCATGTCCCTCGCCTTCCCTTTGTCTTGTTTCAGGCTCAAAGCCACATCACGATTCCAGCCCCTTCCATGCTGAGGACACCCACACACCTCTATGTTCATCCCCACCTTGTCGGCTGACTTCCCAAAGCCCCTCTCAAAGTCACAGAGCCTCTCCGCCTGTCCCTAACTCTGGAGCCTGTCCTGGAAGCCTGCCTGGAACTCGTCTGGAGCCTGGCCACACCTGGATGGGGGCGGGGAGAGTCTCATGTATCCGTCTCCCTCTAGAATGAGTTTCAAATGCAGGATAATGCCACTTTCACCTTTGCAGTCCCAGTGCCAACCACGTGGCAGGTGCCAATTTGCAAGGGCCATGCCAGAGATTTGCAGGGAGGGCCGGCCCCCCACATCAGGAGCAGCCCAGCAGGAGGAGCTGGCTTTGAAGAGTGTGAATTCGGGGTGGAAACTGGAAAAAAGGTGCCCAAGGTTAAGAGAGGCTTGGCTATCATTTGGAGTCGGTGAGAGACAGGTAGTCCCAGGCCCAGCTTGCCTACCTGGAAGAAGAGGTGTGT
This sequence comes from Homo sapiens, assembly GCF_000001405.40. NCBI lineage: Eukaryota > Metazoa > Chordata > Mammalia > Primates > Hominidae > Homo > Homo sapiens. Next base: position 1,226,710 of record NW_011332701.1, on the reverse strand, counting down.
GGGCTTCTCAGCTAACTTCCTATTAGATATTCGGTGTGAGAAAATCAGGGCAGCCCTTGGGGCTGTGCAGCTGTTGCCCCATCTCCCAAATCAGTGACTCTGGAGTAGAAAGAGGCATGTGAGAACTTCTCCAGCAGGGCACAAGCCACATTCAGGAGGGCCCTGCAGAGGGGACAGCGTGGGGGCACCTTGGGAGGCCCTTACCCGACCTCACCCCCAGCAGCTCCAGTGTGGCCCTGACCAGTCCTGGTCCTCCTCTCATCCTATCTCACAAGCAGGGCTCACCACCTCCTTTGTGTCACTCCCGAGGACAGGTCCACTAGTGTCCTCACCCCTGCCCAGCATGGCCTGTACCCAAACTGGGTGCAGGGACTTGCCCACCCACCTCCCCCAGACCCGATGAGCTTCCCATGGACTGAAAACTCATCATCATCATCATCATCTGCACAAGCACTCCATGCCCCGCACCATCCATACAGACACTGACCCAGATCAACTCCCCTCCCCACCCATACAGACACTGACCAGATCAACTCCCCGCACCACCCATACAGACACTGACCAGATCAACTCCCCTCCCCACCCATACAGACACTGACCAGATCAACTCCCCGCACCACCCATACAGACACTGACCAGATCAACTTCCCTCCCAACCCATACAGACACTGACCCAGATCAACTCCCCTCCCCACCCATACAGACACTGACCAGATCAACTCCCCTCCCCACCCATACAGACACTGACCAGATCAACTCCCCGCACCACCCATACAGACACTGACCAGATCAACTCCCTGCACCACCCATACAGACACTGACCAGATCAACTCCCCGCATCACCCATACAGACACTGACCAGATCAACTCCCCTCCCCACCCATACAGACACTGACCAGATCAACTTCCCTCCCTACCCATACAGACACTGACCCAGATCAACTCCCCTCCCCACCCATACAGACACTGACCAGATCAACTCCCCGCACCACCCATACAGACACTGACCAGATCAACTCCCCTCCCCACCCATACAGACACTGACCGAGATCAACTCCCCGCACCACCCATACAGACACTGACCAGATCAACTCCCCTCCCCACCCATACAGACACTGACCAGATCAACTCCCCTCCCCACCCATACAGACACTGACCCAGATCAACTCCCCTCCCCACCCATACAGACACTGACCAGATCAACTCCCCTCCCCACCCATACAGACACTGACCCAGATCAACTCCCCTCCCCACAGCCCCACGAGATGGGGGGCTGCTGGCACAGGTGGCCCATCCAGAATGTTCCCGGGCCCCAAGCTGCTGCAGCCGGGTGGGATGCCGGCTTCCTGACTGTGGCTCCAGCATTCCTAACCACCGCACTCTGCTTTCTCCCCGAGGACTAGGGTGTGTTTGAGGGGAGAGGCACTTTTTAGATCACTATTAGTGGTAGTGGGAGAGCTTTACATGCTCTGCCCTGACAATGTTTTAGAACAATGTTTTAGAAACCCCGGCTTTACCTAGATTTTAAAAGTACCCGAAGCAATCCCAGATCCTGATAGATAAACTGCTCCCTGAAAATAACAGCCACCCATGGTGACATGTCATCAAAACATCAAAAGGCTTCATACAAATCAAAGAAGGCAGCTGTGCTGACTCAGCAAATGGGCCCTGAGCTTCTGAACATCAAGTTCAGAAGCTCATGCGGAGCCAGCCAGGATTGAAACGTCAATGCACACCCGTAGGATTTTATTTTTCAAGGCAATCCTGGGAATCAGTAGCAGGAGGTGCGGTGTCCACCCTGTCACAGTGCTGGGAGCAGAGCTGCACGGGAAGGGGTTCAGTACAGACGACAGGGGACACAGGAGCACCCCAAGAACCCTCCCGTGCAGCCTCCCCGTATGCAGAGCAGGAGTGCTAGGCCTGACGCCATGGGTGGGCGGGGCAAGGGACACTAGAATCTGAGGCATGGCTGCAGAAAGGAGGGAGCCGACTACTCCACTGAGGCCTGGGGGCTGGAGAGGACCTTCCCCTTCCCAGGCAGACCATGCCCCAATGCCCCCCATAACCCCCTGCCCTCAGCACCACCTACAGGCTCTTTCCCAAGTTCCATCCTACTGTGGGCCAGGTTTAGACAAACCCCAGACCACTCCCTCCTGGGCGCAGTGCAAGCCCCAAAGCCCCTCTGTGCAGGACCACCCCATCTGCACACCTGCTGCCCCACCACACGCTGATGGAGGGGGGGCGCCTGGGTGCCAACAACCCCATGCCACTCTTGTCTCAGTCCTCTTCTGTAAAGCAGATACTGACACTCACTTCATATGCTGCCCAGCGGGGCATGTGTGTGAGGCCGTGGCTCAGAACACACACGGTACCACTGCCTCCCACCTGGGGGACACACCCAGTTACCTGTGCTTTTAGCACCTTCTCTCCCTTGGCACCAGACTCCTATCACACTCTCAGAAGGTTCTTCAAAAAGCAAGCCTCTACTGAATGCCAAGTCACGGCCAAAGCATCTCTACAATGAGCAATGATGCACAATTCTGCATTCGATGTGGCCTCGGGGCCCTCGACCATGCTTCCCTTTAACTTGTATTAAGTTGGCTACCATGTATTGATTTTTCTTCTTTTTTCTATTGGCAGAAGGCTCTTTCTAGAAAGCACCAGCTGGGTCAGGGATAAACAGAAATCATGAAAACCCCAAATAATCAAAACGCATATTTGGTTTGCCATTCCAAGGTGTGGAGCTATTCTACACTTGCTGAGTAAATCAAATACCTCAACTCGGTAGCCATGGAGGTCCTGGACAAGGAATGCCTGCAGCTCCAGAAATCTCCAAGGTCCAAAGGAGTAAGTCTCTACAGGGAGAATTTCAGGCAGGGCTGACCTTTTCAGTGTATCTCCTGATAGACGTCACAAGGTAACAGGTGGGATGGGGCTCCAAAACAATCCGTCCAGCCCTCGCCAAACCCTTTATGTTCCACAGGCCACCCAGAGGCATCCAGAGAACATGCCATCCAGGGCCACCCCACAGACCCACAGAACTAGGATCTTTGGTGCTGGACAAACGCTCTTATGGTGCCCCCCAGGAGTGTGGGTGAGTTGCCCCAGGGAAAGCACTGATGAGCAAACTACTCTCTTCAAGGGAAGGCACCAAGGACGTGCCAGGTCCACAGGCTCATCCCTGGAGCTGTGAGACTGAGCCAGGTACCAGTGCCCAGCTGGGGTCCTCCCTCCACTCACGCTTCACTGCCTGATAGTAGAGGGCCACATGGGTAGGTGTAGTAATACTAATTCCATCAGGTCACACAATACGAGCCTTGCTGGACCCAACTCATGTATTCCTTAATCACTGCATGAAAAAAAAAATCAATACGTTATGTCAACAAAGCTCAAAAAAATTAAGAAAAATGCCACATGAACAATCTTTACTTGACTTGTTTGATCTGTGGCCTGAGCCCTGGTGAACTTAGGACACGTTAGCACTGAGATGGGGACATTTTACAGACCGGAGGCTTCCGTATCTACTGGTCACCTCACTGGCACCGTATCCCACTCACTGAGAACAACAGGGCACGCCAAGCCTTTCAACAGCAAGGAAACAGACAACAGAGGAGAAGAGACCATCACTCTCCAGGAGGAACACTGCACAGTTCCCCCACACTGACTCACCCTCCAGCAGGCAGGCTCAAACGCGGACTGAACAGAACTGGACGCTTTCTCTTCTCAGGTTCTTCAAGGGCTGTGTTATGCACTGTTCAGAGGCACGGGTTTTGGCATAACACAGTCCACAGTCTATTCACAGGTGAGCTACTTAACTGTGCCATCTGCAACACGGGACTAACCCTAGCTCCCTCTCTCTGGGTTGCTCTAGGATTTACTGCGATCATATTCCTAACACCCCTAACATGGTGCTGGCAGTCACCGCCAACACTGCTGCCACCTCCACCGGCACCCACGGACTTTACACAAACCACAAAATAAGAAAGGTTAAATCTGCAGAAGCCAAGGGTCCTGATGATAACACAATGACAACCTTTCCATCATCACCATTTGGGGTTGCTGAATCATCTTGGAACTGAAGCATACAGGGAGAGGCCTTGGGAGTTCATGTGTACGGGTCCTTTACTCCCCAGGGTGTAAAGCTTGGGTCTGTATTCTCCCACAGACCCTGCATGGAGGGAAAAGGGCTTGCTGATACACCATGTTTGGGAAGCACTGGCCAGGCTGGCTGGTGTCTCCGCTATAGCGAACGTGGGACTTTATGCTACTTGTGTGTGAGAAATCAGTAAACCCCCAAGAAGGGAAAAACTTTGCAGCAAAGTTTCCCAAAGTCATTTGCCAACCAAATACAACCAATTCTCATTCACATAGTTATGTTCTGTAAAGCTGCCCTGAGCACTGAGTTGATGAATACTGAATACATTGCTCCTAGGGGCGATACAGGGTTAGGTTCCTATGAGCCTCGGGACACATTTTTGTCAATGAATCAACACAGAACCTTGTTTTATGTGTGTTTCTGTTTATACGCACCTTGTTTAATATAGATTTCTTATAAATAATTAATTATATGCAATATTTCTTTAACATAAAACACTAGCTGAGAAGAGTTTAACATTTCCCTGACCCTAGATCACAAGACAGTAAAGTTCTTGGGTTTTCTACCTGTCCACTATGTGTTTTTTAATCAGTTATTGTCCCATGAATCTGCAAATTTAGCCATTCCTCCACCTTTTCCTTAACTTCATCATACGCTACAGAAGTTTACTTTAGCACCTCCCAGAGTGGCAGCATAGACGAGTCAGCACTGTCGCTCAGCCCTGAAGGAAGCTTCTCTAGCACATGTAAGGCACATGGCAGCCATTCTGTGCTTAGGATCACTAGGCTTCAGCACCACACTTGAGGGCCATTTTATCACCAACACACACACACACACACACATATCAACAAAAATGCAAAGAACATTAAATAGATTGTGAAAAGAACAGCTGTTTACAGTATGAGAGCTGAAACAAGAAGGCAAAGCCTTGTTCAACCTCAGCTGGGAACGTGAGAGTTGGGTGACTCAAATTCTTCCCCTCTCTGTACCTCCACAAATGACTGGGAAAGTGCTACGAGTATTGATTTCAGGGTTACAAATCAATTTTAGCAAGTTAACAAAGTTGCAAATATCAAATCCATGAATAGTAAGGATCAAATGGTACTTTGTTTACACAACACCTCTAAGAGCGTGTTTTGGGAAATCCTGACCTAGGTTTGTCTCTTTGATTTGAAAACTCTACAGTGGAATTCTACAATGCCACATGGCAAAAGATTTTTTTGCCTGTATTTTCCAAATTTTCCTCAGTAAACTTGCAGTGCTTTGAAATAACCTTTTTTTATTTTACTAAAATAATTCAAGTGTAGATCTCTGTTCCCCAACCTGTCTTCCTACAATTTTAGAAACTCTATCACCTTTGTGCCTCTCATATCCCAGCCCCCGGGCAGACCTCTTGGTCTCAGCAGAGTGGCACAGGTGGGAGGGCTCCCTGCAAACTGGAGCCTTTTCAAAATGCATGGCATCCTACAGCTCAGGAGGGCTCCAAAGGCCACACAACCTACTTCTTAGTACAGGCACAACTCATTTTTCTTTTCTTTTTTTTTTGGAGGTGGGAGTCTCACTTTGTTGCCAACGTTGGAGTGCAGTGGTGCTATCTCGGCTCACTGCAGCTTCTGCCTCCCAGGCTCAAGCGATTCTCCTGCCTCAGCCTCCTGAGTAGCTGGGATTACTGGTGCACACTACCATGCCCATCTAATTTTTATATTTTTAGCAGAGACAGGGTTTCACCATGTTGGTCAGGCTGGTCTCGAACTCCTGACCTCAGGTGATTTGCCCACCTTGGCCTCCCAAAGTGCTGGGATTACAAGTGTGAGCCACTGCACCCAGCCGGCAACTCATTTTTCGTATCGACCAGACCAAAGCAATGTCCTCTGTGAATACATCTACCCAGACAGGGAAGAAGGAAACATCCAATTAAATCCCTCTGTACCGAAAGGAGGTGGAGGGGTCACAGATGAGTCATTAACATCTTAAAAATGCTGCAGAGATGGTGAAAATAATATAACCAAAATTCAAAAGAAAATGTACTAAAGATGAGGACATACGCAACAGGAAGTCACACCTACAGTGTAGAGAGTGCTTCTATGAGATGGAAATGCATCCAAACCCCAAAAGATAAAGGGCATGCATCCAACATCCACAGAAGAAGGGAAACAATTAGGCAAGGTCATCGAGGGGAAATGGTCAACGTTGATGTACGGCATGGGGATTTATCCTCAGGTAATAAACCAAAGAAGGAAAACATGGTTTGTACAAAGATGTCTGTGGCAGCCTTACACCTAAGAGAAAATGCCACTCACAATCTGCATGCTCAATGGTAGAGTGTGTACAGAGAAATATGTTATACAGCACATCATCGCCCAAATGGATCATGGAAAGGTCACTACAAATAATCATGAAAATTATATGGTGACATGGAGAAACATTTATCATACATCAGATTTTAAAAACTGTATGACAAAAATACATCTGGGTTATGATGACAGCTACGTACATCATTTATGCTCAATGCTATGGTCTGAAAAGGCACACTGATGAAATAGCTCATCCGTTAGGGTAGTAGGGACCATGGAGAATACATTTTTCATCTTCCCATTTTTTCTAACTCTATTTTACTATTGCCATTCGTGCAATGACTAAATGCTATTCAGTCCTCTTCAAAATATCCAGGACACACTTTTTCAAGCTGTAAAATGAGTAGAAGAGAGGGGAGGGTTGCTACACAATTTCCTCCAAGTGAGTCTCCTACAGCATCACAGCTGGAATGTGGCATCTTGTTGAAATGCAGATTTCAGATTCAGCAATGTGGGGGCGGGGCTCCCCAGTAATGCCAATGCTGCTGGGTTAGGGTTAAAAACAGGAGTCTACAGCATCTAAGTGACCAATATTGCCCATTTCTCCCTTCAGATTTTTTTTTTACTGCAGCCTCAACCATAGGGATCACTACACTATGTGGACAGCACTGGGATCAGAGAGGTGAGCATGGGACACATGGCACCCTGTGCACCTGCTTGAGGCCAGGCCTTTGTTGGCTCCTGGCACGGCCTGGCTGTCCCCCAGGGGAGGAAGGGGATTGTTCTTAGGAAAGCAGGTTGTTATTTCAAGCAAGGCAGCACCAAATCTCCCAGTGCACATCCTTCATAAAAAATCTTGCTTTCAAGATGAATTCTACGGCTCTTTCTGGTCAGGTTTCAAAGAGGTCCTCATCTGGAATGGGGTACTCAAATCTAAGAATGTGGAGACCCTGCCCACGTGCAGCGGGCCTGGTAGAGTCTTCAGAAAGAGTAGTCAGGGCCCCTGGCACCAGGGTACTTGTCAGCCTGGAACTCTGGAACTAGCAGGTGTTCCCCTTGACAGAATTAATTTGTGAACTGATAGGAAAGAAAGAAAGAAAGAGAGAGAGAGAGAGAGAGAGAGAGAGGAGGGAGGGAGGGAGGGAGAGAAGGAAGGGAGGGAGGGAGGGAGGGAGGGAGGGAGGAGGGAGGAAGGGACGAAGCGCGAAAGAAAGAAAGAGAGAGAGAGAGAGAAAGAAAGAAGGGAGGGAGGGAGGGAGGGAGGGAGGAAGGGAGGAAGGGAGGAAAGGAGGAAAGGACAGAAAGGAGGGAGGGAGGGAAAAACAAAACAAAACAAAAGCTATACAATCATTAACCAGTTTAAATGAACTTTTCCAGTGTCTCAGACAAGAGCATGTCCTTCAAGGACACATTCTCCTTAGGGGGAGAAGTGACATACTTTTTCATTCAATGCCTCTTCTGGGAAGAACAGACATCCTCTTGATCCTCCACAATGGCTGGGGACTTCCCCTACCTCCACCTGCCCTTTTAAACAGCTACTATCACCCATCCATCCATTCATTCCCACTCATTTACCTCCCAGCTCTCCAATCGCAAGATCTCTGTGTTTTTACCCAAATTACCATCTGGTTAGCATGAAGCACAAAACCAGAAAATATCAGGTCTTGCTTACTCCCCACCACGCTCTAAAGATAATCTTCTTTGACAAGAACTTGGCTAGCGATGCCATTTGTCACAATAAGACGCAGCATGTCACACGCTCTGCACAGCCCACGTCAATCCCTGAGGTGCCTTCACCACTGTTGTGGGACAAGCCCAGGCCCTGCTAAAGACCAAAGAAACACTTTGCTTTGGCCTAAAGCCCAGACCCAGGGTCCAGAGCCTCCTGGCCTTAGGGGTGAACTCTCCCAACACCCACTAGTACCATGGGAGCTCCTATGCATCCCACAGCCCCCTGTAAACACGGAATTGCTGTGAATGACAGGAACACCCCCAAAGTGAAGTCAACTGACACTTAACGTTCTTTAGAGAGAATACAAGACATTAAAATACAAGTGCTGAAAATCCAGGAGTCAATTAAAATATAAGTGCTGAAAATCCAATGATTTCCATTCCAAACCCAAGCTCTCAGTACACACACACACACACACACACACACACACACACACACACACACACTCAAATTCATGAACTCTTCTCGGAAAAAAATATTTAACAGTTAAGGCTGTAAAAAAATATGACAGAAGTCCACATAATTGGCCAAATAGAAGTTCCTTCACACAAGTCCAATAATCACATCTTCTTTATATACTCACAGTGAGGCTTTTTTTGGAAGGTGGCTTTTCAAATGTGTTTATTAGAATGCACGCTGACTTTGCTATAATTAAAATACAGTTATGCTGACATCCACTGCCCTCATTAGCATGCGTTTCTTCCCCGAGGTTTTGTCAAACCTTCAAAAAATCCTTTTCCAAATAGGTATTCACAGCTGATTGCCCATCAGGCCAAGGCCCCCGGGCTTTCAGAGACCCGTCCATTGTGAAATGCACTCTGGCCCCGACCCCAGCCACCAGGCCACCCAACACTGGCCGCAGCAGTGGGTGAGCACCAGCACCCCCACGTCTTTGCCACTGCCCTGCTGGTCTGAGTACACCCCTGAGGATTGAGGGGCTCTCCCACACATACTGCCCCACCATGAGCAGACCAGGGCAGTGGGCAAGAAATCGAACCTCTCTTCTAGGGTGGGAGGAGGGGTGTCTTCTGCGAGACACGAGTTGCCACTCAGCCCTCAACCGGCTTTAGTCCTGAGTCTGAGCGGTGAGCTTAAGAGTGGCCGGAGCATCCACGCAACATGTCTCCCAACTGGACCAATGAAGAGCTCAGCCACCATTAGAACTGTGAGGCACCCAGCACCCCCCACCGCCTCGCTTCAGCATCTGCAAGGCCTGTACCCTGAGGTCCCTTGCTCTCGGGCCCCTCTGCTCCCTTCCCCAGGACAGCCAGGGTCCTACCTGCTCGTGGGGCCACTTCAGCCTCTCTTCTGGGGTCCTGGTCTTGGGCTTGAAGCCTCTCTGGGGGTCTCCGGGGTGCTTGGCCTCGGGAAGGAGGTTCAGCGACTTGGGCCTCGCCTCGTGCCTGCTGGGGCTGCAGCTGGCCTTGATGGGTGGGCAGGCCTCTACAGAGTCCTCAGGCCCTGGCTCAGGCCCATGCTCGGGGCTGGCCTCACTGGCGCTGGTGATGCTGGTCATGCTCAGACTCATCTTGATCTCTGCCACGATCTGGTCAATGTCCTCCTCCTGGTCCTCCAGGTCCCCATCCCCACGCCTCAGGCGGTAGGGGGAGGCGCCGGTGTTCCCGTTGGCCTCCTCGGGGTAGTAGTCCTGGTAGCCCTCTTTGCTGGCACAGTAGTGACCATCTTCTTCCTGGTCATGGGCCTCAAGGACGGAGGGCTCATCCTCCGGAATGGGCAGTTGGCCGTCTGGGTAGTCCTGGCTGCCTTCAGCCTCGTGGCCGTGGGGGTGCGGGCCCGCCGAGTCCGTCCACTCCTCCACCGCCTCCTGGCACTCATCAGTGTCCACAGGGTGTGCACTGTGGGCCAGGTACTCCTCCCCGTTGCAGTCCATGCCCTCTAGGTAGCTGTCGTCCTCAGGGCAGTAGCGGATGTAGTAGGTGATGCCCTCCTCCTCCTCAGGGAGGCCCTCGTCATAGTCCTCCTCCTCAGAGGTGTTGTTCACGTAGTCAGAGCTGGAGTCCCCATCGGGGCTGTGGTTGTGGCACTCCTGTTCCTCTGGCGCGGGGCTCTCTGGCCGCAGGGCAGCCAGCTCCAGGCCCTCGGGCACATAGCCCTCCAAGGGCAGCTCCATGTCCTCGCTCTCGGGCTCCTGGCTGTGAGGGACAGGACCTGGTCTCACCCTATGGTCCAACATGCCGCTCCCCACGCTCTCAAGCTTCCGGTGGGCCATGGCAGTCGTTCACACAGCCATCATCACCCGGAGGCAGCCACTGTGGGGAGGAACATTGGGAAGGACAGAGTCAAAACCCCACAAAGCCCAGCCATGTGTGGGGCCACTTCACCACAGCACCTCCCACCACGTCCTCCCGCAGCCATGTGAGGGCACATCTGTTCAAACAGTGCGCCATCCCCACCCCCGCTAACTCATCATCAGAACAACACGCATCCACACCAAGGAGAACGAGGGCACACAGAGCTCCGGGAAAAGCAGTCAAGGGAGGCACCGGCAACTCACGAGGACACACGCCTCTCCCCAGGAACCTACCGGCTCATTCCTGACTTCTCACTCAGTTTGGGTAGCCCAGGTGACCAAGACAAATGGTCAGAAGATCAGGTTGTTTGCTCTCACGAAGAAAATGAGCAGCTTTCATTAAGAAGACATAATGAGGACCAATGAGGAGGGACAATAACTCTTCCCAATCTAAATCCATGACCCCTCAAAGACTATCTTGGGTACCTTCCCCTTCAGGCTTATCCCATCCTCTCCCTCCTCTTCCCCCTCAAACTGAACAATGTTCACCGAGGAACTGGATGCGCAGGGACCATCCAGGCTGAGCAATGTGCAGAAAAGCTCTACACAAGTCCCCAGCGTGGCAGGCTGGAGGGCTCAGCAGAGGGGACAGCACTGCTCGGCCATGGGGAGAAGAGGACAAAGGGTGCAGCCGCAGCCTGCAGGTATCGTGGGGTGACAGGGCAGCTGCAGAGACCTGGCAGGCCAAACTGGGAGAGGGCCTGGACCCAGTGCCCAGGACTCTGCACTTTATCCCCCAAACCACACGGCTATGGCCTTAATATGTCCCCCAAAGTTCATGCGTTGGAGACTTAATCCCTAATGCAACAGTGTTGAGAGGTGGGACCTTTGAAAGGTGATTAGGTCATGAGGGCTGTGCTCTCATGAATGGATTAATGTCTTTATCTTGGGAGGAAGTTCTTTATTGTGAGAGTGGGTTTGTTATAAAAGTGAGTTTGGCTCTCTCTTGCTCTCTTTCTCATTCTCCCTCACCTTCTCACCTCTGCCTTGGGATGACATAGCAAGAAGGCCCTTACCAGATGCTGGCACCTTGACCTTGGACTTCCCAGCCTCCAGAACTGTGAGAAACAAATCTCCATTCTTTATAATCAACCAGTCTTAGGTATTCTGTTATAGCAACAGAAAACAGACTAAGACATGTGCACAGTCACTGAGCCATTTTCAACATTTTTTCTTTTAGCCCTGTCTCTCTGGGCCTGGCGTGGGGACAGAGGCTAGAGGCTAGAGGCAGGGAGACCAGTGAAAAGGCTATTCTCTCTTCTGGGGGAAAGCAAGGGGCTAGCATCAGGAAAGTGGCACAGAGGACGTCCAAAAGTTTGCTTAACGTTCTACTTCTTTTTTTTTTTTTTGAGATGGAGTCTCGCTCTGTCGCCCAGGATGGAGTGCAGTGGCACCATCTCAGCTCACTGCAAGTTCCACCTCCTGGGTTCACACCATTCTCCTGCCTCAGCCTCCCGAGTAGCTGGGACTACAGGTGTCCCCCACCATGCCGAGCTAATTTTTCGTATTTTTAGTAGAGACGGGGTTTCACCGTGTTAGCTAGGATGGTCACGATCTCCTGACCTCGTGATCCGCCCACCTCGGCCTCTAAAAGTGCTGGGATTACAGGGGTGAGCCGCCACGCCCAGCAACGTTCTACTTCTTCAGCTAATTGCTTCCCCAAATGTTTGTCATATTCTTTAAACTGTACTCTTACATTACACATGCCTTTTTGCTTGCATGATAGTTCAATTATTTAAAAAAACATATTCCAGTAGTCCAGTTAAGAGCTTGCACACTTGAAAATGCTTAAAATGCTAAATTTTTTATGTCTATTTTACTGCAATTTTTAAAAAGAAAAAAAAGGAGAGCTTAAACTAAAACAGTAGAGAGGACAGTGGAGAAGTGGCTCAGTGAGGACCTTAGGTGGCAGAAGCAAAGGGATCTGGGCTCAGATGGGAGCAGGAAGTGAAGATGAAAGAGGAGCTATCAGTGACCCTCAGCAGTCACTGCCCGGGCTCTCATCTTGCCTTCCTGTACCTCCTCTTCCCCTCTTGTCTCTTTAGTTTAGGCCACAAACTCAAGGCCTTCCATATTGTGTATCCCCCCAGAGCTCCAAACACAGCACCTTGTTTGTAGTGGTGCCCAAAACACATCTTGTTATGAGACTGAGTGTACCAGATGGTCACGGTTACAGCAGTATGAATATTCCCAAAAGAACGAAGAAGGAGATAATTATTTCATCCAGTCCAGACACTCAGAGTGTGGGCACAATTACTGATGGAGCCACATGCTTCCAACGTGTGAATTCACTCCAAGGACACTTGACATCTAAAGAAGCAATGTTTACTCCGCCACCTGCACAGGCTTGTCCATGGCCGTGTTTCAGGAGCATCACTGGTATGCGGAGCAATTCACAGCACTCCCCCTAGAGTGGCCCACAGACAGCAAAGATGTCCCACACCAGGAAAATTGTCACTGAGATGGACCCTGCAGGGCCCGTCACCCCATTCGCAAACCCTGAAACTGGCAGGACAATTCGAAAGAGCTGTTCCCTAGAAGAGAACAAGGGGCCAGCACTCACTAAGACATCTGCAACCCAGATGTGTCAGAGGACACATCAAGAACACTGAGCTGCCTCAAAGACCACATATAACTTGTCACCAGATTTCTTATCTTCACAGAGGACAGCCAGCCACAAGAGAGAGGCTGCAGGAGTGATGTCAGGGACTTAGCAACCACAACTCTCAGACACAATCTCCAGTAACTACATTCCTCAAAACGGTCTCTCAGAAGCATGTGCTGAATGCAGCTGCTAACATGCAACCAGACGTCCATGTCTTGACGTCAGGACGGCAAAGGGCAGATGGTACATCACTGGCACATGAGCACACAGCTCCCATTCCTTGCATAGCGGTGCCATCTCTACAGCATCCCTGTTTCTCGCCAGGCTCTGACATCAAGCTGTGCACGTTGAAGGTATGCACATCCTTGTTAAGAGAACAAACTAAAGTACACAGTACTCTTGCTATCTTAACTTCAAAATCTCTGTCATTCGGGGGGATAAAATCTGTAATATGCACATATAAATATGTATACCAACACTAAATAAAATATTCTCTAGGCCAATATAGGACATAAGGACTAAAATACACATTACAGTAACATGGAACAGTCCAGATCCTATTAAAATGTTATTCAAGTTTTCAAAAATGAAAACACTGAGGACATTGTAGGAGAACTACAATAGAACCAGGAGTTTATTTTCCACTGGTGTTTCCTATTAGCTCTCCAAGCCTTCAGATGATTTCAGAAAAATTTATTCCAGATGTATAACACTACGACAACAATATAATTTGGACTATAATTACTCAATTCATAACTTACCACTGCTTCCTATACTTTTTGCATTTCTTTCTCTTGAACTATTTAGTGGGATTTCATTTTTATTTTGTAAAAATAATTGTTAGAGTCATTTTGTTTACTTAGGAGGTAACTCTTTTGTATCTATAAAATGGCTCTGATCTCACATAGAATGATACCTTTGCTAGGTATAAGATTATTGTATTGCATCCTTTTCACAATAATTTGCTAACACTGTTCCACTATCTTCTAGCTTACAGTCTCGCAGATGTGCATTTTAATACTATTCAGATTCTTTTTACCTTGGTACAAAAATCTATTCCTTCCGTCTGGAAGCTGATACAATTTCCTCTCCACTCTTAGAGTTCAGAAATTCCAGCAAACTATGTCTAGATAAGGGTCTTTTTTAATTTTATGAGGGTCTCATTAATTTTATGTGAGATTCATTTGGTGAGCCCTTTCCGAATCAAGTCCCACATCTTACTTTAGTTACAGGAAGATTCTTGCTATTTCTTTTTTATTTCTCTCCCTAATGGCCTTTTTCTCTTTCTGGAATATCTCTGGAATTTGCCCTCCAAATCACTGAACTTTACACTCATAGCACCCATTTCACATTTTTTTCTGTGTGGTATAAATTAGTTCCTCCATTTGACCTTCCAAAACACTAACTCACTTTTCAGCAAGATATAGCATGTGACCTGTCTTTGCTCTTGCTGGCAACAAAGGGCCCCTGAGACACCAGTGCATGTCTTTCAGCGACTGGTGGATGGCTGGGCAGTGTAAGATACAGTGGGAGAGGATTTTATGGTGAGCTGGAGGCAGTCAGGGTGGTCATCTGGGACTTCACTGTTGAGATGTGAAGAGGTGCCTGTATTTTTTAGGTATGACAGAGATAGGCTGTCCTCAGCCAGATCTGCTTGCTTCCAGGGAAAATGTCCACCCTTCCTAGAGGCACAGGAATAAGGTGCTCCCCTGAAACTCCCTGAGTCTGTGTGCTGCACCTGTCCCTAGCTCCAGAAGTTCCAGACTTTTCATGGGAGGGGTCAAACCTCTTCCCTTGGAGCAAGCAAATCCAGTCACTGTCTAGAATCCTTTATTTTTGACACTGAAATATTTAACCCATCAGAAAGTGTAAACACACAAGGTAGGGAGCAGCTTCATGTTCTCCACGATGGTTACCCCAGTGATTTTCAAGTTTTGTTACCCATTGAAAACCCTGATGCCCAGGTCACACCACATACCAATGAACCTAGAATGTCTCAGATAGGAACTAGGCATCAGTATTCATAAAAGTTTCCCAGGTGATTCCAATATACAGCAAAGTGTGGGCACCACAGCTTTACTCAGGTAACCCAATACCCTTTACTAAATAGACTATTCTGTTTCTCATGTTTTACAGTGACCAACCATCTCAACTTTAACACTCAAAGTCTCATGTCCCAGGAAACCCTCAGTTCCACAGGAACTGGGATGGCTGGTCACCCTGCGTGTCATACACTAAATTCTTTTTTTTTTTTTTTGAGACTGAGTCTTGCTCTGTTGCCAGGCCGGAGTGCAGTGGTGTGATCTCGGCTCACTGAAACCTCCACCTCCCAGGTTCAAGTGATTCTCCTGCCTCAGCCTCCCGAGTAGCTAGGACTACAGGTAGGTGCGCACCACCACGCCCAGCTAATTTTTGTATTTTTTTTTTAGTAGAGATGTGGTTTCACCATGTTGGCCAGGATGGTCTCGATCTCTTGACCTCATGATTCACCTGCCTCAGCCTCCCAAAGTGCTGGGATTACAGGTGTGAGCCACCCCGCCCAGCCATCATACACTAAATTCTTACATAAACTTAGATCTGTCCCTGGACTTTCTAGTCTACATCATTTCTATCTGCCCAGCAACAGTACCATGCCATTTTCATTATTATGAATTTAGAGCATATTTTAATACGACATAAGGCAAGTTCTCTCTCATTATTCTCATTTTGTCATCTTCCCCTGCTATTTTCACATTTATTCTCCCAAAAGAACTTAAGAGTTAGTGGTTCCAAGTATCCCCAATATTCCACTGAAATTTTGGCTGGAGTAACTTTAAGTTATAAATTACTTTAGGGAATTTTTTTTTCTTTTGAGACAAGGTCTCGCTCTGTCGCCCAGGCTAAAGTGCAGTAGCACGATCCCAGCTCACGGCAGTCTCTGCCTCCTGGGTTAAAGTGATTCTTGTGCCTCAGCCTCCTGAGTGGCTGGGATTACAGGCATGTGTCATCACCCTCCGGCTAATTTTTGTATTTTTTGTAGAGATGAAGTTTTGCCATGTTGGCCGGGTTGGTGTCCAACTCCTGCCTCAAGTGATCAGCCACCTCGGTTTCCCAAAGTGCTGGGATTACAAGAGTGAGCCACCGTGCCCCGGCCTCAGAAATTATTCATACTTACAATACTGAGTCTTTTTACCCAATTTCACCCAAAAAAATCTTCCTATTTATTGAAGTCTTAAATGTCTCTCAACGGCTTTGTAATTTTCTTTATAGCTGTAGACATCTCATATTAAGTTTTTTCTTAAATATAATATTTCTGTGGCTGTTGCGAATAGATCTCTTCCTTATATATTTACCTGGTTATTGTTGGCATACAGAAAAAAAATGATATTGATTTTGTAAAAATAGATTTTACTAAGCTATTTTTAAATCCTAATAGTTTTTAGTTGATAATGTTTTTCTAGGTAAATGATGTCACTTTCAGAAGTCACCATTTTGCTTCCCCTTTCCGGCATGTGGTCATCTTGTCTAACTACCCTGCCCTGCACTTCCCTGAGGAGTTAACAATGGCACTAACAGGCACCCTTGACTTATTCCTCATTGCAATGAAAATGCTTTCACTTTACGATGGCTGAACCAGGGGGAGATCAGGGAGGCCCCAAAAACCTAAGCAATCAAAAATAAATAATATTTTAATGCAATGCTTTAGAAATCAAAACTAAGGCAAAATAAATCCATGATGAACAAAATATCAAAATTGTAAATGAAGATAGGATTGGTATTCCTGATTTTTCCTGTTGCCTCAGGCTGCAATATGGCTTGGCTGTGGACTGGTAATGATCCCGTTTTTCACCATGACTACAATGCTAGCGCTGGCTAATGGCAGCTCTTTTCCTGAGTTTGACACCACAGACATTCTGATCCAGCTCTCTTTCCCATGAGTGCAAAGGGTAAGGGACCCACAGCAGCTACCCAGAAGGCAGCCACGTCTTCAAAGACTCCACAGAATTACACGGAACCTACTGGGGCACTTTTGGTATAAGACAAAGAGCCCGCCTGTTAAAGATGAAGACTGAAGGTCCTTGTTTCAATTCAGACCTCTGTTTACTGTGAGGCCTGGGGCAAGATATTTAATGGAGAGATGGCCTTCCCCTCCTTAGGAAACTGAAAATGACAGTATGTGCCTGCAGGGCTTGAAGCGAGTTAAAGAAGAGAGCAACCAGTGCAGGCCTGAACTCCATAAACACTACATAAAGGGAGTTAAGGAAAATGTCAATGAAATGGTCCAGGAGAGATGCCTGATGAGGTGAATGTCTTAGATGGGAACGGGGAACTCTGCTGACACAGGTGGCTGGGAGTGGCTGTGGCCAGATGACACTGTCCCTGGCTATGTATGCAAATTGCATCCCTGCAGTGGGATATGGGTGCATCTTGGAGGGACTGAGGAAAGCAGGGAGAGGTCCTTGTGAAAAGCCAAGAGTCACTCCTCCAATGCAGTGATTCGCTCACTTTGGTGGGCACAAGGCCCACCTGGAGAGTGTGCAGGTTCATGGCCCAAGATTCCAAGGTTGTGGGCCAAAGGCCAGGTCTAGAGCTGCAGGTGGTTCTCATGTTGGAGGTCCAAAGACTGCACTTGAAAACTCTGCCCTAAGTAGATGCTTGCAGGTCTCTGATGACGGCCCAGGGAATGGATCTGACCTCCTTGTCAACAAATACAAGGCCCTCACCAAGAAGCCTAGGCCCACCACATTCCAAGCCTTCTTCCCCTACTCCAGGGGGTGGAGAGCAAGGACAACTGTCCCCAGCTTCTTCAAACAAGGGCAAAGGTGGGTGGCCTGGCAGGACGGGGCTATTCAGAGCACAGCAGATAATTCCCAAGACACAAAAGTGGGGTGTGGCCAAGGGGAGGTGAGAAGGAAAGGTGGGCAAAAACGTAGGTAGAAACAAGTGGTTCTTTCAAAGAAAGTGTTCTCCTACTGGATTTCTGGTATCTCATTGAGTTCACTAAAAGCATATTCCTGCAAGGAACTAACACATTGCCTTTTGCACAGAAGCAGTTTGCAGCCTTATGATAAAGAATTCCATTTAACACACCTCAATGTGTAAGCAACTTTTTCAGGAAGCCCTTTAGTGCCTGAAGGAAGGTCCCACATAGCTGCCAAATCCCACCTTTCCGGGCTGCCAGACTCTCAAAACGTCTGGTCAAAGAATCTCCAATTACTTTAACTGCATACTCCTTCTAGGGATACAACTGTTATATGGGGACAGCTGCCCTGTAGGAGGGCAGGAGAGAGCCGGAGATATGACTAATCATCTAGCACATCATTTGTGAAACTGATGTGGGCAGACTTCTGTACTCAGAGGGTGACTGTTTCTGAGGGCACATTACTTCCCAGCAACAAGGACTACAATCTGTTTTGCTCTGTGTTCTTAATAGGAAATATAGAGAGGAATGGATGCCCACTCACAGTTGTTCCACCCATAGAAAGCCAGTGTTTGTTTGGTGGTTTCTTTCTTTCCAGTCTTTTATCTGTGCATCTCTTTTGCATAGCCGAGACCTTACTGTAAACACAAATCCATGTTGTTCTCTTTTAACATGCGGTAAGCAACACAAGCTCTCCATAGGTATCATTTTAATGGCTACATCCTATTTCCCAGCTGAATAGATATCATCTGACCACTACAGACTGAATGTTTGCATCGCCCCCAAAATTCACATGTAGAAATCCTGACCCCCAGTGTGATGGCATTAGGAGGTGGGGTCTTTGGGGAGTGATGAGGTCATGAGGGTGGAGCTCATGAGTGGGACTGTGCCCTTATGAAAGAGACCCCAGGCCGGGCGTGGTGGCTCATGCCTGTAATCCCAACACTTTGGGAGGCCGAGGCTGGCAGATCACATGGTCTTGAGTTTGAGACCAGCCTGGCCAACATTGTGAAATCCCATCTCTACTAAAAATACAAAAAAAAAAAAAAAAAATTAGCCAGGCATGGTGGCGTGCACCTGTAATCCCAGCTACTTGGGAGGCTGAGGCAAAGAGAATCACTCGAACCTGGGAGGCGGAGGTTGCAGTGAGCCGAGATCACGCCATTGCACTCCAGCCCAGGTGACAGTGCGAGACGAGAGAGAGAGAGAGAGAGAGAGAGAGAGAGAGAGAGAAGGAGGGAGGGAGGGAGAGAGGAAGGAAGGAAGGAAAAAAGAAAGAAGAAAAAGACCCCAGAGAGCTGCCTTGCCCCTTTCACCATGTGTGGACACAGAAAGAAGATGGCCACCTATGAACCAGAAAGCAGACAGACCTCAGCAGACACTGAATCTGCCCATACCTTGATCACAGACTTCCCAGCCTCCAGAGCTGTGAGAAATAAATGTCTGCTGTTGGAGCCACCAAGTCTATGGTGTTTTTTGATATAGCAGCCTGAGCTGACTAAGACACTAACTATTCCCCTGCTGAACCCACATTATGTCCTGGTTTTGCATAATAAGTAATGCTGTTTATTCTGTTTCCCTCAGAATATACTATAGGCCTTTTCTCCCCTCCCAGAGCCTTTATCCAGGACCCTTTGACGCTGTCTTTGCTGCATACAGTGTCAATCCAAGGCCCAGGTCCCCATATGAGCCCAGGGGGGGTGTGGCCAGGAGAGAGTTAACCATCTCTACAGTGGGGGCTGGGGGCTTTGCATTGCAGAGCATGTATGCAAACACACTCAGGTCCTTTGCTTCTAGTCAATCATATTAAAGATAAATCCTGTACAACACACCATCTGGAAAGCAATTCAAATGTACAGGAGAAGCATGATTACCTGCTACATGTCCAAGAAAATGAGTCTCCATGTCCAGACTCAATTAATTCTATAACAGCACATAAATCAATAGCTAATGCGGCCCCCGACACCGTGCTCACCACTCGCCTCCTGAAACATTCTAATTAGATGTGAGAAATAAAGGCTCATTGTCAACAATAAAGAGCTCCAGTGTCCTTATTCTAAACCATGTTTTTCTTTTGCACGGGAAAATAGCATTAGCTGGTGCTTAGAAGAGCTAGTAATATAGCAGACCAGATGAAAAATAGCTATTCAGTGACCACAATACAGGCTGGGTGAAAACGTATCATACAAATGAGAAACAGACTCAGCCAAATTGTTCCTGACACCAATCTTGTCCCCCATTTGGTCTCACATGTTGTAAAGATAATATTATTTTGTTCCTTTCAAATATAATTTAGTTGCTTTCACTATACACTATACATGATGTGGGTTTGAACAGTCCTGGAGAATGCTTGTATAATCAGCCCAAGCATTCCAGACAAAAGTCACCGAATAAGTATTTCACTTCAAGATCACAGGCAACCGCAAGCTCTGAAAGGACACTAATAAATTAATCTTCCAAAAACAATACTGATATCCAACACTGTCAAGCAAGGCTCTCTAACCTAGCTTAGGGTCACAAAGGGATGTGTTCTCTTTGGAAAACGGCAGTGAAATGGACAAAAATATTGAGCACACACTAAACCTTCAATAACAGGATCCTAGATAAATCAGTGTTAGCACTTCCACAAGACAATTTTGTGGCATCTGAAATATTTACAAAAGGCTTAGCATGTAATATGTATTGTTATGATTTATTCACAACAAATAAACACAGAATCAACTGTGAAGAAATGCATTAAGACGTTAGCAAGGGCTGCCTTCGAGTGATGGGACAATGGTACCTATTTCCTTCCTCTAGTCATTCCTGGCTATAGTACTTCTACAGACAAATAACATAAAAAAGACAAGCATAAAAAAGCCCAGGAAGCCTTGGGCAGCCATACCTGTCAGGTGACATTTCTGCGGTGGGAAGGGTGTTAAGTCTCAGCAGCCCTTGGAAGAGGCTTGGGGTTAATGTTGGGCCTAACTTCTTCCTTCTGGGCATTCAATATGCTGAGACATCTGCCCCACTGCATCCTCATCTCGAAATACGCAAAGGGCGATGATCTGCCCTTTAAACATCATTAAAATTGCTGTCAGACCTTCATCATCAATACTAGTCTCCAGGAAATGGCATTTTCAATATCTCACAATGTAGTCCACGCCTGAAAGCAGCATTAATGCCGTAACAGGAACAGAGTAACTGTGTGCACTTCTGGCCTGGCCGGTATTTGCTGTTCTTCCTGGGTTACGTCTAACAGTAAGAAGTCAACTCTCTCCCACAAGAACTTCTGGAAATAGCGGTGCCTTGGCAAAGTCTACCTCTGCATGTCATGTTTGCTCCTGGATGCCTTTAGGGGAAAAGCGAGGGTCCAGATAAGAGGGCAACTGAACACAGAACGTTACCAGCACTGACCTTTTTCTTAACATGCTGGAGAAAGGGGCGCAGCTTCTGCAGCTGCCAGGACCCCGTGCAAAGAAGTACACTGCTAAATACACCCTCTACCAGATCCATCCTCAGAGACAAAGAAATCTGTCACCCCCAGAGAAGCGGCCACAAGACTCGGGGGGAAAAGTCTGCTTCTGCTTGTTGCCCTGTGATTTTCACATTTTTCTAGTCATTTCCAAGTGCATACAGTACTGTGTAGATTTAAAATAAGCCACATCCGTGTTATGGCTGAATTATGTCCCCTCAAAATTCATATGTTTAAGTTCTCATCCCCTGTACCTCAGAATATACTTTGTTTAGAAATAGGATCACTGCAGCTGGGTGTGGTGGCTCACTCCTGTAATCCCAGCACTTTGGGAGGCCGAGGCGGGCGGATCACAAGGTCAGGAGACTGAGACCATCCTGGCTAACACAGTGAAACCCTGTCTCTACTAAAAATACACGTGGTGGCATGCACTTGTAGTCCCAGCTACTCAGGAGGCTGAGGCAGGAGACTCTCTTAAACTCGGGAGGCAGAGGTTGCAGTGAGCTGAGATCGGGCCACTGCACTCCAGCCTGGCAACACAGTGAGGAAAGAAAGAAAAGAAGAGACAGCGAGAGAGAGAGAGGAAGGGGATTACTGCAGATATAATTAGTTGACATACAGTAATTTGCGTAGGCCCTAACCCAATAGGACTGGTGTCCTCTAAAGAGGGGAATTGTGGAGACAGTCACACAAACAGGATGAAGGCAGGGCTCTAAACTAGGGAACATCAAAGATCGCCAGCAAACCACCACAAGCAAACGGAGACGCATGGGACAGACTTTCCCTCACAGCCCTCATGAGGCACCAGTCCTGAGGACACCTCAATCTGGGACTTCCAGCCTCCAGAACTGAGACAGTAAGCTTCTGTTGTTTATGCCACCCAGTCTGTGGACTTCTTACAGCAGCCCTAGAGAACTAAGAAAGTCCATAAGGATCATGTGCCCTTTATTCAAAGTTCAGAGTTCCCTTGTTTTTCATCTTCTGGGAAATTCTCCCGCATGTAATCAGGAATATTTTTTCACCAGGGATCTAACCATTGTTTCCACTATTGATCCCTTATTTTTCTATATAAATTTTAGAATCCCATTATCAATATCTAGTTTTTTAAATCCTGCTGGAAATTTGATTGGGATTGCAATGAATCTATAGGTCGATTTGGGGAGAATTCACAACTATACTGAATCTTCCAAAATATAAATATATCTTTCCATGAGTTGGGTCTTTGATTTCTCTCATCAGTATTCTTTAGTCTCCAGCATACGGATCTTGTATATTTTCTTATTTATATGTAGTTCTTTCTTTTTTGGGGGGATGCTATTGTAAATGATACCTTTTTTTAATAATTGCTTTTTTTTTTTTTTTTCTGAGACAGGGTCTTGCTCTGTCACCCAGGCTGGAGTAAAGTGGCACAAATATGGCTCACTGCAGCCTCAACCTCTGGGGATCAAGTGATCCTCCTGCCTCAGCCTTCTGAGTAGATGGCACTACAGGTGTGTGCCACCAGGCTCAGCAAAATTTTATTTATTTACTTATTTATTTAGTAGAGAAGAGGTCTTACCATATTGCCCATGCCGATCTTAAACTCCTGGCTCAATGATCCTCCCACCTTGGCCTCCCAAAGTGCTGAGACTACAGGCATGAGCCATCACACCTGGCCTACTCATTTCTTAAACTCATTTTTCTTTTATTCAGGATAATTTCTATTGATCTACTTAGAGCTAACTTAGATTCTTTCTTCTGTCATATACATTTGCTTTTGAACTCATCCAGTAATATTTTTACTTCATTCTAAAATTCCTATTTTTTTCTTTTTTTTTTCATATTGCCCTGCTGCGAATTTCTATGTTTCTGTTAATTTCAGAACTGTCCATCTTTTACCTCATGGAACATGGTTATAACAGTCACTTTAAAGTCTTTGATAATTTCAACATCTATGTCATCTCAGGGTTGACATTTGTTAATTGCCTTTTCCCTTGAGAACTGGGTCATTTAAAAAATATTTTTAATTGATTGACTGAAGAATTAGTCAGATTTTTTTGCTTCTTTGTATCCCAAATAATTGTAGATTGCATCCCAGATCGCTTTAATATGTACATTTTAACCCTGATTAAAAATGTTGAATGAGAGAGAATGTTGAGAATGTAGAGAATGTTGATTTTCATGTGTCTGCTTCATCAGACGATAAATCCACTCAGGTTGAGAACACAAGCTCTGGTTCCCCTTCGTTAGGGGATGGAGTTAACGTCAGTGCGGTTTCAAAACCCTTTGCTGTGCTCTGTGAGTTGGCTTCAAGCACGAGCTATTCAGGGATTAAGTCTGGGACCCGGGCCACGGTTTCTATTGCAGCTTAAATCCAAAGCCTTTGCTATGGTTCTCTGGGTATATCCCATACATGGAGTTGGTTCAGAAACATAAATAAACCCTCTTTTCCAGATTTCCCCTCTCCAAGATTTCTTCCATATTCCGCTACTACCAGATGCACCTTTTCCTGGTTCCTCTGCCCATAAAGTTGGGGCTCTCCCAGAGTTTTAGCCTAACACATCACACTCTTTCACAGTTTCTTGCAACTGCAGCCCCTGCTGAGGGCAAAGCAGAATGAGAAAGAGAAAAAAATGGGGATTCTTCCCACCACCTTTATGCAACAACCGGTTCCTCCAACCAGAGAGTTGGATTTTCTCTCAGGGTAGTAGGTGCTACTGCTCTGGGTCTGGCAGGGCCAGGAGAGAGGAAAAGACAAAACAAAACAGTGATCCCTCCTAATCTTCAGCTTGCAGCGTTCCTCTTTTCAACCCTCTGGCCACAAAGATGGGTTTCTCACAGAGTTTTGCTGCCTCTGCCCACTGTGCTATTTCCCAAATCAGTCAGCACTCAGATCAAAGGAGGGAAAAAAACCCAACCACAGAAACTCTATTCTAATGTGCTGCGCATTCAAGCTCCAACCCCCTTCCCGATGGGGTTGCTTTTCATTCTGTTCAGAGTTTTGAGTTCTAATCCGTGAGTGGAATGGACGATAGTGGGCTTACTCCATCCTGGACAGCACTGATGTCATCCATGGATCTCTTTACAGATTTGGGGAGGTACATTAAGTTAAAACCTGTTTATTTTTACTTCATTCGATTAATCAGACACTGCCCATCAGCGTTCAGCTAGGCTTGACATCATCAGCATTATCATCGGCAGGAAAGGTCACGCCACACGAAAACTGGCAGGCTGTGGTCCTCGGGCCTAAACCCCGGTTGGATGCTAGAATCAACCTGAGGAGGTTTAAAAAATATCAATTCCTGGATCCTGCCCCAGCTCCATGAGGTCAGAATTTCTGGGTGAGGAGAATTTGGACACTCTGGGTGGCTGACATGCAGCCAAGGCTGAGAACCACTATAATGAATATGACAAAAATGTGAAGGGTCCATGGTCCCATCATATCTTAGGATTCACAGTTTCTGATGGGGAGCTGGATGCCAGGAGGATAAGGAGGAACTGAGGAAGGAATGAGAGAGTTACGCTGTTAAGGGCTGGCCTGACAGCCTCTCCTCTACCACTCCCTGCTGCAGATATCCCAGGTCTTTGTGGTAATAAGATACGACCTTCTTTAATAACACATAAAACTTCAAAGGCCCTGTCTGACCCCCTCACAGGAATCTCCCTGGTGGGCCTTAGGGAAGCAATGCAACTCCTCAGCAGCAACCCTGATACACACACACACACACACACACACACACACACACACACACACACACACACACACACACACACCCTGACATACAGCTGAAATAAGGCTGCATGCTCAAAGGACACTTTCAAGGCAGCATATCTCCCCGCTTCATCTTCTTCCTTGATCAACAATAGTAAATCATCTCAAGGTCCTTCTAAAAAATGCATGCGCCAGGCGTAGTGGCTCACACCTGTAATCCCAGCACTTTGGGAGGCCAAGGCGGGCAGATCATGAGGTCAGGAGTTTGAGACCAGCCTGGCCAACATAGTGAAATCCTGTCTCTACTAAACATACAAAAATCAGCCAGGTGTGGTGGCGCACACCTGTAATCCCAGCTACTCGGGAGGCTGAGGCAAGAGAATCATTTGAACCCAGGAGGTGGAGGTTGCAGCGAGCCAAGATGGCCTCACTGCACTCCAGCTTGGGCAACAGAGTGAGACTTCGTCTCAGAAAAAAAAAAAAAAAAAAAAAAAATGCCTGCATATAGGACAGAGCCAAATAGGAAGTGGGTGTGTGTCCCTCCAGGGCCCCTACTCCAGACAGAGTCTGGGCTTCTGTCCCCACCGTTCACCTAATGCTTCAGTACTATCTTGAGGGCTCTAATCGCAGGACCAGGAAGCTCAACTGTCAGAGTTGCAAAGTGCAGCGTTGCTGATTTGGTTCAGCACTGTGGAGACAGGACAGGAAACCAACCCATACCACGGAAAAATGCACAATTATTTTCAAAAGCTAACCATTCAAGGATGACCTACGGTTTCAATCCCCCAATCCTCTGAGCTTCTCCATAGCTGAGGTTCTGTGAATTCCCAAGTAGCCCTCGGAAGATAGGTCACTTGGAGCCAGAAAAGGGGATTTCCCAGGTGCTGTGGAGGGACGTGCCTGGAGAGGAGCTCTGTGGTGAGCCAGAGTCCCCCAACACCAAAACGAAGAGGAGACCCTGGAGTTCAGACAGTGTGGGGAAGGCAGAAGTTGTTGTCAAAGCACAGAGCTGGCAAGCACAGCACCAGCTGCCTTGGCTAGAGCTTACAGAGTCCTGGGGGGCAAAACCAGAGGTGCCAGCCAGAGAGTGGACTGGGCCCAGGGTGCAGGACACCAGGATCCATGGGGAAGGCAGTCCCTCTGCTATGGTTCAGAAGTCCCTGCCAATACTCATGTGGAAATTTGATTGCCATTATAACAGTATTAAGAGACAGTATGCTGAAGAGGTGATTAGGCCATGAGGACTCTGCCGTCAGGAATGGATTAATGCCATTACCCAGGGAGAGGGCTCCTCATAAGAGGTTAAGTTTAGCCCCTATCTTGTCTCTCTGTCTCTTTGCCATGTGATGCCTTCCACCATGTTATGAGGCAGCACAAAGGCCCTCACCAGATGCTGGCACCATGCTCTTGGACTTCCCAACCTCCAGAACTTTGAGCCAATAAACTTCTTTTCTTTATAAATTACCCAGTCTGTGGTACTACGTTATAAGAGGACAAAATGGACAAACACACCCTCTAACAAGGAGAGTCAAGGGTCCCAGTCACTCTGGCCTGATTTCTTCCAGCCCCACGTAACTCTGGCTGTCTCTCTCTGCTTGCCTCAGGTCCTCACCCACAAAAGACATGTAAAGACCCTCCTCTCCTGAAAGGCCTGGAAGCTGCCCCTCTAATCCCAACAAACCCTCAGAGGCACTGGCCATGGTGATGGGCAACCTGTAATCTCACACGATGATTCACATCATCCTTCTGGTAACTCACCCCAGGCTGTTTGCCTGGTCCCTAGAACCATCTTTAACTTTCTGTACACGGTGGCTACACACCCACCCAGTCCATAAGCCAATGGAGGCAGGGGCTGCATCTCATATTTAAGTGTGCTTTGGAGCTACCAAGACGGGTTCAATGATAGCTGCTAAAAGGGTAAACATGAAATTCAAATGCTTAAATTAAACTCCACTGGATAAATTACAGGTTACTCAATCACTTTGATAAATGATTATCTTCTGAATAAAAATTCTCCCAAAAGATGTCTTTAAGTAGCAAGTTTCTCCTAGCTTATTTTAAACAATTTAACTTTTATTTTAAATAATTTTATTTTAAATAATTTAACTTTATTTATGCAAAACTTTCTCTTTTTTTTTTTGGAGACAGGGTCTCTCTCTGTTATCCAGGCTGGAGTGGACTGGTGTGATCTCAGCTCACTGCAACCTCCACCTCCCAGGTTCAAGCAATCCTCCTACCTTAGCCTCCAAAATAGCTGAGATGACAGGTACACACCACCTTGCCTGGCTAATTTTTGTATTTTTTATAGAAACAGGGTCTCACCATGTTGCCCGGGCTGGTCTCAAAGTCTTGGACTCAAGCAATCTGCCTGCCTCAGCCTCCCAAAATGTTGGGATTTCAGGCATGAACCACCATGCCTGGTCTACTTACTGCACAACTCCTAAACAAATGTTACCACTGTAAGAAGCAGGGAACTCTGGGGTGTTCAGCAGGAGATGATGTAAAAGAGGTGTGGGAGTCACCTGCTGGGCCTCTGGCCACCCCTCCTTTGAAGGCCACCTGAGGTCTCTGCACCCCAAACCCTCATACACAGTTCCCCAGTCCAGTGGGGAGGCCCCATATCGCTTGCTGGGGTGGAGGCAGCTTCACCCACCACCCGACCAGGTTTCTCCAGAGCTGCTCCCACCACCCCTTGGCTCAGCAGCACTGCCTCCCATCCTAGCTGTGCACCCTGTGGCTACTAGTGAGGCTCGCTTTGAAGTGAGCATCTCTGCTGAAGCACCCCTTCCTCAATGCAGGTGATGCTCATCCTCCCTGAAGGAGACCTGGGGACATTTGTCTACTAAGCAACATTTTCTTCCCCAAGAAATACCTGGTAAGGGGAGAGTCTGTAGATATGTTAAAAAAAATAGTTTTTTAAGACAAAAAATATATATATATGTATTCAGGCCATCTGTCAGGCACTGAGGCCTGGGCAAGGAGGTGTGGCTGGTGGGTGGCGGGAAAGCATAGGGGGGTGAGGGCTCTGCCTACAAGGACACAAGGGAGGGGCAAGGCAGCCTCTGGCAATGAACCCTGGCACCTCTCCAGCCTCCCGGGCCCAGCCCTGAGCCAAAGGGCACAGCCAGGGCCAGGTAAGGGGGTCACCAGCGGTGGAGTCCCTGGGCCTTGGCTTGCAACCAGGAAGGTTGCCAAAGCTTCCCCAGGTAGGGGGGCGCTCCGGGGTGACAGCTGGCACCCTGAGGGGTCCATATTCAGCTTCAGATCTTTGTCTGCTCCTGTCCTCTCTGGCCTGCTTTGCATCCCAACAGTTCCTTCCCATGCAGCAGAGCCACCTGCGGGGCTTCTGGCTCCCAGCCCTAGAGCTTCTGGCTCAGCAGGTCAGGGGGAGGCTGGGAGTGTGCACTGCTCACACATGCCCAGGGGATGCTGAGGCTGCTGGTCCAGGGCCCGCACGTCACGGAGAACCCCTGCTTCGAACGTGGAACACCACATCGATTTCTTGTCACATAATGAGCCAGCAGTCTCCCTGCTGAAATCAATAATAAAAATCCCATGATGATGTCCCAGAAAAACACATTAGCAGCTTCCACAACTGAGACAGACTACAGTTAATCATCACATGGCGCCCCCAAGGTCCCCACACACACCCCTAATTCCACCCTCACTGAACATGAGAGAAACAGGATTTCCAGGCCACATCCACTGTCACTTAACTGGCCTGAGCAGGGTCCCAGCACCAGAGCCCTACCTGAGATAGTAGTCGATTCATGCTTTCCCCTCAAACTGGGAAACCACACCCAAATGCCCTCCCAGGCTGTTCCTGAATCTATTTTTTAAGATCTGATGGCTATTTACTAATTAATCCTAATGACCCCACGATTGCAATCATTCGATGTTCTCTGCCCCGGTAGCAAGCCCTTACTCCTCTGCCTGTCTGGCAAGACTGAAGGAAGGGCAGTGGCCCCAGGTGACCAGGCCCCAAGCCTAGCAGCCCAAGCAGAGGCAGCACTCCCTCCCCTGCAAGAACAGCCTGCACTTGCCCATCAATTGCCATTAAAGTCCAGCCAAAATGTGAGACCTGGGACCTGAATGCTAGCTAGCTGCTAGACAGAGACACCAGGCCAGGGCCCAGGGAAGAAGGACCTCCCCGGGAGCCTGTGGGTGGAAGTCATCTTTATTCCTGCCAAACTTCCCATTCTGTCATTGTAATGTAAAAACCTATGGCCAAGAATCCAAAGTTCAAACACCCACCACAGAGTCTATTCCAGGGCTTCTTGAAGTGTGGTCCCTGGGCCAGCAGCATCAGTGTCACCTGGGAACTCCACAAACACAGAAACTCTTGGGCCCTCCCCCAGACCAATGAAAACTCAGGGGCAGGACCCTGAAGTCTGCATGTTAAAAGATCTCCAGGGGATTCTGATGCCTACAAGTCTGAGAGCCACTGCTGTAGGGTAACACTTCATTCATTCTGAATATGCACTTCACAGTCTGTGCCCCAGCAAGTCAGGGCAGCCTGTAAAACTGACATTGGTTCCAAGTGTCACTCTTCAAAGTAAACAAATAGCATGCATACACCCTTCCTAACACTTTCATTTCATGTAGTCTATATCCAAGGGGTTGTGTCAGGCCTGAAATCTAAAGGAACCCCAAGCCCCACTCTTTATTAACCACTAAGTCATGGCAATCAGTTGGTGTGTAATAAAGAACTTGGCTGGCCTTCTGGTACCTTGGAGGGAGCCTCTACATCCTTGGAATCTCCAAGTGATAGGAGTGTCCTTGTTATTCGTGGTGCGTTCCAAAGTTTATGCAAAAGAGATGACTCAGGATGGAGGTTGGTGATGCCAGAGAGGCCAACTAGCTACTAGAGGGTTGGGGCTTTGAGACAGGAGACACGGGCTACCAGCCTGACTTCTGGGAAGGCTAGATATTGAGCTCAACCACATGGCCAACAATTTAATCAATTCACTGATTCAATTCATCATGCATCATACCTACATAAAGAATCCCAAATAAAAACTCTAGACATTGAAGCTCAGGTGAGGTTCCTTTTTTGGCAATACTCTTTGATTACTGTCACACTTGGATGCTGGGAGGATAATGCATCTCTGAGGACGCCAAAGCTTTGCATCTGGAAGCCTCCCAGACTTCACCCTAGGTGTCCCTTCTTCTTTTTTTTTTTTTTTTTTTTTTTTGAGATGGAGTCTCACTCTGTCGCCCAGGCTGGAGTGCAGTGGTGCCATCTCAGCTCACTGCAAGCTCCACCTCCTGGGTTAACGCCATTCTCCTGCCTCAGCTTCCCGAGTAGCTGGGACTACAGGCGCCCGCCACCACGCTCGGCTAATTTTTTAAAAATATTTTTAGTAGAGACGGGGTTTCACCGTTATTAGCCAGGATGGTCTCGATCTCCTGACCTCGTGATCCAGCTGCCTCGGCCTTCCAAAGTGCTGGAATTACAGGCGTGAGCCACCGCGCCCAGCCAGGTGTTCCTTCTTTTGTCTGGTTCTGGGTTGTAAATTTTTGCTATAATGAAACTGTCATTGTTAAGTATAATGGTGTTCTGAGTTCTGTGAGTCATTCTAGCAAATTATCTAATTTAAGACTGGTCATGGGAACCCCTGACCAGCTGGTAAGAAGTAAGGATGGGCCTGAGGACCCCTGAATTTGGGGCTGGTGTCAGAAGTGAGGGCAGTCTTGTGGAAGACTGTGCCCATAACCTCTCGCTTGGCTGACTTTGGAGAGTTGAGGAAGCAGGTTTTGAATCAGGGGTTTAAGGCACAGGGAACTATTAATACATGGTAGGAGAAGAAGATGGGTAAGACCATTCCTGTTGTGGACAGAGAGGTCTTACCACATAAACCAAGGAAAGGGAATGTCAAGAAGAGGTGTCAGGTGCAGAAAGGACATCAAAGAGGAGAGGGCTGGGCAGCAGACGTGGGCCTTGTCTAACCCTGATCCCAGATCGTCCTTCTGGAGATGTCTAGTGCAGACCTTCTCCACCTGCAGCACATGCACAGATCACCTAGGCATCTGGCTGGTATGCCAATTCTCGTTCAGAGGCTGGGGTGGGGCCCACAGTGCAACCTCAGAGGGGCCAGCCCTGAGTGATGCAGCTTGGATAAGGATGGCAAACGCTCCCATTCCTCAGCACACAAGAAAGCCCAGATCTCACCACAGAGCCATCTCGCCACAGCTGTGGGCAGAGTCCATGCTCCCCATGCTGCAGCTGGCCAATCAGTGTGTCTGTCTGACCTGTCCACATGTACTGTCCGCCTTCTGTGTGATTTCCACAGCAGGGGTGGAGCAGCCCACAAAGAAAGGATCCGGGATCTGGTCTCAGAGGCAACAGCCCCAGAGGCACAGAACCCAATGAGATGAAAAGTACTGAGTGCCACAGTCTTGTAGGAACTGGATCTCAGAAAACTGAACAGGGCTGGGCAGTGCTACTAACATAAAGGCATATTTTGGCATGGGGCTGTGCTTTGGGGATGGAGGGTCCAGGAGACACATGACTTCTGACTCTGAGGCTGTCCCAACTCAGAAGTTAGTGAGATAGCCAAATAGATCACCAGATGAAAAAACTACAGTATTAGGAATTTTCAGAGAAAGAGAACCAACAGGATATATAAAAAGAGATTTATTTCAAGGAATTGGCTCACATGACTGCAGAGGCTGGCAAATCTGAAATCTGCAGGGCAGGCCGGCAGGCTGGGAACTCCAGGAGGAGTTGACATTCCAGTCTTGAGTCACAAGGGGGTCTGGGGGCCGACCTTCCCCTTCGGGGAACCTCAGCCTTTGGTCTTAAGGCCTTCAACTGATCGAATTAGGCCCATCCAAATATGAAGGACAGTCTGCTTTACTCAAGGTCTACTATGTTCATCTTACCCAAAAATTACCTTCCCAGCAACATCCAGACTGGTGTTTGAGCAAATCAACTGGGCACCAGAGCTGGGCAAAGTTAACACACAAAACTAACCATCATGACTACACAGGAATGACTCTGCCTCTTTGACACACACCAGCCACAGGCTGGGGAGACAGGGGCAAAAAAGACAAAGTCCCTTTTCTCATGGAGGTGTCACCTCTTCCTATCCTGCCCAGAGTTACACACTCTTCTTCTAGACAGCCCTTCCAAGGAGAGCCCCTCTGCTACATTAACTCTCACCCCTGGCCATGAAATTCTGTGGTTAACACCACCTTCCTTTTCTCAGTATCAAGACAGCATCCTGTGCATGGCCTGCACTTCACCCTCAACTTTCTTGGGGTGGTTGTGAGAGGTGAAGCCAGCTGAACTTCCTGGGTTGAGTGGGGACTTGGAGAACTTTTCTGTCTTACAAGAGGATTGTAAAATGCATCAGCGCTCTGTAGCTAGCAAGTGGATTGTAAAATGCACCAATTAGCACTCTGTAAAAAAGCACCAATCAGCACTCTGTAGCTAGCAAGAGGATTGTAAAATGCACCAATCAGCACTCTGTAAAACACACCAATCAGCAATCTGTAACATGCACCAATCAGCAGGATCCTAAAAGTAGCCAATGGCAGGGAGGATTGAAAAGGGCATTTTGCCAGAGGCTAAGGCAGAGAATCACTTGAACCGGGGAGGCAGAGGTTGCAGTGGGCCAAGATTGCGCCACTGCACTCCAGCCTGGGCAACAAGAGCAAAACTCCATCTCAAAAAAAAAAGATAAATTGGGGTACACAGAGAGACCCCAGGGGCACACAACAGGCACAGAAGGAAGAACACATGCAGGGGCATCAAGGCCAAGGAGAGACGGCCCGAGGAGGCCAGCCCTGCTGACACCTTGATCTTGGACTCCCAGCCTCCAGAACTGTGAGGCAATACATTTCTATGGATTCCGACACCAAGTCTGTGTTTTGTTACCGCAGCCTGAGCAAATGAATGCAGTGCTCTTTATACTCTCTTTTAGTCCATCTGTTGAAAAACATAGATTTTCAGATTATTTTAGAAAATTAAGCCATGAGTTGCTTAGTCTCTTCTGATGACACCTGAAAAAAATGGCACGAAGACTGCTAAAAATAAAAGTATAGGAAAAGATACACCAGACAAGTGCTAATAAAAAGAAGGCTCATATGGCAATATTAATCAGACAAAATGAATGTAAACAACAAAGTATGCAAAGGCATAAAAGGAAAAATTCCCATTAATAACAAAAATAATCCACCAAGAGCATCATGTACCTTTATAAACTTCACAACATAGCTTCAAAATATAAACCAAGCAAATAATGATAAAAGGTGAAATTAATAGCCACATTCATATTGAGAGATTAAAATCAAATTAACCAGACAAAAATGAGATGGGATATAAAAATTTAAATAACAATAAGATTTATTTAGAACCCCGTACCTAACAAATAGAGAAGGCGGAGGTTTTACACACACACACACACACACACACACACACACACACATACTCACATGGGTTTAACCAAAACTGCCTATGTAGCATTAGGCCACAAAAGAAATGTGACATTCTACAAAGAATCTGTACTGGCTACACCCACTGACTACAATGGGACAATTAGAAAGGAATGACAAAAAGGTTGTGTCAGTTATCAATTCATTGCCTCCCAATTCTGAATGTACCCCTCAATATGTTCTCTGAATAAACAGAATTCCCTTAAGCGTTTCTCCTTTATTTTATTATTATTATTATTATTTATTTATTTTTATTTTTTTGAGACGGAGTCTGGCTCTGTGGCCCAGGCTAGAGTGCAGTGGGGCCATCTCGGCTCACTGCAAGCTCCGCCTCCCGGGTTCACGCCATTCTCCTGCCTCAGCCTCCCGAGTAGCTGGGACTATAGGCACCCGCCATCACGCCCGGCTAATTTTTTTAAGTATTTTTAGTAGAGACGGGGTTTCACCATGTTAGCCAGGATGATCTCTATCCCCCGATTTCGTGATCCGCCTGCCTCTGCCTTCCAAAGTGCTGGGATTACAGGCGTGAGCCACCGGGCCCGGTCATGTTTCTCCTTTAGAGTGAGCACATTAAGCTTTCTGGGCAGAGGGTGATGGAGCAACATTGCTGGAGGAAAACGGTTCCCGCAGTTCCCGGCTCAGGCCACAGAGGCACCTAGTTCTTCTGCAACCCTGCAGCCTTGTTGGGGCCACACCTGTTGGGCCTCGAACCCAGAGCTCCACATGGCCAGCCACCTCTGGACTCCCTCGACAAACCCCATGTAGCCCGCGTGGTCTGGAGAGTCCTGCGTTGAGCAATCGTTCCTTCTGCATGTCCGGCACCTCTGGACGTGCTGGTGCCCGAACTCACACCGCAGGCCCAGCCTCAAGCCACTGCTCCCCAGCCTGTACTCCAGAGGGTGGCCTATTGTGACCAACAGCATCTCTAGACCAGTGCTGGACTGCCTGAACCAGCGGCTGTCCCTGCTCTCCACTGCTGAACCACACCTTCCCTAACAAGCTGGTCCTTCCCTGGGGCTTTCCCAGGTCTGCCCCTGCTTAGGTCCCCCTCCCTCCACCCCCACGATACCACACAGAACTTCCACCTCTTAACAGCTACTCTCTCATCATACCTAATAATTCTATTAAATATGATGCTCCCCCTGGGGTTCCCATCTCCTGA
Source organism: Homo sapiens (assembly GCF_000001405.40). Lineage (NCBI taxonomy): Eukaryota > Metazoa > Chordata > Mammalia > Primates > Hominidae > Homo > Homo sapiens. The sequence continues at coordinate 1,192,026 of NW_011332701.1, read as the reverse complement.
GTGGACCCAGACTGCTACAAAGATAGTTAAAGAACAAAAACAAAACAAAATATGACATGCCTGGGAAATTCTTAAACATTAAATAACTGAGGCTTAGAAAGCATTCAAAATGTAAATGATGTATTTTTAGACATGAACAAAAAATTAGATATCACAACTAGGGGATATGGCCAAATTAGTACTCATTAGGAAATATACACATTTACTACAGAGGGGTTTTTTTTTTTTGGTAGAAAAGTGGGTTAATGTCATCTGATCTTCAACAGACCTGACAAAAACAAGCAATGGGGAAAGGATTCCCTGTTTGTAAGTGGTGCTGGAAGAAGTGGCTAGCTATATGCAAAAAATTGAAACTGGACCCCTTCCTTACACCTCATACAAAAATTAACTCAAGATGGATTAAAGACTTAAATGTAAAACCCAAAACTATAAAAACCCTAGAAGAAAATCTAGACAATACCATTCAGGACATAGGCACCAGCAAAGATTTCATTATGAAATCGCCAAAAGCAACTGCATCAAAAGCAAAAATTGACAAATGGGAACTAATTAAACTAAAGAGCTTCTGCACAGCAAAAGAAACTATCATCACAGCAAACAGGCAACCCACAGAGTGGGAGAAAATTTTTGCAATCTAGCCACCTGGCAAAGGTCTAGTATCAAGAATCTACAAGGAACTTAAATTTACAAGAAAAAAAACCCAAACAACCCCATTAAAAAGCAGGCAAAGAACATGAACAGACACTTCTCAAAAGAAGAGATTTATGTGGCCATCAAACATATGAAAAAAAGCTCAACATCACTGATCATTAGAGAAATGCAAATCAAAACCACAATGAGATACCACCTCATGCCAGTCAGGATGGTGATTATTAAAAAGTCAAGAAACAACAAATGCTGGCGAGGTTTCGGGGAAATAGGAATGCTTGTATACTGTTGGTGGGAATGCAAGTTAGTTCAACCACTGTGGAAGACAGTGTGGTGACTCCTCAAAGATCTATAACCAGAAATACCATTTGACCCAGTGATCCCATTACTGGTTTATAGGCTCAAAGGAAAATAAATCATTCTGTTACAAAGATACATGCACCCCTATGTTCACTGCAGCACTATTCACAATAGCAAAGACATGGAATCAACCCAAATGCCCATCAATGAAAGACTGGATAAAGAAACTGTGGTACATATATACATACCATGGAATACTATGCAGCCATACAAAGGAATGACATCATATCCTTTGCAGAAACATGGATGGAACTGGAAGCCATTATCCTCAGCAAACTGACAAAGGAACAGAAAACCAAACATCACATGTTCTCACTTATAAGTGGGAGCTGAACACTGAGAAAACATGGACACAGGGAGGGGAACAACAAACACTGGGGCCTGTCAGGGGTGGGATCGGGGGAGGGAGAACATTAGGAAAAACAGCTTATGCATGTGGGGCTTAATACCTCGGTGATGGGTTGATAGGTGCAGCAAACCACCATGGCACACGTTTACCGGCCTAACAAACCTGCTGCACATCCTGCACATGTACCCCAAAACTTAAAAATTAAATTAAAAAAAAAAACGAAAAGAGTGTTAATGTATAAAATAAGTCTAAGAAATAAAAGTGAAAATCAAAATGAAGGAATTAGAAAAATATAAGACTAGGCCGGGCACGGTGGCTCACGCCTGTAATCCCAGCACTTTGGGAGGCTTCAAGGTGGGCGGATCATGAGGTCAGGAGATCGAGACCATCCTGGCTAACACGGTGAAACCCCATCTCTACGAAAAATACAAAAAATTAGCCAGGCGTGGTGGCAGGCGCCTGTAGTCCCAGCTACTCGGTGGGCTGAGGCAGGAGAATGCGGGAACCCGGGAGGCGGAGGCTGCAGTGAGCTGAGATCACACCACTGCACTCCAGCCTGGGCAACAGAGCAAGACTGCCTCAAAAAGAAAAAAAAAGAAAAAAAAGATAAAAGACTAAAAAAAATTAAGACAGTAATTAATTGAAAGTTGGCCCAGTATAAAAAGAATACATATCATAAGACAAATCAAGAAAAAGAAAGAAAACACAAACATTAGAACTGAAAAGCCCATAATTACAGATGCAGAAAAATTTATAAAATTATGAGAATACTTTTCAGAACTTTATGCCAATGAATTTGCAAATCTAACTGAATGAAATGTAAGATTTTCTAAGAAAATATAAATTACCACAATTGGCTCAATAAGTAGAAAAACTGAATAGCTATAGAAGATATTTTAAAATAACAAGGTAACCTAATAAAGGCCAGACCGAGATGAATTGACAAACACGTTTTATTACATTTTCAAGGAATAGATTACCATGATGTCACATCTCAAAAAAGAGATGGAAAGCTGAAGCAATTTATTTTATGAAAGGATAAGCACAAACTAGTCTCCAACATGAGAGAGGCAAAGATCTTACCTCAAACTTTAACAAATAGGTTCACTATTAGCATTAAAAACTAACACGTCATGACCAAAAATGGTTTATATCATAAAGGGGAAGATGGCACACCCTGAGAATGTATCATACCATTAAAATTGGCTATTGCCAACTTCTTATTCTGAAAATTAACAATTGAAGAGAAATAAGGATTTGGTTTTTTTTGTTCTTGTTTTTTTGAGACAGAGTCTTGCTCTGTCGCCCAGGCTGGAGTGCAGTGGCAGGATCTCGGCTCACTGCAAGCTCCGCCTCCTGGCTTCACACCATTCTCCTGCCTCAGCCTCATGAGTAGCTGGGAGTATGGGCGCCCAACACCATGCCCAGCTAATTTTTTTTTTTTCTGTATTTTCAGTAGAGACGGGGTTTCACCTTGTTAGATAGGATGGTCTTGATCTCCTGACCTCGTGATCCGCTCACCTCAGCCTCCCAAAGTGCTGGGATTACAGGCGTGAGCCACCATGCCCGGCCTGTTCTAACGATACTGTATTTCAGGGTGGTCTAACAGCTCCAGGTGATAAGGAAAATCTCTTCTTTACAGAAGAATAACAGCTAATAAATGAAAACAGTATGAGAGAATTGTGAAACCACCAATTTGCAACAACTAATGAATTAACTGATTCAGGCCAGGATCACCAATGGATAACAGAGGGTTAACTGGCCGTTCATATACATGGTGCCAAAGAACTAGCCACAGATTTCTTGTCAGTCTCAAGCATAAGAAACTTTATAAAAGAAGACTCAAGCTGTCACCAGCTGTAGGGTAAATGCACCTGACAGCGATAACTTGAACCTACCCTCAGAAGGACCCTGTATGGCAGATGCACCTGAGTGTGTGCTCTGAGCTGGGGAATCAGGTGTGGCCAACCCAGAGATTCGTTCCTTGTCTATGAGGAACATTTGAGCCCCTGGAACATCCTATGGAACACGGGCCATACAGGGCATTGAGGCCCTGAGTTTTGGGGTAAATGAAGGTTGCTGGGTAGGGGTCATTAAGAGGAGGGTGTTAAGTAGAAATGCTAAATAAACTGCATAAAGTTGGCAAGAAGTTGCAGCTTTCCTGCCCAGCCCACTGCCACAAGACTGCAGGAAGGCCGATATGTTATCCAGCCCGCCATCTCTGGGCCATTTCTTTTCTTTTTTTTTTTTTTTGAGTCGGAGTCTTGCTCTGTCGCCCAGGCTGGAGTGCAGTGGCACGATCTTGGCTCACTGCAACCTCTGCCTCCCGGGTTCAAGCAATTCTCCTGCCTCAGCCTCCCGAGTAGCTGGGATTACAGGCACCCACCACCACGCCTGGCTAATTTTTGTATTTTTGCAGAGATGGGGTTTCACCACGGTGGCCAGCCTGGCCTCGAACTCCTGACCTCAGGTGATCTGCCCGCCTCGGCCTCGCAAATTGCTGGGATTATAGGCGTGAGCCACCACGCCCAGCCCATCACTGGACCATCTCTGTACATAAGGCGGTTCTCTGGTCCAATCCACCACCATCCGTCTCCCCTGTATGCAGGCCCCTAATAAAATCCCAAGTCTTGGCCAGGCGCAGTGCCTCACGCCTGTAATCCCAGCACTCTGGGAGGCCGAGGCAGGCGGATCACAAGGTCAAGAGATCGAATCGAGACCATCCTGGCTAACACGGTGAAAACCTGTCTCTACTAAAAATTACAAAAAAATTAGCTGGGCAGGGTGGCACGTGCCTGTAGTCCCAGCTGCTCAGGAGGCTGAGACAGGAAAATTGCTTGAACCCAGGTGGCGGAGACTGCAGTGAGCTAAGATGGCGCCACTGCATGCCAGCCTGGGCGACAGAACAAGATTCCATCTCAAAAAAAAAAAAAAAAAAAATCCCAATTCTTGTTTCCTGGCTCTGGGTCTCTTCTTCAGCCTTGAACCTGGTGCTTTCCCCTTTTGAGGTTAACAGAAGTTCAGCACAGCATCTTATTAATAAATGGTAACTAGTCAGATCAGTTGCTAATGAGACAACCACGTATTACATGTGAATTGTGACATGCTGCAATAGAATGCATACACCACCGCTTATGAAGTATTCTTGCCAAGAACTTTTAGTCTGAATCTAAACATGCTTTGGTGGGTTGGATTTAATCATTCAGCAAATACCCCTTCCTCCTCCATGGGACAAGCACACTGCCCACTCCATTGATACTCGACAGTGGAATGGGAACCGTCCACCTGCAAGCCCCAAGGCTATACCTCAGGCCATCTCCTGCTTCCATCCGCTCCTCCTGTGTTCCTCTGACTCACCATGGGCAACACGAGCCCCATGCAGCCCCTACCCTCTAGTTTGGGTCTCAGAATAAACATGTCAGGCAGAGCTACCCCAGCAGACCTGCAACCTGAACAAACCTGCCCTTTTGCTGACCCTGCCTACAAACAGGAAGAAAAATTCTCGTCCTATGAGATTCTGCTGTTGTTTCACAGCAAAAACACACAAGCCTTTGGACTGAAATTCCCATTTACAAGAAGCGCAAGAGCTAGAGAGAAAAGTTAAATGCTAGCCCAGAAAGCAATCAGACGAACGCTGAAGATGGGATTTGATGCAGGACAGCTGGTCCACGTGAGTCTCTGCAATAGAGAGGTGTAATGGAACAAAAAGGAAGAGGGTGCATTCCAGTTAGAGAAGGAGTGGAGACATCAGGGCCCACAGTGCTGTCTCCGCAGTGACCAGGCCCTGGTAAAGAAACCAGCTGTAGAGGACATTCTGGTAACAACTGGAGAGTGTTTACCATAGACTGGGTATTAAATGTTATCAATGAATTACTGTGAATGCTGTTACTATGATAATGGTCTCGTGGAAATGTAGGAAGATGTGCTTATTTTTAAAGTGCACGCTGAACTTATATGGCCAAATAATGATGGCTACAACTTTTAAAACTTCAGCAAAAAAGGCCGGGCACAGTGGCTTGTGCCTATAATTCTAGCACTTTGGGAGGCTGAGGTGGGTGGGTCACTTGAGGTCAGCAGTTCGAGACCAGCCTGGCTAACATGGTGAAACCCCGTCTCTACTAAAAATACAAAAATTAGCCAGGCATGGTGGCATGCACCTGTAATCCCAGCTACTCAGGAGGCTGAGGCAGAAGAATCGCTTGAACTTGGGAGGTGGAGGTTGCAGTGAGCCGAGATCATGCCACTGTACTCCAGCCTGGGCAACAGAGCGAGACTGTATCTCAAAAAAAAAAAAAAAATCGACAAAAAGGAAAGAAGTAGCAAATATAATAAAATGCTAACAACAAATCTAAGCAAATATGGCAATGGATATGTTGTGTTTATTATACTTTTTTCTCTTTTATTGTGAATTAGAAAATGTTTACTTCCATGAAAAAGGTATAAAATGGGGCCAAGTGTGGTGGCTCATGCCTATAATCCCAGCACTTTGGGAGGCTGAGGCAGGTGGATCACTTGAGGTCAGGAGTTCAAGACCAGCCTGGCCAACATGGCAAAACTCCATCTCTACTAAAAATACAAAAATTAGTCAAGCATGGGGGCGGACGCCTGTATTCACAGTTACTCGGGAGGCTGAGGCAGGAGAATCGCTTGAACCTCGGAGACAGAGGTTGCAGTGAGCCAAGATCGCGCCACTACACTCCAGCCTAGGCAACAGAGCAAGACTCTGTCTCAAAAAAAAAAAAAAAAAAAAAAAAAAAAAAAAGGAAAAAGGTATAATGGCCATCAAATTCGACAACCCATTCCTGATTTAAAATAAACCTTAAAAGGTAGACCAAGAAGCAAACTCCCTTAACTTGATAAAGGATATTTATCAGCCAAGTGCAGCAAAACATCTCATTTTATAGTGACGCCATAAAAGTATCCCCTGTAAATTTAGGGACAAGATTAGGAAGGCTGCTATCACTGTCACCTTTCAGTCTGGGGCTGGTTACCCTACCTAGAAGTACAAACACAAAGAGACATCTCAAGAGGTGTACAGTTTGAGAAGGAAGAGGGGAAGAAGGAGGCATTTTTTTCAGACAATATTCCTGTCTTTATAGAAAACCAAGAGAATCAACGGACGAATTATTAGGACTAAGAAAAAGGTTTAGCAAGGTGGCCAGGTATGAGTTTAACACATAAATCAATGGCTCTCCTAAGCACCAGCAACAACCAAATAGAAAATGTAATAATAAAAAATATTTCATACACAATAGCAACAAAACTATAAAGCATATAGGGAAAGAACATAACAAAAGTGTACAAAACTTTCAAGAAAAAAATACACTACATTCCCAGATAAAAACAAATAATACTGCATTTTAATATAGTAAATATTTCAATTTTAAGTATTTTAATTTGGTCCAAATCAACTTAGAAAGTCAGTGCAATTCCAAAAGAACCTCCAATGAGAATAATAAAATTCAGATGGCAGAGGAAACAATTGCAGAAACACTCTAGAAGAACAATGAAGGATATAAAACCATAGAATTTTTTATTCCACGAGAGTATACAAATAGACCAGCAGAAGACAGTCCAGAACAACTCATCATCTATAATGATTTACCATATGATAAAGGTAACATGTCAAATCAGCTGGTGGGGGGAATGGGTTATAAACTTTGCAACTCATTTTTTAAAAGCTATATATATATCCCTGAGTTACGCTATTCACAAAAATAAATTTCAAGGGGACTAAAGACTTATTGTAAAATAGGTGACTCTAAAATGTTAGATACTCAGTATAAGGAAGCCCTTCTTAAATAAGACAATAAAAAATCATCAAGGAAAAGACCAATCGGGGAAATGCAAAACACACTATTACCTGTAAGAATGGCTAGTATCAAAAGGATGAAAGATAAGAAGCGTTGGTGAGAATGTGCAGAAAAGAAAATCCTTGTGCACTGTTGATAGGAATACAAATTGGTATCACTATTATGGAAAATAGTATGGAGGTTCCTCAAAAAATTAAAAATAGAACTTCCGAATGATCCAGCAATCCTACTGCTGGGCATACATCCAAAGGAACTGAAATCGGTATTTCAGAGAGAAGTCTGCACTCCCACGCTCACTGCGGCATTATTCACAATACCCAAGATATGTGAATAATCTAAATGTCCTTTGAGGGATGAACAGATAAAGAAAACATGGTATACACTTACAATGGAGTGTTATTCGGCTTTTAAAAAGAAGGAAATCCTGCCATGTACAGCCACACGGATGAAACTGGAGGACATTAAGTGAAATAGGCCAGGCACAGAAAGATAAATACCGCATGATCTCACTTATATTCAGAATCTTAAAAAGTCAACTCATAGAAGCAGAGAGTAGAATGGGGGTTTCCAGGAGCTGGGGGTAGGGGAAGTGGAAAGATGCTGGGCCGAGGGTACACGGTATCAGCTGTCCGAGCTGAGTAAGTTCTGGAGATTTACTATAAAGCACAGTGCCTACAGCTAACAACACTGTATTGTACAGTTAAAAATCTGCTGAGAAGGTGGATCTTCTGTTGAGTTTCTCATCACAAATCATCATCATCGTAATAAAGTAGGCAGGAGGAAACGTGAGCAGGTGATGGATCTGTTTACGGCACACGCTGTGGCAATGGTTTCATGGGGGTTGGCTTCGCTCTAAACTCACAAAGTTGTACATTAAATATGTACAGCTTTTTGGAGTGCAGTGGCATGATCTTGGCTCACTGCAACCTGTGGCTCCTGGGTTCAAGTGATTCTCCTGCCTCAGCCTCCCGAGTAGCTGGCACTACAGGCGCGCGCCACCATGCCCAGCTAATTTTTGTATTTTTAGTAGAGACGGGGTTTCACCATGTTGGCCAGGCTGGTCTCAACTCCTGACCTCAGGTGATCCGCCCGCCTTGGCTTCCCAAAGTGCTGGGATTACAGGCATGAGCCACTGTGCCTGGCCCCCATCCTCTTTTTTTTATTTTTTAAATCTCTTCTCCCACCATAAAATTAATTCCTTTCATATTTTTTGGTCAGTCAGAATTGGGAAAGTCCCACACTCTCCTATTCTCCTATTACCTTAACATCCCAAGCTTCCTTTCCTTTTTGGTCTTTATGAATATATTTATATGGAAAGAATTAAGATAAACAAAACGGATTTCCCCATTCTCTCACTTCCCCATCTTGTCTTCCTAGACCCCACAGAGTTAAAACTTGGGACTCTCCCGACCCCCCAGAACGCTTATATATTGTCTGAGGTTCGTGCCGCAGTAACAGACACAGTATTGAATTGCACATACAAATGTTTGCTGGGTATATTCACTGTAAATTTTATTTAATCTGGTTTTTTGTTTGTTTGGGGGTTATTTGGGAGGAGGTCGTTTTGTCTTTTGTTTTTTGAGATGGAGTCTCACTCTTGTTGCCCAGGCTGGAGTGCAATGGCATGATCTCAGCTCATTGCAACCTCTGCCTCCCGGGTTCAAGCAATTCTCCTGCCCCAGCCTCCCGAGTAGCTGGGATTACAGGTACATGCCACCACACCCAGCTAATTTTTTTTTGTATTTTTAGTAGAGACCGGGTTTCACCATGTTGGTCAGGCTGGTCTCAAACTCCTGACCTCAGGTGATCCACCCCTCTCGGCCTCTCAAAGTGCTGGGATTACGGGCGTGAGCCACAGCACCCGGCCGGTTTTGTTTTTAAATATATTTTTTAAAAAAGTCACTGGAAAAAAAAAATGTGTACAGCTTTTATATGGCAATCTTACCTCAACAGACTGGTTTTTTAAAAAAGAAATAAGTTTCATAATACTAAGAAAAAGGAAAAGAATGCAAATTTACTTTCTACATTTTCTTATAATCCCTAAATAAAGTGAATTATTTAGCTACAACAATAAACAATGTTTAAACCTGGATGAGAAAAAAAAAAAACACCTAAAACAGAAGACAACAGACTGGAAGAAAATAGTCGAAGTAAATGTATCAAAGAATGAGCATCCAGGATGTATTAAACCTTTTTTTGCTTGTATACCCACACACCCAAACACTCACATGAACGTGTGACCTTCCTAGATATCAATAAGAAAAAGACGAATAACCCCATGGGAAACTGAGCAAAAATTACAAAAGGGAAATTGACCAAAGAGAAAATACATGTGCCAGTAAACACAGGCAAATATACTTGACTTCACAAATAATCCAGGAAATGAAAAAATAAAATGGAGATTTTCTCCCTATCACATCTGCAAAGTTATAATGTCGGGAACTGATGACACTGCAGGGACCAAACCACTCTGTAGCCATTTGGGAAGGGAACCTGACAGTATCTGGTAAACTGCAGAATGCAGATGACAGCCAGCACTTCTGCTTCTTGCTCTCTCCCCTAGAGAAGCATTAACCCACCAGCATCACTGTTTGTGACAGCAAACATTAGGAAACAACCTAAATGTTCATCAGTAGGAAAGTGTTCATTAAACAGTATCTAGTACTGTACACACGGTCCCTGGAAGCCTCTGCAGCAGTTAAAGCAAATGAGGCAGGTCTCTAAGATAGACCTGTGTGTACAGTCATGTGGTTCTCCACAATACCATGTTCTGAACAACTCCGGCAGCAGAACAATGCACAGATACCTTCTATGTGCATAAAAACAAAACACAGCCATCTACATCTACACATGCATAAATGCTTATATAAGATAATGAAGGAAAACACACTAACCACAGAGTGGTTCTCTAGGGAGAGGAAGGTTGTAGATGCAGCCAAGGGAGAACTCTGCTTTATCTCTGATGTCTGAATTTTCTTCCCGAATGCACTCCTGTGTTGCACAATTCTTCAGATGATTTACAAAGAAAATGCAAATAATTTCTCCCTAAATATGATATCCTTAATCAAAAATAAGTGACAATAAGTAACACACCAACAGGGAATGCAAAAGGCCACCTTCCTCCTTCGAAGAATGGCCGTGTGAGGCCCAGCCCCACAGAACAGGAGGGGGAAAGGGAGAGACACGCATAGGCAGGCAACCCCCTCCTGGGCCCTCACTCCAAGAGCACAAGTCACCAGGGGTGAGGGGCCGGCCTGCAGCATGACCTGTCCTCTGCTTACTTTTTTCCCTTTCCAGCCCTGGCCTTAGCCAGTCTGCAGGTTTAGGGGCAAACCTGATCCCTACAGCGTGGGAGAAGGTTATACCATAAACTCTGAGAGTCAATTTGCTTCCTATGCCCCAGTCTCTACTGCCTCACAACACACATCAGCCCATTTCCTCTCCTGCTTGGCAGAGATGGTCAGGATCCTCATGTCCCAGTTAAAGAAGCCAAAACTCCAAGAGAAGGTGTGGCAGGTGCAAGGTCACTGGCAGCAAGTGGGGGCCCAGGTTCCGGCCACCTCTCTCAGGTACAGAGTATCGCTCACTGGCCTCCTGGTGTTGCCCCTCCAACTACAGGTTCCTCCTCCTTATGGAGCTACCATATCCTGTCACTCCAGGACTCCACTGTTTTCTCAGAGCTTGGGAGAGGAACAGTTGGCTTCATGAGAGCCCAAGAGCCAAGTTACCTGGCCTCAAAGCTTCCCTGGCAGCTCCAGCTCCATCCCTAGCCAGGGGCTGCTCAGTGGCCACACCTGCCACCAGGTGGCCCCTCCTGGATCCTGCTCTGCACAGCTGCCCTTCCCATGCTTCCTGTCCCAGCCCTGATGACTTGTCTGGCAGAAGGACTGCTGGCCCCTCCCCGGGAAGCCAGTTCATCCTTCTTGCTCATAGGTCCCTGAAACTTCATTCACTGAAGTCTCTGTAGGGATATATAATTCCTCCCAATCTGCAATTTGCCAGAGGTACAGAAAAAGAATCATATGGATGCAATCAAAGTCTTCCAGGCACCCGGCACAGTAAAACGCAGAGTGGTTTCGCTGCACGGTAATTATACCAACTCTCCAGAGGCCCGGCACTGTCACCCAAGACTATACAACGCTCAGCCCTGCTTGCACATTAGAATTGCTGAGGAGGGAAAATCTGTATTTCTACCTACCGATCTCTATCAATATCTTTATTTATCAACCTATCAATATGCAGACCCCAATCTAACAGATCTTCATCCAATGGCCCTGAGACTGTCCCCCGGGAGAGGTAGTTTTTAATGCTTCCAGGTGATGCTAATGTGCAGCCACGTTGCAGACACTCCAGTCAATTTTCAGTGCTTCACTTCTCAATGCGAATTAACAACCACGGCTCACAGATCTGGGAGGAAGGTCTCAAACAGGAAGAAGAAAATCCAGGCAAGCAAGTACAAGGACAGCAAAGGAAAAAAGATAGTGAAGGAAACAGAAGTAATTGTCAAAAAAGAAACAAAATAACAAATTAATACCTTTAAATAAATAGAAGAAGATATTGCCGCAGAAACACAAAGATACAGTGCTACAAAATAAGAAATGACGAAAGAATAGAAAGAGCCCTCAGAGAGCCAAAGTAAGAGCAAGCATAAACATTTCAATATGGGTATTTAAAGTCGTTGAACTATCCCAGAAAACAGAACGGAAAGAAAAGAAGATGGTGCCGGGCACATTGGCGCATGCCTGTAATCCCAGCACTTTGGGAGGCCAGGGTGGACGGATCACTTGAGGTCAGGAGTTCAAGACCAGCCTGGCCAACATGGTGAAATTGCTGTCTCTACTAAAAACACAAAAATTAGCCGGGCGCAGTGGCGGGCTCCTGTAATCCCAGCTACTCTGGACGCTGAGGCAGGAGAATTGCTTGAACCTAGGAGGTGGAGGTTGCAGTGGGCAACAGAGAGAGATTCCATCTCAAAAAAAAAAAAAAAAAAAAAGAAAGAAAGAAAAGAAGATGGAAAAATATGAAAGAAAAGAGAGACTTCAAAGATAGAATGAATAGGTCAAAAATCAGATAGATGGGAATTCCAGAAAGAGAGGAAAGAGAGAAAAGAGAAAATGGAGAAATTAAAATAGAGAAAATAAGAGGAAACCTCCCAGAAGTGCGTGCAGCAAGCTCCGGGTGCATCTGGCCTTGGTTCTGACCCTCTTCCCACCACAGCCCTTCAGATGCCCCACACCAGGGAGCAAGGACCTCAAGCTGCAAAGCCTCCTATCCTCAAGCAGGCAGGTACCACTCTATGCACAAACACCCACCGAATCAGGGGTACCCGGGACCCAACCCTCCTTCCTCCAAAGCGCTGCCTGCCTGTCATCATTATTGTCTTTTCACGGACTGAACTTACACAGTTATTTTGATCAGCTTTCTTAGAAACAAAAATATAAATCACCAAATGTATTTAATAAGCATCATTTGATGAAAGGAACAGGTTAAAATCTGAAGATAAAAAAGGAAGAAAGAAGGAATAGAAAGAGACAAAATGCAGGGAGAGAGAAACGGAGACAGAGGAGCAAAGGAGAAGCAGGCAAAGAAGGAAGGGAGGGGAAAGAAAAGCCCAGACACCATCAGAGGAGACACCTGCACCCAGTAACACACTGACAGGGGGTGACACATGGACAGAAAAAAAGAGCAGCCATTTCTCTTTCCCCGCCAGGCTCACTGCCTGAGTTGCAAGGTGCACAAAATAATGACTCCCTTCTGAAAAGCCAGCCAGCTATTCCCAGTTTTCCCCTGGCTCTTGATTTCTAACCTTCCCTCCTAATAATCCAGGCCTGCACGTGTGCAGCACACTTCCAGTGTCACTTAGTCCCCACACTCCTGCAAGTCAGAGGCTGGGACTGTTGTCTCCATACTGTGAGGCCTTCCCTGACTCACCAAAGGTCCCACAGAGAACATCAGGACCAGGAAGTGAGGGGTCTTCCCATAAAAATAATAAGCGTGAATTTGTGCTTCCTTGTGACATGCATGCTCATTAAGCTCTGTTGCTTTGTCTATCAAAGGGGATAACAAAAGCTTACCTTGTTTCTGTGTTGACCAGAGGTAGATATGTTTGTTTGTCTGCTTGTTTGTTTGTTTTTTGAGACTGAGTCTCACTCTGTCTCCAGGCTGGAGTGCAGTGGCGCCATATCAGCTCACTGCAACCTTCGACTCCCTGGTTCATGTGATTCTCCTGTCTCAGCCTCCCAAGTAGCTGGGATCACAGGCATGCGCCACAATGCCCAGCTAATTTTTGTGTTTGTAGTAGAGACAGGGTTTCACCATGTTGGCCAGGATGGTCTCGATCTCTTGACCTTGTGATCCGCCCGCCTTGGCCTCCCAAAGTGCTGGGATTACAAGCGTGAGCCACCGCGCCCGGCCAACCATAAGTAGATATGTTAACCCAGTTCCTGCACATACACGCACAGTTCCTCACAATAATTCTGGGAAGTGGGGGGCCAGGGGGCAGTGGCCAAAACCAAGGCCCAGCACTGCAAGGATCTGCCCCGGGTCACATGGCTGGTGGCCAGGGTCCCTGCCTCCTGGCCCAGAGCGACTTCCTCCGAACTCCCTTCACTCTTGTCCCCCCACAAACCTGGCTCATGATCTGCTATTTGGATGCAGTTGTCACTGAGCAAGCAAGTTTCCAAACAGTGAGTGGATTTTCAAAAATCCTATTAGCATATGAGCAAGAAATCCCAAGTGCCTGACGAACACTTTATCATTTTTTAAAATGTATTCACTCAACTAACAATGATTTTTCTTCTTCCTGACTTGATAATAAGTTCTCCACTAACAATGATCTCCAGGATCTGTTTTCTAAAAGATTCTCTCCCTCTTATCATCTGCCAGCTGACCAAACTGGTGAGTGTGGCTCCTGGGGGACAGCAGGCAAACCACAGACAGGAGAGGAGCTGCCCCCTTGGGATGGGATTTACCAACTGAGACTGTCAACCCCAGGAGAGCTGGGCACATTTTTTTTGTCTCTTAACACTGGAATTTTATTCTACTACAGATGCTGTAAAGAAATAAATGAAGGACCCCAGGCACTCATTGACAGTGTGCTCACTCTGCAACTGCCCTGGACAACATCCACTCTGGAAAAGACAGCTTGATGGCTGATTCTCCAAGAGCATGCCTCTCAGCTCCAACAGCACTCAGAAACAGGTATGCTGGGCCAAGCAACGTGGATCCCATTCATTTCTCCTTATTTCCCTTGACAATCATAGCAGTCATATAAACATCAGCAAGACAGAAAGCGCTATTCTTCAGGCACAAATCCTAGAATATCAAAGGTGGCTTCAGCTCATCTGCAACACAACCTCATTAGAAACCAAAAAAAAAGTCCACATCCAACACCTACACTGTAGACTGATTTGGGCAATACAGAAATGGAGTCGCCTTCAAGGTGATTTTGAAGGAAATGGAGAAAAAGAGAGGTGACAGGAAAAAACACATGTAGATGTTTCTTAAAGACTTAAATAATGTCCAGGCCTGGTGCCATGTACCTGTAGGCCCAGCTACTCAGGAGACAGGCAGGAGGATCACTTGAGCTCAGGAGTCCAAGGCTGCAGTGAGCTATGATGGCACCACTGCACTCCAGCCTGGATAACAAAGTGAGACCCTGTCTCTTTAAAAAAAAAAAAAAAAAAACAGTCAAATGATGACTGAGTAATCTGCAGACGGGTGAGCTCAGATCTGATTCTAAAACAAGGTTTTAGAACAGCTCTGTTCAACAGAAATTTCTGCAATGATAGAAGTGTTCTATCTGCACTGCCCAATATGGCAGGTATTGAACACTTGAAACATGGTTAGTCCAATAGAGAAACTGCATTTTTTGTCTGCTTCATTTTAATTCATTTAAATTAAATTTAAATGGCAAGTAGCTGCCACTATGGACAGTGCAGTTCTAAAATGCATTTATTAAAGGATTGTTTTGGGATCACATCTAAGAAAAGTGGTAATTATTAGAGCTATAAATGAATTCGGTAAGAATAAGTTTGTGAAATTAGCCTCACTTCTTTCTCCGATATAGAATCTGCAAAGGCAGTTAAGGGAGATCTGGAAGAGAGTATACCTGGACTTTAGCAAGGCAGGATTTTGGCAGGTCCTTCCCAATGTTCTTGTGGATCATCTGAAATATGTGAGCTGCATGCAGCGAAGTGAGATGGAATAGGAGCTACCTGCATGAGCACAATAAGCAGGCATCGATTCAGGGAAAACTGTCAGTCTGTGGGGATTCTCCAATGATCTGGCTCTTTTCAACCCTGGATGATGATAAAGCACAAGGCAGCTCTTCAGAACTGTAGATGACACAAAACTGGGATGCAGACTTGAAGGGGATGTAAAAATATCAAGTCAAGTTCAGGGATGGCAGCAGTAAAGTTTAGCAAAAGCATACACAAAGATCTTACATATCCTGCTTGATTGAGAAAGGTAACGCTTTCACTGCCAAATATGCTAATGTGAATCACAAACTTCATCTCTGAAGCAATCTTCTTACACAAGTCCATTATTAACCATATAGGGAGGCTTAATTTCTTTAAGGCCTAACTAGAAATCTGCACCAGTAATTACACTGTCCCATTAGACTGAAAAGCCTGTTTTACATAGTTCACTCCAATTGCTCCTTTCATCAAGCGCTTTTATGATGAATACTGTCTTCCAAGGTCATTATTTATTTCCTTACCTTAAAGAGAGGGTGGAAGCCAATTCTTTGCTAAAGCCCTTGTGACTAAGGGCATAAATGAATGAAATGCAAAGAATGACTCATTTTCGGCCGGGGGCGGTGGCTCACGCCTGTAATCCCAGCACTTTGGGAGGCCGAGGTGGGTGGATCACGAGGTCAGGACATCAAGACCATCTTGGCTAACACGGTGAAACCCCGTCTCTACTTAAAAAATACAAAAAATTGGCCAGGCGCGGTGGCGGGCGCCTGTAGTCCCAGCTACTTGGGAGGCTGAGGCAGGAGAATGGCGTGAACCCGTGAGGCGGAGCTCGCAGCAAGCCGAGATCATGCCACTGCAGTCCGGCCTGGGCGAAAGAGCAAGACTCTGTCTCAAAAAAAAAAAAAAAAAAAAAAAAGAATGACTCATTTTCCTATATGACATAACATCTTCGTTACTCAGGATAGTTGCTGTATGGGTGCAAAGCATCAGATATTAAAATACCATGAGGCACCATCAACTATGACATAGTAGAAGAAGTAAAAAAAAATATTATGTCTGAAGAATTCCACCGCCTGCTATGATGCACTAGCTTGTGTCAGACTAATCCTCTCACCAAGAACAACTAGAAACTCTTGACGAAATTTTTTTAAATGATCTCTGTGGAAGCATCAGAGAGTCCAAGGCAGCTAGGACTTGAGGGGCTGAGATCATGACAAGTAGATAATTACCCAGAAATAAGCTCAGCATTCTGTGCTGCTTTTCTCGTCAAGGCATTTGGGGATTTGTGAGTGATGGAAGCCAAAAGGTTAAAAACACACACAGGAAGAAAGTAGTGGTTAAGAGGCAATAGGCCTAAGCAGAACTTTCAGTAGTCTCAGAGGACTGGGGAAATAAGAAATTGCAATTTATGGCTAATAAGGCAACAAGAACTTGAGGGTCCAAATTGGTAGAGTTGAAACACAGAGGGGTGAGTCCACTATCTTAGGAAAGGGCAAAAGCTGGAACTATCTGAACAACAAAATTAATAATGCAATACTGGTTTATAGCCCAAAGTATACAATGAATATCCATGAGTCCATACAAATATAAATAAATGAATGAGAAAATAAATGAGTGAGAACAGACCAATCTCCCTGTGCAGAATTGCAAATAATTTGTGTAGATACTGTTCCCTCATGGAGATGGTGCATAACACTCAGACGATTGAGGGTAACATCAGCAGTGATAAATTATGTAGCCCTGATTTGATAGGATAAGAATGGCACTTTTTCAGATGGGATCTTCTGCCCCAAAGCCCATAGCCCCTATTGAACCATGAGAAAAATGCCAAGCACACTCAAATTTAAAGATATTCTATAGAATACCTGACCACTACTCTTCAAAATTGTCAAGGTCATCAGAAACAAGGAAAGTCAGAGGAACTGTCACAGTCTAAAAGAACCTAAAGCGACATAATAACTGAACTCAAAGCAGTCTCCTAATAGAATCCTGGAACAGCAAAAGGACATTTGATAAAAACTAAGAAAATGTGAATGAAGTATGGACTTCAGTTAATAATAATGCATTGGCACTGGTTCATTAATTGTAACAAATGTACCATACTAATGTGAGATGTTAACAACAGGGAAAAGTAGGTACAGGATGTATGGGAACTCTCTACTATCTTCGCAACATCTCTGTGAATCTAAAACTATTCTAAAGCAGTAAGTTAAAAAAGAAAGTTTATATACCTATATTGGTAATTAGACAAACTAGATTTTACGAAAAGCAGCATTCTTATGGAAAAGAAAGAATTCATAATTAAAAAGGGCAACCTACTAGGAATAAATTCTAAATTTATATGTATCTAGTTAAATGCACTCAAAATTTATAAAGGGAGAATTGACAGGACTATAATAAGACAAATCTAAAGTATTAGACATTATGAAATTTATGTCTATTAGACACAGACATTATGAGCAGCTGGATAATTTAACACACTTCTTTCAGTAAATGATATAACAAAGAAGTAAAAATAAGAATGGAAATATAAGATTTGAACACCACAATTACCCATTTTTCCTCATGAATATATCGAAAGTACTGAACTGAGGAACTACACACAAGGGCACATGGGATAGTCTGTCAAAATTAATCATATGGTGGACAAGTCTAAAGCCAGTGTAAACAAATTTCAAAATGTTAACATTGTAAATAATCTGTTCCTGACTACGGGGTAAGCAAGCTAGAAATAAATAACAAAAATATAACCAGAAAATATGGAGGCATTTGGAAATCAACTACTTTAAAATAACCCACATTTCAAAGGAGAAATTTTAAAAAGTGAACAGATTTTGAACTAATTAATAATAAAAATACAACGTATCCAAAAATGGTGCTGGACAGCCAGCCATGTTCACAGCAGCACTATTCATCATGGCCAAGGAATAAAAGCAACCCAATGTCTATCGATGGATGATGGATAAACAAAATGTGGTCTATTCATACCACATAATATTATTCAGCCTTAAAAAGGGAGAAAATCTTATCACACAACCCAGCACAGATGAACCTTGAGGACACTGTACTAAGCAAAATAAGCCAGTCACAAAAAGACAGAAACTGTAGGATTCCACTTGAGGTACCTAGAGTAGTCGGAAAGTAGAATGGTGGCTCCCAGAGGCTGGGGCAAGGAGAATGAGAAGTTGCTGTTTAATGGGTATAGATGTTCAGATTCGCAAGATGAAAAAGTTCTAGAGATCTGCTTCACAACATTATGAATTTACTTAACACTACCGAACTGTACACTTAAAAATGGTTAAGATGGTAAATTTTATGCTGTGTTTTTTTACTACAATTTTTAAAAATAGTGGATTACAGCTAAAGCAGGCTTAATAGGCTATTTATAACCCTAAAATCATATATTAGAAAACAAGAATGGCTGGAAAAAATAAATATGCTGTTGTTTTCATGTTCTTAGGTATGCATAGATTTCCTAAACAGGGCACAAAAAGCATTAACCTTAAAGGAAAAGATTGATAATCTGGGCCTTCTCATCAAAAGATACCACTGAACGTGAGAAAGTGTGAGAAAATATTTGTAATATGTACATCTAGCAAAGGTCTCAGGTACTAACTATATAAAGAACTCCCGGCCGGGTGTGGTGGCTCGCACCTGTAATCCCAGCACTTTGGGAGGCCGAGTTGGGCGGATCACGAGGTCAGGAGATCGAGACTATCCTGGCTAACACGGTGAAACCCCGTCTCTACTAAAAAATACAAAAAATTAGCCGGGCTGGTGGCGGGCGCCTGTAGTCCTACCTACTTGGGAGGCTGAGGCAGGAGAAGGGCGTGAACCCACGAGGCGAAGCTTACAGTGAGCTGAGATCGCACCACTGCACTCAAGCCTGGGCGACAGAGCGAGACTCCATCTCATAAAACAAAAAAAGAACTCCTACAAAGCACTAAGAAAGAAAATGCAACAGAAAAATGAGCAAAAACTTGCACAAAAACTTCAAGAGAAGGTTTCGAAAAGCACAAGACAAGTATTCGAAAGAGATATTCAACAGTCTTCAGTGAACTGAAAATCATACCAGAGGATCCCACCATGCATCCACTAAAAATCAAATTAAAATGACTAACACCACCAGTTATGAGCAAGGATGTGGAGCAAATGAAACTCCTATTTGCAGGTGGGAGTGTAATTGGGTACAATCACGTCAGAAAAAGGACTGGCAGTGTTCACTAAAATAGAAACATACCCAGACCCTGTGACCTACCCATTCCAATCCTGGATGTACCCTCAATAGAAATGCAATCATGTGTACAACAAATGTGTAACAGTGTTCCCAGCAGCAATCATGACCCAAAACTAGAAAAGATGCAAATGTCCATCAAACATAGAATGGATGAATTATTTGTATTTTTACAATGCTCTGTAACAGTGAGTCAATGAACTACTGTCACACCACCTGTGAGTGACTCTCACAAACATAATGTTGCATAAAATAAGCTGACATAAAACAGTATATATTGTAGAAATTCATTTATTTAAAAAAAAATTCAAACATTTGCAAAAATAACATTTGGTGCTAGGATTCTGATTACCTTTAGGTGGTGGTGGTAGTGGTCGGGGGTGGGTTATGGCTGGGAGAGGACCCTAGGGGAGATTCTTGGGTTGTGGTGATGTTTTGTTTCCTAGTCTGGATGGTAGTTTCATGGATGTGTTCACTTTGAAAATATTCATGGTAATAAACACTTAGGATTTTTGTACTTTTCTGTTTATATTACACTTGAATTAAGAAGCTTATTTTAAAATAAGTGGCTTATCATTTGCACACTGTTCAATTCAAAACAGACTTCAAAAAGGTGACTGTCCAAAGCTTCCTCCCACTTTAGTCTCCATGAACAACTCCAGGTGCGCGTTCTGAGGGTGTGGATTGTTACAGTGAGGGGAGGGGGTGCAATGTGCTATGAGACTAGAAAAGGCACCATATCTTGGGCAGGGGCTCGTCTTTTTAGAGTCTTTCCTCAGATTCTGCTTTGAACCCCAAGCTCTGCCTGCTGTCATGGTACTGTAAACACTGCCCTAACTTCTGTGAGTCAGATTTTCTGATGCCTTCTCAGTAGGATACTTTGGTGCACTAGGGGATCCAAGGCTCTTGGGGAGGATCCCCATGTTAGTATCACATTCCATAGTCCAGCATCTGGGAGGAAGAGCCTGCCGGCTTCTCTCCCCTGCACATACACACCCTCTGTCCTGGTTAACTCACACTAGAGAACAGCTTCCCACCTGGCCATACTGAAAGAACAGAAACATAGTTTCAATTACCTTTGTCAGAGAGAACAGGAGAGGTGAGGGAATGGAAACCAACTCCCAGAGAATGGTGGGAAGGCAGACACTCAGGGGCACGAATGACTGTGGGTAGAATTCATATGTATGGAGTGTCCCTGTGACTGGCTCTGTGCTTTTATTTTTTTATTTGTTTTTTGTTGTTGTTCTGAGATGGGATCTCGCTCTGTTACCTAGGCTGGAATGCAGTGATATGATCACAGCTCACTGCAGCCTCGAACTTCCAGGCTCAAAGGACCCTCCCACTTCAGCCTCCTGAGTAGCTAGGACACCTAGCTAATCTGTTATTTTAATTCTATGTAGAGATGGGAGTCTCCCAGTGTTGCCCAGGCTGGTCTCGAACTCCTGGACTCAAGTGATCCTGCCATCTATGCTTTCAATAACAACATTCAGTGTGTGTTTTACTAGATATGGTGTTGAGTCCTTTCCGTTGTAAGAAAAAAAAATTGTGGTAAAATACACGTAACATAAATTTACCATTGGAAGCCTTTTTAAGAATACAGCTTAGTGACACTAAGTACATTCACACTGCTGTGCTACCATCATGACCATCCATCTCCAGAACTCTTTTCACTTTGTAAAACTGAACCTCTGTCCTAATTAAACACTAACCCCCTTCCCTCTCCTTCTAGCCCCTGGCAACCACCATTCTACTTTCTGTCTCCATGAATTTGACTATTCTGAGTACCTCATGTCAGTGGAACCACACAGGATCTGTGCTATTCTATCTGGCTTCCTTCATTTAGCATAATGACCTCAAGGTTCAAGGTTCATCCATGTTATAGCATGTGTCAGAATTTCCTTCCTTTTCAAGGCAAAATAATATTCCATTCTATGTATACACCACATTTTGTTGATCCATTCATCTGCCAATGGACTCCTGGGTTGCTTCCACCCCTTGACTATTGTGAATCATGCTGCATGAACATGAATGTACAGATATTTCCTTGAGCCCCTGCTTTTACTTCCCTTGGGCATATGCCCAGAAGTGAAACCACGCCTAGATTCCACGGCAATTCTATTTTCAATTTTTTGAGGAACTGTCATACTGTTTTCCGACGGGCTGCACCATTTACATTCCCACCTAAAGTGCACAAGGGTTCCAATTCTGCCACATCCTCACAGACACTTATTTTCTGTTTTGTTTTGTTTTGTAATAGCCGGCCTAATAGATATGAGGTGGTATCTTGTGATTTCGACTTGCAATTCTCTAACGATTTGTGATGCTGAGCATGTTTTTCTGTGTTTACTGGCCATGTGTCTATCTTCTGTGGAGAAATGTTTATTCAAGCCCTTTGTTCGTTTGTTAATCAGGTGGCTTCTTTTTATGTTAAATTCTAAGAATTCTTCACACATTCTGGCTATTAACCCTTTATCAGATGTATGAATTACAAAGATTTCCGTCCATTCCTTGGGTTGCCTTTTCACTGCTGACTGTGTCCTTTGAGGAAGTTTTTATATTAGATGAAGTCCAACTTACCTATCTTTTCCTGTTGCTGCCTGTGCCTTTGGTGTCACATCCAAGAAGTCACTACCAAATCCAATGTCATGAAGTTGTGCACCTGTTTTCTTCTGAGTTTTATGGTCTCAGCTCTTATGTTCAGGTCTTTGATCTATTTTGAGTTGATTTTTGTATTCTCTTGTGTTGTTTTTATATTGTTTTCAGTTTTTCCAACACCATTTGAAGAAACTATCCTTTCCCCACTGAATGACCTTGAAATCCTTGTCAAAAAATCATTTGCCCATATATGTCAGGGTTTACTTGGGGGCTGTCTACTCAATTCCTTTCGTCTGTATGTCTGTCTTTATGCAACTACTACATTGTTTTGATGACTACAGCTTTGTAGCTAGTTTTGAAATTAGGAAGTGTGAGATCGCCAACTTTGTCCTTCTTTTTAAGATTGCTATTACTATTCAGGGTCCCTTGAGATTGCACAAGAATTTTAGGACGAATTTTCCTATTTCTACAAAAAGCATCATTGGGATTTTGATAGGGATTGCAATGAATCTGTAGATTGCTTTGGATATGACATAGTTTGGCTATGTCCCACGCCAAATCTTGCCCTCAACTGCAATAATCCTCACGTCAAGGGTGGGGCCAGGTAGCGATAACTGTATCATGGGGGTGGTTCCCCCACACTGTTCTTGTGGTAGTGAATAAATCTCATGAGATCTGATGGTTTTATAAATGAGAGTTCCCCTGCACAAGCTCTCTTGCCTGCTGCCATGTAAAACATGACTTTGCTCTTCCTTCATCTTCAACCATGATTGTCAGGCCTCCCCAGCCATGTGGAACTGTGAGTCCATTAAACCTCTTTCCTTTGTAAATTACCCAGTCTCGAGTATGTCTGTATTAGCAGCATGAGAATGGACTAATATAGGTAGTATTGACATCTTAACAATATTGTCTTCTAATCTAAAAACATTCCATGTCTTTCCATTTACTGGTGTCTTCTTTAATTTCTCTCAGCAATGTTCGGTAGTTTTCTGTGTACAATTTTTTTGCTTCCTTGGTTAATGGAATTTTTTTCTTAACTCCCCTTCCAGATTGCTCACTGTTAGTGTATAGAAATGCAACTGATATTTGTGTGTTGATTTTGGATCCTGCAACTTTACTGAATTCATGTATTAGTTATAACAGCTTTGTGTGTTTCGTGTGAAGTCTTTAAGGCCTTCTACATATTGCATAAGACCATGACATGTGAAAAGAGAGAAAATTTCACCTCTTCCTTTCCAATTTGGATGCCTCTGATTTCTTTTTCTTGCCAAATTGTTCTGGCTAGAATTTCTAGTACTATGTTAAATAGAAGTGGTGAAAGGGGGCATCCTTGTCTTGTTTCTGATCTTAAGAGGAAAAGCCTTTGCAATTTTTCACCACTGGGTATGCTGTTGGCTGGTGGCTTTGCCTGTATGGTCTTTATTATGTTGCGGTATTAAACTCTTTCTTTTCTAACTGTCAAAGCAATATTTATTTATTTATTTATTTATTTATTTTGAGACAGAGTCTCGCTCTGTTGCCCAGGTTGGAGTGCAGTGGCATGATCTCGGCTCACTGCAACCTCTGCCTCCTGGGTTTAAGTGATTCTCCTGCCTCAGCCTCCTGAGTAGCTGGGATTACAGGGGTCTGCCACCACGACAGGCAATTTTTGTATTTTTAGTAGAGATGGGGTTGCACCATGTTGGCCAGGATGGTCTTGAACTCCTGACCTCAAGTGATCCACCTGCCTTGGCCTCCCAAAGCACTGGAATTTGCTGGCGTGAGCCACTGCACCCGGCCAGCAGTTTTTATTTAAAAAGCAGCAAGAGCAGTGACTCACGCCTGTAATCCCAGCACTTTCGGAGGCCAAGGAGGGAGGACTGCCCGAGCTCAGGAGTTTAAGACCAGTCTGGGCAACACAATGAGACCCTGTCTCTAATTAAAAATTTAAAAATTAGCTGGGTGTGGTGGTGTGTGCCTGAGGTCCCAGCTACTCGGGAGACCAAGGTGGGAGGACCGCTTGAGCCCAGGAGGTTGAGGCTGCAGTGAGCTGAGATTGCAGCACTGCACTCCACGCTAGGCAACAGACAGAGGTGCTACCTCAAAAAAACAAAAAAAAAGGCACATTATTCCCATTGTCCAGATAAGGAAATCAAGGCTTAGAGAGATCAAGCAGTCTGCTCAGGGTAACACAGAGACAGTTAAGTGGTAGAGGCAGAATTCCGATGCAAGTCTGGGTAATTCTTAAGTGCTTAATTTCGGCCCCTATCTACGCCTTTGCTATTTAAGATGTGGCCTGAGGACCAGAAGCAACTGCACCACCTGGGGGGTTGTTAGAAACACAAAATCGCAGGATCCACCAAAAACCATGGAATCAGAATCTGCATTTAAACAAGGTCCCTGGCCGGGCGTGATGGCTCACGCCTGTAACCCCAGCACTTTGAGAGCCCAAGGCGGGTGGATCACCTGAGATCAGGAGTTTGAGACCAGCCTGGCCAACATGGAGAAACGCCATCTCTACTAAAAATACAAAAATTAGTCAGGCGTGGTGGCATGTGCCTATAATCCCAGCTACTCGGGAGGCTGAGGCAGGAGAATTGCTTGAACCCAGGAGGCGGAGGGTACGGTGAGCAGAGATCGTGCCACTGCACTCCAGCCTGGGCAACAAGAGTGATTCTCCGTCTCAAAAAATAAAAATAAAATAAATGAGATCCCCAGGAGATTCCGGCGCACACTGGAGTTCGAGCAGCCGTGCGTTATGCCAGTGGTCCTCAACTTTGATGTAGGTCAGAACCACCAAGAAGGCTAATAAAGAACACAGAGGCCCAGGATGGAGGAAGCAGAATATGACCTGCATTTGTATTTTTACCAAGTTCCCCAGGTGATCCTGATAGCAAACACAGTCTGAGAACCACGGTGCTACACCAATGTGGAAATGGCCTCTAGCTTTCAGGACTGAGAGTGCCACTAGGCTAAGCTAGGGCTGGGAATAGATTTCTGACAAAATTGTCCCCAGCACTGATTGTCTCTGGGGCATGGAGTGCAAAGAGGCAAAGAGCCCTCTGTCACAGGAAGGGGGCAACCAGGGGTAAGACCTTCACTTCCAAGACTGAGATCAGGAAGGAAGTCTGCTCAGAAGCCACATGGGGTCTCTCCAACCCTGAAAGGCCAGATTCTATCTAGAACTTGGCTTTTAGAAGGGATCCTAGACATATCCCAAGTCTCTAAGACAAAAGCCTGGGCCTCAGTCTCCCTCCAGCATCCCTGAGAGCAGGTGTGGAGCATGCTACAGCCACCAGCCCACTGTGACCCTGAGGTTAGTGGGAGACAGGAAGTGACAATGCTGCCACCCCACACATCTGCAGCACCAGCTTTTGGTCCTGGAGCCCCCACGTGTTATCAAGAGTGTGGTCTTTTTGAGGTACTGACTTGGCTAGGCAATCAGCCACTCTTCCAGACGTTGCTGTGAAAGTCTTCTGTCCATGTCATTAAAGTCCATAATGAGTTGACTTTTAGAAAGGAGATCATCCCAGACAATCTGTCTGGGTCTGGATCAATTTGTCAGGAGACCTTAAAAGTAGAGCCAAGGCTTCCTTCAGGAAGAAGAAATTCTGCCTGTGGACTGCAGCTGCAGCCATGCCTGGGAGTTCCAGCCTGCCCTTCCCCATGGCCTGCCCTGCGGGCTTCAGGCTTGCCTGGCCAGGTCCCAAAACCACGTGTGCAGATTCCTCACAATGTATCTCCTCATATCCATCCCTTACTGCTTCTCTGGCTCAACCTGACTAATAGACCAAGCCTTTCTCCTATCCATCCCCTACTGTTTCAGTGCACCACTGAAACTATTCCACCTCCATAGAGACTCCGCAGGTTGATGTCCTATCAGCCAGCTATGAGACCTGGAGCTAGTGGCTTAACTACTCTGAGCCTCTTTCCTCAAACAGCAAGAGTCTAGACTAATTGATGCACAGAAGGAACCCTCATGGTGGAAAAACATTCAGCACCTGCATTAGCTTTTGAAGCGCTATCTCCAGTAGCAGCAGATGTTCTTTGGAGGGTAGATTTGACTCATCTTAAGTAGATTGTGAAGCGAGTTTCTGAAGACAACCTTCATGCCATGAAAACGCTAGCCTGGTCATCTCTCTGTAGAGACTCTATGAGGAGCCTCTGGTGCACGGGCCTCCACCCCATGCCGCACCCTCCAAGGTCAACTATGGAAAGCACATATCCCTTCCTGTCAGCCCTCCAACAAAGACCTGCCAGGGCTTCTCCCAAGCCATCTACACAGGTCAAGCTGGCCTCTGCCACCTCTTCTACCTCACCCCCTAGCTCCTCCATCAAGCCAGATCAAACAATTCCATTCCCAGACCAGCCACGCTGCTTCCTCTGTCCACGCTTCAGTTATATATACACGCTTGTTTGCCTGGAACGCCCGTCTTCCCCCTCTCTCGCAGAAATGTATATTCATCCTTCGAGATGAAAGATCAACCCTCACTCCCTCCTGGACAACCCACTGGACTGATGAGTCCGCCCTCCCCAGGGTGCACTCTTCGTCTCCCTTGACATTCACAGTATGCGGCCACCAAGACGCCACCCTTTCCTGCAGTGGCTGATTCTCGAACTGAAGGTCAGGGGCTCTCTTTCCAGCCTCGCATTAACCCATGCCAAACATGCCTGTCTGCCACCATTCTGTTTTTCAACATAATCACTTTTAGATGAACAATGAATACAAATCCAACAACGGACAAAACACAGTGTACCCCACACGTGAGGCTCAGGAGGTAACTGGTGGTCTCTCCCTGCAGCCCCCCACTCGCTGACCCCCCGAGACCAGCACATGGCAAATGACGTGGACTTTCTTGTAATGAGGGTTTCTTATGAGATGGTAACAGCCACCACTGCTAGGAGTCCTCCCACCATCCAGGGTGGCATGCCATCACCCTTTCCTCTGCAGATGTATGAACTGATTGAAGGAGATTAAGCGATTTGCCCAAGAAAGGAGATTAGTTCACAGCAGCCCTAGACTGTATGGAAATGCAATTCTTTGCAGTATGCTCTGCTGCGATACAGGAGACCCCTGCTATGACTCTGGAAGACTTAGAAAACGTCTCCATGACATGTACATTGCTCATCAATTCATCCAAGCACACCTTGTGGTATGAGAGTTAAATTAGCATGTCCGTATGTGCCTAGCAGCACACATGGTAAAAGTAAGTCTGGGAAATGACAGGTTAAAAGAAATTTAAATTGTTCCTTTTCTTGCAGGACTTCTGAAGGCCTTTTATATGGTGCTTTGGGAGTGTCCAAGACGGGCAGTACACACAGCACTTCCCAACCTAATGTGACCGGGGACTATTATATTCAAGAACATCCGCTGGGAATCCTCAGAATATAGTTTGAGAATGCCAGCTTGCACACTAATGTCATTAATTAGAATTGGACATAATTAATTAGAGCTGAATATCATTAATCAAAAGTTACATACAGAAATGGCTAACTTCTCTTTCATCACACTAATTATGTTGGGCTCACAGTTCCTCGTGCTACTTTCTTAACCCATTTTCCATCTTTTAAAAAAAAGGGTGTTGATGAATTTTTTTCTCTTCTAAAGTACAACTTAAAACAAAAAAGAACTGGGTGTCAGAGCAGGAGCTTCCAATTTGAAAGCACACACCAAGTCTGCAAGCAAATAGTAACAGCCAGCTCCTTGTCCTCTCTTTGCCTCTTCCAGGGAAGGAAACCAGCAAGATGGGAAAACTCACATGTGCTACACATCCCCTCTTCATTATGTGGTTCATTCTCACAATCTACCCGCCCCCAACTCATGAGTCTCCACTTTGCAGATGGGAAGGTGAGCTTCTGAACATTTCTAAAGTCTAGAGGCAGTGGCTCATGCCTGTAATCCCAGCACTGCGGGAGGCCCACGTGGGAGGACCACTTGAGGCCAGGAGTTCGAGACCAGTCTGAACAATATGGTGAAATGCCCTCTCTACAAAAGATTTTAAAATTAGCTGGGCATGGTGGCACTCACCTGTAGTCCTAGCTACTCAGGGGGCTGAGGTGGGAAGATTGCTTGAGCCCAGTTCAAGGCTGCAGTGAGTTATGATCATGCCACTGCACTCCAGCCTGGGTGACAGAGTGAGACCCTGTCTCAAAAAAAATAAATAAATAAAAATAAAAATAAGAAACTAGAGCTATGTGATGACTACACACTTCTTGAGCATCCACTGTACATGAGGCACTGGGCTGGGCACTGGAGGATATGGGACAAGCAGGCCTGCAAATCCACAGAGACAGAAGCCAGGCAGGAGGGCTGTGGACTCAGATGTCCACCTAAGGTCCCAAAAAGTGAAGCCCATGAGCCTCGTCTGTGAAGATAAAGAGAAGCACCTGAGAGAGGAATCAGCCACACAGGCAGGGCCAGAAGGAGCCTCCCATGTGAAGGCAGCAGTTCAAGAGGCAGAGCCAGGTCAATGTGCAAAGCCTGGCTCATTCAGAAATCCTACTCATTTCACACAGGGAATGATGGCTTACACTTGTAATCCTAGCATTCTAGGGGCCAAGGAGTTCAAGACCAGCCTGGTCAACATGGCAAAATCCCACCTCTATAAAAACAATACATAAAAATAAGCTGGGTGTGGTGGCACATGCCTGTAGTCCCTGCTACTCAGGAGGCCAAGGAGGGAGGGTTGATTGAGCCCTGGAGGTCAGGGTTGCAGTGCGCCATGATCAGACCACTGCACTCCAGCCTGGGCAATAGAGCAAGACCCTGTCTCTAAATAAATCAATAAATCCCACCCATTTCAATGAAGAGACAAACAGAAGCACCTGTACAAGGGTGAGGCCAGGTAGTCAGCCAAGGTGGAGGATGAACCAGCAAGACGGGAGCAAGACGGCTGCATCAGAGGGACCCACAGCACAGAACACTGGGGTCCGTGTGCCTACATCCAGGGGTTTACCACAACTTCTTTTCTCCTCAACTTTGCAAATACATAGAAGTATAGAAAACAATGTAGCAAACCTCCATTCAGGCTTAACCATCGCTGTCAGTCCCATCCCCTCAAAGTCCCCCTTCTCAGGATCACTATCATTCACTATGCAGAACAAACTCTGATATCTTCTGTTCTAATCTGGTTCATATTTTTAGAAAACGCTGGTTGTGACCCACTTGTGATGGTTAATTTTATGTATCAACCTGACTGGGCCACAAGGTGCCCATGCGTCTGGTTAAACACTGTTTCTGGATAGTCTGTGAGGTGTTTCTGGAAGCGGTTACCATTGGAATTGGCAGACTGAGTAAAGCAGACGGCCCTCCTCAGTGTAGGTGGGCATCGTCCACTCCAGTGAGGACCTGCATAGAACAAAACAGCAGAGGAGGGTTGAATTCACTCTCTGCCTGACTGCTTGACTGGGACATTGGTCTTCTCTGCCCTCCATGCTGCTGGTTCTCAGGCCTTTCGGCCTGGACTGGAATCTGCACCAGTTCTCTGCTTTCCAGGCCTTTGCACTACAATACTGGCTTCCCTGGGTCTCCAGCTTGCAGATGGCAGATTGTGAGACTTCCCAGATGCCATATCATGCAAGCCAATACCTTATATCAATTGACCAATCAATCGATTGATCGATACATAAACTCTAAGATAAACTGATCCTATTGGTTCTGTTTTTGAGAGAACTGACTAATACAACACTGAATCCCTTTCATGAGCAGAATTGCTGGGTCATGGGGGATCCACATTTCAACCTTACTAGATAACACCTAATTGTTCTCTAAAGGGGTTTACTAACTTGCCCTTGATAAACAGGACATGAAGGCCCCCTTGCTTCACACTCTGGGCAACCCTTCGATTATCAGACTTTCTAATTTGCCAACATCTCATGGTCTCCCAGGCAGTTCCCAGATTAGGAGCAAGGCAGAGTTCATTTGTCTATTTGACATTTTCATTTTTTCTTCTTCATAGTATTTGCTCATTTTTCAATTCTATTGTCTTTTTAAAATTAATTTGAAAGAGTTCTTGATACAAACAGAATACAAATCTCTCACAGTAAATTCATCATGAATATTTATTCCAGCCTGTAGTTCTCTTAAAGAAGTTGCTAATACTGATGTTTGATTAATCCATCTTTTCTTTTATGATGTGTGTATGTTTCCCACCTCAAGAGCAGATAGAAAAAATCTTCTATGTATTTTAACATTTTTGTCTTTACATTTTGGCCTTTTTTTTTTTCTTTTTTTTTGAGATGGAGTCTCATTCTGTCACCCAGGCTGGAGTGCAGTGGCATGATCTCGCTCACTGCAACCTCCGCCCCCCAGGTTCAAGCAATTCTCCTGCCTCAGCCTCCCGAGTAGCTGGGATTATAGATGTCCGCCACCACACCCAGCTAATTTTTTATATTTTTAGTAGAGATGGGGTTTTGCCATGTTGGCCAGGCTCGTCTCGAACTCCCGACCTCAGGTGATCTGCCCACCTCGGCCTCCCAAAATGCTGGGATTACAGGTGTGAACCACCGTGCCCGGCATAGGCCTTTAATTCTATGGCCGTTTACTGGTACATGTGCTGTGAGGTAGGGATCTCACTTTATCTTTTCTCTTTTCCTATGTGGCCAACCAGCTGTCCTGCATCACATCCCACCTGGTCCATAACACACGTCTGCCACCTCCTGGCTTCCTATACATATGAGCACTTGCTCCTAGCCTTGCTACCCTGTCCCAGCCATTGCCGTGTCTCTCCCTGCACAAATGTCACACAGTCTTCATCATCCTGGCTCTCCATCAGGAACCTCACTGCTTGGGGGTCTCATGGCCTCCTCCCTTAGTGCTCTGGCTTTGTGTTTTCTCTTCATGTCTCATAGCTTGGAATTTCCATGCCTTTCTTTGGATCTTAGGTTTTAAAGAACACTTTGGGCTAGGTTTTACACAGCATTTATATGCATCCATACGGGGGTACATGCTAGTATCACATCAGCCCGTCATTTTCAGGACGTGATGTCTTCTAACTTAATATATGTTCTGAGACTTGCCGTGATTTAAATACAGCTTATTAATCTTTTCTGTGTTCCTTCAGGATAATCGCTGATTTTATATATTTCATTATGCACACATTTTATAGATCGAGGGCCTATAGGACGGTTATCATAGGATATAGTGAGGCCTAGAATTTAATTCTCAAAAAAAAAAAAAAAAGAAAAAGAAGAATAAGAAAAGAGCCTCAAACTTTTCCTGTAAGTGGAAGCACATTCACAAATTATCCTATGAAAAGACATCAGGCACATCACAGGGATTAGTATTCTGAAGCTACAGAATGATTCCATTCGCAGCAGAAAAATAAATAAACCCCGGCCCTTTCTTCTCTTTACAGATCTCCTCACAGAGACTCATTCTGGCATAATTGGCATTTAAAAATATCCATCTCCTTGCCGCCTTTCTCTCTGAGAAGGAATATGCTTTTCTGCTGGGAAGCTGCAGAGAATTGTGATGAGTATATTCACTTACATGATAGGCCTATTACACTGCAGATGGGTGAGAGCAATTGGGAAGAGAGCCCAGCACCTTCTCTATTGCAATTGATTTTGATCGTCTAATAGTATTTCAGGATACATAAAAATTCCAGTAGGTCTTTTCTAGACTCAGAAGAAAAAAATACCTTATACCTTACAGGCATAAATAGAACCACCCTATGACTCTAACAGAATGTAATGACACCCCAGGTTCCATAAGGAAAACGTCAAGAAGCCAATTTCACCGTGGACAGTCCCTAGAGGGTGGATGGGCTGAGGCAGCTGCTTAACCCTGGGCTCCCAGAAGACTGGAATTTTATGGAATCATGAGCTGTGTCTCCATAAGTAACATCTCCCTTCATAAGCTGTCCTTACTGCTGGTGATAATCAAAATCTCCAGCATTTTCAGAGCTGAGAGTGGATGATGTATCTAATGTCATTACGGCTGAAGTATGTTTACAACCCTAAGTAGAAAGTTAAATAGAGCAGAAAAGGCCTGTTGAGAGCACAAAAGTACATTCACAAACTTTGAAAACTGACAACTGAGAAAAATTTCAGTAAACACTCCAGCTTATGTCCAAACCCATTAATAATCACGCAGCTCTTCTACGTTTCACCCTGTTTCATGGACGAGGGCTGATTGTCCTGCATCTCTTAAATGCCTTGTGAATGTGCTCCCTCCACGGAGAGCCACCGTGTAATTCATCCAGGACATTTGTGACAAGAATGCTCCCCAACTGGATGCAAGGGAATTCCTGCCTCATCAGCAGAACAGGGATGGTGAGTGGTTACCACAATGTGGGAAAGATGCAGGGCAGAAAGTGAAATCAATAAAGCTGCCTTGCTTTACAAATAATGGCTTTTTGGGTGGCTTCAAATAGCCACACTTGTGGCCTTGTGCTGCCCTGGAAGAAAAACTGTGATTCTGAACCTGAGTCTTGACACTCCAGAATCCCGTCCTCACCCCTGCTGGTCTTCATCCGTCCCCTCACAACTGGCACAGAGATTCCACACTGGGACACACAAAGTGTTCCTTGCCTTGGTCAGGCAGGGGGGGTGTTCCCAAGGCCACCGCTGCCTTGCATGTAACACTCTGAACTGCCTCCCTGTCCAAGCTTACCACATGCTCCTTCCCAAGAATACATAAGAACCCCCAGAATCCATCAGAAGCTCAGGCCTGCTCTGGGCATCAGGACATGAAGACCATCCCTGGCTCTGCTTCTTTAACTCCAGCAACAATGCCCTCTGCTCCTCGTTCTCCAAACACGCCCCACCCTGTACACCAGTTTCCCTACAAAGCCGCTGCCTTGTGTGTCTCCAGCCACAGAAGAAGACAGCCAATTCATCTGCAGTGCAGAACCTGTCCCTTGCAAGTCTCCCCTGTGTGGAACACTCGGCTGGCACCAGGGCTCTGTTCCTACCAGTCCTACAGGGCAAGGGCAAGCCAGATGCTGACCATGGGGCAGTGTCTTCAGGGCTGCAATACTGCTCCATGCACAGGGAGGGAGGATGGACCACGCTCCATCCCTGGCAAGAT
Source organism: Homo sapiens (assembly GCF_000001405.40). Lineage (NCBI taxonomy): Eukaryota > Metazoa > Chordata > Mammalia > Primates > Hominidae > Homo > Homo sapiens. Next base: position 1,158,815 of record NW_011332701.1, on the reverse strand, counting down.
GAGGAGGCCTCTTTTTATCAAAGTTAGATTTCTTCTGCTCAGCTTCCTGGTATCTCACAATGGCTGGTCCCTTCTCAAAGTAGACCAGCCACTGCCCACACTGGAGAGTGAAAGGTTCGAGTGCTACCTATTATTGCCGATATACATGTGTCTACTTTCGCTGTAACTAGGAACCTAGGTAGGGGTTACACAAATCAATGACTGAGTCTGGTGAGGACCATGGTTTACAGAAACACCAGTATAATGAGGAGAGGACAGATGGGGAGTGCGTGTCTTGCTGTGTTGTCATTGGGTGGTGGGCAGGTCGGTTCCGGGCAAGGTAAGTGCCAGAAGCGTCCCCAGTGTCCATCCACTCCTTGGCTGTGACTCAAACCCCAGCTTCAAACTCCCCAAGCTCACACACACAGGATCCCAGAAAACAAAGAGCCACGGCAGTTGCCAGCTCTGCCTGCAATGTAGCATTTTCCCTCCAGTGAAACGGTCCGCTCCCCACATGGCAAAAGCAAAACCTCATTCCATGCAACGCTGCCTTGTATTTCTTACCTAAAATGAGTGGTTTGGTAATGTCCCGAAAAATCTCCTGGTGATCAAATCTTTCTGGAATAAAGCAGAAGAAAACAGAGAAAATTACTTTCACTTCAGCAATGATACAGGTGCGCACATAGAGCTCCTTCAAGTATAAAAATGTAAATATGAGGCTTTGAATCACCTGTAAAAGTGGACAGATTATAATTCTAATGAGATAATCAGAAATTACCCTAAACAAATAATTAAAATGTTTCTTTAGCCATTCATCGCATAATTATTGCCTTAAGAACAATGTGTTGGGCAAATAAAGAGATGGCTTATGTACCATTCTGAAAGGAGAGACTCTCTGCATTTTAATGAGGCTCCTCAAAGCCCTCATGAATATGTATTTTCCCACAACAAAGCTTGACCCCACGGGTTTGCAGAGCTGGTGCTTCACGACACTTTCAGACTGCGGAGGGTGTGCATATGGGGGTGGGCGGGGAGAGGACTGCGATGAAAGTGAAGAGAGGAAGGAGGACCACCTCTCCTTTCCAATGCCCAGGGTCTCAGCCCACCTTCTCCTGGGCAAGATGGTTTCATGAAAAGAATGAGAAAGAGGCCACCAGGTCTCAGACTTCCCTGAATAGAGGAAGCTCTGCACAGGAAGGCTGAAGAGGAAGCTACTGCCAGCAGGCTCGGGGGTTTCAAGGCCAGGCCCTTGGGTTGGATCAGGAATTCAGGGCAAGGGCATTAGAAGGCTACGGGCAGGAAGCTGGGGTGGAACAGGAGGAGGGGTGTTCAATTGTCTGCAACATCACATCTGAATTCTGCCTCTCCCTCCATGTTGGCTACAGACAAAGTTACAAAGGGCTTTCTGTGTTCCTTTCAAAAAGGATAGTAATACAGCCTCCTCCCGGGGGCATCAGCTGTTGAGCCGGGCCAGGCTGCGAGCCCTTCACGAATGGCTGCGCTGCTGGACAGGGCACCTGCAATCTGGTCCTGGGGTCTGCAGTCGTAGGGAAGAGCCCCATTCACTGGGGAAGGAAACAGGACACAGGCAACACAGTGGCTTCGACTTCATCACAAAGGTTTAGTCTACTCAGCGTCTTCACTTCTCTAAGAAAGCGGCCAGTTGCTCTCACTTCCTAGGTAGACACCCCTAGCAGAGGGTTATAATTACGAAATTTCCTCCACCCAAAATGGCCCAGGGAAGATACTTCTGGTCCCCATGTAAAGGAGATGACCCAACGTCTCTGAGGAGGCTAAAGATGTTTCCATGTTGAACAAGCTACCCGTTAAGGGAGCTGCAGAGCCGTAACCTGCTTGCCTCTGCTCAGGGGAAACTGGCTGTTTGCACCGTTGTTCCATTTCTTTCCCAGGCTATGGTGCTTCTGTGGCTTTTCACGGCCTGTTCTGTGAAGCAACATGGTGCTTCACAGATCCTGGCCCTTTGCAAGGAGGCCTCTTTATCACACCCAAAGTGAGCACCACACAAAAAGCATGTCAATCACACACACGCTTTCCGCAGTGGAGTCAGCATGGGCTGCTTGCTTCCTGTGTGAACGTCAGAAAATCCCTTCACACCATCTCTGTCAGTTTCATCGTGTATAAAACTGGCCAATAACTACTTCAAAGGTGGCTGGGAAGGTGAATTGCAAGGGAACCTCTAGAATGTTGCCTGGAATCACATTAGCATCAAATAGTATTCCCTTCTTCACTCCTAAGCTCGCCATCTGCGGTCCTCCAAAAATAAGTAATTTCTGGGTGAGTTCATGAACTAAAGGTTAGTCCAGCAGCAAGAATCCTCCACTGGGAGTCCAGCAATGCGGCCTCAGTTCCTCACTCTGTTACAGGTTGGCTCTGTGACCCCAAGTGGATCAGTGAGAAAGTCAGGCCTGCCAGCCCCTGTCCTCTCCAGGCACCCTAAACTCCGGCTCTGGGCAGCTGTCACTTGACCAAGCCCTGCAGTCCAGCTTTTCCCACTTGCTCCTGGCCCAGAAGCGCCTCAGGAAACCCGGAGCCTGTCTCAGGACTGTTTCCCAGCCCTAGGAGACCTGCCCATCGCCCACCGCCTCCTTCCCAGAGTCTGCGAGTCTCCAGAAAGCCCAGAGCTCATCCATGTGCATCCCCCAGAAGCCCCACAGGCTTCACACTGACTTCCGACAAAGGCACAGAATCATCACACCGCCCAGGAGCAATAGCAGCACTGCACCTTATGTAAGGCCTTTCCATAAGAGGAAGCAGGCCCATGTCTTCACTCCATTTAGAACGGGTTTTGAGTGTCTATTTATAGGCATCACACACCCAGCCTTTGCGGAGGGTGGAGGAATCAGGCCTCTGGGCCCCTGTCCACCACCCTCATTTGCATTCTTTTCATGTTTCTTTTCTCTCATTTCCCAGCAGCATTTTCGCTCAAAAGCCAGGTCACCTACCACTTGGACCCAGCACCACTTTTCATTTTCTGCAGAGAAAAATATTCATTTTCGTTTCCATGCAGGAGTGTCCTGTCCTTGCCCTCTCCAGGGCCCCTGGCTAGCATTCACTAAAGCACGGCTGTGTGATTCGAGTGACCTATGTCTCCTGGACAGAGGGCTCCCCTGAAAGTCATGCCCAGCAAGGTCACGAGAGCCGGGAAGTCCCTGGGGGCAGCTGACTCTGAGTCGTAAGTGAGCCAGGCATATTTGGGGGGCGGGCTCCATCCCAGCAGGCAGAAGGAACACAGAGGATCAGACATGGCTTGGAAACCCTAGGCTTTTCCCACTGCCTGGCCATTCCTGCATCTGCCAAGCACATCACTCCATCCTCTTCCTGCCCCTCCAGGGGCAGTGAGGACCAGGCCACTTCCCCAGTCCCCCTCGGCTGTTTGTGATCAGACAGAAAGGCTGGGACCTGCTCTTTTCTCACCATTTTTGGAACAATTAAATCCTTCTCAATCTTCAGGCCGTAAATTAAGTACACAGGTCTCCCCATGATATCAAAACACTCTGCTCTCCAAGTGTAGCCATTCACAGGTCTTTATTTTTGTTTGGAGGATTGGGAGCTGGTTTATTCTGCAGCCCTGCAGCCCAGAGGGACACACAAATACAAGGCCAAAGAGTCTCAGGGGCTCCCTTCTTCTCCAGGGTGCAGGGCCTTCCTGAGCCCCCAGCCCTGGGAGCCAGTCCAGAAGGAGAGGCAGGCCTTGCCTAGACTAGCCCAGAATCCACAGCAGAACTCAGCCACAGAGAACACGTCCAGTACACAGCCTCAGCTGCCTGACTTCAAACACCACGCACGAGGTTTGCTTCTCTCATGAATATTTTGCTGAGGCTGTCGGCATTTAGTTTCAGGACTAATTAATTTTCTCACAGGATACCACTTCAACTGCCATCATAGGCTCTGTATTATTCTACGTGCAAATTTCTGGCAGTAAATTGGACTTGTGATCTAACCAAGCCTTTGAAATGCCATGCTTCCAGGGACTCTGGAATGAGCAGAAATGCTAAATATTCCTTAAAGAAGACGATTCATACATTTCCTGATTACCTTTGATTATTATGTCACAGGAGTTGGTGAGGGGGTCCAAGATCCAGAAGCGATCCTCAGGGACCCAAGGTGACCCAAATGGCTGGGGAGGGAGCCCGAGACAGGAAGCCGCTTAGGCTAAGAGAAACTTGACGGAACCCCAATAGGGCAGCTCATGTGAGCGTCCCCTCCAAAGCAGGGGACACCAGCCCTGGAGCCAGAAAGGCACATGAGTGGAAGAATGGGTGAAGGAACCCATCTCCCTAAGCATTTTCTTAGCAAAGCTAAGGCAACACTCACAACATCACAGACTCCCAGACCTGGAAGCTGTCCCGGGAAGGCACAATCACACTCCTTCCTCTAGCTGGCCCCAGAGCTATGGCTGCATTTCCCAGAGTGAAATGGGCAACGCTGCACTTGCTAAGGGGCTGGCACTCGGCACACAGGTTTGGGAAACTCTGGTGCACTGTGCCTGGGTTGTAGAGCAAGTGGAATCTGGTGAACAATAATAACCCGAAGGCAGTGACATACTTGTTGACAGGAGGCTCTGGCCACACTGAGCAGAGGCCCTGGGATGGGTTGGAAGGGGTCTGTGCTGAGCACCATGGTCAGCAGGATGGGGGAGGCATCAGGGTGCATCAAAGACAGAGCGTCGCCCCAGTGCCAGCTCGACCTGGCTCCTCCTGGTACCAGCCTAATGGCTGCAGCCCATACTGAAAGGCAGGTATCCCCCAGACTGATCAGCGCCATCTCATGAGGGAAAGCTTGTAATGGGGGTTCACACTCACATGGCCTTCGTGGGCTGGCTGGGCTGCCAGTGAACTCACCTGCAAGGGGCGGCCTCACAGTGGGGCCGGGCAGCTGGCAGAGCTCAACACCTGGCACAAGGTGAGCTCCGGCACAAGGTGAGCTCCGGCACAAGGACGCCTCCTGCGGCCCGGCCCTGTAGCTCAGCCAAGCTGCCGCAAGAGCAAGAGGGATGCAGTGAGATGGCGGTGTCCCCACAGCTGTGGCTGGAATCCCAGAACACCCAGGATGGGACTGGGGACATGGGGGATGGATGCGCCCCCAGACCAGGAGAGACGTTTTTACTGTGGGGCTTAGGGAGTTGTCTGTTGCTTCCTGATGGGACACACAGAGATGGTGCTGAGACAGGCAGAGGAGGGCCCTTGGGGTGGATACCAAAGTGCTCTTTACAAGTAAAATGTTTAAATTCTGAATAACTGAGTCCCTAGGCTGGCTGCAATGTAAAGGACTCCAATGCCATAACTCTTATTTATAAACACGAGCATGTATTATTTTTCTCCTGGGCAAGAAGCTGAGCCTTTAGAATAGAAAGCTCAAACCTCAAGACTCTCATTTGTGCAAATGTTTTGAGAACAAACTGGATTAAAAGTTAAGTCTTCAAGAGTCTAACTTCCAGAAACAATTGTTTTGTTTGGGAAGGTGGCCTGTAAACACGGCATTAAAATTACTTAGTAATAATGTACAAATTGCTATCATGAAAATGGTCACAGAGCTCTGTTCTTGGAAACTTACCTTGAAGTCTAGTACTGACGGGCCACATGTGATGAGTAACATTCTGCCCCCATGTCCTCACTTTTTATTCCAGATTTGAATTGGGAGACTCTTCATGGGTGATTAGTTCACCCACTGGGGACCAATTCTTTCAAGGAGACCACAGGGCTCACAAAGCCAAAGGCAGAGTTGGGAGTGCAGATATAGAGTATCTCAGCCTGTTTCCAGACTCACAGATGTTATCTAAAACCAAACTGGCTTTTAGAGCTCAGAAATTTGCCCTCAGGACAAATGTTCAATATATCTGACTTTATCGCTTTTTACACATTTGCTTTTATGTAAAGTTATCTGAGGCTCACTTAAATAAACCCAGGAGCTCCTTGCAGTGGGGCTGAGCTGACTTGTTCTTTTTTTTTTTTTTTTTTAAGACGGAGTTTCCGTTGCCCAGGCTGGAGTGCAGCTCACTGCAACCTCTCCCACCCCGGGTTCAAGCAATTCTCCCGCCTCAGCCTCCCGAGTAGCTGGGATTACAGGCATATGCCACCACAACAGGTTAATTTTTGTATTTTTAGTAAAGACGCAGTTTCGCCACGTTGGCCAGGCTGGTCTTGAACTCCTGACCTCAGGTGATCCACCCGCCTCAGCCTCCCAAAGTGCCCACCGCGCCCAGCGGAGCTAACTTCTTCTGTGTAGGGTTGACACTAAACGTGCCCTCTTCCCCCTGGCCTGTAATCTTCAGTAAGTCCGTCCTTGTGCAGCCCACAGCATCAGGTAGACAGGAACACAGTTCCCCGCGCCCTTCTCAGCAGGGCTCTGACACGGCTCTCCAGTGATTCTCGATACTAAACTGACCTTGTTTTCTGCAATTCCTTCCTGGCTTTGAGAAATCAGGGAACAGTGTGACACTGAGGTATTAAGAACTGGAACTTGGTGCCAAGACAGCCCACGTCCCAGGATGGACCCTGATGCCCACTGCAGGCCAGGATGAAGGGGAAGAGAAGGTCTGCAGGCAGCTTAGCCACGTCTACGTCTGACCCCAGGGAGTGCGGAGACAAGCAGAGGGTGTACACAGCCCGCCAAGGCCGCCTCTGCTGGCTTGCCTCCTCGTCATTGTTCTCTCCTAAGCAAATGAGGCTTCTATTTTTGCTGTGAGGAGCCTGATGCCTTCCAATTCCCAGGCACCCCCTGGAGCGGGGATGGGATTTCGTTTTCCGTTCAGGCAGCTCAGGGATGGAAGCAGGGCCACCCAGGAGACCGGGAGCCAGAGTGAAGCAGCATCTGCCAATCTTCTCAGACACATCTGAGCTCCAGCTCTGGCCATGGTGACGCCTGTGCATACAGCCCCGTGTGGCCACACAGGGCCCAGCACACTAGGTTGCATTAGTCTATCTTGTGCTTACTATGACAGGCACTAACTGATTCACAGATACGAACCTGCGCATCCTCCCAGGCCCACCGTGGGGAGCCATCATCCCATTTTGCAGATGAGGACACTGAGGCATACACAGACTAAGCCTAAGGCCACACAGGAAGTGTTGAAGCTGGGATTTAACCCTGGCAATGTGGCCCCAGAATCCACACTCTTAGCTTCTACATTATGTTAGAAGGAAGAAAAGAAAAAAGATATTTATGGTACATAAACTCAACAACGGATCAGATTGATCAATAAGAAAACAGAAAAAAAGGTGCAAAAGATATGGCCAGTCATTCACAGAATACCAAATATATGAAAAAATATATATGTGAAAATAGATACATGGAAAGATGTTAGCCTCACTGGCACGCAGGGAAATGCAAATTAATACCTCATGTAGACAGCACTTTCACGCATTAGACAAAAATGTAAAATGTCTGACAACACCAAGTGCTGTCAAGAAAAAGGAGAAGAGGAAACTCATACGCTGTCAGTGGGACCACTCATGAGGACACCCACACACTTTGGAATAAAATTTAGCTGTTTCTAGTACGTTTGAAGATTACTGTACTCTCTCCCATAGCAATTCCAATCCTTGCTAAATATACTGACAAATCCAGCTCACGTTCACAGAGAGACACATACCTGAGTACTCAAGACAACCTTGTTTGTAGCAGCAAGTCACAGGAACCCAACTAAGCATCCATCAATGGAGAACGACAAATAGTCTTATGTTTGTACAATGCAATACCACACAGCAGTGAAAATGCATGAAATACAGCCACCTGTTTTCACATGGATGAATCTCACAAACATAATGTTAAGCAAAAAAGGCACACTGGATGGGCGCGGTGGCTCAGGCCTGCAATCCTAGCATTTTGGGAGGCCAAGGTAGGCGGATCACTTGAGGCCAGGAGTTCGAGACCAGCCTGGCCAACATGGCGAAACCTCGTCTCTACCAAAAATACAAAAATTAGCTGTGTGCAGTGGCGGGCGCCTGTAATCCCAGCTACTCGGGAAGCTGAGGTAGGAGAATCGCTTGAACCCAGGAGGTGGAGCTTGCCGTGAGCCGAGATCACGCCACTGCACTCCAGCCTGGGCAACAGAGCAAGACTCCATCTCAAAAAAAAAAAAAGGCACACTACAGAAAAAAATACAAGGTGATATCATTTACATAACGCTTACAGACAAAATGCAGAACTAACAGGGATAGAAATACTTATACATGTACTAGGCCATAAACAAGGATCAAACTTCAACAGTAGTTACCTCTGTGTGAAAGACAAGATGCAACTGGGGAGGGGCTCTAGCTGCAATGGTGTTATGATGCTTTAAAATACATCCACAGGCTGGGCATGGTGGCTCATGCCTGTAATCCCAGCACTTTGGGAGGCTGAGGCGGGCAGACCACTTGAGGTCAGGAATTCGAGACCAGCCTGGCCAACATAGTGAAACCCTGCCTTATTAAAAATACCCAAATTAGCCAGGTGTGGTGGTGTGTGCCTGTAAATTCCAGCTACTTGGGAGGCTGAGGCAGAAGAATCACTTGAACCTGGCAGGCGGAGGTTGCGGTGAGCTGAGATCACATCACTGCACTCCAGCCTGGGTGACAGAGTGGTGAGACTCCATCTCAAAAAAAAAAAAAAAAGAATATATATATATATATATATATATCTCTCTCCACATATTCTTTGACACTCCCTTCAAAGAGTGGAACCTAATTCCTTTCTCTTTGAGTGTGGCCTGAATTTAGTGACTTGCTTCTAGTGAACAGACATAAGCAGAAATGACAGTGTATGACTAATGAGACCAGGTCATAAAAGGCACAGCGGCTTCCTCTCTACTCTCTCTATACTCTCTCTTGAATCACTGAGGCTGGGGGAATCCGCCTGCCATGTTGTGAGGACACTCAAGCAGCTCTGTGGAAAGGTCTATATGGCAAAGAACTGAGCCCTCTTGCCAGCCAACAGCCAGGTGAAGTCGATCTTGGACGTGGATCCTCCTGCCCCAGTCAAGCCTTCAGGTGCCCCAGCTCACATCTTTCCCCTCCACTAGAACCACCCAGCTCAGCTGCTTCCATATTCCTGGCCCACAGACTATGTGTGAGATAATAAATGTTTACTGTTTTATACCACTAAGTGTTGGCATAATATGTTACACAGAAATAGGTAACCAATATGGTAGTATTCTCTACCTTTAGCAGCTTGTGGATACCTAGCTGTTCATCACATTATTCTTGTTACATTTTTGTATGCTGCTACAGACTGAATGTTTGTGCCTGCCCTTCTCCAAATTCACATGTTAAAACCTAATGCCCAAAGTGATGCTATTAGACAGTGGGCCTTTGGGAGGTGATTAATGGGATTTGTGCCTTTGTAAAAGAGACTCCAGAGAACTCTCCTGAGCCTTCCACCAAGTGAGGATGTAGTGAGAAGATGGCCTTCTATGAACCAGGAAGCCCTCACCAGACAGCAAATCTGTTGGCGCCTTGATCTTAGACTTCCCACATCCAGAACTGTGAGAAATAAATGTCTGTTGTTTGTAAACCACCTAGTTTATGGTATTTTGTTACAGTAACCTAAACAGACTAAAATATATGCCAATTGTTTCCAAAGACTAACATAAAAATAAGAAGGGGACCAGGAGCAGTAGCTCATGCCTGTAATCCGAACACTCTGGGAGGCCAAGGCAGGCAGATCACCTGAGGTCAGGAGTTCAAGACCAGCCTGGCCAACATGGTGAAACCCCGTCTCTACTAAAAATACAAAAATTAGCCAGGCGTGGTGGCACACACCTGTAATCCCAGCTACTAGGGAGGCAGAGGTGACAGTGAGCCAAGATCATACCACTGCACTTCAGCTTGGACAACAGAGGGAAACTCTCAAAAAAAATTTTTTTAATAATTAAAATTTTAAAAAGAAAAGCAGAGTGGCCAACAGTAGTGACCTGCTAAGTACAGGCTGAGAAGTGGCGCTCCTTCTTACGGAACAGGCTGAGTGTTCCTACGAAACAGGCATCCACTGCAACACTCAAGAGTGCTGGATGACAGGAAGTGACCAGCCAGCGCTGGCACAGGAAACGCTGTCTGTCACATTAACCAACTAGTGAGTCCTACACCTGAATGGGCTCAGCACTTTAGTTAATGTTTGCAGATGTTGGGCAGTGACAAGCAAGGACGCAGAGTGGGCACATACTTTGTCCTTTTGGGTGATCGGGGAATGGCTTCTCTCCTCCAGGAGGCAGGAAACTTTGAGAAGCCTCCTCTATGGGCTGGAGAGCCGCCGGGAATTGTAACTGGGCAGGGGAAGAGGAGGCAGAAGGATTTACTGCATTACGATATTAATTTTAATTAAGGAGACTTTTTTAGGCCAAACAAGCATATGCTTGTGCCTGAGAGGCAGGGAGGGCACCACATCCCCCAGGAGGATCTTGCTGGAATGGAGGTGTCTGGCAAGCCCAGGGCAGCCACCTGCTCCGCCGCTCCTCCCAGGTCCTGAAGCCATCAGGAAGGACTGTTCAGAAGCCAGGGTCTGGCCACCAACACATCTGTCCTTCTTTGTCTTCTATCTCTCTCCTTCCTTCAGATTCCAGAAAGCAGAAGTGCGTTTCATAGAACGAACCAGCTGAGCTGGTCAGACAGAGTCAACCGGATCCAGTTAAAGCAGCAAGAACTCGTTACATCCAGGAGACCCCATCTGTACCAGTCTCGAAGATCCGCTGTGGAACTACTGAAGACCACTTATTTTAAATCCTTTCTAAGAGCAGAAATCCAAAATCTCAACATGTGCTATTTCCCTCAATTTACTCATTCCAAGAAAAACGAAGTCCAAAATCCATTTTAATTGAAACAACCCCTTTTCTGGCCATGATCTGACAACAGACATCACCGTAACACCTAATACACACATCCCACGCATGCTTTCCTTTTTGAAAAACAGTCAGCTGAGGTGGCAGAAGCACTTAGGCCTCCTTTCAGTGCTCTCTGACCTCGGCTTGTTAGGAAAATGACCACGAAAATCTGGACCCGATGTTGTTTGTTCTCATTATTCACTGCCCTCTGGCTGGTAGACAAAAAGTGCAAAGCATGAAGGGGCGTGTGGGGTGCTGGAGCCTGATCTGAAAGCATTGTGTGCCCTGGCCCAGAACATGCTGAGCCCGTGCCCCTGCAGTGCAGCCACAGAGCACAGCAGCCGTGCTCAGCCTCAGGGCCTCCCAGAACCCCACCTCCTCCTCTTCTCCCAGCCAGTCAGAGCCTGGCTCAGACAGACACAAGCCTGAAGGGTGTGATGTCACCAAACCTTCCTGCCACAGCCACCCAAGCTCAGCCTCAGGATCCAATGTGTACAGACTGGACAGAGGTCAGCTCAACCACTGAGGCAGAGGGAGCACCAATCCAAGCCGCTCTGCATCCCAGGCAGCTCCCCCAACCTCCAGAGACGGCAGTGGTTGGCGGAGGGGGAGAGAGGGAGAGAGAGAGAGAGAGAGAGAGAGCAGCTCCCCCCAACCCCCAGAGATGGCAGTGGGGGGAGAGAGAGAGAGAGAGAGAGAGATAGAGCAGCTCCCCCAACCTCCAGAGATGGCAGTGGGAGGGGGGAGAGAGAGCGAGCAGCTCCCCCAAACTCCAGAGATGGCAGTGGGGTGGGGGGGGAGAGAGATAGAGAGACAGAGCAGCTCTCCCAACCCCCAGAGATGGCAGTGGAGGGAGAGATAGGGATAGACAGAGAGAGATATACAGCAGCTCCCCCAGCACCCAGAGATGGCAGTGGGGGACACCCAGAGAGAGACAGAGAGACCCTGCCTCTCTTCTAATGAGTGGTAACCACAGCGCGCCCCTCCACTGGTCTGAGTTGGAAACGGGACCAGGAAGGATCCTGGCACTTGAGAGGAAACCACAGCAGAGAGACTGAGTCAGGGGGCTGGAAGCTGATACTGGCTCAGAACTGGGTGGCAGTATCAGCCACCCAGTGGCTAAGCCTAGGTTCTGTGACACTAAGCCTAGGTTCTCCCAGCTGTGAAATGGGGATAATTATAGTCCCCTATAAGCCTATGTCATGGGGTTGCTACGTGGCATAAATGAGGTGCCGGCAGGTACTCAGTGGGAAACACACACCGGCTCTTGTTCTAAAGCCCTCAGAGCCCTGCCTCCGCAGCTCCCCCTGCCCTCACTCCCCCAGCATGGCCCGGCACTCAGAGTCCCGAATAATAACGCCTCGAGAGCTTGCTTTCAACCCCACTGTGAGCCCCTCCAGGGCAGGACCCTACACCCAGACTAGCCTCCCCGATCCCAGAATCCCCCACCTTGCCACCTGTGCACCCCACAGCAGTGTAACTGATCAACCGAGGGCACGCCTCACACCAAAGTGTGAGTGTCTGCACGGCCTCTGGATACCTTCAGAGAGGACACTCATTAGCCCAGAGAAAGCCAGGTTCCTGGGGCAGGGCAGGGCAGGGCAGGGCAGAGGTCTTCTAGCACCACTTATACCTCAGCAGGACTCAAGCCCAGGGGTGGGGACCACAGAGTGGCCTGGGTGCTTGGGATCACAAATCCCATTAATCTACTCCTAAAACCCTTCCCGCAGATCCCATGGCCTAACCTTCCCCAGAGGTGGGTTTCTCGGGAGAAGGCAATGTTCTGTCTTGGGCTACTAAGGAGCGTACTCCACCCAGTGGGGGAAAGGGCCCATCTGCCCACAGAGCTGACCCCAGGCCAGGTCTCTCCAACCCACTCTGACAGTGACTTGGTGGATCCTCCTACACCGCGAGGTGGGTGGGTGGGGCCCATGAGCCGACAGCGCTCCTGGAGGCCACCTTGTTCACTACATTACATGCCTTGGGAGCTTCAGCATGCCACAACCAGCCTCGAAGAGAAAAGTCAAATTTGAATTTGGGGTTTTTCCGTATGCTGGGAGAGACTCTAGAAAATAATGTATTGGCAAATGCTGAAAAGAAACACAGAATTGTCACGCATGGGCCCAAAACTGAGTATCAGAACAGGACTCTGGTGTCCTCCTTGTCAAAACCAAAGCCAATTACTCTCCCGCCACACACACACCACAAATACATATCTTTTCGTCTGGAAAATGAAGGCAAGGAAATGAATTTCATTTTCAAAATCAGGTTCTACTCAGACAAGGACCACCTTACATGACGCCTCCCCAACGTGACGGCTGACTGAAGCACCCAGGGAGACGGCGGCTGGGCTGCAGGTGTTGAGGGAAATGTTTACACCTTCCCAACCTCAGAATTCATGCAGGTGACCCAAGCCCACTGAACAAGGAAGACAGTGATGCCTCTCCAGGGTCTGCACCAGGGGATCCCCCAGCTAACTCCATCAGTGGGGACATGAGTGGGCAATAGGCAGTGACTTCCTATTTCACCAAGTTACCTTCCACCCTGACACACTTGTGGCCTCCGTAGGTGCCAGGACCTCAACCCAAATGCAAGCCTACCTTTGGTTTTAATTATGCATTTATTTCATTTCTACATAGACATCACTACAACCTGGGGTCATCATGGAAGCTGGCCCGTTATTGCGATCTCTAATTCGCCTTCTATAGAGCAGGCTGGACACCAGCCCTGTAGGCAGCCCTGCCAGGTCCCCCAAGCTTGGGAAGAACACTTGCGCTGAAGACATCATCAACGTGTCCTTGAATTGGTCATGCTGGTCCAATGCCTCTTCCTAGTCTTGCTTTGTCATGACAAATTGCTGCTTTATTTTCTTCAGGTCCATCCTTATCAACCTATTTTCCAATGACTAGACTTTAAATAGGACATGAGGACTTCTGACAATCGAATATAAATCCTCCATTGCCAAAGCAGAAATATATATCATCAGAATATCTTCCCTGAACCAGCCTTAGGATGAAGCTGATAAAATACCAGGGAGGACTGAGGGAAAGAAACTGGACCTGTGCTAACAAGGTCAAGCTGCTAGATCAAACCTTGCCTGCAACCAGGTATTCTGGACTTTCCAATGACATAAGAAAAAGTTTATGTCACCATAGGATGGGTACTTAGTTACATCAAATGTCTTAATGGATAAGGAAACAGCCCAGTGAGATAACCTGACTTTATTAGCCCAAAGGGCAACAAAATTAAAGCCTAGTGACACTGCACTAAGTCCTGCCTTGTGTCAATATGTTGGGCTGAGTTCAACATGGCTTAAAATAAACACAAAATCCTTAACTCTTTATAAGTGTGGGGGGCGGGGAAGGCCCACTTTTCCTTATTTTTTGACTAATTTCAACCTTTATTTTACATTCAGGGAGTCCACGTGCAGGTTTGTTACCTGGGTATATTGTGTGATGCTAAGCTTTGGGGTATGATTAATCCCGTCATCCAGGTAACAAGCACAGTACCCAACAGTTAGTTTTCAACCCTTGCCCCGCTGTCACCCTCTGCCCTCTAGTAGTCCTTGGTGTCTACTGTTGCCATCTTTATGAGTACCTAATGTTTGACTCCCACTTATAAGTGAGAACATGTGGTATTCGGTTTTCTGTTTCTGTGTTAATTTGCTTAGGATAATGGCCTCCAGCTGCATCTATGTTGCTGTAAAGGACATGACTTTGTTCTTTTTTATGGCTCCATAGTATTCCATGGTGTATATGTACCATAATTTCTTTATCTAGTCCACTGCTGATGGGCACCTAGACTGATTATGTGTCTTTGCCCTTGTGAATACCACAGTGATGAACATACAAGTGCATGTGTCTTTTTGGTAGAGTGATTTATTTTCTTTTGGAAATATACTGAGGAATGGGATTGCTGGGTCAAATGTAGTTCTGTTTTAAGTCCTTTGAGAAATCTCCAAACTGCTTTCCAAGGTGGCTGAATAATTTACATTCCTACCAATAGTGTGTAAGAGTTCCCTTTTCCTCAGAGCCTTGCCAGCAACTGTTATTTTTTTTGCTTTTGAAAAATAGCCATTCTGACTGATGTGAGATGGTATCTCACTGTGGTACTGATTTGCATTCTTCTGATGATTAGTGATGTTGAGCATTTTTTCATATGCTTGTTGGCTTCTTACCTGTTTTCTTTTGAGAAGTGTCTGTTCATGTCCTTTGCCCAATTTTTAACGAGGTTATTTGGTTCTTGCTTGTTCAATTGTTTAAGCTCCTTGTAGAGTTGTGATATTAGACTTTTGTTGGATGCATAGTTTGTATTTTCTCCCATTCTGTAGGTTGTCTGTTTACTCTTTTGCTGTGCAGAAGCTCTTTAGTTAATTAGGTTCCACTTGTTGATTTTTGTTTTTGTTGCAATTGCTTTTGAGGACTTAGTCATAAATTCTTTCCCAAGGCCAATATCCAGAATGATGTTTCTCTAGGTTTTCTTCTAGGATTCTCATAGGTTGAATCTTTAATCCAACTGAGTTGATTTTTTACATGGTAAAAGGTAGGGATCCAGTTTCATTCTTCTGCATAAGGCTAGCCAGCTATCCCAGCACCATTTACTGAATAGGGAGTCCTCTCCCCATGGCTTATTTTTGGCAGCTTTGTCAAAGGGCAGATGGTTGTAGGTGTGTGGCTTTATTTCTGGGTTCTCTACTCGGTTCCACTGCTCTGTGTGTCTGCTTCTGTATCAGTCCCATGCTGTTTTGGTTACTGCAGCCTCGTAGTATAGTTTGAAGTTTGGTAATTGGTGCCTCTGGCTTTTCTTTTTGCTCAGATTGCTTTGGCTATCTGGCTCTGTTTTGGTTCCATATTAATTTTGGAATAGTTTTTTCTAGCTCTGTGAAAAATGGCCTTGGCAGTTTGATAGGAAGAGCACTGAATCTGTCAATTGCTTTGGGCAGTATGGTCATTTTAACAATATTGATTCTTTCAATCCATGAGGATAGAATGTTTTTCCATTTGTTTGTGTCATCTCTGATTTCTTTCACCTCCTTGGTTCGCTGTAGTCCTAAGTATTTTTGTGTGTGGCGATTGTAAATGGGATTGTGTTCCTGATTTGGCTCTCAGCTTGAACATTATTGGTGTAGAGAAATGCTACTGACTTTTCTACATTGATGTTGTATCTTGAAACTTTATTGAAGTTGTTTATCAGTTACAGGAGCCTTTTGGCAAAGTCTTTAGGGTTTTCTATGTATAGAATCATAACATCAGTGAAGACAGACAGTTTGGCTTCTTTTCTTATTTGGATGCCTTTTATTTCTTTGTTGCCTGATTGCTCTGGCTCAGGAAGGTTCACTTTTTCAAATCTTACATGACCAAACTCTAGCAGAAATCAGATTAAATTCAATCAGATCTTTTCTGGTTCCCCCAAAACAAGCAGGACAAACCTACACGGCCAGTGCTGAATCTACCAAGTGTTTAGCTAAAAGGCACAATTTACATTGAACATCTCTGCACTTCCCTGTCTCTGAAAGACAGCTTTGACCCCGGCTCACATTACTGTGCTTACGGAAAATCTCCATGCAGCTTTCAAAAATAAATTTTCTTTTAACTAGCCACATAAGTAAGCCCTGCTCCACCAATCAGCCGAGGATGGTTGTGTTGGCTTGCTTTTCTCTTTTTTTAAAATAACTGATGCAAAGACCCAAAGAAGGATCAGAAAAATCATCTCTTAACTCCACTGTCTGTCTCATTTTGAACCTGAGCATGAGGACCCAGAGGTAAGTGACCTGCTCAGAGTCTCAGCCTAGGCCAAACCTACGGGGTCAGAGAGCCCTAGGTCCATCTCACCCCCAACTTGGCTGCCCTGCCAAGAGACTGCACGCTCCGCCCAGAAGGCCATCTGCTCACACGGGGCCGGGGGCACTCTGCAAGGCCAGAAAGGGGCCAGGGGAGGACCTGCGCTGGACATAGCACCCTGCTGACACAAATGGGGAGGAACTGACAGGAAGAAACTCTGGACTCCACCTCAAGAGAAGGATTCCAAACAGCTTCACCACTCTGCACCCCCAGGGAAGCCTCATTGTCCAAAACTGACAGGGTCTTAGAAGCTCTGCCCCAGACAGGCAGGCAGCAGAGCCTTTTGCCGGATGAATCAAATGACGTTAGGAGGACCACACACATTGGCTCAAAACACAACAGAGGCCCGAAGCAAATTCCAGCAGACACCATTTGTTCTCACATGACAGGAGTGGACCGGGACCCGGGAGGACCATGTGATGCTGAGGAATACGGCTTGAGGGACAGAAGAGAATGGCAAGGAGAGGGCTTGGTGGTAGGGCCCGAGAGAAAGAGCCACAGATAGATGAGGAGGGGGACGAAGAAGGGAGGGGAGCCCGAGGCCCAGCCTGGAATCGGGGCAGGCCAGGCAGGGGGTGTGGATGGAGATGGCTGCAGGGCACCTGCAGTGCTCCAGGCACAGTGCTCAGGGATCAGCTTGCCTCCAGCACTTCTGGGAAGATAAGCAGGTCACAGCTATTGCTGCAACCCTGGGGACCCGTTGTAGCCAGATAGCCAGAGAGAGCAGAAGGGGTCAGACCCATAGGATTTTAAGAACTTCTTGTCCCCTGACCTGCCGGGCATAGAGCCCTTTGGACTAATCAAATGCTTTCAGGCCCATTAAGCAGCTCAAGCTGCTTAAAATACTTAATGCATTTGGAAAAATACAATCCAACTCCTGGTGTGAGCAGAATCCTTTCAACTGTCTGCTGCATTTCAAGTTGTGGAACTCTGTGCCCACCCTCCTGCAGTCCTGGAGAAGAATGTGACACAATGACTCCATGCCCTGGGAGGCACCTGCCGGATTACTGTGAAGGGACAGGAACTTCATGCCAAGACAACAAACAAAAATCCTCATGGGTGATTCTATTGCAGCTCAGAAGCCATCACAATAGCTCTATGATTTAAAGAAAGGTGGGGAAGAAAGATTCCCCCTTTTACAGCATTCACCATCAAGGCTCCTGGAAGTACACTGCAAATGGGCTGCACAGCCCAGCAGCTGGACTCTGGGGAGCTCCTTTCTCTTCCTTCTGTCCTACCATTAAAGTCATCCAGGCCCAGTCCTGGGTGTGCCACCGGCCTGGGGCAAGCCTCACCCCCTTAGCTCTGGCGGCTCAAAGCTCTACAGAACTCCAGAGCCCAGACCAAAGATGACCAAGGGCATCTTCTCATAGTCATCTGTGACAATGAAGGCAAACGCTGCTGTGTGGAGGAGCCAAGTTGCAGGGCCAGGCTCACGGATCATGCGGCTTATGGCTTCTGCACTGCAACATGGTAACAGCAAACTGGGAAGCGACATGAATGAGCTGCTGGGTGTCCAGACCTTCCTTTGGCAAACGCCCAAGAGGGACAGGGCCCTCATCTTGTAGTGAGAGGAAAGCTGGAAACAGAGAGAGGGAGAATGGAAACTAATCCATCCGAGCCACGGTACACCAGTCTTTTGCCTAAGCCCTCACCACACCCCTTTGAGAGATTGTTTGGTTTTCCCCATGTTTGGCTTTGGACAATAGATGCAGCCTATCTGCACACACAGCCCCTGAGTGGCAGAGCTGGGATTTGAACCGAGGCCTGCCTGAGTCCACAGCCCAAGCTGTTCACTACCTTTCAACTGAGGATGGGCGCAGATAGGTATGTGGGTCCAACTGCTCCACACCCGACTGTATGGGAGAGACACAACAGCCAGTCAGTAGGGTTCTCACTCCTGTGAGAACCTCAGCATTTCTGTACTAGGCAATGAGGTACCTTCTGGAAAGGCTGTGTGCCTGTCACATACGAGAGCAGGAAGGTAGGCCCAGACATGTACACATTGGGAGGGTGGCTCACTTTCCGCAAATTCGGAATGCTTCAGGAGGTTTATGTGCTGGACAGAGGTCACCCAGAGGAACTGGAAGCAGCACCAGGCACCCTAGCAGCTGAGCATGACTCATGTGTTCATCTTACTGGCAGGATGGCATGGGGCTGAATCACAGCCAATGGAATCAGGAAATTCCCATCTCAGCCAACCCCAGTCATGAGAAACCTCCTTCTAAAATGCTGTTAGAGGCCAGGAACAAGGCTGGGGGATGACTATTCATTCACTTAGGAAAATCTTGGGGGTGGGGTTCTGCTAAGGGCTGAATGTGCTCCTCCCAAATTCAGAGGTTGAAGCCTAATCCTTAATGTGATGCTATTATAATGTGGGGCCTTTGGGAAGAAATTAGGCCCTCATGAATGGGAATGAGAAGAAAAGTCACGAGAGAGATGCTCTCTCTCTCCCCGATGTGAGAGCACAGGAAGAAGGCAGCCATCTGCAAACCAAGCAGAGGGCCCTCACCAGGAATCACCAGCCCCTTGACGTTAGACTTCCCAGCCTTCAGAACTGTGAGGAATGAATGTGTGTTCTCTAAACTAATCTATGATATTTTTGTTATAGCAGCCTGAACTAAGGCTCACATACTCACAAGAAAGAAGAAAAATGGTAGTGTTGAAGGAAGCCAACTGATGAGGTAAGGTTTATTTCCTCATTGTGAATAGACTTTAAATGTTAAGGAAATTTAATTAGTCACTTGAAATCTGGCCACTAGTAATGCACTGGAACCAGAAGGTGTCACAGGTAAGTTTTAACAATACCATTGAGGAACATATCACCTCAGTCTTATATTAATTGCTCTCCAAAAGAGAAAAGGATGAGATGCTGAATGTTATGGGTCTAATATAATCTCCACACTAAAACCAATGAAAGGCAGAATAAGAAAGGTAAATTATAGGCCAAACTCATTTATAAACAGGTGAAAAAACATCCTAAATAAAGTATTAGCCAAGTGAACCCAGCAATTTTTAAGAGACATATCATGATGAAATACAGGTTTATCCCAGGCATGTCAACTTGGTGTAATATTAGAAAAGCTATTGTCGCAATCACATAATTCATCACATTAACAGATCATCTCAATTGATGCCCAAAAACCATTTCATAAAGTTCAACATGCATTCACAATTAAAGGGAGAAAAAACTCCTAGCAAATTAGGACCAGAAGGAGACTTCCTTAACAAAGTGAGGATCTACCACAAGTCCACAGCAAACTCCACACCTCATGGTGGACCATTAGAGATGGCCCTACAAGAAGGAATAAGACAAGAATTTGCAGTATAACTGCTTCTGCTTAACACTGTTCTGTCACTCCCAACCACAGA
Organism: Homo sapiens; assembly: GCF_000001405.40. Lineage (NCBI taxonomy): Eukaryota > Metazoa > Chordata > Mammalia > Primates > Hominidae > Homo > Homo sapiens. The sequence continues at coordinate 1,138,808 of NW_011332701.1, read as the reverse complement.
AGTAAGAAAACAAAAAGAAATTAAAGGATGAAGATTGCAATGGATGAATGAAAGCCAACTGTCATTACATGCAGGAGACATACTGTCCATAGAGAAAAGCCCCAAGCTGCTCTTCAGACTGTTAAGCAAGGTTGCTGGATACCAGGTCAAAACACAAACTCAACAAAGGTCATTTCCAGAGGGCTGCCACTGGGACAGTAGCCAAAATTTCATACCTGGGAATCAATTTAATGTAAAAATGGAAGACCTCTATAGAAACATATCTGTTACTTTATTGAAAGACATAAAAGAGGACCTATTAATTTAAGATCTCCATATGCCATGAGCATGTTTGGATTTGGAGTATTGTCTTCCAGGTAAATTCAGGAAGGAGGCATGGCTGAGTCAGGGTCTATGCAGGTGCACCAAGTCCCAAGGCATCCTGTTTCCTCCAGGGGTGGAGCAATCTGAATGGCTGCTCCACAGCCTCGCCAATAGAGGGCGCCATCAAACTTGTATTGTTTTGTTTTGAGTTTTTTCCTCTCTGCCAATATGGCCCATGAGAAATGGTATCTTGTTATAATCTATATTTTGAAGGAATTAGCTTTGTGATATAAGATGCAAATATTTTCTACTGGTTTATTACCTGGCTTTTTCACTTTGCTTATGGTGTCCCTCCCCCATCATGCGAAAGCAGTTTTGTTTTGTTTTTTTCCTAATGCAACCAAATTTCTCAATCTTTTTTACATTGCTTTTGGATTTTGAATCATAATTTTCCCTACCCACAGGTTATTTTAAAATTTACCCATGTTTTCTTGTGGTAGTTTTTCTGGTAACTACCTATTTAGAGACATTTGAAATGTATGCTTGTAGATGATGAAAGATATCGACAAAATTTTATCTTTTTCCAAATGGCTATCCAGTTGTCTCAAAACCATTTTTAAAGGGTTCTCTCTAATACTGTTTTACTTAGGCATTTTACATCAATATTCCTAAGTGAGATTGGTGTGTGGTTTTCTCATTGAATAATCTTAAGGTTTCTTTTTCTATGTTCTAGAATAATTTAAGTAGCATTGAGATATCTGTTCTTTGAAGATTTGATAGAATTCTCCTGTGAAAATATAGATTTGAATTTTTTTCCAGTAGGAATTTTTTTTTAAAACTTTCTGTGTCTACTGGGGTCAATCTGAATAAATTATATTTTCCTAAAGAAGTTCCCTTTCTATCCAGGTCTTCACACTTACTTGCAAAGCACTATACAAAGTAAGCTTTTAATGATTTTTTTAAATATGCTCTGTTCTGTTAATGTCATTTCTTATTCTGTGTTGTTTGGGGTCTCTCTCTCTCCCCTTCATGATTAGCTTAGACAGAGGTTTGTCCACTTGATTCTTTTTCTAGGATGTAGTATTTTGTGTATTTATCAGTTTCATTTTTTTCTCATTCCTAAAACTCATGAATTTCCAATCTTACTCTTATTTTTTGTCATTCTACTCTAAGTTTATTTGGCTATTTTTATCTATCATTTTTAGTTAGATGATAAATCCATTAATTCGTTTGGTTTCATTTCTGAGGTTATAACCACAGCTTTATGTGTATTCCACAGAGTGATATATTTTAATTATCGTCAAATTCAAAAATTATGCACTTGGTTTGTGTATTTCCTTTCACCTAAAAACTTATTTAATAGAGTTTAATCTTGTAACTCTTCAAATTGAAGGGCCTTTTTGGTTTTTAATCTTATGATTAATTTTTAGTTTTATTGCATTGTGAGCACAGAATGTTGTTTGTATTATTTCTGTTACGGAACTCATTGAGGTTGTCTTTGTAAGCTAATATATGTCAACTTTCCTAAGTGTTCCAAGTAGTCTCGAAACAAAGTTGTATTCCCTATTATCACAGCACAAAGTCTGGTACATTTGGAGGCGTATGTTTTGGTCCCCTTCACATGTCTCAGGCTGAGCAAGGCAGTCACAATGTCCTGGAACTGCGTGTCCCTCATGTCTCCCCACCGCCCCTGTGGTTTCCGCATCGTAGAGGTTCTGGTGATGTTATGTGAAGCAGACATAACCACACCTAGTGTATCTTCTCTGCAAATTGCAGCCTTTAGCATTGACAGCGGCCCTCTTTGTTTCCATTAATGCTTTTGGCCTGATACTAGCTTGGCTGCAGTCAGGATTAAAACTCCCAAGCTCTTTTTCTCTCTTCATTGCTATACACCCTCCTGTCATTTTCAGCCTTCCTGGATCACTGTGTTTTGGATATGACTTCTTTATACAGCATAGAGTTGGGTGCCACTATGTGAACCAATCTGAAAATCAGTCTTGCCTTTTAATAAATGGGTTAAATCCACTCTAATTTACTGATGCGGCTGCTAGGTTTGGTCTCAGTTCTATTCTTTAGTGTTATATTGACCGTGTGTATTTCACTATATGGTTTGTTTGCTTCTTTAAAAGTTGTTTTGTTTTGTTTTTGCATTTCTTTGGGTATTTAAGGTCTATATTTTTGTTTCAGTGGTCATTCTTGTATACCAAACAATGTTACCACTTTCCTACCTGCAGGGCAATCAATGAGCTGATTCTCTGTTCCTCTTTTGCTCTTCCTACTCCAACTATTATTTTTATTCATTATTTCTATTTTGTCAGAATATATAACATTTATAGCCATTCCTCCATACTTATCCCTACCTTTCTTTCGGTCATACATATACAATTTTTTTTAAACATTTTAAAATACTTGTTTAAGTGTAAAAATACTATCAGTGCCTTCGCCAAAGTTTCCCACATCATCTTTTCATTGGATGAAGCCTGTCCCCTGCTATGTGGCATACATAATGTGGCTAATTTTTAACACCTTCATCCTCTATGTGACAACAGTGTTTTCAGTAATTATCACATAATAACCAGTAATAATCACTATTTCCTTAACTGGATCTGTAATTTTAAAAACCATGGACAATTTTAAAAGATGAATTTCAGTCCTAATGGTACAGCTCATATTCAGTAAAATATTTCATGTGTCAACTACAAGTTGCACCAATCAAACAAAAATATCCAATCTCATCATCTGTGCTCTTACTCTTCAAATTTTACACACCAATAAAAACCTCTAGTGTTCACATAGAATGACAGAATTGAAGAAATCCAAGTTCTGTTTCTTTGTCTTTACCTATTGTGATATCACTGGTTATTCCTAATCTGCTATCCAAACAGAGGAATACACAGGGTCACAGGAGTCCGGACCTCAATGGAGTTTGCATGATTCTGGATTGCTACAAACTTCCTCTCAAAATAAACACATGTGCCTCAGTCTGCAGATGTCAGGGGCTGATCGTATACTTGGGAGTTCTCCAAATTAAATGCCATGTAGAATATAATGTTTATTAAAGCATAAGTAATGCAAATATGCTAATTTGAGGTTTACACATAGCATTAAAATGCAATTGTAATAGGAAAAATTGCTTAGAAATTAGACCAACAATAGGTTTTTTCAGGAGGAGTATTTTTTGGCTGACATTGTTTAAAAGTGTTGGATCACAGTGACATAAAAAGCAGACGGACTTTCAGTCAGTTTTATTATTGTTTTTAAATTATCGACAGATGATGAAACTCCTCATTGCCTGCAACCAGGGCAGACCATTTCTGCCGTCCAGCCTCTGACATATCACTAATGCCAGCTGATTCTTTAAGTGTGCCTGGTGGGCACAATATTTTTGTTTCTGAATCACTTAAAGAACCATTGGCTGGGCATAAAATCCTTCACTCACGTTTTCTTTCCTTGAGTTTCTTAAAAGTATTGTGCATTGCTGTCTTGCTTTCTTTGTTGTTGTTATAAGTCTGACACCAGACTTTGCATATAACTTGTAACTTTGTAAACAACTCTGTAAATTTCCTTTGTAAATAACTTGGTCCTTTTGCCTGGAGGCCCTGCTGATATTCTCTTTATCTTTAGAATTTAGTCTTCCTAGAGCATAAATCTTGAGTCAACCATTCCCGGAATGGCAGTGGACTATATTTCCATGTAGATTTGGGTCTTAATTTTATTTTAGGAAAGTTTTCTTGACTTGCAGTTTTAAATTTTTAGTTCTGTTCCATTGCCTTGTTTTAGTTCTTCAGGGTCACCAATTACAGGTAAATTGGATGTCTTTCCAACAGACACTTTGGTTTTGATCTTTTCTATTTCTTTCATTTCTATCCCTACTGTGCTTTCAGCTGTAACTACTATCCCTTTGGGGAACCTTATCATTTACTATTAATTTCAGAGATTATCTTAGACTTTTCTTCATTTGCTTTCCTTAATTAGCTCTCATTTCATATCTCCCGTTGTTTATCCATTTCCAGTCTTATTTTATGAAGAGCTGGCTCATGGTGTTTTTTCACATTTGCAATTGCCTATTACTTACATTTCATTTGTGCTTCTTGGCTGTTTTCATGTCCAGCATTTTGCTACACATTTTCTATTTCTTTTTCTTACAGTAATATTGTATGGACGCTAGGTGTGCTTGGGTTTATATTAATTTACTTAGACTCCCCAAAAGCTGATGAGTAGAGTCAGTAGGGAGGGAGAGGTCTGTGTGGCTTGCTCAGGAACATGGTTCAGCCATGCACTCTTCTCTTACTTCTCTAAAGTACAGTTTTTTTAATTAAGGAGAGAGATTTTCCTCTTCTTCCACCTCCTCCTCCCCTGAGAGGAGCTCTTCTTTGTGGATGATTTGTTGTTTTACTAAGTTCCTTATTTTCAGCTAATTCTTCTCTTCCCTTTCACACCAAACCTCCAGGAAACATCTCCCAGGAGCAGACTCTCCCATCCCATGCACTTTCCAAGACCCTCTCTTTTATTCCTGAGTGACATTTCAGATGTCTCTTATTATCTCCCGAGTGAGGGTGGGACCAGGCCGCTGCTGCACTCTCCTGTGCCCGGTCCTGATGGCTCGGGGCTCTGGCCTGGCCCTGAAACCCTGTATCCTGGTCTTGGGTGGAAACAGAGGTTTGCTACATTAATTGTCCCCTAGTTGTGCTATAATCATGGACTATGGGCAACTATATTTTCCTCCTGATTAACTGTATGTTTTTCAGGGAGATTCTAATTTGGTGGGCGCTGTTATCTTGCAGGGATCCCCCCTTATCCAATCGTGATTAAAAAAAATGGCAAGCACAGACAGAAAAGAAATAGAATAAAAACAACTTCTTACTCATTATAAATAGACTAAGAAAGCACAGCGTTCTTATAAAGCCCTAGAATAATTACTTGTTGAAGAAAAGTGACATAAAATGAAATGAAAATAGAAAACGCAATTTACATGGTGAGAGTGAAATGGGCGTGCGGATTACTGCCCTGGTGTCCTGGGTGTCAGGCGTGGTCTGAGGGGATTCTATGTAGCTTAGGAGACATCAAGGCACAACAGCTGATGACATGCATTTGCCTGGTAACTCCAAGGGGACCCGGTGGTGTCTGTGTGCACACACATGGGCACACATACGGGTGTGTGCATGGCAAAGAGCGGCACTGAGACTGGCAGGTGGGGACTCCCTTTCCTCCTTCACCTACTTAACCCCAGCCCTGGGCTTTGTTTTTTCTTGTTGTTGCTTTTATTTTTTTTTTTTAATTCAGCAAGACAAAAAAAAATGAGAATGTTCTTGTTTTCCCTCATACCATATGAAATTTTCTCAAAGTAGCCTTCCTGGTGACTGTTAGAATTACAAGACACTAGGATGGATTTTCCAGGACGCTTTCAGGTGACAAAATGTAAATTCTTTGCTACACTAGAAAAAGTAAAGTATGTTTCCAAAATTGTCCCTTAAAAATAGTAATAGGAAGAATAATAACAAATTACTATTTTTTTTTTTTTTTTTAGAAAGACAGGGTCTCACTATGTGGCCCCAGGCTGGTCTCAGACTCCTGACCTCAAGCAACCCTCCTGCCTCGGCCTCCCAAAGGGCTGAGATGACAAGCATGAACCACGGTGCCTGGCCAGTCATTTTTATTATAATAATTATAATATATTATAAATTATTATATAGTACATATCATACATTACATCATACATCACTACATGCTATATAATGTATAATATATACGTTGTATAAATGTATATTAACATAAGTTTTATTTTGTAATTTAGAATAACATGATCTGTAACAGTATATAATAAAACAATCAGCGGATTCGGAAACCACACGTCTCTGTATTCCTTTCAGAACCACTGGCACACGCACCTGCAGTTGTTTCGGGCTGTGGGGTGTGTGCTGCACTATTTGGTTTTTGCAGCATCATGGGAAGGGTTTAACATTATCCTGGTACATAAAGGAAAACACAAGAACAGACAAGAGGCCAAGCTGTCCAGTCTGAAAATCATGTATCACCTTGAACAAGCAGTGAAGGCTGGAATGTGTGTCTCAAACATGAATTTCAAAGCCAGCAGGCAGCGAGGAGGCTCTGCCCGCCCGGCCTGGCCTGTGAGCAGCTGGCAGTGCCTTGGCAGGCTCCATGAGTAGGCGCCACGCTCCCTCCAATTCTGGCTTCGGCACCTAAGTGGGAATATTCCAGGAACCAGGAAATGATTCAGACCCGAATCTGCCACTCAGCCCCCGCACAGAATTTTGTCAGCTTTTGGCCCCTTCAATCCTCAGTCTCCTCACCAGTCCTGGCGGCAACAGGACCCTCGGGCAGCAAACCTCCCAGAGGCCACCTCCAACTCCGGACACCTTGCCAAAGCCCTTTCTGCTCGGCCGAGGGGTCGGGAACTGACAGTCACATGTGACACAGCAGGACACCTGCTGATCAGGGAGGGGCATGTTTCAAAACACTCTGTGTGTCCTTCTATCTTTACACTGAGAGCCCACACAGAATTCCAGGTTATCTCCTTTTTATTTGAAATGAAAGGTTAAGGCCCGGTGCAGTGGCTCACACCTGTAATCCCAGCACTTTGGGAGGCCAAGGTGGGCAGATTACCTGAGGTCAGGAGTTCGAGACCAGCCTGGCCTATAGGTGAAACCCCATCTCTACTAAAAACACAAAAATTAGCCAGGCTTGGTGGTGCATGCATGTAATCCCAGCTACTTGTGAGGCTGAGGCAGGAGAATCGCTTGAGCCCGCGAGACGGAGGTTGCAGTGAGCCGAGATTGTGCCACTGGATCCAGCCTGGCCGGCAGAGAGAGACTGTCTCAAAAATAAAAAATAAAAAAAAGAAAGAAAGAAAGAAAGAAAGAAAGAAAGAAAGAAAGAAAGAAAGAAAAAGAAATGAAAGGTAAGGTTTTTGTAGACAGGGTCTCCCTATGTTGCGCAGACTGATCTCTAACTCCTGAGCTCCGATGATCCTCCTGCCTTGACTTCCGAGAGTGCTGGCATTACAGGGGTGAGCCACTGTGGCTGACCCTTAAGACTTTTTGACAACCATGATTACCTCCAGAAAAAAAAAGAGTAGCCTATTTAAGACACTCAAGGATTTCCTGTCCAGCAAAGCGTTCAAGAATGAAGGGCAAGAGACAGCCGTGTTTATGTTTATATGGAGTCACCACATCTTCCCATCCTCCCTCTGCACGTGTCTGCTTCCGCATTTCCTCTTCTTGGAAGTACGCTGGGCATGCTGGATTAGGGCCTGCCCTAATGACCTCATTTTGCTTTGATAAGCTCTGTAAAGACCATTTCTCCAAATAAGGGCAGGTTCTGAGATGCTGGAGCTTAAGACTTCAACAAATGAATTTTGGGGAGACACAATTTTACCCAAAACAGGGGCATTGAGCATCAACAGCTGCCTGCTCACAAAAAGATGGGTGAACAGACATAGAGCACTTCCTCTAATCCTGCGAAAGAGACGGAACCAAGTCCAGCAAAGGTACTGGATCCAGCTGCCAATGTGCAGGAGAGAGAGGACAAAGGGACACGCTGAACTTCACCAGGAGTGCACCCATCCAAAATAAGAAGGGAGATGTTCCACAGGTCAAATGCCTCAAAGTCTTCCACACGTGTTTGTAAGGAAAAGACAGGGACAGATAGTATAGCAGTTCCCCCCAAAATTAAAAACATAAATTACCACATCATTCAGCAATCCCACTTCTGAGTATACACCCAAAAGAATGAAAAGCAGGGTCTATCTCCAAGAGATTATTTGCACACTCATGCTCATAGCAACATTATTCACAGTCCCCAAAACGTGGAAACAACCCAAGTGTCCATCATGGATGAATGGATAAACAAAATGTGGTCTACACATACGGTGGAGTATTATTCAGCCTTCACAGGCAAGGGAATTCTGACACTTACTACAACGTTGCGAGAACACTATGCTAAGGGAAAGAAGTCAGTCACGCACAAAAATATTGTAGGATTCCACTTACGTGAGGTACCTGGAAGAGTCAAATTCACAGCCAGAAAGTAGAATGGTGGTTGCCAGGGGGTGTGAAAAGAGGGGAATGGACAATTACTGCTTAATGAGTGCAGAGGTTAAATTTTGGGAAGATGAAATCATTCTGGAGATGAGTGGTGGTGATAGCTGGACAACAATGTCAATGTCCTTAACGTCACTGACCTGTACACCTAAACAATGCTTAAGATGATACATTTGTATGTATCTCTTGCCACAATTAAGAACTAAAAATTAAAATACATTTTAAAAATAAAGAAAGGGGCCGGGCGCGGAGGCTCACACCTATAATCCTAGCACTTTGGGAGGCCGAGGCGGGTGGATCATGAGGTTAGGAGATCGAGACCATCCTGGCTAACACGGTGAAACCCCATCTCTACTAAAAATACAAAAAATTAGCCGGGCGTGGTGGCAGGTGTCTGTAGTCCCAGCTACTTGGGAGGCTGAGGCAGGAGAATGGTGTGAACCCGGGAGGCGGAGCTTGCAGTGGGCCAAGATCGTGCCACTGCACTCCAGCCTAGGTGACAGAGCGAGACTCCATCTCAAAATAAATAAATAAATAAAAATAAAGGGATGGAGAGAGGAACCTGAAATTTATAAAACACTTGAAAAGACTATCAACTTCTAGTTCCAGAGCAAGATGATATAGACTGCTTTTCCTTCTCCCCTCTATCACATGCAAAAAGCCAGACTTACAATTTTATTACATTAGATTGTGGTTATGATTCAAAACTCTGTGAATACACTAAAAACCACTGAATTGTACAGTTTAAAGGTATGAGTTACATGGTATGTGAATTATGACTCAATAAATTTGCTATCAAAAAAAAGAAATGAAGGAGAAATGAAGATATTCTCAGGAGAAGAGAAGCTAAAGAATTTATTACTAGCAGACCAACCTTTAAAGAAGGGCTAAAGAAATGTCTTCAAACAGAAAAAGAGACTAACAGAAGAAGACTAGACTGTCCTTCACCTCATGAGGTTCTTTAATCATACTTTAAGTTGAAGCAAAAGTTATTATGTCATACGATAAGGTACTCAGTGGATACGGAGGAAATACTTAAGACAATTATATTTAAAAAGTAGTGAGGGTAAAGGGTCCAAAGTGGTAAAACTCTGACACCAGTAGGCTGACATAATATTTACAGCAATCATAAAGAACACTATCCAAAGCCGTACATTCAAACACAGTATAAATAAGGAAATGTGGGACTCTAAAAAATGTTTGTCACCATAGGAAGGCAAGGAAAAAGAAACAGAGGAATGAGAAAGAGAAGGAAAAAAATCATAAAATGCAGACTTAAACCCTAGCAAGTCAATAATCATTTTAAATATAAATGGTCTAACTACATCAAATAACAGACATTGGCAGAATGGATTTAAAAAATAACCTACAAGCTACCTACAAGAAACTCATTTCAAACATAACAACATGGGTAGACTGAAAGTAAAGGATGGGAAAAGACATGTCATGCCAACACTAATCATGAGAAAGCAAAAGTGGCTATATTAATATCCAGGCAGACTTCAGAGTAAAGAAACTAAATAAAGACAAGGAATAATATTACATAATAATAAAATGCCCAACCTACCAAGAACATACAGAAATTCTAAATGCGTACCCCCCAGACCACAAAACACATACAGCAAAAACAAATCTTGCCAAGAGAAAAATCGACAAATTCACAATAATATTTGGGGATGTCAGTACCCACTCTGAGCAACTGACACAACTACTGGACAGAAGATCAGCAAAGATACAGAAGTGTGCAACACCATCCAACAAAAAGATCAAATTGACATTTATAGAAAATTCAACCCAAAAACTGCAGAATACACATTCTTTTCAATTGTCCATGGAACATACACTCAGATAGACCATATCCTGGGTCACAAAAAAAAGCCTTAATAAATTCAAAAAAATTAAAATCATGCAGAATATGTTGACCAAAATGGACTCCAACTAGAAATCAATGACAAAAAAACTACAGGAAAATCTCCAAATACTTGGAAATTAACCAACACACTTCTAACTAATCCATAGGTCAAAGGGGAAATCTCAAGGGAAATTTTAAACTATATAGAACTGCACTAAAATGACAACACGACATACCAAGTTGGTAGGATGCAGCTCAGACAGTGCTGAGAGGAAAACATATAGTTCAGTAAGGTTTCAGGGTACAAGATCAACATTCAAAAACTGATTGCATGTCTATACACTAATAACAAAGAAGTGGAAATCAAGACTGTTAAATGCAACACCATTTAAAGTTGCTCTAAAGATAACAAGAAGATACTTATGAATATATCTAACAAAATATGTACAGGATCTATATAAAATAAAAATTACAAAATGACAAGGAAGGAAATCAAAGACCTAAATACTGAAGAGACATACTCATGGACTGGAACGCTCAACATAGTTAAAAGGTCGATTCTGCCTAAATTGACTGACAGGCTTAACAAAAGTCCTGTCAAACTTTGTAAGGTATTTTGTAGATGCAAACAAACTTATTCTAAAATTTATTAGAAAGAGAAAAGCCTGAGAATAGCCAAATAACTTTGAAAAAGGAGAATAAAATTGGGGAAATCACCCTGCCTGATATTAAGGCTTCCTACAGAGATATAGTAATCAAGACAGTGTGATATAGGCAAAGGGAGAGACACAGAGATCAAATGGAATGGAGTAGAGAGCCCAGGAAAAATGATCCCTACAAATATGCCCAACTGATTTGTCACAAGGAGCAAAAGTAATTCCATGAAGGAGGGACAGCCTTTTCAATTAATGGCGCTGGAGTATTTGCACATCTATAGGCAAAAAAAGAAAAAAGAAATTTGACATAAATTTCATACCTTATACAAAAACTAACGCAAAATGAATCAAGGACTTAAATATAAAACTATAAGACATGTAGAAAAAAAAAATCAAAGGAAAGAGCTTTGGGACCTTAATGATTAGGCAAAGAGTTCCTAGACATACACCAAACACAATATCCATAAAAGGAAAAAATTTGATAAAACTTTGACCTCCTCAAAATTAAAAACTTTCATTCTGTCAAGGGTCAAGTTAAGATAACAGAAAAAAAAATTATACTCTGGGAGAAATTATTTGCAAATCACGTACCTAACAAAGGACTTGTATCTAGAATATATAAACAGCCCTTAAAACTCAACAATTAAAAAAAAAATCTAATTAGAAAATGAGCAAAAGTGGGCCAGGTGCGGTGGCTCATGCCTGTAATCCCAGCACTTTCGGAGGCCGAGGTGGGCTGATCACCTGAGGTCAGGAGTTCAAGACCAGCCTGGCCAACATGGTGAAACCCCATCTCTACTAAAAATACAAAAATTAGCCAGGCGTGGTGGCAGGCGCCTGTAATCCCAGCTACTCGGGAGGCTGAGGCAGGAGAATCACTTGAATCTAGGAGGCGGAGGTTGCAGTGAGCCAAGTTCGTGCCACTGCACTACAGCCTGGAAGACAAGAGCAAGACTTCGTCTCAAAAAAAAAAAAAAAATGAGCAAAAGTGATGAACAGATATTTCACCCGTGAAGATACACAGATGGCAAATAATCATATGAAAAGATCCCCAACATTATTAGGCATCAGAAAAATGCAATCTAAACCACAACTAGATATCACTACACACCTATGAGAATAGCTAAAATAAAAAACAGTGATAACACCAAATGCTGGCAAGGATGTGGAGAAACTGAATCATCCATACATTGCTAATGGGAATATAAAATGGTACAGCCACTCTGGAAAATAGTTTGGCAACTCCTTTAAAAGTAAAAATGAATTTACCATGCAATCCAGCAATTGTAGATAATTGATCATAGAGGAATAAAAACTTGTTTTCACATAGAAACTTGTAAGTGAATGTTCATATAGCAGATCTGGGTTCATAACAGCCCCAAACTGGAAACTCCAAATGTCCTCCAGTGGTTGCCATAGGTTAGGAATGATGGAAGAGGGACTGTGCATGTGGCTACAATGGGGTAGCATGAGGCAGTCCTTTGCTGATGATACAATTAAATATCTTGATTGTGGTGGTGGTTACATGAAGTTGCACATGCAATTGGACAGAATCACACACATACACACACACATACATACATTATAACTACTGGAGTCTGACTAGTTTCTGTTGACTACATCACTGTCAGTTTCCTGGTTTGACTATTGTACTATCGTTATGCATAATGTTAACATTGAAGCGGGGCTAAGTGAAGAGTGTTCAGGATCTTCTTGAATATTTCTTTGCAACCTCCTGTGAATCTAAAAATATTTCAAAATAAAAAGTAAAAAACAAGAGTATATCAACTCCCCCCAAATTCCTTGAGATTTATATTCTAAAACAAGCCTATTTGTTGGATTATGTTGTCAAAGAGACCTTGGTCATAGCCCGTGTTTAGTGGACTGTGGCCGGCTTTCTCACCCACTTCTGCTGGTAACAGAAGTAAGTCACAGCTGAGTTCAAATTCCGACTCTGGCACCTGTTAGCTGTGTGGCTTGGAGAACCCATCTGGAAGGTTCTCATCAGTCCTCCACTTCTCATCTTTCAGGTGGGTGGGGAGGATGAAAGGACATCTTTCAGGCAAGGTCCTCAGCAATGTGCTGGGCACAGGGAAGGCGCCTCACTGGCTGAGGATCTTCAACAATGCCCCTGCCGGGCCTGAGCTGCATGACTTTCCTTTCCATTCCTAAAGCACCTGAGTTAACAGAAACATCTCCAACAGAAGGGCATCCCTCCTTCCCAACTCTAGGAAGACCTATACACTGAAAATACCACGTCCCACATCAGGCCAGACCAAACAAACAAACGTAATTAGAAAAATATTCTTTAAAATATGAACCTGATAACCAGCTAAAAAATTCACACCAGGCCTTCTTCACTAAAGGCTTTAGGTCTGGTCCTCTCTGCCACAGCATCCCATTCAGTCCCCAGTGCACCTGCCACCCACCTAGTGCCCCACCCAGAGTTTTCAGCCCTGGATTGCCACCAAGGTCTCCAGGCAACTTTCAAAACATACTGATATCTGTGCAGGTGGTATAATGGTGAGTGTAGCTGTCTTCCACACCATACTGATATATCTGTATGCAAAGTCCCTGCCTTGTCCAGGAAGCGGTTAAAGTACCAATTTAAAGAAGACCAGCATCACTAGCATCTAATGAGTCTGCAGATCATAACCTCTAGGACAACCTAAAATAATAAATTAACACATACTTAAAGCTAGTGGAAGAGCAATGGGAAATAAAACTGCTTTACTCTTAAAAGGCAAGGAAGTTAGGCTGGGCATGGTGGCTCACACTGTAATCCCAGCATTTTGGGAGGCAGAGGTGGGCAGATGGCTTGAGCCCAGGAGTTCGAGACAAGCCTGGGCAACATGGCAAAATCTGTCTTTATTATTATTATTACTATTATTATTATTTTTTGAGACGGAGTCTCACTGTCGCCAGGCTGGAGTGCAGTGGCGCGATCTCTGCTCACTGTAACCTCCGCCTCCTGGGTTCAAGCGATTCCCCTGCCTCAGCCTCCTGAGTAGCTGGGACTACAGGCGCCCGCCACCATGCCCAGTTAATTTTGTATTTTTAGTAGAGATGGGGTTTCACCATGTTGGCCAGGATGGTCTCAATCTCCTGACCTCGTGAACTGCCCACCTCTGCATCCCAAAGTGCTGGGATTACAGGCGTGAGCCACCGCGCCCAGCCGAAACCCATCTTTATTATTAAAAAATATATACAATTATAATTTTTTAAAGACAAGGAAATTATCAAAGATAACTAGAATCAGGTCAGAAGGTCTCAGAGGCCAATATGAAGACACTACCACCAGCCACAATGAACCTCAATGAGGATAATGATTGCAGTGGTTTGAAACCTATGACACACGTTCACGCCCCAGGAGTTCACGACGATAGATTAAAATAAATTTTAAAAAACCACCTTTGGAAGGTCATGGGAAACAAATTCATCATCTTCAAAACTGGTAAATGAAGTAGAAGAATCACATGCCACCCGGCCTTTTCTCTCTCAACTGTCCCACTGGGTGACCACAAAATGGATAAAGGGAGGTATCTCTTTAGAGAAGCAACAAGCTGAGAAGTAAAAAGAAAATGATAGAATTAGAGTATCACTTCATTTAAAAATATGCTTAAAAATACTAACGTCCGGGATCTATACCCGAGACTGATTAAATCCAAACCTCCAGGAGTGGAGCCCAGGCACCTGTCCTTTAGAAATGGCAGCTGGAAATCTGCAGTCAGAGTTGAGAAGCGCTGGGTGTCCCTGCAGTTCCCTTCAATGCCCTCACCTGCGACAGGCTTCTCCTTCCATTGGCGCCTCAGTCACCCGCCCGGCCGCTCCCCCGGGATCCTGTTCCTCCACCAGGAGTCCCCTGCAGCTGTCTCTCCTTACCAAAGACACTCCGTCATTCACATCCAGCTCAGAGTCCACTTCCTCCAAGAAGACTCCCTTGATTTTCACAAAGCTGAACTGAGTGGCTTCCCTGGCTTTCCTGAGATAGAACTTGGGCCCCACACAGTTCACCCTCCGTCAGCACGGAGGACTTCTAGTGAATGTCGCAGTGGCTCAGGCACACGACGCACTTTTAGAACCCTCATCACCCTGAAGGCTCCTCATGGCTGCCTGCAGCCAATCCCCACTGACGCCCCAGACCCAAGCAGGCCCTCATCTGCTTTCCATCTCTGTCATTAGGCCCTTTCTAGAAACGTCCTATACATGGAATTGCACCACATAGTCTTTCATGTCTGGCTTCCGTCAGTCAGCACACTGTTTCTGAGTGAACTAGGTATTTTTAAGCGTATATGGGGATTTGGTATTTAAAGGAATCCTGGATGAACTTAACAGTAAGCAAATGAATCACTTCCCGGTGTGACTCATCATCTCCCTGGGTCTTCACTGTGTAAGAATGATGGGTGTCGGCTAGGTGCGGTGGCTCACGCCTGTAATCCCAGCACTCTGGGAGGCTGAGGCAGGTGAATCACCTGAGGTCGGGAGTTCGAGACCAGCCTGACCAACATGGAGAAACCCTGTCTCTACTAAAAATACAAAATTAGCCAGGCATGGTGGTGCACGCCTGTAATCCCAGCTACTCGGGAGGCTGAGGCAGGAGAATCATTTGAACCTGGGAGGCGGAGGTTGCGGCGAGCCGAGATCACACCACTGCACTCCAGCCTGGGTGACAGTGTGACACTCCGTCTCAAAAAAAAAAAAAAAAAGAATGATGGGTGCATCCTGGTTCCTCTCCCAGGGGTGGTCTGAATCCTGGTCCACATGATAGGTTGGCTCTGACGTGGGCAAAGCTTCTCATTCCATTTTCATCCATTTATTCCACAAACCCTTCCCATACCTGAAGCCTCAGTTCCTAAAGGGGAACCTAGGAGGGTGTGAGAGTCCATCTGCCCCCCGCAGACCACCAGCATTATGTGTGACCACCCACCAGCGAGGGTTTCTAAGGTAGACAGATGTCATATGATTATGATTATGAGAATTCAAAGTGCTCTTTTTTTTTTTTTTGAGACAAGGTCTTGCTTTATCACCCAGACTGGAATACAGTGGCATGATCATAGCTTACTGCAGCCTCAACCTCTCAGGCTCAGGCAATCCTCCTGCCTCAGCCTCTAAGTAGCTGGGACTACAGGCATCCACCACCACACCCAGCTAATTTTAATATATTTTTTGTGGAGACAGGGGTCTTGCTGTGTTGCTCAGGCTGGTTTTGAACTCCTGGCCTCAAGCAGTACTCCTGCCTCTGCTTCCTGAACTGCTGGGATTACAGGCACGAGCCACTTCGCCCAGTCTCAAAGTGTCTTTTTTTTTTTTTTTTTTTTGAAACAAGGTCTCACTCTGTCACCTGGGCTGACTGAAGTGCAGTGGTGCAATCTCAGCTCACTGTAACCTCCGCCTCCTGGGCTCAAGCAATCCTCCCACCTCAGCCTCCCAAGTAGCTGGGACCACAGGCAACTGCCACCAGGCCCAGCTAATTGTTTGTATTTTTAGTAGAGATGGCGTTTCACCATGTTGCCCAGGCTGCTCTCAAATTCCTGGGTTCAAGTGATCCACCTGCCTCGGCCTCCCGAAGTGCTGGGATTACAGGCTCAAGCTCCCACACCCAGCCTCAAAGTGTTGTTAACTGAAGCTTGTCCTCATGAATTTTTCCAGTTTCCGTAGAGTGTCAGTTTCACAAGGGCAGGTGCTGCCTAGTTCTCTGCTATAGGCCCCATGCTCCCTGAACTTCGGGAGCAGTCCATGAAGATTGCTTAAAAACTGGAACTGCTGACACTGAACAATAGCACACAGGCACTGTATTAGTTTTCTAGGAATGCTATCACAAAGTACCACAGGCTAGGGGACTTAACCAACAGAAATGTATTTTCTTCCAGTTCTGGCGACTGGAAGTCGAGATTATGGTGTCAGCAGGGCTGGTTTCTCAGGAGGCCTCGCTCCTTGGCTCACATACGGCTGTCTTCCGCCATGTATGTACATGGCCATCCGTCTGTGCCTGTCTGTGTCTGAATCTCTTCTTACAAGAACATCAGTCAGATTGGATTAAGCTACCTTGATGATATCATTTTAACTCAATTACCTCTTCAAAGACCCTCTCTCCAAATACAGTCACATTCTGAGGTCCTGGGGGTGAAGATTTCAACACATGAATTTTCAGGGATCACAATTCTCTCCGTTTTTACATATATTTGAATGCGGAGGCTCATGCCTGTAATCCCAGCACTTTGGGAGGCCGAGGCAGGTGGATCATGAGGTCAAGAGATCAAGACCGTCCTGGCCAACATGGTGAAACCCCGTCTCCACTAAAAATACAAAAATTAGCTGGGCATGGCGGCATGCACCTGCAGTCCCAGCTACTCGGGAGACTGAGGCAGGAGAATAGCTTTAACCCAGGAGGTGGAGGTTGCAGTGAACCAAGGTCGCACCACTGCACTCCAGCCTGGCGACAGAGGGAGATTCTGTATCAAAAAGAAGAGAAGAGAACAGAAGAGAAGAGAAGAGCCCTATAGAAGAAATAAACTTAAAATGAAGAGATTTGTTTAATGAATAGTTACTGAACCACCAAAGCAGTACTAAAAACAAGACTATAGCCAAGTAAGGAAAACTTGGAAATTTTCTGATATTAAAAAGGCATTTCTGCAGTCAAAAAAAAAAAAGTTGGGAATAATGCTTAAAAACAACGACCCTCCTGCTTTGGAAGTATAATGAGGTCCACAGAGTCTGAAGTTGTCTCCTGAAATGTAAACAGCTCTGGATTTGATAAGCACTGGAAAACACAGAGGCTGTTAAAGCCAGGCAGAGATGCAGGGTTCATGAGTTCTCATTACCTCCCTGCCCCAGTGGGGACAGGCCTCAGACACGCACAAGCCAGAGCTCTGTGCCGCTGACAAAATGAAGCCATTACCAGCTGATAATGAACTCTTCAGCAAGAGATTTACCTACAGAAAAGTTCAGCCCCTTCGCCAAATCTCGAAACTGCTGGAGATACTAAGAAGCATGCAGAATTATCCCAAAACGCTACACTTTCATCTTCACCTATCTGTGCACTTAAAATACTTTTCAGGTTCCTCCTGGATCAGTGAGGACAGGCTAGGCTGTGCTGTGACAACAAACAGCTCCCACGCCACAGGGCCTGGGCCCAGTAATGGTTTCTGTCTTGCTCACTCAAAGTCCACTGTGAGTCCAAAGCAAATAACAGCCACGTTGCTATTATGGCCCCTCCTCCTAGGCATGTGCTTCTAGGACCGATGTGACTGGAGAAAGGACAGCATAGAAAGTCCCTTCCAGCTTCTACCCACAAGTCACTTCTGCTTACATGTCATTGGCTGAAGCAAGGCACATGGTCTTATCTAACTTTGAGAAAGCAGAGAGTGCAATCCTCTCATGTTCCCAGGAGCATCGAAAATACTACTGGGCAGTGCAAGTGCTGGCCACTTCTGCAAAGACACCACAGCAAGGGACACGTCCTCCAAATGCTCCCCCGCCTGTCTCGGCTCCTCTGACTTCAACCCAGTCGCAGCAGGACACAGTCATAGGCCAAATGTGGTGGGCTTGGTGAAGTACAGGCCACACATCAAACCAGATGGTGCTCCCTTCTGCCTTGGGGATGGCACCCTGGACATATTGTGCTCCCACAGAAGCCACCAAAGTAGCATGGGGGAGGCCTGATGTGCAGGTGCAAGGGACAGCGTTCCCATCACCCCGAACCTGATGCACAGCACCACCCGTCGCCCTCTCCTACAGCCCTCGGCACGCGCCTCCCCACCACAGAGCCCCTGCTCACCAGGCCACAGTGCTCCCACACAGGAGAGGTGCTCCACACCATCGTGCATCAGGAAAACGCCATCCAAACCACAGAGAGCTGCTACCCCACTCCCATCAGGGTGGCCACGATTGAAAAACCAGAAAATAACAAGTGTTGGTGAGGATGTGGAGAAAACTGGAACCCTTGTACACGGTGGGTAGGAATGTAAAATGGTGTGCAGCCCCTTTGGAAAATGCTATCCTTAAAACATTAAAAATAGAATCACCATATGATCTAGGAATGACTCCACTTCTGGGGGTATGCCCGAAGGAAGTGAAAACAAGAGCTCAGGCCGGGCGCAGTAGCTCACGCCTGTAATCAATCCCAGCACTTTGGGAGGCCGAGGCGGGCGGATCACGAGGTCAGGAGATTGAGACCATCGTGGCTAACACAGTGAAACCCCGTCTCTACTAAAAATACTTAAAAAAATTAGCCAGGCACGGTGGCGGGCGCCTGTAGTCCCAGCTACTCGGGAGGCTGAGGCAGGAGAATGGCGTGAACCCGGGAGGCGGAGCTTGCAGTGAGCTGAGATTGCACCACTGCACTCCAGCCTGGGTGACAGAACGAGACTCCATCTCAAAAGAAAAAGAAAAAAAAAGAAAAAGAAAACAAGAGCTCAAAGAGATTGTACCCCCATGTTCACAGCAGCATGATTCACAACAGCCAAGAGGTAAAAGCAACCCAAGCATCCTTCACCAGATGAACGATCAACAAAATGTGGTCTATTCATACAAGGAAGTATTCCTCGACCTTAACAGACAAGGAGACTGTGACACGTGCTACACTACGACGTGTGTGCACCGTGAGGACGTTGAGAGTGAAATATGCCAGTCACAAAATATAAATCCTATACAATTGCTCTCATACGAGGCACCTGAAGTCGTCAAAATCATAGACAGAAAGTACAATGGTGGGTGCCAGGGGGTGAGGGGAGGAGGAATGGGAGTTAAGTGTTTAATGGGGACAGAGTTTCAGTTTTGCAGGGTGAGGAGAGCTCTGGAGGTGGATGGGGTGATGGTTGCACAACCGTGTAAATGTACTTAATGCGACTGAGCTCTACACTTAAACATGGTTCTAGAAGGTGAATCCTATGTTATGTGTATTTTACACAATTTTTTAAATAAAATAGTATTTAATTTTAAAAAGTTTATAGTAGCTTCCATGACCCACTGGATAAAGTCCAAATATCTAAACATGGGACTGAAAGCCTCCAAAACCCGGCTGTCGCCTGCTCCATTCTGACACTGGCTATTCCCTGACTGCCTCTGCATCTGTCCAGCCTCCACGCCTTTCCTCATGCAGTTCCTCCTGCTTGGGACCCCACCCCATCTGTTTTCCCTCCTTGCATCTCAATCCAGCCCACCCATGGGGTCCATGGCACTCGTGCTTTGTAAAACACCATGGTGTACAACTGCATATGCCAGCCCCTGCCTGCCCTAGAGACAGCAAGCCCCAGAGGGCTGGGAGGGCTAGGAGGGCTCTGCCCCACCCTTCTGTTACCACAGCACATAGCAGGCTGCCCTGCACATGGTAACCAACCACATTCTCTACTGCTGAGGATGACCAGCTGGATGATAAAAACTAGAAACCACAGACCGGAGTCCTCAGGCCAGAGCTGGACCGGATGTGATGTGCATACAAACCCCCAGTCTCGTTAACATGCAGGTTCCAAGTCAGCAGAGCCAGGGTGGGGCCTGAGACTGTGCATTTCTCACAGCTCCTCCATGGTTGCTGAGCTACGGGTCCACGGCCCTGCCTGCAGGAGCAAGCAACCGAGGGCCAGAAGCAACACCTACCTCCAAGCACAAGGTTCTGCCCCAACACACCCAGTGCAATGGAACTGTGCTCCCTGGCCCAAGGCCTTGGCCTGACCCTCAGGGAACCCACCAAGGCCCCCCATGCCTCCCTAGGCACCTGGGAGGAGCTTTGATGAACACCCTTTCTAATGCAAATCACTCATATGTTCCTGCAGATGGAACCAGCTTTTGTGTTTAACTTCATTGTTCTCTACAGTTAAATAAATGACTATAAAACTGGCTTCTTAGACCCTCTTAATTACTCAGAAGAAATCCCACAAAAGATGCATTTCCCTGAACAAAGCAGGTGAGCAACTACAATAACATTTCTTGAACAGAGCTGATGTTCCTCCTGGGGTAATTTAAATAAGCTACAATGGTACAATCATTAAAATTGATTACACAAGCCTAAAAAAGCCACAGGATGGGAATCAGAGGACAGGGTTCCAGTACTGGCTGTTTGGTGAATTCACTGGTATGACCTTAGCAAGACCCTTAGCTCTTTGCAGCTCAGGTTTCTCCTCCAGAACAGGAAGTACGGTTGAGAAAGCTGTGGCTTACAGACTGCTGGGGACCCACAGGCAGATCGCCAAGTGAGTTTATGGGGCAATGAAACCGAAGACCACACAAAACGCATCACCTCTAATGAGAGTAAGAAACTGTCTCCTGAAACTTCTGCTTGAGGTCTATAATGTAGAGGTATCCTAGGTGGTTAAGTAAAATGTATTTTTTACGGGGTTGAAAATCAAACTGTCTGACAAAGTCCTATAATTCTAGGCTCTGTTCACTGCAACAAATACAGATGCGCACAGCGTCGGAAAGGCCAGGGGACTGGGTGAACCGTGAGCAATGGGGCTGGGGGTGGGCCGGCTATGCCTCTGGCCCTGCTCTCTGCATAGGAAACCAACCCTACCAGTCGGTGTCCACATGCACATGGCCCTGAGGGCCAGAGTGAGGGACCCTCCTGGACAGAAATCCACAGAGCACACACATGGTCACCAAGCAGTCAGGTGTTAGAAAGGTTCCCAGGTTTGGAGGATGCCAAACCAGATGGGGAAAGAAATTCCCTGATTGTCCTCCAGGTGTGCCCAGGACTAGCAGGAGGCAGGTGAGAGGCCAGAGTGCAGCATGGCAGGAGGCCCTCACTCCTAGATGTCAACTGTGAATTTGCTGCAGCCTGACCGTGAGCGCCGTCTTCAAGAAGATGTCAGGACTGTGAGCCCAGGGCTGAAGAAGGCAGACCAAGCCCCCAACCCCCACAGGCTTCCTGTCTGGAGTGGCACAGACAACAATAAACAAATAAGCTACAGAATTAATGTGGGGGTGCCTGTGCATGGTGGGGGGTTACCAGCTCAGGGATGTGGGCCAGTACCAAAGTCCGCAGAAGCCACCTGCAGAAGGGAACGTTGGAACCAACACGAAGAAGGTGATAAAGTTATTAGCCAGGCAGGATTTTGCAGGATAGAGTTTTAAGAAATAAAGTCAGTTGAGGAGGGGCTTCCAGCATTTACTCTTAATGGGATGGCCAGGGAACGGAGAGCTCTGGTCGGAGGAGCATTCTCATTTAAGTTTGTATGCAATAAACCAGCTGCTGAGCAGACACAGACTTGGGTGGGAAGGTATGCAGTCAGTGTGGAAACAGGAACCATCAGGAAACTGGCACAGCAATCTAGCAAGGAGATGACAGGCTCTCATCGCACGGCAGCGGTGCCGGTGTGACCATGGGCAGCTTACGGAACAGATTCCATGTGGGGTTTAAGAGAGACAGGAGTCAAGGTTGGCTCCAAGTCTATGGTCTAGGTGTCCGGAAGCATGGAGCTGCCATTTACTGAGATGTGGAGATTGGGGTTGAGATGGCCAGGGACAGCTTGGTGCCTGTTGTGTGGGGACGTCAATTAGAACTCTAAGGGAAAGCGCTGGGTGAGCAACAGGGTGTACAGTCTGGAGGTCAGAAGAGAAATCAGAGCTAAAAGATAAATGTGAGCTCCTTGTGCCACAAGTCGGAATGAGGTCAACCATGGTGGGAGTGTGGACCGAGCGGAGAAGAGGGGCATGGACTGACCGCAGGGACACTCTGACACTCACGGGTCAGTAAGGGGACTGAGCAAAGTCCAGTGAAGCAGGAAGAAAATCCCAAGCACAGAGTGCCCCACAAGCCAAGGGAAGAAGGTGTTTCCTAGAGGGGACGACTGTGGCAAACACTGCTGGTCAGTCACATGGGAAGGGACCGAGAGCTGACCACTGGATCTGGAGACTTGGAGTCTTACAGATCTTGATCTCTAAGTGATGGGGTCAAAAGTGTCAGGAGAGGTGTCTGTGGAAGGGGCAAAAGTCCGACTGGAGCGGGTATAAGAGAGAACGGGAAGGGAGGAAATGGAGAAAGCCACTGCAGACAACTCTTTCCAGAAGTTCTACAGCAAAACAAAGCACAGAAATAGGCCAGCAGCAGGGGGTGGGGCGGGGGGAGTGGGAGCAAGAGACTTCTGTTCTCTTTCCTATGATGGGAGCGGAAGGCAGCTGTTTCAATGCTGAGTGTGAAGGCCAAGATCCCATGGACCACAGGCAATGCTGCTGGAGGGCAGCGTGAAGCTGAGAGGCAGCATCTGGTGCTAAAATAAGGAGGGGCTGACTTTTGAGCCAACTATACATTATTTCCAACTCGGGAGGAGAGGAGGATTCTGCACAAACGCTGGTAGGGAGTGATGAGGGGGTGGGAGTCTCAACCAGCCATATGGGTCCTCATTTCATCAAAACTCCTGGAGCCTGCAAAACCCAGATGGAGACTGGGATTCCAGGCTAAGGGAGACACCAGGACCTCCAGGTCCCAGGGAAGCAACAGGGTCACAGAGTAACCAACAAGACCCGCCTGTTCTTCCTTTTCCTGATGAATCTTGACATTTATGTCATACAAAGAGCATGGACTAGGGCTCTGAAGGTACAAATGTAAGTCGATCTCCATTAGCTGCTTGAAATTAGCAAAAATCACATCATTGCTCTACATTATCAGTTTCTCTATCTATACAATGGAGATAGTGACTCTTGCTTTTCTCAGGATTGCTAAGAAGATAAATACATGTAAAATGTCTCAGTTAATGAAAATTCAAGTTGTAGGAACACAGTAAGGTATCATTTCTACAAAGTTTGAAAATATCATAACAATGGGATATATCATTTAGGCATACATGCAGTGTAAAAATAAAACATGCCTCCAAAAAACAAACAGTAAATTCAATTTACTGGGTTTCACAGGGGTGGCTGGGGAGGCATGCTCATGGAAGGCTGAATCATATTTGTACATGTCTTAAACTGGATAGCAGGTACCCCAGATACTCCTTTTTTCTTAAACAGAGTCTTGGTCTGTTAGCCAGGATGGAATGCAGTGGTATAATCATGGCTCACTGCAGCCTCAACTTCCCAGGCTCAAGTGATCCTCTTGCCTCTGCCTCCCACGGAGGTGGGACCACTGGTGCGCGTCACCACACCTGGCTTTTTTTTTTAATTTTTTTGTAGAGACAAGGTCACTCTATGCTACCCAGACTGTTCTTGAACTCCTGGGCTCAAGCAATCCTCCTGCCTCAGGCTCTCAAAGTCATTCCTCTTATTATTCTCTGTATTTGTGTATACTTGGAAAATATTCTTTAAGCCTTCCAAGTCTTTTTTGTTGTTGCTGCTCCTGTCTACACAGTAAGTTGTCCAAGTTTTCCTTTCTACTATGTGACACGTGGTCATGGTTCCCATGAGTGATCAGAAGGCTAGGTCCAGGGCTTCGCCGCCAGATGGGGTCGTGCATTCAAAAAAAAGCTATGGGACACAAAAATTAGCCAGGCGTGGTGGTGCATGCCTATAATCCCAGCTACTCAGGAGGCTGAGGCAAGAGAATCCCTTGAACCCATGAGGTGGAGATTACAGTGAGACAAGATTGTGCCATTCACTCCAGCTTGAGCAACAGAGGGAGACTCTGTCTTAAAAAAAAAAAAAAAAAAAAAAAAAAGGCTGAGTGCAGTGGCTCACGCCTGTAATCCCAGCACTTTGGGAGGCCAAGGCGGATGGATCATGAGGTCAAGAGATCAAGACCATCCTGGCCAACATGGTGAAACTCTGTCTACTAAAAGTACAAAAATTAGCTGGGTGTGGTGGCACACGCCTGTAGTCCCAGCTACTAGGGAGGCTGAGGCGGGAAAGTTGCTTGAATTTGGGAGGCGGAGGTTGCAGTGAGTGGAGATCGTGCCACTGCACTCCAGCCTGGCAACAGAGCAAGGCTTTGTCTCAAAAAATAAAAAAATAAAAAAAAACTATGGGAGATACATATGTATACACAGATTAGCATACATGCATATTTCCTAGCTCTGTCTGCTGAGAGGGCCTGGAAGCAATGTACCTCGGTGACAAGAAGAACCCTGTCTCCAGACCTTGGTTTCTAGATACCATTCTTCAATAAAATAAGGCAGGGATCCTTGCAGAAATAGCTGAGTCCAGGACTGGGTAGGAAAAATTCAAGATGAGCCTGAGTATCTTGTGCCAGAAAGAGGTACAGTTTTCTTTGGGTATCTGTAAGGGATTGGTTATCTAGGCCCCCCTGTAGATACCATAATCCTCAATGCTCAAGTCCCTTCTATAAAATGGTGTAGAATCTGCATATAACCTATGCACATTCTTCAATATATTTTAAATCCTTTCTAGATTATTTATAATACCTAGTACAATGTAAATGCTATATAAATCGTTGTTATACTGTATTGTTTAAGGAATGATGACAAGACAAAAAGTCTGTTCAGTAGAGATGCAACCATCTATTTTTCTCCCAGATATTTCCCATCTAAGGTTGGTTGAATCCACAGATGCAGAACTCACGGATATGGCCAACTGACTGTACTCAAAAAAACAAAAAGGTAGGGATCTCTCTAAGGGACATGGGATGCCACCTGAAAGAGCTTCATATAGTCAAAGCTGGGACAGTTTGAGCAATAAAATAAATAACACAGCACTGGATTATAAAGCAAGGTATAAATTATATATCCACAAATCCATATTGATGTAAATGTTTGAATAAATAAATGGGGGAGAATAGATAAGTCCCCCATACAGAAATATTCCAAATAATTTATACAGATATCCCCACCCCCCATGAAGGAGTGGAGTGTAACTCCACATTCCTTAAGCATGGGCTCTGCACATCGACCTCCTTCCAGGGAGGACTATGGAAAGAAGGTGGGGTAATCTTTTTTTGCTTTCTTTTTTTTTTTTTGAGACAGAATCTCACTCTGTCGCCTAGGGTGGAGTGCAGTGGCGTGATCTCAGCTCACTGCAAGCTCTGCCTCCTGGGTTCACGCCATTCTCCTGCCTCAGTCTCCCAAGTAGCTGGGACTACAGGTGCCCACCACCACGCCTGGCTAATTTTTTGTATTTTTAATAGAGACGGGGTTTCACCATGTTAGCCAAGATGGTCTCGATCTCCTGACCTCATGATCCACCCACTCGGCCTCCCAAAGTGCTGGGATTACAGGCATGAGCCACCGCACCCCGCTGAAGGTGGGGTAATCTTACAGTGAGCAACTGGCACATGCTACCTCAGCCAGCTGATCGGGGTCAACATCGATAGTTATGAGTCATATTGATATCATGCAACATTGATGTATGTTGAAAATGGTGCTTCGCTTCTGTGGTTTTCCTCCCCCAAACCCATAACTCCAGTCTAACCATGAGAAGAACAGCAGATAAACCCAAATCGAAGGATATTCACAAAGACCTGTACTCTTGAAAACTATCAAGGTCATTAAAAACAAGGAAAGCTGAAAAACTGTCACAGACCAGAGGAGGCTAAGGAGACGCAAGGACTATAGGTAACGTAGTGGCCTGGACAGGCTCCTGGGACAGAAAAAAAACATTAAGCAAAAACTAAGGAAATTGGAATAAACTGCAGAGTTTAGTTCATAGCAATGGACCCACGTTGGTTCCTCAGTTATGCCAAATGCACCGTGTGATGTAAGATGTTAACGAGAGAGAAGACTGGAGGAAGCAAGCATGGGAATTCTCTGCAGTCTTTGCAACTTTTTTATAACTTTAAAGCTGTTCTAGAATTAAAAGTTTACTAACAACAACAAGAGGCCGGGTGTGGTAACTCACGCCTGAAATCCCAGCACTTTGGGAGGTGGAGGCATGAGGATCACTTGAGCCCAGGAGTTCGAGAACAGTCTGGGCAATACAGTGAGACCCCGTTTCTACAAAACATTTAAAAATTAGCCAGGCATGGTGGTGCTCACCTGAAGTCCCATCTAATTGGGAGGCTGAGGTGGGAGGATCGCTTGAGCCTGGGAGGCAGAGGCTGCAGTGAGCTGAAATCGTGCCACTGCACTCCAGCCTGGGTGACAGAGTGAGACCCTGTCTCAAAAAAACAACAGAAGCAATGGAATAGGCACGGCTCCCAGGAGGGCAGGCACCTCTCCTCCGTGATGCGTAGGAACTGGCTGGTTAACGCATCCATCCATGCACCCTGGAAAGTGCTCTTCCGCAGATACCCCAGGGGCTTCTGCCCGGCCCTGACTTGCTGCCTCCACTGAATCTTGGTCTTCTGGAAGCTCTGCTCCTTGCAAGTATTCCTCTCCCTGATGCACACATGAATACACACCTGCCCAAGTCACTCTCTGGGTGGCTTGCTTTTCGGAAGGTTTCAGTGGCACAGCAGTCTGTATCACAGCAATGCAAACAACGGCACATGAACGGACAACCTGTCCGGGTGATTGATTCCTTTACCACCCTGCCATGACGCTCAGCCAGCCTTGCTCTCCTCCCTTCTCGGTGTGTTCTCCTCACTTGAACAAGAAACAAAACAACTAAAAGCGAAGCCAAACCTCTGCCATTTCTTACACAGAGCCCCTGAACCCCGTGGTGTTTCCTCGAGCTGGACTTGCTGGCTGCCCCACCCCCCGCTTTACAACTCTGCAGCCTTGGACGCCCACCCCTGCCTATCCTCACCAACCCCCCAGCCTCTCACTCAGCAACATTTACTGAGCAGCTGCTCTGTGCCTGGCCTGGGACATTCAAGATATTCCACCATGTGGCTCATTCCCAAACAACTGCTTCCTGCCCCTATTTGCAGTGAGCACTAGCAAAGATGCCGCCGCAAGGCCCTAAAAACCACAACCGCAGGGCACAGACTGTATCAGCGTTTACAGTATCTGCCTATAATAAAACAACAGGTACAGTAAGACCACAAAACACTGACACAGACAGAACACGACAGAAGAAAGCGAAAAGAAATTGCTGTTAAATATTCCAGGGCGTAGCCGTAAGCAAAGGCTGTGGCTCTGACAGCCAGTGAAGCTGCGGGGACAAAACTGGACACACCAGGACTCTCCAACAGGCGTGTCCCCATCACCTACCAAACTCTGAAGTTACACAGGGCAGAGAGCTAACATGTCAGTCCAAAAATCTCTACGAAAGGGGACTTTACCTCAGTCTCAAGCTCCCAGAGTTTTAATTTTTTTTTTTTTCCAAAAATAATCAGAACTCACCAGTGGCCAAAGGGAAGAAGGATATGGGGTGGAAGGAGGTGGCCATTATGGCAAAGAAAGGAAAAGGAAAATTTCTGTCTTGCAAGAAAGAAAGCGCCGTGGCCTCAGCCCAAAGGGCCCCTCTTAGGAGCTGGTGACCCAGCAAACCCTGAACCTCTGTGAGCCTCTGATTCCTTCTCTACATGAACTAACCCCTGTGGGGATGCTCTGAACATCTAATGAAACCACAGATGCAAATGCCCCCTGAAAACAGTAGACTCTATACATGGGAATAACCACATCATCACCTCTCTGGATGGTGCAAGGACCCAGAAGTCCATGGCCCTGGGGTGGAGAACTGGCTCCCTAACACCCTGCAAGGCCAACCTAGAGCCACGACTTGGCTCTGAGTCTCCTAACACGAGGGATTGTTTGTTAGTGCTCCTTGAAAAGCTGCTTTATTTATAAATAAGTTGCCTGACAGCAAATCTTGAAGCAGAGACATTAGTCAGTTTTGAAAATTTCCACTTCAAACATTAGCAATTTAGAGGAAAAACCCATAAATGAGGTAGTATGTAGTCCTGGTACTGAGTAAAAAGTCAATCGTTCACTCCCAGTGAGATTTACAAGGTGGTTTGAGTCTCTAGAGGCGCTTTGCTGAGGCCTCCTGATTTTAAGGCTTAGTTCTGTGATGACCCAGGCAAGGAGCTCTGGTTCCCAGGAGGCTGTGGGGCTGCCTCTCCATTCTAGATGATGGGCCTGGGCTACGGGCCTCTCATGTCACAGATTCCAGTGGTGGAGCCGCTCCAAAGATAGGAAGAAGCCTGCAGAAGCCAGGCCTGAGCACAGCCACCTCATCCCCTAGCCTGAGAGGCAGCTCAAGGAACACAGCACTCATGACAGGACAGGTCAGGCCAGGACAGGTGATGGCTCCCTGATGGCTCTGGCTCCAAAAGAAGCCGAGAGAACGCACAGCCTCTCAAGGATACTCCAGCCTCTGTCCACCTGCACACACACCAGGCCACGCCCACGAGGACGGCCAGTCAGCATGCAGCCAATACACCCACAGAGGGATGGGGAGCAGCCCTCAGTGCCAGCTCCAACAGGCCCACTGCAGGTCCTGTCACTGCACCCAAGGAGCTGCCTTCCATTTCACCTGACATTTCCACTAAGGGCCCAGCGTTTATCATTCCAGAAGAGCAGCAGGCAGAACCTTCACCTCCCAAGAGCTGCAAGTGCGCTGTGGCAGGAAAAGAAGATCTGGCGTCTGAAGTCAGCTCCTGCTCTCCAGGAAAAGAGGGACGATGACATAGGACTTGAGCAAAATGAGAGCCCCGTGATGGGAGAGAACAACTGATCAATCTTGCTGCAATGGAAAGGCTTGGTCCCTGAGTCTCTGTGTTAGCTTCCTATGGCTGCTGTGACAAGTCACCATAAATCTAGTGACTTCAGACAACACCAACTTGCTCTCTTACAGTTCTATAGTTCAGAAATCCCACAGAGGGCTGAGTGCAGTGGCTCACGCCTATAATCCCAGCACTTGGCGAGGCTGAGGCAGGTGGATCCCTTGAGCCCAGGAGTTCAAGAACAGCCTAGGCAATATAGCAAGACCTTATCTTTACAAAAAAATGCAAAAATTAGCCAGACATGGTGGCATGTGCCTGTATCCCAGCTACATGGGTGGTTGAGGCACGAAAATGGCTTGAACCTAAGAGGTGGAGGTTGCAGTGAGCTGAGATGGCGCCACTGCACTCCAGCCTGGATGACAGAGCAAGATCCTGTCTCAAAAAAAAGAAAAGAAAAGAAAGAAAATAAAAAGAAAGGAATCCCACGCAGGTCTCCTTGGGCTAAGGTCATGGTGTCGACTGGCCTGGTTCTTTACGGAGGCTCTAGGCAAGAATCTGTTTCCTTGCCTTTTCTGGCTTCTAGAAGCCACCTGCATTCCTTGGCTTGCAGCCGCTTCCTCCATCTTCAAAGTGCATCACTTCAATCTCCACTTCCATCGTCACAGCACCTTCTCCTCTGACAATTAACTCCTCCAGCTTCCTTCTTATAAGGGTCACCATGATTATAAGGGCCCACCTGAATAATCCAGAATAATCTCTCCATCTCAAGATCCATAACTTAATCAGATCTGCAAAGTCCTTTCTGTCACATAAAGTAACAGATTTACAGGCGCCACAGCTAGGGTGTGGATATCTCTGAAGACCATTTTCCTGTCTACCACAGTCTCTGAATGACAAACGCTCTTTAAATTGGAATCCTATCTGCAACAAAATCAAGATCTAAATTAAGATTTTGAAACTCATTAGGGAGAGACACATGCATGAAGAATGCAACTGGGCCGCCCACATTTGCATAACAGTAATAGGCTTGTTATCCACTGCTTCAACCCGTCACACCCAGTGTGGGCACAAACACCAAACAGCCTTATGAGGCGGAACCCTCATACACTGTCGGCCCAGAGTCCTCCTCCTCATCACGACTCTATCTAAGACGGCTGTAAACACAGGATCTCCTCTGTGGAGAGTGTGTTTTCCCTCCATCAATCTTCCTGGGAACAGCAACAAAATGTAAGGAGCGGCACCGCCTGTAATCCCAGCACTTTGGGAGGCCGAGGTAGGCTGATCACCTGAGGTCAGGAGTTACCAGCCTGGCTAACATGTTAAAACCCTGTCTCTACTAAAAATACAAAAATTAGCCAGGCGGGGGGCAGGCGCCTGTAATCCCAGTTACTCAGGAGGCTGAGGCAGGAGAATCGCTTGAACTTGGGAGGCCGAGGTTGCAGTGAACCAAGATTGGCCACTGCACTCTAGCCTGGGCAACAGAGCAAGACTCCATCTCAAAAAAAAAAAAAAAATCAATGAGCGGGGATCCTGATTTTCAGATGTCTAGCCACCAATAACCCTAAACACACAAAACTGCACTTCTCCCTTTTTTGTAACGTGAAATTTTCATAACAAACCCCCAAATCCTGAGTGCTGACAAAACCATCCCAACGACATCACCCAGAGTGGTTATTTCCTGCGCCTTGGACAGCTGCGAGAATCAATGTGATTTCAAACACGAACAACTGTGAGTGGCCAAGGTCACCCTGAGATGTCCTGAGTTTTGACTTACATTGCTTCTGACTTTCACTTTTTAATGGTCGGCTGAATACTTAGGCTCTACCAGTCTCCTTCCCTCTGGTCGTCCCCGCGCCAAACAGAAACCTTGTTTTTCACAGAGTCCTGACAGTGACGCCGCGGCTGGCTGTGAGTTGCCAGGTGGATCTCCGCATGCTCTGCTGCACCTCCTGTGTGGCTGTGGTGTGCTGGGAAGAAGCATCAGGCTCCCCATGAACAAGGAAGGCCCAGCTCTTCAGGGCAAAGTTCAAATGAAGGAGGAAGCTCACTGCCTCCCTAGGCAAAGCGGGGGCAAGGCCTCTGCCAGCCCAGGACCCTCAGGTTCCCACCTTCTAGCAGCTTCCACTCCACCTGCTCTTCCAGGTGCCACCAGACTCCAGAACCCACGTGGGGCAAGCAGCATGGCGGGGCTGCAGTGCTGCCCGGACCTTTCTGCAGGGCTTCATCCCAAACCACAAAGGAGCATCGGGCAACCACATTTCATGTTCTTTTCCAGTGTCTCTTTTTCACACTGAAGTCTGAAGTGGAGGCTTCCTCCTGCCCCTCTCTGCACGTATCTCTGCACAGTACAGCTGTTCCATTCATTTCTCAACATCGCCTTGGTTCCTTCGGCACGCCGAGCAGCACACCAGGTTATAAAAGGCACAGGTTCTCCTGCTCACCAGGAACTCACACCTTAGGGGACATCGACTCTAAGAAACAGATGGGCTTGAGGGCATGTGGCCAGTATTGCGAGGAGCGAGTCCGCAGGGTGGTCCAGACCCAGCCTGGGAAGGTGTCCTGCGGAAGGGCGGAAGTAGATGCCATGTGCAGAGGAAAAACGAGTGAGGCGGGTGATGGAGACCCAGGAGGCATCCCAGGCAGAGGGTACCGGATGGACAGTGACACGGAGGTAAATCCAAGGGCCGGAGCAATTTTCTGGGGTGACTGAGCGTACAAAATAGAGGATGGCAAGAGGCAGGTTGGCAGGTGATCTAGGCTCCTGCACACCTTTCTGCATGGCTTAATCCCAAACCGCGAAAGAGCTCTGGGTGACCGCAATTCATGTTCTTTTCCAATGTCTCTTATCTGATGTCTCTTTCGGAAGAGACACAATTTGATCCTGAAAGCAGTCGCAGCCATCAGCAATACTCAGTCACATGTGCTGCTGGAAAAGATCACTTGGCTGCAGAGTGGAGAGTGGGCCAGGGTGAAGAGTAGGCCAGGGTGGAGAGTGGGCCAGAGGTGGCAGGATGCAAGGTTTAGGGCAGGAGGCTGTTCAAACGTCCAGCAGACACAGTAGGGAGTTGGGGAGCATGGGGGCCACGGCAGGGCACTGTGTAGCGGCCACCCCAGCCTCCCCAAGCAGGACAAAGGGGGCCCTCTGGGATCCATAAGAGCCTGTGGGCACACCATGTAGGGGCGGTGTCTGGTTGGCCCATGGGCCTTTGGGTCTGGAATGGGTGGAGCCCAGGGTGCAGCCACAGCCCAAGGAGGGGCCAGGGCTGGAGGAGCCAGGGCTGGAGGAGCCAGGGCTGGAGGAGCCGGGGCCATCGATGAGCGTCCTGGGGAGAAGGGCCCATGATTCCTGATGGAGGAGGCCCAGAACACTGTAGGCATCATGTACTCAGTGCTGAGTGAAAAGCTTCCCGCCACTCAGAATGGTCACGCTCGGGATGGCTGAGACATCTGCAACTCACAACTCTCACCTCCCAGCTGTGGCACTGAAAGCCTCCCTCAGAGCCTTGGTTTCCTAACCCACCGAACAGGATTAACTGCACTTGCCAGAAAGGGCTTGTGGTAGCATTTCATAGGACAGTGCAGGCCAATGCTCTTTGGAAGTCGCAGATGCAGGGCACAGATGGGAGATGGCATGGACAGGTCCTGCTCGTCAAATAGCCGGGGAGTCTCCCATGCTTCTTGGTCTCCCTAAGCTGGGCCACATGGCAGCTCTGATCCATGGCACGTGAGCAGAGGGGACCGTGTCACTCCCAGGCAGAGGCAGGTCTGAGCTGTGAGCCCTGTAGCCTGGCCAGAACCGGTGTCCCAGGGCAAGGAAGAAGCCTTTAGTATGTTCACGCTGTTGAGGCTCACCCAGCCTGACTGGCCAGAAATCAGTTAGGCCACAGACAACCCTGTGGCCTCAGGTAGAAGGCCACTGTCTCATTCTGAATGGTAGTTTTCAAAAACTCAAGGAACCGCGTGAGGAAGGAAGGGGGATTTATAAATTCCTGATTCCATTAGCTTTGCTCTGTAATTTTGGGTGAGTCACAGCATGCACAAATTAGAGGGCTGAAAACATCTCCCAGACAGTCTGGCAGAAGCCCCCCCTGAGAACGAGGAAACCGAGGCCCAGGAAGGAGCAGAGTCGCTCAGGGGCTGCTCCAGCGGCCACGGGCCTCGGGGACAACGCAGGCCCAGCCCGGGGAGAAGCCCCACGCCAGCCTTCTCTCTCTCCCTGCAGGGAAGAGGCAGCCACACAACTGGGCATGTCCTTCTGGCCTGCACACCTGGGAGTCTCCAACAGACGCTCACTCGGGTCCTGGGGTAAGGATACCTCCCAGGTCGCTTACTGGAGAAGGAGCCACACATGTGTCCCTGGGTCTGATGGTTGCAAGAGGAAATGGAAAGTGGGGGATCCCGCGCTGGCAGGAAGACCCTGGCAGTCTGCATCAGGCAGGTGGGTCCAACAACCGACCTCAGGGTGGGCTCAGGCTGGAAAAAACCACACCGAGTTCCTCCCCCAAGAAATACTGAAGACAGCAGCAATAAGTTCCATGTGCTCCCCATTCGCCCCTCACAGAAAAGGCCAAAAGGCATGACCATGGAATCATCAAACTATTCCCAACACAGTTCCTTATGGGAAAGAACATGGAATGAAGTCACAGCCAACAACAGAACTCCAAGGTCCCCTAGTAAAGCGCAGACCCCAGACAACAAAGATACGAGTGGGTCTGAGTCAAGACAGAAGACAGGATTACACGGGAAATGGCAGCAGTGAGCTGCGAGTGCTGCAGGAAGGAGCGCGGCCCACAGTGGAGGGAGACAGCACTCCCACGACGAAGCGCCACATCCTGCACCAGCAGACTGTTCACAATTGCCCACTTGCACCTTCAAGACCACTTCCAGGAACTTCTTCCTTTGACTTTTATGTTGTTAAAATAATTTTACTTTTTTAGAAAACATAGTGTAAATATTTAGCTTAATAAATGGCTATGAGGCCAGGCGCAGTGGCTCACGCCTGTAATCCCAGCACTTTAGGAGGCTGAGGCGGGCGGATCACGAGATCAGGAGATCGAGACCATCCTGGCTAACACGGTCAAACCGTGTCTCTACTAAAAATACAAAACAAAATTAGCCAGGCGTGGTGGCGGGCACCTGTAGTCCCAGCTACTCGGGAGGCTGAGGCAGGAGAATGGTGTGAACCCGGGAGGCGGAGCTTGCGGTGAGCTGAGATCGCGCCACTGCGCTCCAGCCTGGGCGAAAGAGCGAGACTCCATCTCTAAATAAATAAATAAATAAATAAACAAACAAAACGGCTATGAAACAACCTTTACAATCCTCAGGCAGGGAAGAAGAGGGGCCCTACCGGCCACTCCAGCCCTCGGGACCCAGCCTCCCTGTGTGCCCCTGACCACATCCTGGTTGTAGGGTAATCATAGCCCCACCCTGCTCCATGTAGCACATGTCCCTACACACACACTATGTGTGCCTTTTATGTCCCCTTTAACCGTTGGTTGTGCTTCCACCTCTTTTTTTTTTTTTTTTTTTTTTTGCCTCCCAAGTTATTAACTGAAGAGTCGTTGGTCACACAGCATTTCCCATGGTTTGGCTTTTGATGGCCAGGTGCCTGAAGCACAGCCAAACATCGTCCTCTGTCCTTTCCGTTCCTGCAAATCAGTGGTTGGATCTGGAAGTCGAATGAGATCCCTGTTAGAATAGGGGCAGACCAGCTCCCGGGCAGTGTGGCTCTTCCTCCCTTCCTGAGATGTCAGCAGGCCCCAGGGCCACCAGCGCCCAGCTTGTGAATTCAGATGTGCTGAGACGCTTCAGACACAGAGGTTCCATCCTCTATACATGGAACCTCCCAACCTGCCACCTGCTCACCCAGTAGTGCGGCCTGCATAAGAAAAGCAGGATATATATTTCAGAGCTTTCCCTTATTTACCAAAAATATATAATTGGTTCCCTAGCATTCTCCAAAGGTGACGGATTAGGTTTATTTCCTGAGTATTGTTAAAAAAACTCATGGACTTAAACATACTGCATACATTTCAACCTACTGTGATTTTTACTCTTACTGATGTTCAAATTGTCCATCTCTGGCCTCATCAGGTGAGCTCACGAGTCCTTTTAACACTATCCTCATGGACTTTGACTTTAATAGTTTTTTTCCTCTTTTAATGCTCTCTCTCAGCAGAATCACATCCTCACAGTCCAGGGTGGCTCCTTTATTATCTGCTATGACAAAGCATTTAGGTTCAACTTGTACATTTCCCGCCCCCAACCCGGTATCAACCATTTGTCCAAGTAGTCTCAGCTTCTTTCAGCAGAAAACTGAATTTCAAGACATGACCCGGGACTGGGGGTGCTCCGTGTGATTGGTTTGGCCACTGATTCCAGGCCTCTCCAGGGAACGCTCTAGGGCTACTTATGGATTTGTAGTTCCGGATTCCAGAGGCTTTGTTTTTCTTTTTCTTTTCTTTTTTTTTTTTCTTTTTTTTTGATACAGAGTCTCGCTCTGTCACCCAGGCTGGAGTGCAGTGGCGTGATCTCGGCTCACTGCAAGCTCCACCTCCCGGGTTCACCCGGGTTCACGCCATTCTCCATTCTCCTGTCTCAGCCTTCGGAGTAGCTGGGACTACAGGTGCCTGCCACCACGCCCCGCTATTTTTTTTTTTTTTTTTTTTTTTTTTTTTTTGTATTTTTAGTAGAGACGGGGTTTCACTGTGTTAGCCAGGATGGTCTCGATCTCCTGACCTCATGATCCACCTGCCTCGGCCTCCCAAAGTGCTGGGATTACAGGCGTGAGCCACCACGCCCAGCCTCCCGAGGCTTTCTTAACCCGCAGCACCTTTCCTCCGTATCTCCTTTCTCCTCGCCACTGAAAATCCTGGTCAAGGTCCTCAGAGTTAAAAGATCACATCAGTAATCATTTGCTTCATCTCACGTTACACACAAAACATGCTAGGAATAACAATGCTGAGACTCTCACTACCCACAGGATTCCGGGAAACCACACGGGACTTTTTCTCTCCTGTTTCTTCCATTCTCTTCCCACTTTGTAGGGCTGTAAGCACGGAGATGGAGCGCACAGCCACGTACACTACACTTGCCCCTCAGCTGCCTCCGTGGATCGTGGTTCCACACAGAACTATGGACTGGACGTTCCCCCCAGTCCTTACGGCTCTGTTTCTGTGCTTATCTACTCGTCTGAAGCACACTGTCTAGTTCCATGGCTCCCAAGCTGCACGGAGGCACCCTAGGGGCCCTGCTGCACCCACAGGGGCACTGCAGCACAGCCCAGATGTCCATGGGGAAGGCAGTGACCCTTGGCACCTGTCAGCACCGCATGCACCACTGCCTTGAGGCAGCTCTCGTTTCCAAGGTGAGATCACACTACATTCCTCTGAAAGACGTCTCGTGAGGCCAGAAGTAGCTGTAATTAAAAGCAAATTCCTGCTATCACGCTTGTTGGGATAGTACCATTTAAAAAAGGAAGAAGAAAGAAAAGAAAAACAAAAAAAATGAAAACACAAGTGCTGGTGAGGATGTGGAGAAATTGGAGCCCTTGTACACTGTTGGCATAATAGAAATGTAAATGGGTGCAGCTGCTGTGGAAAATAGTATGGCACTTCAAAAAATTTTAAAAAGAGCTACCATATGGTCCAGTAATTCCACTTCTGGGTATATCCCAAAAGAACTGAAAGAAGGGACTCAGGGAGACATCTGTACACCCCTGTTCACAGCAGCATTATCCACAATCCAAATGGCGGAACCAACCCACGTGTCCAGCAGCAGAAGAACAGATCAACAAAATGTGGCATATTCCCGCAATGGAGTGTTATTCAGCACTAAAAAAGGAAGCAATTCTGACGCATGCCACAACGTGCAGGACCCCTACGGACACCATGCGAAGTGAAATAAGACAGTCACAAAAGAACAAATACTGCACGATTCCACTTACATGAGGTACCTAGAGAGGTGAATTCAGACAGAGGGAAAGTAGAGTGGTGGCTGGGAGGGGCTGGAGGAAGGGGGAAAGGAGAGGTACTGTTTCATGCGCACAATTTAAGTTTTGGGAAGATGAAAACGTTTTGGAGATAGCTGATGGTGATGACTGCAAAACAATGTTGATGTACTTAATTCCACCGAACTATACACTTAAAATGATTAAGATGGTATTTTATGTTATGTGTACTTTGCCACAATTAATAATGTATATGCTTATATTAAAATACCACATGTAGGCCAGGTGCGGTGGCTCATGCCTGTGATTCCAGCACTTTGGGAGGCCTAGGCAGGCAGATCACTTGAGGCCAGGAGTTTGAGACCAGCCTGGACAATGTGGTGAAACCCCATCTCTACTAAAAATACAAAAATTAGCCAGGCGAGGTGGCGTACCTCTTGTAGTCCCAGCTACTTAAGAGGCAGAGACATGAAAATCGCTTGAACAGGGAGGTGGAGGGTGCAGTGAGCCAAGATTGCACCCCTGCACTCCAGCCTGGGCTACAGAGCAAAACTCTGTCACGCTGTCTCAAGAAAAAATATCACACGTACCCCCATAATATGTATAACTATGATATGTGTATAAAAATTAAAAATAAAAATAAACTTTTAAACAGCAAGTCCCACACAAAAGTCAGCATCAAACAGGAAATGAGAATGGTGCCAATCTCATTCAGCAGACACACTTCCGTTTGTAATTGTGGTTTAGGATGAAATACATTTGTTTCAATTTATGAGTATTATTTCTCATGTGGCTTCCAAGTTGTTGGGACATAAATACCATGTGGTTTGGACCTAGCTACTTAAAGAGTAGAGTTGTTAGCTATGTGTTTTGGTCTAGAAACACCATGAAATTGCTGAGATCCAGGGCACCGTGGTCTGAGAAAGTTTGGCAATCTCTGCTCTGGAGGCTCCTAAGGGTGCTGGTTGCTTTTTAATAACTAAGTCCAAATCCCTGATGACCTCAGGACACCTGCTTATCAGGTGGGGGGTTGGGGACATTCACACAGTGGCAGAGAGGCCACAGGACTGGCTGGAGCTAAAGACACTAAGTCCCTGACTTACTTCTAATGAACGAAATACTCCAGAAGGGGGCCAGGCGCGGTGGCTCATGCCTGTAATCCCAGCACTTTGGGAGGCCGAGGTGGGCGGATCACGAGGTCAGGAGATCGAGACCATCCTGGCTAACACGGTCAAACCCCGTCTCTACCAAAAATACAAAACAATTAGCCGGGCGTGGTGGCGGGCGCCTGTAGTCCCAGCTACTCGGGAGGCTGAGGCAGGAGAATGGCGTGAACCCAGGAGGCGGAGCTTGCAGTAAGCAGAGATGGTGCCACTGCACTCCAGCCTGGGCGACAGAGTGAGACTCCATCTCAAAAGAAAAAAAAGAAAAAAAAAAGAAACTAAATCCAACACCCTCCATCCTCAGTGGAATCCCTGAAGCCCGGAGTGGGAGAGAGGCCTAACTCTAGTGACCAGGCACTTCACAGTGGGGCAGAGTAAGCAGCCACCAGGAGGCCCTTTCTCCTGCAACCTCTGAGCTTCAGGAACCGAGGGAACCTGGGCACAGCTCCCCAGAGCAGCGAGGCTCCACCTGACCTGCCAGCGATGTTCAGAGCCACACCCCAAGCGCACTCTGCAATGTGGGAATTCAGTCACGGCAAAACTGTCGTGACAGGGTTCTGTCCCTCAGAAGATGGCACACCTGAATGTGACCCTCTCAATACATCCTTAGATATTGCCCTTCCTCCCCAGCACCATCTGAGCAAAGCACCCCCGGCCCACAAGGAACTAGAAGAGGCAGGAAGTGCCTCAAATCCTAGCTCAGCATGCCACTGTATGACACCTCTTCTGGTGCCCCTCCTGGCAGCACACTGTCCCCGGTATAGAGGGGTGGATGATGGCTCAGATGACCTCGAGACCACCACCGGGCACATGGGAGGCCTGTGTCTCGTGAGAGAGCGGAGGCATACGATCCTGGAGGTAGAGCCAGGAAGACCTGAATAATGCTTTGCAGTTGCAAACTGCTTTCTCTTTCTGCACAGATTTATTAGTGAGAGGCATCATTTCTATTATGCCCATTTCGCAGACTGGAGGGAGGGAGACTAAGGCTCAGAGACACACAGGGCTCCCGGTAGAGGCCACCATCTGCATGAGGGTAGATCGAGGACCATTTCTGCCACTGGCCCCTGGTCTCCTGTCTGTCCCAGCAGGGCCCCTGCCTCCCATCCCCCACCAAGTCTCAGTTTCACCAGAGCCTCCAACTCACATCCTGTGCAGGCCCCACTGTGCTTCCCTTTAACTTTACTTGGGGTCTATCTGCCTGTCCCCAGGTGGCACAGCCCAGTCAGGGAGCCCTGGGGCTCTGCGGACACTGGCTGTTACCAGCCAACTCTCTGCCTCGCTTGCCTCTGCAGGGGACAGCCAGTGATAGAGAGGAACAAAGGAGACACTCAAGCAGGCACCCAGCACGTGCCTAACGCGCAGGCACTAGTGCCTTGGGAATAAAGCTGCTATCACTTCTGCGAAATACACTGGGGACTACGCTGGCCTCCGAAACACAGAACCGGTGTATCCAAACCCCCTTCTGACCTGAACAGCCATTCGCCAGGTCCACATGGCTCCGGGACAGACCTGGGCCTGGGTGCTCTGCTCCTGGCTGTGCACAAATGCTTTTCCTGCCCATGACTTTGTAGCCTAGTAGGAGGGGCTCATAGCTCCCTAAGCAAAGCTGGCTGGCGGGTCACAGAAGGACAGCAGGCTGGGGACTGAATGGACCATGGCTTCTATTTAGAACATCTCACTCAAGAACTAAATGTGCAAGAGAGCTGGCAGAAAGACAGCTATGGGGCACAACTGGAGGAGCAAACGCAAAACCATCACGTCTTCCACATTAAAATGTACAGGGCCGCTTCTAATGCCGCAATCAGTGCAAGCCAAACTCTGCGTCTATTTTCTACTAGATTGGAAAACCTCTCAGGAGAAAGAAAAATTTTCCAGAGGGCCAAAAAACTTCATTCTTCTGCAAGCAATCAAATAAACATGTAACAAAACAAAATCAAGACTTCAAAAATTGATCTGAACACACATGCACTGCATTTCACCACTCTGGTGTGGGAATAGGGCTTTCTGCCTAATCATACATTTTGATTAATAGAGATGAGCTCTGCATGAATAACCTATTGTTAAAGAACATGAACTAAAGTAGTCTAAAACTTAGCGAAACAGAAATTAGGCCTTTTCTTCTTCTCTTGGACAATTAGGGGACCCAAATTAGGAACAAACTCACTGGCCCTTGCCCCGACTCCCTTCCTGTAACCTCAGCCGAGACCAGGTGGCTGTCCTCATGCAGACCTGGCCTTGGATCTGTAGTGTCTGGAGAGAGGCTGAGGGGAGGGCTTGGCTGACTCCTCTGCCTCCTCATGCCAGTCCTGCAGATTGAACCCTGCCCTGCTAGGCTGGGCGCTGCAACCCTGAACTTCATGCTGCAACCTTGAACTTCAGCCCCAGATACCTCTACTTCCTCTGTTCGCCCCCTAGCGTCCTACGCCCTGACAGCCACTGTCCATTTCCAGAGGGGCTCCCCCAGCAGCTCACTGCCTGGAGGCCCAGACAGCAGCGGCAGTGAGCTCTGCTGGCCCTAGAATCCCCCAGGGGCAAATTAAAATCCACCCGCCTGGACCCTAAACTGCAGGTTCCCACTCCCCATTCCCATCCTTGCCATGCAGATGACACGTTTCCAAACCCATGCGAAGTGCTGTGCATGGTGAGCAGGTAAAGACTGGGCCACGAGGTGCATCGGATGGAAGGGGCCCCAAGGGTCCGGGCCACCGTGCAGGGCTCTTGCTCTCTTTAAGGCGACCTGTGATTTAGGGAGTATCAACCAGCATAAAAATCCAAAGAAACCTAGTGTTGGAGAAATACCAGTCTCTCCTCGTTCCAGTTCACTCTGTGGGGAAGTGGAGAATCCCTGCTTTTTTCTCTTACAACAACAAGGCTACACTGAGCATGCCAGGAACTGTGTGGGCATCATTCATGGATTATAGTCACCATGCCATGGGAGCACTGAGAACCCCTGCCCTCATTTCATAAGCACGCAGCGTGTCAGTACAACAGAGCAGAGGACACCCAGGTCTCCGGGCTCTATCCCAGTTCAGGGACCTGCCTCCCTTCCCACCTGCTCTCCTGACGGGGAAACACTGCCAAAGTAATCACAGCAAGGTGTAGGTGGCAGGGCAGAAATCCGCTCAGCCCATGTGGGCCATAGCCCATCTCTGTGACAGCCCTGGGTGACCGAGCTTACCAAGCACAGCATGGGGCAGTCCTTCAGAGGTGAACCATCTCCTATGGCTCTGAGGAGGCCCCAGGGGATAAAATACTGAGAATGACAAGTGACTGCCCTGAGCCACCACCAAATCCAGCAACCAAAGCACCTAGAGCCAAGGCAGAGCCCAGTGTGGCATTTGTAGCTGGCCCCAAGCCCCTGGTTTCCCGCCTTCCCACACAGGCGCCAATAGACCTCGCACACCTAGACCCTGTGGGGATGTCACTGGTCACTACAAGGTCTTCGTCCTGCCTCTAAAGTTTTCCCTTTTCATTATCTCAGAAAGACCAGCGTTGAGCTGCCAGACCTTGACAACAAGGTCTACAGACCACACAAGGACAGCTGGACTCCAGGCAGATGGGCACCTACTTAGCCCAATCAGAACCCACACTGAGCCCTGGCACTCACCTGCAGACAGGAGTCCACAGCTGCTTGTCCTGCCTCCCACCCCAAACCATTCCCCACACTCACAATCATACACAGCAAGCTCCACTGAGTCCCTCCTGGCTCCAAAGCCTGCAGTGGCACCGGCCCCAGGACATAGGACACAGTCCAAGCTCTTCACTCTGTTCCCAAGGCTGTGGAGGGCTGGCTGGCCTGTGAGTCCTGCTCTCCTCCACCCCCGTCTCTTCTCCCCAGCCCCCTCTTCACAGGTTTAGAGACCAGGCGGAAGGAGCTGCCCACTCCATGCCTTGTTTTCCCGTGTGCAAGCTGCTCTCTCTGCCTGGAACCACCCCCACCTCCAGCCCATGCCCCCCTTTCTCCTGGGCTGCCTCTACTCCTGCAGCCTCGGCACACAGTCACTTCTTCCTGGAACTTCCCCAGGCCCTCTGCTCCGCCCATGTGGGCAGCCCCTCCTTGCGCTCCAGCATCAAACCCCAGATAGTGGACTCTTTGAGGGGAGGAGCTGTGCCTGTCATTATTCTACCCTCAGTCCCTGCTGGGCCTGGCACAAGGCAGAGGGGATAGAGGTGCTCTGGAGAAAACTGCTCCACAGGCCAAGCACGCAACCTGTCGGGCTCCAGCAGGCCCTGACTTTGGACCAATAAAACCTCAGGTCGAGGACTTCGCTCCTAACTCAATGATAAGGTCTGAAAATCCGAGCCAGTGTGGGCTTGCCATTGCTCCTACAACTGTCTTTACTAGCAGACTGTGAGCCCCACACTCTCTTTCAAAGAGCAGGACATTTGTTTGAAGGGAGTCTTATTCCATTCAGGGTACTCTCACAAAATACCATAAACTGGGTAGATTATACATGACAGAAAGTGGCTTGTCTCAGTTCAGGAGGCTGGGAAGTCCAAGACCAGAGAGCCAGCAGATTCCGTGCCTGGTGAGTACCTGCGTGATGGCTCAGAGACGGCAGCTTCTCACTCTGTCCTCACATGGTGGAGGGCGGGAGGCTCTCTCTGCAGCCTCTTTTAAAACGGCATTGATCCCATTATGAGGGCTTCACCATCAGGACCTGATCACCCACTGCTATAGTTGGAATGTGCCCCCCCAAAGTTCATGTGTTGGAAACCTAATCCCCGATGCAACAATGTTGAGAAGTGAGACCTTTAAGAGGTGATTAGGTCCTGAAAGCTCTACCCTCATGAATGTATTAATGCCATTATCGCGAGAGTGGGTTAGTGACTGAGGAGCAGGTTCCTAATAAAACAATGAGTTTGGCCCCCTTCCCTCTCTCGCTCACTATATGATGCCTTCCACCATGTTAGGACGCAGCAAGAAGGCCCTCAGCAGATGCAACCCTCAACCTTGGACTTCCCAGCCCCTAGAACTCTGAGCCAAATAATGTTCTGTTCATTATAAATTACCCAATCTGTGGTATTCTGTTTCAGCAGCAGAATACAGATTAAGACACCTCCATAAGGCCCCATCTCCTTGGGAATGTGAATTCCAATGTCTCCCTCCCAAAGGTCCCATCACTTTGGGGATAAGAATTCCAAAATATGGATTTGGTGGAACACAAGCATCAGATCACAGCAAAGAACCCCTCATTTTCATTCCCTCAGGAGCCACGATGGGACCTGGCTTTAAACAATCCACTATCACAATAGGCAGCACTGACCACTAAGGCCACACAGGTCACTTCTGCTGGCGAGATGGGACCAACCCCCTATGGGGCCGTCCACCATCTCCACTGTCAGGGAACCCTGGCTGTCCTGCCACAGGCTTTGCAGGAGGCTAAGCCACTGTGGACGTTGCTTTTACTGCCCTGGTGGATAAAAAGCATGGCAGAAGCCCATGGGTGTCTCTGAGACTGCAGCACTAGGCCCACCTGCATTGTCACATCCTGCATGTGCTCAGAGGAGAGGGTCTCTAAACACCATGGGGCTGTGCTCCAGGGAGGGCTGCCTTCTGGGTTTTAAACCCTACCCCACTGCAAGGGATGGGTACCTCATGGCACTGCACTACAGTACAGAAGC
Organism: Homo sapiens; assembly: GCF_000001405.40. Taxonomy (NCBI): domain Eukaryota; kingdom Metazoa; phylum Chordata; class Mammalia; order Primates; family Hominidae; genus Homo; species Homo sapiens. The sequence goes on along the minus strand of NW_011332701.1, from coordinate 1,094,771 downwards.
CAGCACCCCATGCTGTGGACTGCAGGGGTGCTCCAGGTGCCCCCCTCAGCTCTCCAGGGTTCAGAAAAACCTGCTCCCTGGTGAATGTGAACCTCTCTTCTGCCAGCATGAGGGTCTGCTCCACCCTGTCACCCTCCTACCCCTCATCTCATTGGCTGGCTCCCTTCCCCTCCCAAGGACATCTTACCAAAGCAGAGACAGTGATCCTGACACCAGGTCGGTCTAGGCAACTGTGGCCTGTGTGGCCGTATCCCCTGGGATGCAGCAGCACAGAAAGGAGGGCTAGACTCAGCTGCAGCCATGCCCAGACCCAGTTGGGAGGGCTGTGTGCTGTAGATCCTGTCCTGGATGCCCCTCTGCCAGGCCAAGGCTCACACGCAGGGACCTTTCTCCACTTGAACGTCTGTGCATTGTAATATAACTTCCCAAAATATTACTCTGCAATTATTTCCAAAGACTTAAATGGGATCTCCAAATACGTACAATTAAGACTAAAATTGTAATTTTAAATTACTGATAATTTGAATAAACATAAAACTTTCCTATCTCTAAGCCAAATGCAGACAATAACATCCCAATTAACCCTTAGGTACTGCCAAACTCCGGAAAACAACCACTTTGGACTCTCAGAGGGAGAAACAACTCCTGAACTACATGGAGCCTGGCAACAGACTCTGGAAATAGTCATGATCTTCCACCTGTGCAAAGCCAGATGCTTCCCCGGCTGGACCCTATGGAGCAGCGCTGCCTTGCTAAAAGGGCAGTGGATGTTTGGGCCCACGGTGGCAACAGCACCAGGTCCCAGTGAACAGGGGAGAAGGACGCAAGGTCATCCCTCATCAGTCCCACTTTGCTAGGGGATGGGGGCACAGGAGGCAGTGGCGTGAGACTCCCTCTGAGTCTCAGCGGCTTTAGTTAGCTCTGGAACCTCCTTGTGGCCTCCCATTCCCAGGCCCCCGCTAAGATCCAGGAGCTACAGGGGGACCGACTGGAGTAGTCTCTCACCAGAGGCCACCAGCAGCGGGATGAGATGTTCATGTAAGCTGTCCTGCTGCCCTGAGGGCCAGGAGAGGTGACAAGCACGCCTGCATCCCACATCAACAGATGCTCCCAGCTCCCCACCCCAGCATGGTTTCTGGCCTACGGGGTACCAGAAGAGGAGCAGGGACTTTCCGTGAAGGGCTGTGCCTCATGGAGGGGGCTGGGGAGGTGGCTTCACCATGATTCCCAAACAGGGCTTCTAGCAGACCCCTAGGATAGCTGTACCGAGTCCCCAATGTCTGCGGACGCGGCACCCGAGTTTCCTGAGAATCCAGAGGCAGGAGGCCATGACCAGAGCTGCCTCACAGGGGAAGAGGAGGAGCTGCCCAAGGAGGAGCTGCCTGCTGCTCCCACCAGTGTGGGGCCAGCCTGGGGCCGCCTTGAAGGAACAGCCCAGGAGCACTCCCGAGGGGCATGGTGGAGGATAGGGAGAGCAGTCAAGGGCATCAGCCCAGCAAGGCCTCCCACAGGTCGCAGGGAAGAGCTGCAAGTTCCCAGCAGGGTCATCTCTAAGAAACCTACCCGAGGGTCACTGGAGACAGGAAGTCCAAGTGAAACATCTGCTGGACCCCAGAAGTGCCACCCAGCCCACTTGTGGAGAGAATGCCCTCTCCCCAGACACTCCATCCCTCGGAACACTCCCTGGCCAGCAAAAACAGAGGCAAAGAAAGAAAGAAGGAGACACACAGCCCTCCCTCCCCAGCCGGCTCCAAGACAGGTCAGGCTCCAGCCGGGTGGGAGAAGCTCCAAAGAGTCTATAATTACTCCTTTTCATGACTGACCAACAATGTTCCTGGGACTGAAAGTAACCAAAGAACCTTCTATTGCCTTAGAACGACAGAAAGCTCCAGGGCCTGCCTGGAATGTTCATTTGAGCAGAAAAAGAGCTCACCCCCAGGGCAGGCTCAGAGGGACCACGAGGGTGAAGATGCTCATGTCTATCCTGCTCCCATCGTGGAGAGCTCAGCGCCCACCCAGATGGACCTTATGGTCCTTATGACTTCTGAGGGGAAGTCAAGCCTGAAACTGGGCCTTCTTCTGGAAACAGCCCTAGCAGCAGCAGGGACCACCACAATGCAGCCCTGCCAGCCCATTCCCACCTATACTGGCGGGGGCTGGAGGGTTGGGGGGCTGCACTGTCAGGGAGGGACGGGAGACATAGCTTTTGCCCCCCTTCCACCTCCCCAACTCAGCTCCTTCCACCTTTTCCTACCTGTTTTTATAGAGATGCGAATGGGCCAGTTTTACCCTCTAGGTAAATAACTGCTCAACAGCTTTGAGGATGGGCAGAAGCAACCTTTCCTTTAGTAGGTGGGTGGCAGATCTACACTTCCTCATACAAGAACTGTGGTCTTTAGGAATACATATTCTCCCTCCCCTTGACGGAATTAGGAAAGTAATACTTTTTACACTTGAAATTAAGAGCAGAACAGATGGTGATGGTTTAGAAATCTGTTCATAAGAACTGATGCTGGCAGTGGGACCATCAACAAGACATGGATAATGGGGGCAAATTGGTTTATTGCAATGTGCACCCAAGTCCCACTACTGCAATCCGAAAAGCCAAATACTGAGAATGGGGGACAGGTATGGACAGAAGGTTTAGCCACAGTAAGAGGGCAAAACAACTAGCAACGCGGAAGTGACCACAGAAAAACCCCCTTCTTCTTGTGTGTCGCCTGGGCCAACGCTGTTGCCCCAGGGAAGCCTGGGCGCCAGCACCATACAAAGTGCCATGCTAAAGACAGCCCATCAGCTCCCAGTGATAGGCGGGAAGTGCTACACCCTTGGATCTGAGTGGTCACTCCTCTATTTGTTGAGGACATCTGGGAGCCTCCCATTGGCAGCATCACTCATGTGTGTCGCAAATTCACTGAAACCACAAGGCACGAGAAATCCTACGGATTAGCAGCCACCCATAGCCAGGTGGCTTGGCCTCGTTATTTATCCCTTTCGGTGTATTCATTCAGAATGTGCCAGGCTGTCTTGTGGGTGCAAGGACGCAAGGGAACACTGACACTCCAGTTCCCTGGAGCTTATGTCCTAATTAGGAAGACAGATGACAACTGAGTAAACCATCAAATAACAAACATGATTCCCGGTTAGGGTAACAGGAAAATCAAAGCAGGGGAAGGATTGGAGTTTCCGCTCCAACACGTAAAGAACTTGGAAGTCATCACTCCCATCCTCATGACTAGAAAATGGTGCACAAACTGAAAATCAATGACCTTCTTTGGACTCATCAGTGAATTGAGTTTGCAACCCGCCCCCCTGAAATCTAGAGACACAGCCAAATCCAAAGATCCACTGACCTGGAACAGAGCCTCCAGGGCCATACCACAGTAGTTTGGGTAATTCTGACAAATTGCTGCAGGCCAAGGGTGGACTCCCATGACTGAGAAACTCCTAGAAGCCACAGTCTTAGGGGGGCCCAAAACTTTCATGGGCTTTTCCTCCAGGATCCCTACTAGGTTCTCACCATGAAAACCCAAGAGACATCTCCTGGTGACTCTGGCAGAGGGAGGACAAACGTCATCCTGGTGAAATGCATCCAGAGCCTTCTCTAGGACAAAGGCCTGCTCCCCGCAGGGAAAGACTTTACCAGAACCTTGTTGCAAAGCCACGGAGGAAGGGCATTCCTGAGTCCAGCCCCCTCTGGCCTCCTGTTTGGGGTCTGGAAAAGCTATATAAGAAGAAACATCTGTGACAGTCACAGCCCAGGGAAATGGGACCACAGAAAGACTGAGATGTAATCAGAAGACTATAGACCGCTGGCCCTCCCCACACCCTACAACTACACCAACAGGACTCCAGTGTACAACAGCAGGTGAAAGCTGGGAGAGCTGCACGACACTCACTCTGTCTGAGGAAGGGAATTTAGGGAAGCCCAGAGCCAGAGGACAAAAACAAGGGCACTGCAAGGATCGGAATACGCCGGCACTCACAGCTACAACAAACATTACACGTAGCCCATAGCCAGATTAACAGAAAACCTCACGTTAAAGGCCTGTTTACCTCAGTTCCCATCACCCTATACATCATATCTAGCTTCAAATAACTTACAAGGCATGCTAGAAGACAAAAAGGACAACATGTTTCTTTTTTTTTTTTTTTTTTAGATGGAGTCTCGCTCTGTTGCCCAGGCTGGAGTACAGTGGAGTGATCTCGGCTCACTGCAAGTTCCGCCTCCCAGGTTCACGTCATTCTCCTGCCCCAGCCTCTCGAGTAGCTGGGACTACAGGTGCCCGCCATCACGCCTGGCTAATTTTGTATTTTTAATAGAGACAGGGGTTTCTCCATGTTGGTCAGATTGGTCTCAAACACCCGACCTCAGGTGATCCGCCCGCCTCGGCCTCCCAAAGTGCTGGGATTACAGGTGTGAGCCACCGCGCCCAGCCCAAAAGGAACCTATTAACAGAAATGAAGAATGCCTTTGACGGGCTCATCAACATGGCTGAAAATAATCAGCCTGAAGACAGGTCAACAAGAACTTCTCAAAATGAAACACACATGCACACAAAGAATGGTGGGAAGACCGGGCACAGCGGCTCATGCCTGTAATCCCAGCACTTTGGGAGGCTGAGGCGGGGGGATCACCTGAGCTCACAAGTTGAAGATCAGCCTGGGCAACATGGCAAAGTCCCACCTCTACAAAAAAATAAAAATAAAAAAATAATAATAATGGGTTGGGGAGGGGAACAGAACAAAGTATCCAAGAACTGTGGAACAACATCAAAGATGTTACACGTGTAACTGGAATACCAAAAGGGAACAAAAGAGACAATGGAGAAGAAAATCATTTGAGGTAATGATGGCCAAAATATTTTCAAAATTAATGACAGATCCAAGCCACAGACCATGGAGGCTCAAAGAACACCAAATAGAGTAAATACTAAGAACAAAACAAAACAAAAAAAAAACAAAAAGCAAAATACCCTACACCTAGGCACACCATATTTGAACTACAGAAAACCAAAGACAGAGAAAATGACTAAGGCAAATGACCAGCGGGGTAGGGAAACACCTTATCTATAGAGGGGTAAAGATAAGAATTACAGCCCACTTCTCATCAGAAACCAGTAAAGGAAGAAGAGGGTGGATAGGCCAGGTGCGGTGGCTCACGTCTGTAATCCCAGCACTTGGGGAGGCTGAGGCAGGCAGATGATTTGAGGTCAGGAGTTCGAGACCAGCCACGGACAACATGGTAAAACCCCATCTCTGCTAAAAATACAAAAATTAGCCAGGCATGGTGGCTGGCGCCTGTAATCTCAGCTACTCAGGAGGCTGAGGCAGGAGAATGGCATGAACCCGGGAGGCAGAGCTTGCAGTGAGCCGAGATAGCACCACTGCACTCCAGCCTGGGCAACAGAGCGAGACTCTGTCTCAAAAAAAAAAAAAAAAAGAGAGAGAGAGAGAGTGGAGTGAAATCCTTAAAATTTTGAAAGAAGAAACCACCAACCTAGCATTCTATGTTCAGAAAAAGTATCCTTCAAAAATGAAGGAGAAATAGTTTATCAGGCAAACAAAACCAAGGGAATTCATTACTGGCAATATATACCCTGAAATAAACGTTAAAAGATTTTTCTTCATACAGAAGAAAAATTATATAGGTTGAAAACTTGGATCTACATAAAAAAGAGGTATTCAAAAAGGAATAAATGACAGTGAAATAAAATTTTCTATTTTCCTTACTCTTATTTGATATAAAAATAAATTTATTTACTGCAATAATGGTAACGATATACTGTATGATTATGACATATGGATAATTGAAATAATTAACAGCAATGTCACAAGGGACAGGAAGGAGGATTTGGGAGTATTCTGTTATAAGGTAGTTGTACTAAATGGGAGGAGGTATAGTGTTATTTGAAGGTGGGCTTAGATTATTTTGAAATACATATTGTAAACATATATTGTAAAACTTTTAAAAAGAAGTATGAGTGATACACTATGAAAGGAGATAAAATGGCATCACATAAAATGGTCCATTGAAACCAGAGGAGAGAGAAAAAGAAGTCTCTGGCAAGTACAGAAGACAGTTACTAAAAAGTTTGATATTAATCTAAGTACCTCAATAATCATTTAAATGTGAATGATCAAAACACACCCATTGAAACAGAGATTTTCAGAGTGGATAAAAAACACAAGTCTCAACTCTATGCTATCTACAAGATATCTACTTTAAATGCAGAGACACTGGTAGGTTAAAAGTAAAGGGATAGAGAAAGGTATACCATGCTAACTCTAATCAAAGTAAGTTGGAGTACCATTATTAATTTCAGACAAAGCAGACTACCAACCAAGGAAAATTATCAGGGATAAAGAGGCGACATTACATAATGAGAGAAAAATCAATTTTTAAGAGGATGTTACAATCCTTAAAGGCTATGCACCTAACAACAGATAATTGAAATATATGGGGCAAAATCTGAGAGAATTTTAATTCTAAATGAGAAATTGGTAAATCCACTATTATAAGTGGAGACTTCAAGACCTGTCAGTAATTGATAGAACAAGCAGACAGAAAATCAACAAGGACAGTTCACTTGAATAGCATCATAAATCAACTCAACAGAATTGACATTTATAGAATATTCCATCCAACTACAGCAAAATACACATTCTTCTCAAGCTTGCACAGAACATTCACAAAGATAGACCACATTCTGAGCTATGAAGTACACCTTAACAAGTATTTTAAAAATAGAAATCATAAAAATATGTTCTCAGACTACAATAGAATTAAACTAAAAATCAGTAAAAGGAAGATAGATTTCACTGGTGAATTCTACCAAACATTTAAGGGAGAAATTACACCAATTCTTTACAACCTATTCCAGAAATTGGAAAAGAAGAAACACTTCCTCACTTTATGAAGCTGGAATTATCCTAACATCAAAACCAAAGAAATTATAAGAAAATGACATACCACTGCCTCTCAGGAGCAAACAACTTAAAAATCCACAACAAATTATTAGCAAATCAAATCTAACAACGTTTAAAAAGAATTATACACTACAACCAAGTGGTATTTTTTCCAAGGCTGCAATGTTGGTTCAACATTAGAAAAATCAATGGATATAATCTACCACATCAACAGACTAAAGAGACAAAATCATATGATCAGATCAATTGATGCAGAAAAAGCATCTGACAAAAATCCAACAACCATTTCTGATTAAAAACCACTCACTAAATGAGGCAGAGACCATCTTCAGCTTGATAAAGAACATCTACCAAAAAACCTATTCAGGAAATGCCAATAAACAGTCAGACCCCACTTCCCACCCATAGACTGGCCATCATGAAACAAAGAAACAAAAAACAGAAACTAACAAGTGTTGGCTAGGATGGGGGAAAATGAGAATCCTCATTCAGTGCTGGCGGGAATGTAAAACGGTGCAGCTGTGGTGGAAAACAGTTTGGCAGTTCCTGGAAAAGTGAAACAGAGTCACCACAGAACGCAACAATTCCACTCCTAAATACATACACAAAAGAGTTGAAAACAGATACCGAATCTAACACTATCCACACACACTCACAGCTGCATTATTCCTGACAGTCAAAAGGTGGAAACTACCCAAACGCCCATCAAATGAAGGCACAAACAAATGTGGTGTATCTGCAGAATGCAATATTGTTCAGCCTTAGAAAGGACTGAAGTTCTGACACATGTTGCAACATGGGTCATCCACATAAACTTCATGCTAAGCCAAAGAAGCCAGAAAGAAAAGGTCACAAATTATATGATGTCTAATTTATGGGAAACATTCAGAATATGTAAGTCCATGGAGACAGAAAGCAGATTGGGGTTGCCAGAGACTGGGGTAGGGAGGCTGGGGAGTGACTGCTTAATGGAGAGTTCCTCTCTGGGATGAAGAAAACTTGTTGGAACTAGACACAGATAGTGGGTGCCCAACACTGCAAATGCACTACATGTTACTGAATTACACACTTTCAACTGGTTAATGGCTAATGTTATATGAATTTTACCCACTTTTTTAAAAAAAAAACCTACAGATGACATCATATCTCATCATGAGAAACTGGGCATTTTCCTCCTGAGGTTGAGAACAAGGAGGGGAGAGGGAAAGCAACAGCACCAGGGCTGCCAGCACTCGGGAAGGCAAGGACTGAAGTCCTGTGTTGAGTCTGTCCTCGTGGGACACTGTCACAGCAGGGCAACGGGGCAGGGGGCCCACTAGAACAGGCTTAAGGGTGGCCAGGTTGACCGCTGGCTTTTAGAGGTGGGGTCACAGCCTTTCTGCATCTTCTCTTGAAATCACTCAAAACCAACAAAGAATGAGAAATGAAAACTGCACCTGCAAATCTTGCCAGACGAAGTGCTGAGGCAGCACAGGGATGAGGAGCCCCGGGGGGGCGGTGGAGGCAGAGAAGCCTTTTCATGCCCAGCCTCACGGCCCACCTCTAAAACCCCAAAAGGCCCAAGCACTGAGACACCAGCACAAAAAGGGAGTGAGGCAGAAAGCAGGGGGCTACTCAATAGTCTAAACAGGGAGCAGTCAGACTCCCAGCCACTCAGAGGAGGACTATCCTGACCCCTGAGCAGGGATGCCCTGGCAAAAGGGCACCACGTGTTCCATATGAGAAGAGGGCAGGGAACATGGTGACACCAGTGAGCACCTGTCTGCTGAGCGCTGAGGCCCCTCCCCCCACCCCACACCTCCCCCAGACTCAGCACCCACCCCCAGGGCAGGAGGCTAGAGAAACGGAACTCTCTCAGGTCTGGGGATGCTTGTTCCTGCATCATGAGGCAGCCTATCCTGACTGATACACACTGCATAAGGGTTCACCTAAATGATGACATAACTCTATATATCAGAGTTAGGGTTAGGGTTAGATGGAGCAGCTCTCAGGAGGGAAATCTACGAGTTCAACCATCTTGACCACAACAGAAGACTAAGAAATAGCAGCGTGCCCATATTCTTTACAAATGTGGAGATAAATCCAGAGGAAGAAGCAATAAGAGCTGGAAGTGGTAATCTATGGGGAGTGGGCAGGGCAGGGGCGGTGGGGAGATGGTCTGGGAGGCCAGGGGTCTGCTATTTTTTTCATAAAACTTATAAAACTCTTTGACATCTTAAAATATGCATATGTATCAGGCTGACAATATAAAAACTGTGTCTGAAAAGTAGACCAAGCCTTTGAGGTGCAAAGGGGACAAGGATGGGTGGTCTGAGTAAGCATTCCAAGGCACAGGCCAGTCCTAGCTGCCTGGTTTCCCCAGCGTCCTGCACAGGGCGTGGTGTGGTGACTGAGGTGTGGCTGAGGCCCTGAATTCCAGTTCTACCACATGGGCAACAACCTCAGTTCTCTCACCTCTAGTGACCATTAGGGGAGTGACCGTGGCTTCCTCAGCACGGTGCATGGTGCATGTGGGATAAATCCTGCTGTGCCTGCTTCTAAGGTCTCACCGAATACCTGAAGGACCTGCAGTGTTCTGGGTTGAGAGGCAGGAACAGGACAGGCTGGGCAGGTTAGGATGTCTCCTGAGAGAGGGTGTGGAGCAGGATGGTGCTGAGCCAGCTCCTGGGAACAGGGTCTGGGTTACAGATCGAAACCATGGGGAGGCCAGTGGGAGCAGGGTCATCGAGGGAGAGCAGTGTGTCAGAACAGGCAGGTGGAATGTGGCTCAGACGGCCCACTAAAGGACAGAGCATGGCTGTGACACAGCTGTGGCCCCATTGTGCACTGCACTGAGATATTCCACTGGGCACAGAGCTCCTGCGGGACAATGGCTGGCTGTAGAAGATGCTCCCACCTCTGCAGGAGGGGCTGAGCTGCTCCCACAACCAGACCCTGCAGGCAGCTCGAGAACATGTCCTGCACAATCGCCTTGTGGGGACTAACTGTGGTGGCCACCAGTGTCTTGGGCTGCCCTGCTGCTGCCCCTGGGGAGGGCCCTGCCCACACTGGTGGTGCCTGGGACTGGCTACCTGGGTCAAGGCAAGCAGCCTGGGGTGCTGAGCAATTTAGGAATTGTTATTGCCAGGTCGAGCGGAAAGAACCTGCCCACTTTCTGCCAGCCCCTCCTCCTGGGTCCCTGGGAAGAACTGACCACCGGGATGCCCCCAGCCTATGTGCACCCCATGGGGAAGGGAGGCTGCCCAAGAAAGCAGCACAGCTCCACCAGGAGGACAGAGGCACTCAGTGCAGCTGGGAAAAGGGACCTGGGGCACTCCAGGGACAGGATCTCCGAGGTGAGACTGACAGGGTTACAGGGAATGCACAGTCTTCTCCTAGCAACTGGTCCCCTGTAAATGTCTGTTCTTCCCCTTTCGCCTCAAAATAAATGTAAGCGTATGTGAAGTTTGTGAAAGCAGAAAGCAAAAATATTTACCGTAGCTGTGTTTAAGCTTTTATTAGAGAAAGGTGAGGGCCATCGTGGCTATAACTCTTCTTACGGCCCCCAATTAGCACATCAGCCCAGACTCATTCATGAATGCCACATTAAGTGCAGTGGGGATCATAACGGGTTCTACTCACTCAGAATCTCCAGACACAAGAAGAGGCTCACCCCGTCTGTCCACAGGACAGTCCTGGCCTATTGGTGGTTTGTCCACAGGAGATTCAGCAACGCGTAAATATTCAGGAGACTGTAAAGAAAAAGAACACAAACAAATGAAGCGTCAACCAGCTGAGAAAGGAAACCACTTATTCACCCACAGAGGGGCAGGTGTGGATGGCAACGATGGGCCACACGCTCATATGGGAGGCTAACAGCTCCCTCCCCAGAACCTCTAGAGCAGCTGGAACTCCAAGGCTCTCCAGAGCAGCTGAATATCTGAAAAACCAAGCGTCACAAGTTGACCGTGATTCTCCCCCAAGTCTTCAAGTGAACCTTCGTGTTTATTTCCAAAGGTCAGTGAGTATGGACAACTAATGATTTCGGGCCACAGGTAGCAGAGCTGCATGCTAAGCTTGTGGGGAGTACATTTTTCAATGTAGGAAGATTTTGTAGGAAGATAAGGGAAATCTCGTGCCATTAATATTTCAGGTTTCATTTGCTCTGACAGGAAATGAAACACATTCATCAGGGTTCTGTTCCCAACTTGTTTTTTCAAAGTACAAAATGCTGCCTGAGATACAGAGCTTGTGGCATAGAGCATGCCACACCTAGTAGGCTGGGGGATGTTCTACCAAATACACTAAACAAACCCCCTGCAGAGAAAGGGTGATGGTGCCCACGTGCTGGTGCCCAGAGAAGCCATCAGATTAGCCAGTGACACTGTTTCTCCTTGAGATGCAGGTGGCCATCAGCGCTCAGCCAGCACCCCTTACTGATCAGCACCATCTGCCTGGACTTCGCACAGAACTGAGCTGCAGAGATAGACGTCCTAGCTCTGCCACTGACATCCTGAGAAGACTATGTAACCTGCCTGTGCCTCAGTTTCCTTATTATGAAGGATGATGGCAGCACTGAGATATGGGGGTTCAGGCTCCAGCTCCAGCACCTGCTCCCAACCCCTCTCACCCTCATCTTCCTACCACACCAAACGAGGGAGCTGACAGCCATTCCTTAAGAGGTTCCTCCAGCTTTAACATCCACGGCTGCTGCCTTCCAACTTGATACTTCCTCTAATCTGTGTTTCCTGCCTGGGAGCAGGCCACCCAGCTGGAGGCCTCCTAAACCCAAACATTTATTCCCACTCCACGGGCCCACTCTGATACTGAAGCACAAGAAGGAGTAGTGTCCATTTTGGGGAAACCCAGGCCAAACCCCACCTGCCTGCTCCTACCGTGGTGTGGGCATGAAAGGCACACCAAGAGCCAGGGACTCTAATGGGGCCCAGGGAGGCACAGTTCTGCATGACAAGGCCATTGCCTCCAAGTCATGGCATGCAAAGCACCTGAGGTCCTGGGCCTAGACCCTGCCCATGGCTTCCTTGCCCCATCACACCCCAAATCCCTGTGCCATCTGTGCCTCACCTCTTCTGTGCCCATGTTTAAATCTTTTTGTTGCTGTTGTTCCTCTAGAATCTTCCTGGCAAACTCCTATTCATTCTTCAAAACCCAGCTGGTGCAGGCATCTCTGAATTCTAGGGGAAATCACACTCTTCTCAGCCCTGTCTTCTTTCTGCAGTCCTCACAATCATTCGTGACCACTTCTCCCATTCCCTCTCAGGCTCCTACCTGGCCCCGAGAGGGCACACAGTTTATAGACTGCACATGATGCTGCTGGCCAGTAAACCCTCAAAAGCAGCCTTAAAGAAGGAAGATAAATGAAAGCAAATGCAAAGGCCGAGGAGGGGCCTCTGCTGGGTGAGGAGGGAGCATCGGGCTGGGAGTCAAAGACATCGGGCTACAGAGGAAGCAAGCTGCCACAGAACATGCCACTGTCGCCACACGGAGCACCCACAGCCATGCTCAAGCCCATTCTTATCCCACGGACAAACGGGGCCTCCAGATGTTTCGGACTGAGGAGGGGGTTATCACATCAATATGGATCAGGATGACCTGGGGGAGCGGGGCTCATCTGGGAGCCCCCAGAAAGGAAATGCAGAGGTTGCCCTCAGGGCCAAAAGTACACAGCCCTTCTGGGACAAGACAGCTGCAGGATGCTCACTGAGTCCCCGCTGCAGGGTGTGCTGATGAAGCTGTTCAGGAGACACAGGGAAAGAGCTCCTCCCTGACCTCTGCCTCCTCTGGGAAGAACCAGCCCTGCATACTGAGCCAGAGAAAGCCTGGCCTGCCCAGCTGTGCCCCTGCCGGCCCCCACAGCACGCCACACTGCAAAACCACCGTTACCTGCCACGGGGCCGGGGGCTGCCACCTGCCACATGTTCCTGAAGCTAAGCATACAGCCGGTTTGACCCGGAGCAGAGGGGCAGTGATGCGGCACCCAGGAACCAGGAAGTCAGCGGTTGTTCATTCTCCCTCCGTTCAACAACCGCGGGCGGGGCTCAGGCTCCTGGCTTTCTGTGTGTCGCAGTGCCCAGCAGATGACTCTCCCTGCAGGGCGTGTGTGGCATCCTGCCTCCTTCCCTTGACTCGGCCTCTCCCCCTGCCCACCCAGGTAAAAGGTTCGCAAGGAAGTGCAGAACACTCCAGCAACTCTCAGATAATCCCCACAACCGGCCGGGCGCAGTGGCTCACGCCTGTAATCCCAACATTTTGGGAGGCCTAGGTGGGCGGATCACGAGGTCAGGAGATTGAGACCATCTTTGCTAACATGGTGAAACCTCGTTTCTACTAAAAAACGCAAAAAATTAGCCGGGCGTGGTGGCGGGCGCCTGTAGTCCCAGCTACTCCGGAGGCTGAGGCAGGAGAATGGCGTGAACCCTGGAGGCGGAGCTTGCAGTGAGCCAAGATAGCGCCACTGCACTCCAGCCTGGGAGACAGAGCGCGACTCCGTCTACAAAAAAAAAAAAATAATAATCCCCACAATTAACTGGCAAGCGGCCCTGCCCAGCCTCGCAGTGAGTGGGCGGGACAGGAACGTTCGCTCGGTGATGTGGGCAACAACCCCAAGCAGGACGCCAAGCGACCGGTCGCCCGCTCTCCAGCTGCCATGGCGACACCAGGCCCAGCAGTAGCCTCTGCAGCCCCCTCCAACCGGGATCCTGCATAGGCCCCGCTGCAACCACCCCCAGCCCCACCCCCACCCCCAACCCCACCACACCCACACGCATCAGGCACTCCTTTAAAATACATCCCGCCCGAGTGTTCCCACAATGACGCGGACGCCAGGGGGCGACCAAAGGGAAGGCTGGTGGAGAAGAGCACCGGGATTCCTCCTTGCAGTGGGGGAAGCCATCTGCTTCACCTCTCCCACCTGGGAGTCCTGCTTCCTCCAAGGACAGGGACTCGGGGCCTGGAGGGGGCGTTGCGCATCAAGGCTGCTCCTGTGTCCCTCTCCCTTCAGGAGTGAGCCACGCCTCCTTTCATGAGTTCTCCCTGTGTGCCAGTTGGCCAGGTGGCCATTCCAAAATAAAGAAGGGGCTTGGCTGCCGAGGGCAGTGGCCTGGGTTGAGACCCGGCTCTGTCACTGACCGGCTCCGTGGCGCCAGGAACGCTTCTGCACCTCCCTGTGCCTTTTCCCTCACCCACGGAGACCGCAGGCAACGCTGCAAAACTCAAAGCAGACCACCTCAGCCTGCAGGCCTTCCCTTCCCGCCGAGCCTATGCCTCCCAAGTGCTCAGCAAACACTCGCGGTGATTCTTATCCCTATCTGGGCAGAATCCTCGGGGACCGACTGGGGGCAGCTTCCTTGCCCCACAGTGGCATCTAAGCAGCAGGCAGCTGAGCTGGGGTAGGCAGGTGAAAGGAGCAAGGGAGGCTGCTGAGACCAGAAAGGAGCAGAATGGGGCGGGGGCAGGATGCAGTGAGTGCTGCTCCCCAGAGACCAGCTGGCCCCCAGTACCCCTGCCCCACGCCACAGTAAGCCGGGGTGCAAAAGGATGTGACAAAAAGTTCTCCTCAAAACAAGAGTCAGCTAATAAGACAAAAAGCAACTAACGATCTACTAAAACAAAGACATGGTAGCTGAGTCATTCCCCATTTGTCAAAACTCATAAAATATACAACATGAAGAGTGAACCCCAATATGTTTTAACTATGGGCTCCAGTTAATAATAATACTGCCCCATCAATGGTAACGAATGTACCACACCAATGTAAGATGTTAATAATGAGGAAACAGGGGAAATGGGGTGAGGGTGTACAGGAGAACTCCCTAAACTTTCTGCTCAATTTCTCCATAAACCTAAAACTGCTGAAAAAAAAATTAAATCTATTAATTTTTTAATATGGTGGTTGATTCATTCAAAAGGCTAAATGTGAGAATGGGATACCATTAAACGGCCAATGGGTAAAGGGAAGATGGGGCTACAGGATTCTCCCAGAATGCAGTGCAAGCCGGACCCTAGGAAGGAGCCCTGGAGGGGAGCAGGTTTCTCCTGAAGCTGGTGAGGGCCATCAGGCTCTGGGTACCATCTCAACCCCCCTCATCACAGTCCCTCTCTCTCCAAATTGAGGAGTGTTCATGAGAATTC